>NC_000007.14:35865242-36490242 GCF_000001405.40 Homo sapiens
AACCACTACCCAAATTAATGTACAGTTCATTTCCAGAACCCTAGTTTCTTCTGTGTGCTCACTGTCATTCAGTATTACACCCCCCAAAGATACACACCTTAACTGACTGCTTTCTCCATAGATAAATTTGCCTGTTCTTGAATGTTACATACATATACTTTTTTATATCTGTTTTCTTTCAGTGAAGATTACGTCTGTATTATTTACTCATGTTGGGTGTAGTTCTTTTTCATCGTCATCGTATGCTACTCCATTGTGTGAATGTATCAGTATATCATTTATTGTTTATTTTAGATAAGCCTTTGGGTTTCAGTTTTTTACTAATAGGAACATTCTTGTGTATGTCTTGGTGGACTTAGGCACTCATTGCTGTTGTGTGTGCATAAAGATATAAAGGTATTTGAGTCTATTTTCTTTGATTTCTAGTGAGGTTGAACATGTCTTTTGTACTCATTAACTGTTATTTCATGAAAGTGTTTTGATAATATTTTCTGTCATTTTATTCCTGATTTATAGGAGTTTTAAAAATCTAACTAATAATCCCCTACATTTTAGATATTGCAGACATTTTCTCCCCAGGCAAGCATCTGTTAAAGATGTGACATGCCCTCAATTTATTAGAATTCTTACATTGGCCTAGCTTCAAAATAAATTGTCTAAACCCATTTTACCTTCCTTTAAAATAACACTTCAAAAATATCCTCTTCTGTTGTGAATATCTTCCCAGAAACTCTCTTTATCTTGAAAACAAAGGGGTAATGGAGGTAAGAATATCTCTAGGAGGATTTTTAAGACAGAAGCCTGTGCACCACTGTTAAATATCTTTTCTTTACCAAAAGGAAGACCTGTAACATTTGAGAACCAGATTGATCCTTACTAGAATCCTGTAGAAGTCCTCTTTCCTGATTGAACCATGGAGGTGTATTCTTTTATATACTGGAAACCAGTTGAAGATCATCTAAACTCTTTTGCCCACTTACTCAGGAAAGAACATGCCATATTACAGACAGGGTCAGAGTCATTCAAGAAGCCTGAATGTAGTTAGAAAATGAGAATGTAATCTTTTTGATAGTTGGCTGGCTCCTTACCAAGCCCAGTAGTCTAGCAGATGATCTGCCCTTGGAAGCTAATAAACTCTCACAGTAGAGGGGAGTGGTCACCAGTATTGTATCTCAGTCCAGACATATTAGACTGGTAAACATACAATCCTGAGTTTCAGAAGACAAACGTTTATGAAAATGGGGAGAAAAACTGTCTCCTATTATGTGGCTGAATAAGGAGCAAGATATTAATAAAGACCATGATCTCATATTCTCATCCCTGGGCATTATCTATTTATAAGAGACTTGTATCTTAAAGGAGATATTCATTCACATTCACAGTCTTGGAAGGAATGGGAAGCTGTGTACACTGAACAGAGAGCTGATTTTTAGCCTCCTGTGTGTAAAATAGCAGTTCTGATTCAAGTGAAGTTTTCAGTATTGATAGAAGCTCATTAAGATTAATTCTTAACCTCTTATCTTGGACCTCAGGACCCTGAGTTATATCTGTGCATTTCCAGATGCGAGCTGACACCAGTCCTGGAATTCTTTATACCAGTGCTTCTCAAACTTGAGCGCACATCACAATCACCTGGAAGGCTTGTCGAAACACAGATTGCTGAGTCCCTTTCTTCATGGTTTGCTATATAGCAGGTTTGAGGCAGGGCCCAACTAATTTGTATTTCTATTTAGTTCTCAGAATGTATTACTGCCAGTCTGGGTACTACATTTTGAGAACAACTGCTCTGCTGCAAACTGGTTTTATCCTGTGTCTGTCAGGGTGAAAGGAGGAGAGGGAAGTGTTTTACCTTAGTTCTTTCAGAATGTTTCAAGTGGAATGAAATGGTACCATGTTACCTCCATTTTTTACTTATATATATATTTTTCCAAAAGATTGATGAAAATGAAGTGAAAAAAATTGAACATTTGAGCTCTACTTCATGTTTCAGTATCAAATATAGATACCCAGATTAACAAAATTTTTTGGAAAAATATTGCTTACAATGTTGTATGTATGTTAACAGTTAACCGTTATTTTATAATTTTGTACCATTTGAAAATTTTTATATTTATTTATTTATTTTTGAGATGGAGCCCTGCTCTTTCACCCAGCTGGAGTATAGTGGCGCGATCTCGGTTCACTACAACCTCCACCTCCAAAGTTCAAGTGTTTCTCCTGCCTCAGCCTCCTGAGTACCTGGGATTATAGGCGTGTGCCACCACGCCTGGCTAATTTTTGTATTTTTAGTAGAGATGGGGTTTTGCCTTGTTGGCCAGGCTGGTCTCGAACTCCTGACCTCACGTGATCCGCCCGCCTCGGCCTCCCAAAGTGCCGGGATTACAGGCGTGAGCCACCACGCCTGGCCTGCATTTGAAAATTTTTAAATCATACTTCATGTCACTGAAAGGGTATCATCTGTCTTTTCTTGGGAAGAAATTATCCTTTCTTCTGAGATTGAAGTCCATTTTAATTTTCTCTTAATGTATTAAGATAATTCTTTTGTGCAATGACACTGTTAGATTTTTTAAAGTTCTTAGTTGGAAACTACGCTGCTCCCCTTTGAAACATTTTATTGGTCCATGAAGTGTTTTTTTTTTTTCTTTCCGAGATGGAGTCTTGCTCTGTTGCCCAGGCTGGAGTGCAGTGGTGTGATCTCAAGCTTACTGCAACCTCTGCTTCCTGGGCTCAAGCAATTCTCCTGCCTTAGCCTCCCGGGTAGCTGGGATTACAGGCGCGTACTACACCTGGCTAATTTTTGTATTTTTAGTAGAGATGGGGTTTCACCATGTTGGCCAGGCTGGTCTCGAACTCCCGACCTCAACTGATCCTTCCACCTCAGCCTCCGAAAGCGCTGGGATTACAGGTGTGAGCCACCGCACCCAGCTGGTCCCTGAAGTTTTGTAAATCAAACTCTGTAGATGAAGTGGGTGCAAAATTTTGAAAGTGAGAAAAGGTGAAAGCAGTATGTACTTCTCTGGGGTAACATACTTGATAGACTCCTTGAAAAATTTTCACAGAGCCCTATCAGGAGAGTCTCCTGTTGACAGCTGGTCCAGTTTTGATAGTTTTTGAGCCATTCACATAACATATTTGAATGCTTGTCTTAAACTAAGTTTTGGGGCTACAATGATGATAGACAAAAAGTTCTCAAAGATCTCACAATTGTGGGAAAAATATGGACAAACAATTATGACTTAGTGAGAAAGATGCTTTTGTAAGGTGCTGTAGAGGTGACCTTGGCAAGGTAAATTTTAATGAAGTGGTAGCAAGATGGCAGTGGGTTGAGAAGTGAGTGGTGAGTCAGTGAAGATGGGTGATGGCTATTAAGGAAGGGATGAAAAGGGATACCTAGGAGTGAGTATAGAGGACTCAGAGAGTGGTTTGATGATTTCCAAAAGAGACCTGAGAATGGTTATATCCTGTGGCAAGTCATTCTCTAAGAAATGAGAGATTGACGATAGAGGGGAAATAGTGTAAACGGTTGTCAAGATGAATCTAAAATGGAAATTAATCAGTTCCCTAGAACATATTGAGAAATTAGCTTTAGGAAAAAGATATATTTCACACACACTGTACCATGGAAGGTACAGTGCTGATTCAGACAGACTGGGAATGGTCTCATTTTTAAGTGGAGATATGAGGTACTTCACTGAGCATTGTGACAGACATGGGCTTGGGAAGAGCCTACTGGGAAATGGGAGAGGCATGAGACTAAGGAGCACATAAGAGGAATATTAGCAGGGAAATTCTTGTTGAGGTTGAAAGTCATGAATTTTATGGTATAGGAATAGAAAGATGGGTTAATCCAGAGTGGGATTTGAGTTGGAAAGGGAAAGAAATAAAGGTTTTGGGAAGGAGGTTGCTAATAGAAAATGAGAGGGGCAAGGGATTTGAGGTCTCAGTGTAAGGAGACAGGGATATGAGAGGTAGAGAGGTTCAGAATAGAAGGCCAAGTTAGAGTTTTGGGATCAACTTTCTTAGTAAAGTAGTTCTGGGTCTTGATGAGAAGGAGGTATTCTTTAAGCATAACTGTTTTACTATTGGTCACTTCCTCTTTCATTTTCTTGTGGAACACGATGAAACATGTAAGATGATATTTGTCTTTTGAGCCAGTAAATAAGCAAAATAGATAGTTTTTGTGTTTGAGCTAAGTGGAGTATCTCAGGCCATTCCAATGTCTTCAGAGTTTTGGCTGTAATGCTACCTCTTGAGCAAGTGAAGGTAGAGGTAGGCTCTTGACAGAAAATTTTAACCCTCTCTTCAAAATGTTATGTTCTTAATTAAATAACATTTTTTATTTACCTTAATAAGTGGCATGTAAACATTAAGTTAGGTTAGTTTATATGACACTGTATAATAAACATTGTTTGACTTTTTTTCCTCAGATGGTAAAACTGAAAACTCAGTATACTGGAACTCTTGTATACTGTATACACTCAGTATTAGAAAATGAGTACCTTGGATTTCTGGAATCTCAGATGCCAAAAGAGGTCTCAATAGATGAATTATACATAGATGATACATGGACGATAGCTTTAGTTTTATTTATTTTTCAGGGAAAAACAGTTGAAAATGCCCTTGATTCATTCTTTTGGTATTAAATGATGCAGCTAATCTTAGAGAACCCTGAGTGATGCCATAAAGATGTTGATGTGACCTGCTTAAGGAAAGTGCGTGGGAAAGTGGCCATTTGGAATAGATTTGTTAGAAAAGTTTGAAATTCTTGGACTTCAACTAATTTGTTTTCCATGGATCCCATGAGGATACTTGTAAAAGCAGATGATAGGATACAGTCGGATCCTGTGAATGGCACTAGTTTAGTTGTGTTTTCTGGATCTCTTCCATATGTCGCTGACTTCTTTGTATTTGACCGTGTATGGATACACAGAATTTTGTAGGCCAGAGAAGAAAAGAAGCTTTATAAACATTCCTTAAAGTGTGTAAAATACAAATCTTCATTTGTCTTAGCAAGTCAATAAGTAATTAAGTTGTTGAACTGATTTTTTTTAAAAAACAGGGAAATATCTTAAAATTTAAGCTGTTAAGTTAAAATGTGTAATTGGTATACAGCATATTACTGAAGGTAGAATGGGCTTCGTTTGGTAATAAAGGAACCAGAAATAGTTTGAAGTAAAATTGGGAGATGATTCATGTAGATTTACTATATTGTTGTATCACTTTCTAGTGTGTAGTACTATGTTATTTAAAAGAGTAAGTAGGTAAAGGAGTGGTATGATTACTTTGGATATTTCTGCTTCAGCCACAGTTACCATGAATAAATGATCTGTCTTTATAAAGGAGATGGAAGTGAATTCAAGATATTGAGATGTTAGATTTGACTGGGTTGTCCTTTGGCTAGAAGATCACCAGATAAAATGTAAACCTCCTAAACTAGATGAGATGATACCATTAAACATTTTTTTTGGCCCAGCACTTTGGGAGGCTGAAATGGGAAGATCGCTTGAACCCAGGAGTGAGGCTGCAGTAAGCTATAATCTGCCATGCACTCCAGCCTGAGCAACAGAGTGAGACCCTGACTAAAAAAAAAAAAAAAAAAAAATGTTTTTCCTTTGGTTCTCATGATCTCACACTGATGAATCTGATTGTTTTCTCTGAGTTATTTTGCCTCTCTCATGTTATTAGGGTAACCTGATAATAGACATGTTATCTTAGTTGTGTGGTATGTGACAGTGATCTCCTAAATGATGTGCATCAATCATTGATACTGAGGATGATCAGAAAATATTACAACTGTTATTGATGTTTACTTTTTTAATCTACAGATTAATGATAATGCATATTAATACTTAATATTCAGATTGCCAATAGTATATATTTGGTGGATAAATATCTTTTGGATCTGCAAAATTTTCACTTGATAGTTTATATCAGGATCAAAGCAGTTTAAAGAACATTAAAAGATAAGAATTTGGCATCTCATTTCTCTAAAAGATAAGTCATGTGTGTCCACATCTCAGGCAATTTTTTTCAGTTTTAATAAGTTTTATTCCTCATAATAAAATTTTTTTAACAGAAAACTCTTGATTGCTGTAGACCTCTGCTGTGTATTCGGTAGTCACTAGCCATATGTGGCTATTTAAGTTAATTCAAATTAAATAAAATTAAATATCAGCTCCTCATTTGCAGTAGTCAGATTTCAAGGACTAAGTAGCCACATGGACAAGTGGAAGGTGGTGTTCAGTTGCTGCTCATAATAGTTGATACCCTAGGATTTGGAGATGCAGTGTGGATACACAACAATTCCATCATCTCAGAAAGTGTTATTGGATAGTGTGGCTACAGACTTTTCTTGCTCAGCAATCTTAGTCTCCGCATGTTAGTCTCTTCATGCATCAGGTAGCATCTATAAAACATGCCAAAAGGAAGTAGGCTATCTCTAAAAGTGTCCCAAACTTTTTGTCTTGTAAATTAGCTTATCAGCATACTTGGAGCCTCTAGCCTTAATAAGGACTTGTTATCCTTATTAAATGTGTTATCAGGAGAAAGCCTGTCTTTTTCTGGAGGAATTATTCCCTTTTCATTTGAATCCGTGTTTGCTTTATCTTGGGTTCCTGAAAACTGATATTTTGCATTTAACAGCAGCATATGCCCAGGATGAATGATAATACATCTTCTGATACAGAGCTTGAGATTACAGAATGTCTTAAATTGTTCCAGGAACTGTTGTTATCATTTAAGTCCAATAATCAGTTAGTAAGGTTTCACCCTACCAGAATACACTTTTTTTTAAAATAAAAACTGTCTGGACTTTTGCTGATTACATTGTCCAGAATGTGGAGTATCACATTTGAGAAAAGGATTGGATCCTAGCCATAACATAAATACAAGGGTAATACATCCATGCTGAGAAAGATTAAGGAATGATAGTAAGTTTATTTGAGTGAGTGGTTGGGGCCAAACTTGATAGAGAATAGTCCAGGAAGACATTTACTGTAAATGGTAGATTAGATGTTCTTCTCTGATTAATTACATTTGAACTCTGTGAATTATTAAATCACTCAAACTGCTTATTTGTATTATTAGATGCACATTTAAGTTATATAAGTATTACATGTCTTTAGTGGTGATCACTATTTTATCAGTTCCTCTGTCTGTCTTTATACCAAGTATGAGTCATAAACCCAGTATGAATTTGCCAAGAGATTGGCAGACTATTTGTATATATGCTTTTCTTTCAAATAATCTGGATTTCCAATGCCCGCTATCATCAATTCTAAAGGTAATGTGGTAGTAGGTAGATTTAGTTTGCTAACAGTTTCCCAGTTGGTTTTGATAAACTCGAACGTCCCTACCATCACCCCTTGTAGGAAATCACTGATGTAATGTATGATATTAACATCTGCACCAATTACTCTTACAGGTGGAACAATCCAAAGTTTTAATCAAAGAAGGTGGTGTTCAGTTGCTGCTCACAATAGTTGATACCCCAGGATTTGGAGATGCAGTGGATAATAGTAATTGGTAAGAAGGGTTTGTCCTCACAACTTTGCAGTGCATTTGGGGTACTGGGGTGGTTAAACTTTTTCTTCTTAACATTTTAAAACTTCTCATCTTAGCAAAGGTCACCAAACTTCAAGCAACATGACTTGGGTTTGTATACCAACTTTGCCACTTATCTGACAAAGTTGTTTAACTTCTTTGAACCCATTTACTTTTCTATAAAATGGAGATAATACCTATCATAAAATTGTTTTTAAGACATATTCTAAAATAACATAGGTAAATAGAAGAATTCTCATTATTGTAAGAAATTTAAAACTGTTCACTTTAATTTTATTCATTTGTATAAATTCTATCTCAATCCTAATTTAAACCTGATATTTAGACTTTCAGTTTTTCTGTAAGTCCTAAGTGAAGAAAACAACTATGAAATTTTAGTCTGAAGTAATTATCTTAGTATTTTATAAATAATACTTTTATTTTTGTTTGAATTCACATTGTTTTTGAGGTAATTTTCTGTCAACTCTTAAAACTCCCAAGTTCACCATGAAGTTTTTTTATTATTTAAAGTAATCTCTCATTTGAAATTTTAAACTGCATATAATTGTTTTCATATTATGAAGTGTGTTATTAATACACTTATTAGTGCAAATAATATGCTAATATTTAGCTGTGTTTCGACAGTAAATAGTTTATTTTCTTTCATTTGGAAAGTTTTGAATAATGAATATTTATTCAACATAATTTATATTTTTGAATATATAGAATAACTTGACATATCTTCTACTGGTAAATTCATTTTGCCCATTTGAAAATACTGATTATTGTCCTTTAACAGTCATCAGTTAATTCATATGTAGAATTGCAGCTTGTTTTGTTTATTTGCGTTCTATAGCTGGCAGCCTGTTATCGACTACATTGATAGTAAATTTGAGGACTACCTAAATGCAGAATCACGAGTGAACAGACGTCAGATGCCTGATAACAGGGTGCAGTGTTGTTTATACTTCATTGCTCCTTCAGGACATGGGTCAGTACCTTGATACTTCTGATTCCTTTTTTGTTGTTGTTGCTTACTGTTACCTTTATGTGCATACTTTAGTAATCTTTAAGTTTGTGAAGTACACACAACTATAGCCATTATGAAGTACTAAATTTCATGTAGAAATGTCTTAGTTGAAAAGCCATTTTAAGTCCTATATAAGCTAACAGTGATTTTACTCCTTAGTTCTTCATTCATAAGGATTTTCCCTGCTTCATGAAATAAACAGTGTTGCCACCATGGTTTGAGGTCTCAATGTGGCAAATTTAGCTTTCATGTTGACCACTCTGCTACTAATAGAAATACCAAATAAAGAGAAGCAGCCATACCAGTTAGACATATTCAAAATAAATCCAAAGATGCTATTTATTATAAGTTTCATAGAAATGATTATCAAAAACACTTGCATGCCAATGTTTTCTTGTGCCATTTCTTTCTACAATAAATCTATTTGGCTTCTGTTTCACCTTAGCTGTCATAGACGTGTTGTTCAGGTATCATATTGTCAGTACTAATCTTTTGTTTATTAGGACTTAAGACCTAAGAATCTAGACATTAATCTAATCTGATTGTTCTGTTTGTTATAGTTAGCCTGTACTCCCTTTTTTTGTTTTTTGTACTTCTGCTGTCATTTTGAGTACATATATGTGTTATTGACAACTGCAGAATTTTCCAGTTATTCTTCCTCAGTCTTTTCCTTTGGGTAAGTAACTCAGTATATATAATTCAGCCACCTGATGATTATAACTCCACCATCTCTCCACCAAAAGAACTGTAGTAGCATCAGGCTAAATAGCATTAAGTTATCTAACACTCACATTACAGTAGTGTAAACCAATTCCTTCAAGTATACCTTTCTCTTCTATTTTTGGCTTCTTGCTCTCTTTTACTTTTTTATAGATAGGTCAATGCCCATTATCACTCTAGATGGATAAGGGAGCCTTAATTATATACTTATATGTTTGCACTGCCAGATTGTAGTGGAGTAAAGATGTTTCTTCTTTTATGTCTAATATTCTTTTACAGTACTCTCAGTTTACATGTTTAAATCACTAAACTGACTCTGACTTAAAAGGCTCAAAAAAAGTAATCTCAAAAATACAACATATTATATAACCTTTTATGAGTATTTGTGTAGCTACTTGAATTTGTATTTTTAAGTCATTCTCGTTTAACTTGTCAGGGCTTTTTCCTTTAAGCCAGCAGAGTGAAATCTTAACCTGCATTTAAGTCAATAAAACTTGTCAGCTTATAACCAATTTTATTATTTTAGATCTTCTGGACTCTCTCCAAGTTTAGTAATTCTCATGAAGTCACATTCCTTCCATCCCCTTGGGGAAAATTTTATTTCCTAAAATTGCATGGGAAATGAGAGCTTTTTTAAAAGAACAAATTTTTATATTCAAATGATATGTAGTGGCTTTGTGCCATTTCTTATTTGTCACAAGGGGTAAGATGTTTAAAATTGCTATTTCTTATATATAAAAATGTACCTTTGAACAATTTCTCAGTTTATTTTTAGAAATGGAGCAAAGTTTTGCCCTTTGGTACATGATATTGTGGATTAAGTGAAGGAATATGACACAGAATTTTATGTATAGAGTTCCAGATATCCTGCTCACTACAGACTGAAATTCCATGCAGTCTAATAGATGAATCAGAGCGTTTCCGTCTTGTCTGGGTAGTCCCTGGGTTCCCTTTTTGGAGGGATTTGTTTTTAGATAATTATAAATTGGTCCAACAGTGTACTTTCAGTGCCTCCTACCTCCCTCTACCAAGTATGAACTGCATGCATGGCTAATGTATGATTTCAGCTATTATTGCTTCATTTGCATTGTTCAGTATTTTGTAATTGTTATTAAAATAAAAAACTGACTTGGAACATGAATTTTAAAATGGTGTTTTATCCTTCTAGTATTGATTACCACTTTTAGAAAAATTGGTGTCATCCAGTGAGTTTTATACAGAAGGATTTTTTCTCTTATACATACATACATACATACATACAAAAAAAATTTGTCATTTGCCCTGTGGTTGTTCATTATGCTGTAGACTTTGAGGTTAAATAGTCTTTTCTCTCTAGTATGGGTTTATCTTCTAGAAACGATAAAGGATTTTCTGTTGCTTAAAAACAAGATTTAAAAACTAAATTTGTTGATGAAAAGACCAGCCAATATAAAACTAAATGGACAGAGGAAAAAATTCAACCAGAATGTAATATACATGTGAACTAAATGTTTTCTGTTGCTGACATTTTGTAGGCTTCTGAAATTTAATGGGACTTTTACAAGGTTTACCTTTTTTCCTAAAGTTTAATTTTTAAACTGACTTAAATGTTCTTTGACCCTTTGGTTATATTTAAGAAGTTGACTTCCCTAATTTCCTTGTTATGTTTATTTTTAAATATCTTTCTTTCTAGAAGTTGGGATATTATAATAAATACTCAGCAAGTATTGTTTTGCATTTAAATATAAAATCTTGTTATTTGGATTTTAATAGTTTATATTAAATGCCCTTAAGATTTATTAAAATTTTGGATTAACTGAACTCTGCTTTTTTGTCACTGGATTGATAAGCAGGCTTATATCTGACATAACAGCTTAATAAGGTAGTGGCAGTTTAAATTTGTCATGAATATGAATTGAAAAACCATAACAATTTAGAAATCTGAGATTGAATATTTCATGGCATTTATATTTAGTGTTTTATATAATGATTAATGAAAAGAAGCAAAACTTAAAATTTTTTTTCAAAAATGGATAGGTTCAGGCCAGATGCAATGGCTTACGCCTGTAATCCCAGCACTTTGGGGACCAAGGCAGGAGGACCATTGCTTGAGGCCACAGACTAGGCAACATAGTGAGATCCCATCTCTACAAAAAATTAAAAAGTTAGTTGAGGCTGGGCGCAGTGGCTCACACCTGTAATTCTAGCACTTTGAGAGGCTGAGGCAGGTGGATCACCTGAGGTCAGGAGTTCAAGACCAGCCTGGCCAACATGGTGAAACCTCGTCTCTACTAAAAATACAAAAATTAGCCAGGCTTGGTGGTGGATGCCTGTAATCCCAGCTACTCAGGAGGCTGAGGCAGGAGAATTGCTTGAACCCGGGAGGCGGAGATTGCAGTGAGCCAAGATTGTGCCACTGCACTCCAGACTGAGCAATAAGAGTGAAACTAAAAAAAGAAAAAAAAATTAGCTGGGCCTGGGGGTGCACTCTGTAGTCCTAGCTACCCAGGAGTCAAAGTGGAAGAATTGGAGGCTATGGTGAGCTATGACTACACCACTGCACTCCAGCCTGGGTGACAGAGCAAGACCCTGTCAAAAAAATAAATAAATAAAAATGGATAGGTTCTTTTAGTTAACACTAGTGAGGCAAGAACACAGTTTACAGATAATATAAACAGGGTTATTCCATCTACACACACTTTTTTCGTTGTGCTCCCTATTCTCTGAATGCCAGTGTCAATTTTCAGGGGATTTAAGACAAGGAGAATTAGAATAGGAGGCAGCTATCTTAATTCTCCATGTTTGCTTTCTCCCCCTCACTGTCTCTGTCTTTCTGCCTGTCAGCCTTACTACTACAGTAAAGTATATACAGTAATCTTTGTTAGTAAAAAGGACTGGACTATCTTATTAGTCTTAGGGCCCTAATCCCCCCAGTTTTAATATATATGTTTCTCTTTCTTTATTTTAAAATGTCAGTCAATTCAATTATTAGTATGTCAATAAAATTATTAACAGAATGAGACCTTTATTTCATTTTTCTCATGTTTTTATAAAAGTTAAAGAATACCACTTTAGAATGGTAGTCCTTTGCAAAATATTTCTAGTATCTTCATTTATTCTTGTGAAACATTCAATTTTAGTCCACAATATATTCCAGATTTGAGGACTTCGGTTCTCATTTAGAATTACTAAAGGACATAACGAAAATCACAGCAGCTTACTTTTTTTGTCAACAAATATTTGGGCACCTTCTTGAGTGTTAGATACCACGCTGGGTGCTGAGGATACAGATAAATTGAGATAAGGCCCTCGCTGTAGAGGGTATTTCAGTGAGAAGATGGGAGAAACAAATACAGATGCTCCTCAACTTGGGACAGGGTTACCTGTTGAAGTTGAAGATACGTTTAATAGCGTAGCCTACATTTGGGCAAAATCATCTAACATAAAACCTATTTTGTAATAATGTGTTGAATATCTCATGTAATTTATTGAATACTGTACTGAAAGTAAAAAGCAGAATGGTTGTATGGTTTCTATTCTATGCGTATTGCTTGCACACTATCAGAAAGTTGAAAAATTGTTAAGTGGAACCATAGTTAGTGAGGACCCATCTGTATGCAGGCAGGCAGTTATGGTACAGCACACTAAGTGTTGTCAGCACATAGAAATATGCCTAGTCTCAAGGTTAGAGAAGGATTCCCAGTGGAAATTGGATCATAAGCCAGTGTCCTAAAGGATGAATAGGAATTAGCCAGGCCAAGGAGAAGGAGGATGAGAATGGAGGAGGGTGTTCCAGCTAAGGTAGTAGCCTGTGGCCAGATGTCAAAGTATGATGCTTTCAAGGAATTGTAAGAAATTCAGAAAGGCTGGCACATTGGAAGTAGGAGGCGAAAGAAAGGCCAGGAATGCTAAGAGATGAGGTTAGCTTGAGAATCTATGTCTTCACAAGCTTTGTGGGCCATTCTAGTTAAGGCATCTGGCCTTTAGTAAGATTTTTGGTCAGGTCATAACTCCATAAGATTTGGATTTAGAAAGACCACTCTGACTTCAGTATGGATGATTCATGTTATAGTTATTCATTCCAAAGGACTTGGTGGCCTAGACTAAAGTAATGGAAATGGAGATATACATACATCATGCATACACACATCTATACACATACTATATATAGGAATAGGATTAGAGGAGGGGAGGAATCCTAGGTTTCACACTTGAGTAATGGGGAAGATTGTAATGCCATTCACTGAGATAGGAAGCGTAGAAGAGGGAAAATGGGGGTTCAGATGAGCTTTTGATTTTAAGGAGCCCATGGAACACCCAGGTAGCATATCCACTGGGTAAACACAAACCTGGAACTTAACAGTGAGATATGAGCTGTCTATGAAGATTTGGAAGTCAGTTGACCAATTGAAGATAATTGAAATCTATTGTAGTCATAATAATTGTACTGAATGTAGAGTAAGAAGAGAAAGCCTGGTAGGGAATTCTAAAGAATGTACTTCTTAAGGGACTAGCTTACTAAGAGGATCCTGAAAAGTATCCTAAGGAAGAAGAGCTTGTGAGAGAATAAGTAATGGTAAGCACCATGATAGAAGTATTTAGTCACCTTCTTGAAAGTACAGAGGCAAACTGGAGGCAGCAGCCAGATTGTAATGAATAAAAGGGATGTTGAAGATTATCTTGTGAGCATCTTGTCAGAGAAAGATAGTTGGTAGCAAGAACTGAATGTGGAGTTGGAAGAGGACTACCATTTTTCATTTTTAAAAAATCCTCCAGCCTGGGCAACCTGGCGAGACATTGTGTCTACAAAAAATACAAAAATTAGGCAGGCATGGTGGTGTGCACCTGTAGTCCCAGCTACTCAGGAGGCTGAGATGGGAGGATCTGAGCCTGGGAGGTGGGTTGCAGTGAGCTGAGATTACACCACTGCACTCCACCCAGGGCAACAGAGTGAGACCCTGTCTTAAAAAATTAAATAAAAAAAAAAAAATTAAAAACCTTGTAAATTTTGAGTAATAAATATAGAGATAATTCTAGGAAATTCTATTAGGAGCCTTTCTGGTTTTTCCAATTCCTCTTTAGGGCCAAAACCCTGTGACCAGGGTTCAAGGGCAGGAGTCAAAGCCTTAGCCACTCCAATGCTTCTTGAAGTCCTGTTCTACCTAACTTTTGCTGGCCTAATACATCTTCAGAGTGTTTCTGATAAGTAAGTAAAGTAGTTACATTGTATTTAACTAGCATTGGGGATGTGAAGAATCTTGTTCTCCCAAACTGATCAATTCAGTCAAATTAAATACTGTGTATTTCAGACTTAAACCATTGGATATTGAGTTTATGAAGCGTTTGCATGAAAAAGTGAATATCATCCCACTTATTGCCAAAGCAGACACACTCACACCAGAGGAATGCCAACAGTTTAAAAAACAGGTGAGCAGGATGTGTTAACCCAGGTTTCTTATACCGTTCTCATAATTTGCAGTTTTTACTATTTTTAGTATAATGTGTTGCAATCCATTCCTCTTACTGCTTTACTATATTGTCATTTATACTGTATTAGAAATAACTCTTCAATCTTCTGCCTTTGTCAGTTTTTAAATATGGCTGTTTTAAGTGTTCTGTAATAACACCCCCACACAGACAATTTCTCCCCATACTCTTTAGAATTATTTTCTTTTTTCTTTTCTCTTTTCTTTTCTTTTTTTTTCTTTTCTTTTTTTTTTTTTTTTTTTTGAATTATTTTCTTAGAATGAATTCCCAGGAAGTGGATTATTCTTTCAAAGGCTATGATTGTTTTTATGGGTCTTTATCTCCCCACTCCCCATTTTGTCATGGTGCTTTCCCAATAAAACAAATTTGTACATCTGTTTCACTGTGACTTTGCCAGCATTGTTATTTTTATTTTGAAAACTTTTTTGGAATGAAGTGGTAACCAATCATTTCTTTGTCTTTTCCTTTTATTTTCCCGAAAGGCTGAACATTTTAAAAACAAAGTCATTTTTTTCCCCCTTTTTGTAAACATCTGCTCAAATCCTTTGTCTTTTTGACCAGTAGTACTTGGTATTACCCGTATTTATTGATATGGGTTCTTTTTATTCTGGATATTTAGTTCTCTCTCATTTTCACAATATTTTTTCTGTTTTCTCTTTTGCTGCTTATTTTTGTTTTCAGTGCACTAATTTTGTTTTCAGTGCACTTTACGGGATATTTATAGTTTAAGTTATTGTTCAAACCTATGACCCTAAGATTAAGAGTCTCATGCTGTATGACTGAGCTAGCTGGAAGGCCACTAAACTGTTTTTCTAGACTCACGTCTAGTTGTCTCAATAATATTGAGTTACACAGTCACACATATTTCTAATTTAATTGTGTTTGGTTCGTTATATATTACATTTTATGAAATGTAAGGTCAATTCTGGAACCTTTCTCTATTCCAGTAGTCCAAAGGCCAGTAGTATATTGTTTAAACCACAGCAGCTTTATATAATATTTAAAAGTAGATTGTAATTATCTCTATTGTCCATATAGTCCTATTGTAACAAAATACTTTGTTTTTCACCTTTTTCAATATGAATTTCAGAATACCTTGAAACCTGTTATAAAAAGCCTGTTAAAATTTGCTTTGAAGTTGTGCTAAATTCATACTAATTTTCAGAAAGTTTTAGTACATTGTTTTTACTGTATCTAGTATTTTTGTGTTTTACACTTACCCATTCCCATTTTTGTTTTGTAATGTGCTATTTCTAAGTTTCAAACACTATCATATAATACATTTCTTTTTGTTTATTATGTGTTTCGATTTGGATTTTTACTGATAAAGGTAAAAAAGATGAATATGAAGTGACCTCTTCTTTCAAATTGGTCACATCCTGGTGGTTGTACTCAGGTCATTTTAATATACAACCTCTGACTAAAACCATTGCTTTTAGAGCTAGCTACTATTACTCATTTTTCTCGTCATCATGTATTTGTCAATTCCTTGTTTATTCTTTTTTTTTTTTTAAATATAGGTACGTACCCTAATTGTAAAAGAAGTGTGGTCCTATTTTTTTTCAGTGACAATTTTACTTCTGTTTACTTCTGTCTACTATAGTAACCATGTAACACAATTTGTTCAGGGTCCTTTTATAGCTGCTGGGAACCTTTGCCAAGAAAGTTGCACCAAAATATAAGTATAGACAGGGAAGCTAGGTTTAGGTATATTAGCCATTGGTTTGTTATGGGTTCAAATAAGGATAGGTAGTTGAAAATTATTTGGATGTCTGTATTCTGTTTAGAATTGGAGTGATTTTGAACATGATAATTTAATTTGAACTAGGTCATTTCTGATGTTAATAATAAGTTGTCTTCTCTAGGTTTCTGCATTCTCCTTATTAATTCTTGAGCTTCTTAATTTCTAGGATGTGTTTTCTCCCTGTGTCCTTCCCTAATCTTACACCTGTTGCTCCTCAATTTGTGTGTATGCACATGTACATGTAAGGATTTTTCTGATGAATGTTCAGGGAGCAGTGCTGTACTTAGTTTTACCTTACTTTTGCCAGATTCTACTAAAAATTTTACGTGAGTTTAGCCCTGTTTATTCAACTAAATAAGATACTTGGGAATTTATATCTAAAGGAAGAATCTCAGTCATTGTAAATAAATGACCTAAAGTCATTATTGTGGAAATCAATCAGAGAAATCCCTTTCTGGAGTTTTACATCCTTTTTGGAACTCTTTTGGTATGACAGCTATATGACTTTAACACTTCGGAAGTAATTGGATTTGGTGTTTATATATCAACTTCATAGTTAAAAAAAAAAAAAAGACTAGCGTAGTACTTTAATTTTAGATTACAACTTTGCATCATTAAAAAACAGTAAAGGATCTGGAACCAAGGACCCATATAGGAATCGAAGAGGCATGTAATGAACATAAGACTAATATACTAATTATGTATGGTGCTCTTTTGCTGACTACTTCTTCCATTTTAGATAATGAAAGAAATCCAAGAACATAAAATTAAAATATACGAATTTCCAGAAACAGATGATGAAGAAGAAAATAAACTTGTTAAAAAGATAAAGGTAGGTTCATCCCTGTACACACGCTAAAGTAATCTGAGGCCTTAAAAACATACTACAGCGTCCACAGGAAAGATCAAAAGTATCAGTGTTTTAAGTAGTTGGCTTACAAAATACCTAGGGAGATTTAATGTTGAATTCAACTTTATAGTTAACTTTGAAGATTAGCTAGTATATATAATAAGGAATTGTATAAACTACTGAGGTGAATAACACAATTCTTATTTCAAAGTGTTTTTAATTAACTGGCTTTCATATTATGTAATTTTTTTCTCTTAAAAAACAAGTGATGAGAAAGGAGAGAATTCGTTCTGTTATGTTTTAATTGCCAGACAAAAATGTATTTATTTTGTCTCTATAAAAGCCAACCAAAATTACAGCTAGATAGGAGGAGTAAGTTCTAGCGTTCTGTAGCATTGTAGGGTGGCTGTAGTTAACAGTAATTTAGTCTATATTTTCAGATAGCTAGAAGAGGATTATGAATGTTCCCAATACAGAAAAATAAGTTTGAATTGATAAATATGCTAATTACCCTAATTCAATCATTACATATTTGTATAAAGTTATCAGAATACCATACTGTACCCCACAAATGTGTACAATTATGTTTCAATTAAAAACAATAAAAACCAACCAAAAATTCACATCAACATATTTTCTGTATTTTATCATGGTTTTCTATGTACTTTGGCCCTAAAAATGGTATACTGAATAATGGCATTATGTAGGCAAATATCTTGGAATAATGAAATTCTTATACATTGCCTGTGAAGAATTTCTGCAGTTGTAAATAGCTGCTTAGGTATTTCTGGGAGCCACAGAATTGTGAAGGGCTGAACATGGATGAACACAAATCCAGTCACCAGGATTTGAATTTCCAAAGTTAGAGCTTAACAAATATACTATTACCTGGTTTAGGTACTGTTATAGTTGGTTTGTGATCAAGTAGGCAAGCTAGTCATTAGCCCCCCGCTTTTTTTCCCCCAAATGCCAATATAGTTTTTACCTTTTATCCCCCCCCAGGTATGGGACAACTTTCTGTAGTGATTTTTAGTAAATAATTTGACCAGTATATGCTTGAATATTCTTAACATTAAAGAGAAAATTTAATTTTATTTATTGTTTACCTTGGTGGCAATACCATGTGATGGCAGTTTACTAAATATTTGTTAAATGGCCTATAAAAACTAATGCAGAAACTATCGAAAGTAAATTTTTTTTTTTTTTGGCTAACCTGTTGAGTAATGTAACTTTTTTTATTTTTGAATTTGTGAGGACTACAGAGATGTATTTGAACAAGAATACTTTGTTTTATAGGACCGTTTACCTCTTGCTGTGGTAGGTAGTAATACTATCATTGAAGTTAATGGCAAAAGGGTCAGAGGAAGGCAGTATCCTTGGGGTGTTGCTGAAGGTAAGATTTTCTTCAGTGAATGACTTTCTAAAATATCTCAAAACTGATTAAAAATTTGTATTTATAGTAAGTAGTACAGTATGCACACTGTATTGATATAGTCTAGATTTTCAAGGATAATACTGATTTCAGGTTCTTGTAGTCTCAATTTTCTCTTTAAGTACATTGGTATTTTTCAAACCTGTATCCTACCAAGTCAGGCAAGTGTGTGTTAAGTCCTAAAGTTGTAGTATAGGTTGAACATTCTTAAAGAGAAAATTCAAAATGTGAATTGCTCCAAAATAAAACGTTTTGAGCACTGACATGCTGCTCAAAGGAAGCGCTCACTGGAGCATTCTGAATTTTGGATTTTTGGATTAAGGATGCTCGACCAGTAAGTATAGCACAGATATTCCAAAATTCCAAAAAAATTCAAAACACTTCTGGTCCCAAGCATTTCAAATAAGAGATACTCAACTTGCCCCACCCTGGCTGGCATCCTGCCTCATCATTAAGTCTATTTCTGTTTTCATATTTGAAAACATAACTAAAATTGAGGGGTTCTTTACCTGGGGCCCAAAGTTTGCTCCCAGGGAATCTAATGAACCACCTGGAATCAAACATTTGGAGAGAAGGCCAGTCACTTTTATCGGAACGTCAGATGGTCATGGACCCTCAAGAATGATTGAAGAAATTTGTAAGCCCAGTTAAAACATCCACAGTCTTCTTTCCTCAGTGCAAAAGTTGCCCTTTTTGATATCTCATATTTAGAGTAAAAAAATTTCGTTAATAAGAGATCCTCTTTACTAGTTTTGTAAGGAGTTTTTTGTTTTCTTTTTTAACCTGCTATCTTAAATTATTAAGGGTTAAGTAAGGAGTTTTAAATACCAATAAAATCTTAGTTATAACACCAAGCCTCAGAAGTACTTCCTCTTGGCAATAGGTTTATTGTATTGGTTTAATCTGATACTTAATCTTCTGTATTATAGTAAGCTGAAACCAAAATTGAGATTTGATTGTTTTATCTGTTTGTTGCTATTATTTTTGAACTTCGTTTTTTTTTTTAAGAGACAAGGTCTTGCTATGTTGCCCAACTGGCCTCAGAATCCTGAGCTCAAAGTGATCCTCCCACATCATGCTCCTCCCACATCACGTCACTATAAGCACACACCACTGCCCCTGGTTTATTTTGAACAATTCTTTAATTTTTAGGATATTGTTTCAGGTAACTGTCCTTATTGGCAATTTTCCCATCAGTGACCTGTGTACCTTGTTCCCAGCTCTCTCTATCATGCCCAGGCAACTTTTACTTGCTGAGCTGGGGCTTTAGAACTTACCCCTTAAAAATACGCACCGGAGAAATTGATTTGCATCTCTCTTTTGTAGTTTACCCCTCTACTCCCAAGTAATATTCCTATTTGTGATACATTCTTTAAAAATAAAAGTAAAGAACCTGAAAGTTCTTGGCTCCCTTTTTCATTTTGGTTACCTTAAGATTTTTTCTAAAGTGATTCTCCCTTCACTCACACCACTGAATTTTTTAAATGTATTATAGAATAAATATATTTTTTACCAATAATAAGATTTCCCCTTTCAGAATTTCAAAGTTGTTTCTGGAGAGTTCATTTGTTAGGTTTACATATCTATTTCTGAGGATTAAACTACAATAAGGCAATAATAGAGTACACTTCTCTGTCATGCCCTCACATTGAGTGTACTATGTTAGTGTTAAATCTCAAAAAAATTGATCTGTTTTGCATTTCCTCTTCTTGTTTTTACACCCCAAGTTCCTGTGAAATATTTTTTGAAAAGACTAGGTTTAGTGGAAATATAACATATGCGGTCTGCTTTTTTCTTACAGTTGAAAATGGTGAACATTGTGATTTTACAATCCTAAGAAATATGTTGATAAGGTAAGTGCAAGCAATGATGGAAATAGCATAAGATTTTCTTTCCCTAAGTAAGAGTTGGACAGATTTACTTTTTGCCTTCTATAAATGTAGCTAATTTAAATTTATATCTTCAGTCTAGCCATGAAGTAAACACTACATATAGATGATTCTTTCTCCAAGGTTTTGAAGTCATGAGCAAAAGTTGCAAAGTAATTTGTCTAGGGATACATAGGAAAATTAGTCTCTTTATCATTATACTTTGTGTCGAGATTTAATACTGAAATAACTATGGAAAGTGAAGTAGAAGAGGCTCTTTTTTCTTAATGTGAAAACCTTGTGAAAACTATATAAGAGAAGGCTAGTTTTTGAGTCCAAAGCTAGAATTTGAATGTTAAAAGGTGCACAGCCTGGTAGCTGGTGAGTAGGGCACATTTTATGTACTGGAACATAGTGAATAAAACCAGTATTCCTACCAGGTGAGAAATCCCTAAATTGTGTCTTACACACCTGCTGAAAGAGAAGGAAAGCCTATGGGAGCAGGACATCGAGGCCATCCTGATTAGAGGACCAGGACTGTAAAGAGGATCTCTTACTAATGAATTAGAAAAGCAGCAGCAGAGAGGAAATCATGAAGAAAAAGTGTAATAGGACTAGAGATGTTAGTAGACAAGGAACAGAAAGGGCATCAAAATGATCCTCAGTATTTTCATGTTGAGACACATTCATTCCCCTCCCTACCTGACTCCGCATTTCCCACTTTTCTCTCTTGCTTCTCTACACCTTTACCACATACTCTCTTTAACCTTCAGTTTTAGATGTCTGTCTTTAGTTGATATCTATTAATTTTCATACCTCTACCCACTTTCCCAAAACATAAGAATCTCTTTTGCTGTGTAAAGAAAGGTAGTTACATAAATATGGATAATAGTTGGAAATCATGGAATAACAAGAGGTCATTCTCAAGGTGAGAAGTGAGGGGGAAAATTTAAGACAGTCAAACTGCTACCTCAAGAAATACAATAGAGGTGAGAGTGAATTTTGAAATTAAATAAATGGCATGTAATTGATCTTTATTTTCAAAGGAGCAGGTGTTCTTGGTAGGAACTACATGATAGGTTTAATTCAGCAGTTGAGGTTGCCAGGCCTCACTTAGTGGAGAAGAGCAAAAGCACGAGAAGGTCATCTTCTGGGTTTTGAGAATACAACACTTCAGGCTCTATTATGAACCATTCCCTTCCTCTTCCATTCTTAAGGTGTGACTTCAAAAGAATACATATTAATAATATAATCTGCTATGACAGTATATAAGTAGAGAATGTTTAATAAATACTAATTTACCATTGCATTCCTCTTGTTTTTAAATCTTCTATGGTACTTGCCTAGTGCTTGACACAATGGCATTCTATAACTTTTTCTTGTGTATTTTAAAAGTATACAATCAATAATTTCCTACATACCTAAAACACTGTAGAGGGGAAAGCTAGTTACTGAGCCAGAGGCTACTTTGTTGAGATGGAGTCTCACTTTCTTGCCCAGGCTGGAGTGCAGTGGCACGATCTTGGCTCGCTGCAGCCTCCACCCAGGTTCAAGTAATTCTCCTGCCTCAGCTTCCTGAGTAGCTGGGATTATAGGCATGCACCACTACACCTGACTAATTTTTGTATTTTTAGTAGAGACAGGGTTTCACCGTGTTGGCCAGGCTGGTCTCAAACTCCTGACCTCAAGTAAACCACCTGCCTCAGCCTCCCACAGTGCTGGGATTACGGGCTTGAGCCACCACACCCACCCAGCCCAGAGGCTACTTTGAATATTCGAAGGTTCACAGCCTGGCGGCTAGTGAGGGACCTCCCTAGTATAAGCATTACAGAGCAAATTGACCATGCCTGCAGGAAGATTTAATACAGCAGAGCAGCAAGACTTTTATGCCTAAAAATTCTAAAGTTATTATTAAAAAGATGTGTATTTAATTTAGCTCATGTCTTTAAGACAAAGCCATCTAGTGGATATTTAATAAATACTTGAAGGAAGGAAATAAAATACCAATACCAATATTACAGATGTCTGTAAATCCCAAATAATTGAAATCTTGCAGGTCAAAGGAATAGTGATTGCTTCTAAGAAAGAGGCAAGTTCAAAGAAGTTCTCTTGCTAATTAAGAGAACTAACTTACTCCAGGCAAACCAAGGAAGACGATGGAAAGGAGGAAAACTATACAAATATTTTCAGGGTGTGGATATGGGTGTTTCAGAAATCAAATGGGGAAAGAAAACAAAAGGAGAACAGAAAGAGTTACGATATCAGCAATGGGAAATGGAAGAGACAAATTCCTGAAACTGTGGGGAAACTATTGCTAATTAACAAATTATTTTGAGAATGGAGGAGTGGGTTGAATCATAAAATGATAAAGTATATTTAAATGGAAATAAAGACTTTCATAACCTGAAAAAATCAGAATTATGTAGTCGTATAGAAGACTTTAGTGATTTTAGTGAAAAGAAAAATTATTCATTATCTAAAATATTAGATGACACTAACAAAAATAACTTAACAATTAGTAAATTCACCTTACTTTTATCTTACACATTCATGCAAACATTTCATGTAAGTTTTCTTCCTTAGGACCTTTAACGATTTTTCAGTGATGCAGTGATGATATGTAATATATAATAAATAAAATCAGGCCAGGTGCAGTGGTTCACACCTGTAATCCCAGCATTTTGGCAGGCGAAGGTGGGAGAATTGCTTGAGCTCAGGAGTTCAAGACTGGCCTGGGCAACATGGTGAAACCTCGTCCCTACTAAAAATACAAGAAATAGTCGGGCGTGGTGGTGCATGCCTGTAGTCCCAGCTACTCAGGAGGCTGAGGTGGGAGGATGGTTTGAGCCTGAAAGGCAGAGATTGTAGTGAGCTGAGATCGTACCACTGCATTCCATCCAGCCTGGGCAACAGAGCGAGACCCTGTATCAAAAAAAAAAAAAAAAAAAAAACGGAAAAGAAAAATTAAATAAACATTGTTTTATATTGGCATAGGTATTTGTTATTTTTCTCCACTTAGAGAAACTGGTTCCAAAAAGTGTTTATCATATCTCAGCTTCAATCTTGAGTTATGAATTCTGTTAAAATTCCTATCATCTGCTATCTGCATTGGGATGCAAAAGGTAATGGCATGTTCCTTGTAAAGGGGATCTTACAGTTGAAGAGATATGATGTCACCTGTGACGTATACTTGTACCAAAAATGAATGACAACCAAGGAGGAAATGGTCATGGTTGGAATGCTTTGATGTCAAGGCTGGGAAAAAGGTTTCCAAAGCAATTAAGTCTTTGACGAGAGATTGACAAATTAGCATGAACTGTTCAGTGTCAGCCGCCAGATATGCCAGGAGTAGGGAGCTGCCTGACTTGCCTGAAGTGGAGTGGTAGAACTTCAGAAGTAACTATTGTGGCTATAAGAGAACGTGAATTTATTGAGGGACAGAGTCTGGGAGATGAGATTTTTGGAAAAACCAGACTTAGGACTAAGGGGAGTCAACTATCAGAGAATTGCATGGAAATGTCAGTACGAAATGAATCAGAGTAATTGAATATCACATTTTGTTCCCAAAGGGGGAGATTCAAGAAGCTGGATTGTGAAGTAACAGTAAAGGTTCTCTGGTTGTAAGGAATGATAAAAACAGTACAACAATACACTTTTTTTTTCTTTTTAAGACGGTCTCTTGCTCATGTACTCAGGATGGAGTGCAATGCGTGATCTTGGCTCACTGCAACCTCCACTTCCTGGGTTCAAGCGATTCTCCTGCCTCAGCCTCCCAAGTAGCTGGGATTATAGGTGCTTGCCACCACGCCCAACTGATTTTTGTATTTTTAGTAGAGATGGGGTTCCACCATGTTGGCCAGGCTGGTCTCGAACCCCTGAGCTCAGGCAATCTGCCCGCCCCGGCCTCTCAAAGTGTTGGGATTACAGGTGTGAGCCAGCGTGCCCAGCCAACAATACACCTTTGTGTTTGTCTCCCAGAAGGGAGTTTTAGTAAAGTGGTGAAGATGAATGATGGCAGATATAGGAAGTTTGAGATAGAATGGATGATGAGAAGAGAGAGGACTGACAATACGGTATTGCCACACCATGTATATCCAAGAACACTACATTGGTAAAGGATATCCATAGAGCAGCTAAGGATATCTTCAGTGTCTTGAATTATTAAATAATGATGACATCATCTCATATGTATTGTAGACTTATATATATTGATTTTATATATGATAGAAATGCTGTAAGCAAAAATTTGTTTAACCGAAATACCACTTTCACTAGACAGTTTGAAGAAACAGAAAATTACTCTAAAATTTCCTTGTTTGAAAACAACTTGATATGTGATCTGAAATTTATTATTATGTATTAATAAAAACTCATATATTACCTTAGTAATATTGCTAAAAGGCAGTGTCTTTTAGATTTTATGAGCTTCAGTAGTGGCCAATCTGCACTCTGTTGTCTAGTATTTAAATAGATAATATAAAGATGAATACTCTTTCATAGAAAGGTCATCCTTCAGTAACTGTTTTTGGGGATTTATAGGTCTTAAAATGTCACTGGAATCTAAATTTGGTGTCAAGTTAGCTTATTTTTTGTTGGTTTACTTTGAGTGTAAATGAAAACAGATGAATGCCACCTTCCTTAACAATAGTCTTTTGTTCATTTTAAATCTGAAATTTTTGTTTTGGTAAAATTTTGAATTCATATTAAAACTTTTTAAGCTTTTTTCCCCCTAGCTATTAATAGAAGCAAACTCTTGCTGTTTGTTTATGACAGAACACACATGCAGGACTTGAAAGATGTTACTAATAATGTCCACTATGAGAACTACAGAAGCAGAAAACTTGCAGCTGTGACTTATAATGGAGTTGATAACAACAAGAATAAAGGGCAGCTGACTAAGTAAGTATATATTTTTTTCTCCAAAAAGGTATTATTTCTGTAGTCAATAATCATATTGTTTCATTTTCATTAAATTTCTTCTGGCTACTCAGTAGAAAATTTGGATAATGTTCTTTATGCACAGCAGCATAAATTTATATTGTTATGCTTTGTTAATAGTAGAAGCTTTTTTGAATGAACCATTTTGATAGTTTTCACTTACAAATTATGTGGAAACAAAGGACAGGCTTTAACAAAAGGAATATTTAGATGAATTTGTTCTTGGTTACCTTCTCTATTCCTATTCCAGGGAGTAAATTAGCTGGAGTTTCGTTTTCTTCTTTTGGTTGTTAGAGTGGTGTAAGTGACTACCAAGTGTGTAGCTTTGCCCTGTTGAGCTTATATCTCAAGCTGTGGTGGTTTCATGTTGGGTTCGAAAAAAGAGATGTGTGAGGAAGCTGGTAACCATGTCTGTGCCCTACTTTTTAAAAATCTGTCATTATTGAAAATCATAATTACATCATATGTCACTTAACAGTGGGGATACATTTCTGAGAAATGTGTCATTGGGCTATTTTGTCATTTTGTAAACATCATAGAGTATCTACACAAACCTAGATGGTAGAGCCTTCTACACACCTAGGTTATGTGGTCTAGCTATTCCTTGCAGGCTATAAACCTATACAGCATGTTACTGTACTGAATGTTATAGACAGTTGTAACATAATGTCAAGTATTTGTGTATCTAAACATAGAAAAGGTGCAGTAAAAATACAGTGTAAAAGATTAAAAATGGTATATCTGTATAGGGCACTTGGTTTGAATGGAGTTTGCAGGACTGGAGATTGATTGCTCTGGATGAGTCAGTGAGTGTGCAGTGAGTGAACGTGAAGACCTAGGACATTACTGTACACTACTGTGGACTTTATGAACACTGTACACTTAGGCTATACTAAATTTATTTTT
Source organism: Homo sapiens (assembly GCF_000001405.40). Classification (NCBI taxonomy): domain Eukaryota; kingdom Metazoa; phylum Chordata; class Mammalia; order Primates; family Hominidae; genus Homo; species Homo sapiens. The sequence goes on from NC_000007.14 coordinate 35,891,739, forward strand.
TAAATTTCTCTTCAATAATCTTACTTTGCTGTAACTTTATTTTATAATAACTTAAATTTTAAAAAACTTTTTGGTTCTTTTGTAGTAACACTTAGCTTAAAACACAAACACATTGAACAGATGTAGAAAGATATTATCTTTATAATCTTTATAAGCTTTTTTCTATTTTAAAAGTTCTTTCTTTTTTCATTTATACCTTTTTTTGTTGTTGTTAAAAACAAAGACATAAACTTACACATTAGCCTAGGCCTACTCAGGGTCAAGATCATCAAGATGCCACTGGGCAGTAGGAATCTATGGGCCACCATCATATATGCCATCCCTTGTTTACTGAAATGTCATTATGCAGTACATAGCTATATTGCAAAACCATTTTAAATAATGTGCATTTGTAGCTAGGTGTTATCTACAATTAGACGATAATCCTGAAGGATCAACTATATAAATACGAAAGACAAGTTCTCAAAATAGCTATAGTATTTTCCATAGTGGTTAACATGCCTTATAATGGAATAGAAAAATGTCCCTTCTTAAATATTTAAAATACAAGATTCTGTTTGAGGTAAGCCTCAATATGTGAACAAAAGGAAGGCTTTTTATCTCTTTTGAGCAAAATGTTTATTGAGTAACTTTGGCACAAAAATGTAAGGACCCATCATAGTGAATATTGTTCATAAAATCCTAATTCACTTTAAACTTATCATTAACGATGCACTTTTTAACTCATTAAAAGAAACGCATACACAAAGCTACTGATAATTTTGTATGTTAAAGTACTAGTACATATTTTTTGTTAAATATATGTACTTATTCAATATATTTTTTAAAACATTTGTTAAGTTGTAGATAAAAGGAATTATTTATTTGTTCCCATGTCTCAAATATAAGGCTTTTTAAAGTAGTGCTGTTGGATGCAGGTAAGATAATTCATGGAAAAATAGAAAACTTTACAGTATCATTAAGTTTCTTTCTGCATATACAAAATTCTACTGTGTGGATACATGAGTTAAACTATATCCCAGGTGAAAACATAATTAGTAGAATTCTACTGGAAATATATCTCTTAAAGAGAGGAATCATGACCATACTTTGCCTATGCAAATAAAAAAAGAAATGTTTGCATTGCTAAAAAGCAAATTGGCCCAGGAGCTAGCATAATATTTTATTTTATGTTAATAATAAATAGGAATTAGACTGTTACTACTTCATTGAATAACGCATACTGAACCTGAAAGAAATCGCTTAGAAGTTTTATCTATTAGTTGTATCTGACATTGTCTTGAAAATGTTAGCAATTTCAAAAAATATTTTTGTTAAATTTTTCTTTAAAAGTCATTAACAACTTATGGTGCTTTAGCTGATGTAAGGTGCTTTTCCTCATAGCTCAGTACATATCCATGAATAACTGAAAAGAAAGACTAATGTTTAAATAAGTGAAGTAGGTGTGAGTTTAGGCTTCTTTTAATGTTCTTTTTGTATTGCTCTCATGTGACTCTATAGCAACGTATTCTTTGACAGTGGTAGTGGGGAGGGGTTGAGAGTTGCAAGAATTTTGGAATGGAAGGTGAACCTATTGAAAATTTATAGTTAAATTGATCTTTGGCAATGTATGTTTCACAAAGTGCTAATCACACTTTGGTTTTAGAATATAAGCTAAACTTTTTAAAGATGTTAGACATTGAATAGTAAAATACATTCATGTGCCACATAATGATGTTTCAGTCAATGACCGACTGCATATACAAGATCCCATAATATCGTGTGTCTATACCATAGAGCCTAAGTGTGTAGTAGGTTATACTATCTAAGGTTGTGTAAGTACACTATGTTGTTGAACCGATGACAAGTGAATTTCTCAGAATGTATCCCCGTTGTTAAGCAGTGCATGACTGTGAATCAATTTATCTTATATTTAATTTTCTGAGGTAGTTTTGGGCACACTGTAGAGTCTATTGAAACATGAAGTAAACATTAAAAATACATGTGTAGATGTCTGAAAATGTGCCTTTCTGTTACGTCAATAGCCCTAGAACAATTCTATTTCAGAGGGACTTAAAACAAGAAATAGATTGTGTGGTTTAAATCTGAAGAATAGCTGAACTTGTCCAGTCAGCTATAATTTGTCTCAAGGTTAGATCTGGAGAAGTGGATGCTGTTCTTAGCAGCTATCCAGTAATTACCTGTTTCTGACAAAGTATGGAGCCATCCAAGTACTTCTTGCATCCCTGTATGGAGGGTAATGGGTGGTTGAAAGCCACAGAAAGGGTAACCTCTCAAATCAAAGAAAATTCAGCAAGGGTTTGTAAAGGAAAGGGGAGAAGAGTTGGTCATATGCAGATTGCTGATCTCTTAAAGGAAGTGTGATCCCCAATAAGAGGAGGGCCGTCTTTTTTTTTTTTTTTTTCTAAACTTCCTTCTTGAAGTTTTGTCTGCCTCCTTTTTCCTTGATCTTCCTTGTACCCTTTACTTAAAATCACATTTTATTGGTGACTCTTTTTCAGAACTGATGTCTATCATTGGTACCAATTGTGACAATAGATACCTTGCTCCAAGTTGGGGCACACCCTTGTCTCTCTTTCCCTTATGTTAATTTATTTTTCTGTTCTCTATAGCCTTCTCCATCAGTCATCTTGGGAAAACTTTATAAGTGAATGACTAAAAATACAAGTTTCAAAGGCAGATTCTCAGAATTCTTGATACATGACAGAGTTTTCATTGATCTAAATAGAAATAAAGACAATTTGCTGAAAATTTCAAGTTGTTTCAAAAAATTAAACTTAGTTATATCTTTTACTCTTTATTCAAGTGTCCTTTCATGAAATTATAATGATAGTAGTTGGAAGTTTTGTTTATGTTTGGTTTTAATACTCTCACATGGCAAAACAAAATGTTGGCAACCATTATTACTCAAAATTTTTAGAAATTTTTATTGAACTTTGAAATTATTTAAGTGAAATTCCTTTGGAAAATTTTGCACATAGTGACCTACTAACCACTGGAGCAAAAGTATGTAAATCTACTTGCTTAATTTGTTCTTTAGGAAAGACCACACACATAATTTAAATGAAACATGATTGTCTTTTATTATACTCCAAATGTGGGTCATATGTAATGCAGCAAAGTAGAACTTGACTAGGTCATCCTTATGTGGCATGGTGGCTATAATTCTCTTATTGGTCACATGAAGGGATGTGGCTTGCAGGAATTTTAACCTTATAAAGACAACCCTAGAAGGAGCTAAATCATTGGGGGTTTAGTTTCATATTCCGGTTATGTTGTAATCATTTTCTTTTTCTTGTTTTACTAGGCTTTCTTCATTTCTTTGTCTGGGTTTTTAATTTCACTGATAGGTTTATAAGCTTTACTACTATATGGGGGTGGGTAAGAGTTTCCTATTAAAAAGCAGGCAGGCAATAATACAACTTAAATGGTTTTTCCAGCCATTTAATAAAAGGTTTTACTTGGAAAAAAATAGTAAATGTGAAGATAAAAAGTGATCTCCCTACATTTTCTACATTATAAGCACAATTTTTTGTTTCGATTTTCTAAAAATAAAGATGACTAGAAGTGAGGTGTTAATATAAAAATTAAAAATTTGAAAGATCATTTTTACTGGTGAGAGACTTCAATAATTCATTTTAAATATGCATGAACATTTTTTCACAGTATTTGAGTATATTTGGTCAGATTATTTTTACAAGACTAAAAAACTTACAGTATCTTAACTGTTAAATAATTGCAAATTTCTTTTAGAAACACACATTTGCAGGTTTAAAACTTTCAAGACTTTCAGAAGATAATTGCACAGCATATTTATTTTTATAGTGATTTAGTGTAATGATTATGAACATAATTTGGGAAATAAATTAGCTTTAGCGAATTTTACTGTAAATTTTTTATTTAGGGCACATACCTTAATAATTTGTGAAAGCTATGCATTTGCCTTTAATTGCAGCTTTTAGCATGCTTTACTTTAAATGTGCCAAATCACTAATTTTTTTTCCTTTAGGTATGATACAGTTGAAGGCATGTAAGGCAGGGGATTTTAAATACTTAAATTTTGAATTTAAATGAAGATATTTTTTTCTTCGAGATGGACTCCTGCTCTGTCAGCCAGGCTGGAGTACAGTGGCACGATCTTGGCTCACTGCAACCTCTGCCTCCTGGGTTCAAGCAATTCTCCTGTCTCAGCCTCCCAAGTAGCTGGAATTACAGGCGTGTGCCACCACGCCCGGCTAATTTTTGTATTTTTAGTAAAGATGGAGTTTCACCATGTTGGCCACGCTGGTTTCAAACTCGTGACTTTGTGATCTGCCTGCCTTGGCCTCCCAAACTGCTAGCATTACAGGTGTGAACCACCGTGCCCGGCTTAAAAGATTTGAAACATCATTGCATGTTTTATCCGCAGTCTCTTATTTTCCCCCCTAGAGTTATTTAAATAATAATTTAGGTGGCAAAAATACTTGCTCTTTCCCAAGGATAAGATAAACATTTTATAGATGAGTTGTATAAGTAGGAATAGATATTTCTCTCTGATTTCTAATTTAATATATTTACAATCATAATTGTTGGAAGTTGCTTAAATACACATTCAGTTACTTAAGGTTAGCAATCACAAAATTGTTTTTAGATTGTTTCTTTTTTAGAGACTAAAAAAGATTTTTGGGGTGTTAGGGGACAGTGGGAATTATAGACTCTTTGAAAATCTAACAAAAGCTTTGGACCCTTTCACCGGAAGAATCCTGGCAAACACAAACACACATTTGGTATGCTGTTTCAGGGCAGTCATTGACACTGTGTGTGCTCAAGAGATCAGAGGCAACTGTATTAAAAACACCTGCCATTAATATGAGGAGTATATTATTAAGAAGCATCTCAACTTTTAACAAAAAAAGATGATATTTACACTTGAAAATGTTTTTCAGCTGACTCCACTTTTAAAATGCAGGTTCTTGTTCTAAGTTAATATGTCTGGTTAGTTTCATTTTCAGAACTTTTGATTCATTGTTTAATTGGAAAAATATATGTCAGGTTAGCATGTAGAAGTTTTCTTTTAGTGAAGAAATATCCTTGATTTAAACAACATTTTATTCTAATTTACGCAATTGCGAAAACAGATCATCTTAATTCATAGCATTATATCACATCTTTGTTCTTGCCTTTTTGTTAAGAAAAACTGGTAGCCAATATTCTGTCCTTTTTGTTTTGTTTCTAACATTTTCTATCTAGCTCTTTTGCCTGCTTCCCTGTTAGAAAAGAAAATTGCTGTGATGGTCAGAAATATTTAGCCTAATAAGGAGAAAAGTCACCATAATAAGAGTGTGTCAAATCAGGGTTAAAATGACTAGCCTTAAAGTTACGGGTGAAATCCAAGGTCTGGTTTTCGTTTTTAAGCCATGAGTTAATTTTTTAAAAAAAATTAGCGTATTACAGTAAAATTTACCCATTTAAAATATAAACCTCAATCAATGGTCAAAGCCTGTTTTTATGGAGGCAAAACAAGCATGCTTTATTAACAAAGCCAAAGAAGGACCTATCTCTTTAGTTTGTCCCAGGGTATTGAATAATTTTCAGAGATTCTCAAAGCAAAGAGCCCACTTCCTGCTCCTGGGCTGAAAGCACTAGGTACTTTGGCATTCTCTTGTGTCTCTGTGTAAGTATATTAGCCTTAACATAAAGCCCACCTGTAAATATATCTCAGTGTGAAAATTTTGAACACAATTCTACAAAGAGATTTGAGTCCATGGACTTCAACGTCAACAGAGTGAACATTTTTTTTTTTAATTTAACTATGCTTATGTCTATTTTTTTGGCATTTAAAAATAATTATTAACAAAATATTTGCTTCTGATTATCTCTGAAGTATGTGTGTGTGTTTTAAATCACTGAACATCTTTAAAACTTAAGACAGTGAAATATTTGAGTTAAGTAGAATGAATTTTCAAGAGCATTGAAGTTATCATAAGGGGCCTAGAAATATTCTGTATGCCTAAATAGTGCTCTAGGTATTGACTAGTAGTTGTTTCCAACGTATCAGTTCAGTTACCAAAATAAATAATAATTTTTGTGTTGTTAGTAGCTGTCTTGGAAGAGATTGTAACACTTGAAATTCTGGTAAAACTAAAAATATTCTACATATGTTAACTTCATTACTCATTTTCTATTTTTCATGGTAAAATGTTGTTTGAAGAACAAAATTAAATTATTTTCTTCTAATGTTTCATTCTGTGAATGTATTTTGGGAATTTTTTTCCCATTTTCCTTCTACAGTTTATTTGGTATGTCATCCTTAGGTTTGATATGCAGTAGGTTTAGAGAACATCTTTGTTTTTTAGATTTTTTTCATAAATAATCAAGTTTTATATATGAAATATGGAAAGAAGTTCTAGGTTATAAATATATTAATAGTGACATATAGCATCTGATTTGTTTTCATCAGCTGTTTCATAGTTCTGTATTATAATTTTTATTCACAGACATTTAATGATTACCCTTAATATTCGTGACAGGAGCCCTCTGGCACAAATGGAAGAAGAAAGAAGGGAGCATGTAGCTAAAATGAAGAAGATGGAGATGGAGATGGAGCAGGTGTTTGAGATGAAGGTCAAAGAAAAAGTTCAAAAACTGAAGGACTCTGAAGCTGAGGTAATCAGTCTAATATCCCATCTCTTAGCAGACATTGTGTTCCTTTTTAAGTAGTATCTTCAGTAAAATTTATAGATAATATAACCTTTTTATACATATTTTTTCAAAATTAATACCCTAGTGTAACAAAACGGATAAATTTCTAGAAGCAAGCACCGTGTTTATAATAAAATAATACATACTTCAATATGCAAGTGCTTGGACGTAGTATATTAGGTAGGACAGTGTAATAGAATACTTATAATGAATTATTAGTTATAATGAACAAGTTTGAGTTGTGAAAAATAAAATTACAAACCATTCCATACAGGTGGCATAAGAACACTAAAGATGAGAGTTTGGGGGTGGATTTATGCACACAAACTGTGTTAGGATAATAATAATTGACCATATTTATTTGTGTATGAGTGAAAAAGAGGGAAATAACCTTTATTGAACTAAAGACATGCCTGGATAAATTCCACACAATTAAAGAAGAGAAAATTAGGGAATGTGATATTTTTGTTAACAGGTTAGGCCTTCTTTATTTATAATGTAGTGTCAAGGTAGTTCCTGGTGTTACAACATTGGGCAGGGTAATGACAAAACATCCCAGAAGACATACCTACTATCTTGAAACCCTTCTAGATGTTGAGTTATACATTTAGTTTCTATTAATCAAAAAGACCTTGGAGACATTTCCTTCAATAGGTGGCAAGAAAGAAAAGTTGGAGAAAAAGATAAACTGAACATTAAAAATCCATAGAGCAGTTAGTTTGATAGATGTCTGAGAATAGTAGAAAAAAAACTATGGGTAATCCCAAAATAACAGTGGTTTCAGTATGAAGTTTTCTTCACATAAATTTGTTATAATTAAAAATTATAAAATAGCCTGGGCATGGTGGCTCATGCCTGTAACGCCAGCACTTTGGGAGGCTGAGGCACACAGATCACTTGAGTTCAGAAGTTCGAGACTAGCCTGGCCAACATGGTGAAACCTCATCTCTATTAAAAATACAAAAATTAGCTGGATGTGGTGGTGAGTGCCTGTAATCCCAGCTACTTGGGAGGCTGAGGCTGGAGAATCGCTTGAACCTGGGAGGCGGAGGTTGCACTGAACTGAGATCACGTCACTGCACTCCCGCCTGGGCGACAGATCAAGACTTTGCCTCAAAAAACAAACAGACAAACAAAAAGCCCTATAAAATAATAAATTATTTTAAAATATGTGAGATGAGGTCCAGGTGTGGTGGCTCACATCTGTAATCCCAGCAGTTTGGGAGGCCAAAGAAGAAGGATTGCTTGAGTCCAGGAGTTTGAGACCAGCCTGGGCAACATGGCAAGACCCAATCCCTATAAAAAATTTTTAAAAATAGTTGGGCATGATGGCCTGCACCTATGGTCCCAACTACTCAGGAGGCTGAGACAGGAAGATTACTTGAGCCTGGGAGATAGAGGCTGTAGTGAGCCATGATTGTGCCACTGCATCCCAGCCTGGGTGACAGAGCTAGACCTTGTCTCAAAATTATATACATATATATATATGGATGACAGTAATATAAAATAGTTTTAAAACAATCTTTAATGATAAAATTTAGTAAGATCCCTGTTTTATGTGGCTTCACTAATATTTGTATCTAAGTGTATGAAGAAGAGATTCAGATCTCTCGTTATATTCTTACAGTTGATCTCATTGCTTTTGTAATTACCGCATAAAATATGGAAACCTTTTTTGACTAAAGGCATAACAAAAGTATGCTAATCCATTGAGTAAATAGAATGCACGGAATGAGAAAGTATTAAATAATTTCGAGGAAATGTTTTTATTCCACATCATTTCTCTTACATTATTGGGCTTTTCTTGTAATTTCTTATTAAAATCTTTCACTGTTGTTATATTTGTTGTGAGTTTAATTTAGCAGGGGTATGGAATAATTCCTCCTGGTTTCAGACGCTGAGCACTACAGGATTAGCATCCCTGGCACTGCCACTAAATGCTAATAGCAGTGCCCTCCTATCATAGGGCAAACCAAAATGTGCATACACACACACCCCTAATCAAAAGTCACTGTCTTAGCTATTGCTGTTGTATTATAAATGAATAATTAAAGTTCTTAACATGACATTTTGGAGATTAATTTATCAGCATGTTGTAAATATATGCATTGAGTCTCTACCTCTTCAGTAATTCACATATAATCTGGAAAATCTATATCCAAAAGGGGGAAAAAAACAGGAATAATCAAGAGTCTACTACATTATCTCCACACTTAGATTCCATTGAGAATCTAAAAGTAGTTTAACTTATATTTGAGGCAGATGTATTTTAGGACATGTTGCTAAAAGTAAATATTACGAACAAGTAATTGTGAACCTGTAGCCAAGGAACCCTTTGGGAATTTTAATGATTACTGTGAATGGTGAAGACAGTTTTGAAGAACTATTCTTTGAAGGATGGAATGTTAACATTTCAAGGACCTGTGAAGAGCTCTGGGCCAAGGTTCCCACCAGATACTCTAAGCCATTAGAGAATTAGGCATGCTCATTCTAGATTCTTTGTCTTTTATGAAACCACATCTAGAGTGTATTTACCAACATCCCTGTGATAATGAGTTTGCAAATCATCATGTATATGATACATGATATATATTGTGTAAATATACGTGTGAATACATAAATAGGTAAAGAAACCCTTTTAGCCTTGTTTAATACAGTCTCTCCTTAAATCCATTATGCTGGAAATACTTGTTTGGGGCACAGCTAGCAGCACAGTACATCAGCCACAGCACCAAGCAACTTTCATTTATTGTGTTGTCTAGTGCACACCACAGCCCTACAAGGTAGATATTATTGCCCATCTCTCCTTTATAGATAAGAAGGATAAATTAACTTAGTATGCCAGCATTTGAACCCAGTTAATTTTTAAGTTAAGCTAGATAGGTCCACAGTCCTGTTTTTCACAATTTCAGAATGGAAAAAACTCTGAAAACTGCAAAACCTAACATGAACTAAGTTTTAATCCTACATATTGTGAATATTTATATATTTTACTGAAACAAATAAAAAGTAATGTGTTTGATTATACTTGTTGCCCCAGATAGCCCAGGAGGTATTTTATAAATATAGTGTATACTCCTTTCTAAGCGGTGTTGTCGTTTTAATAACTGAAAAATGTTGAACTTCAAAAGGCATCTGACCCCATGGGTTTCTTAAGAGTGAGATTGTGACCTGTACCTTTATCTACATGCAGTTAACACAAAAGATAATTACTTATATGTAACAAGTTAAAGAATGATGAACACTGTAAGCCTACTACCTGGCTTAAAAAAATAGAATGTTATCAACTCATTTGAAGATGCTGTGTGCCTGTCCCCTATTGTATCCCTCTCTCTCATTCCCAGAGGTAACTACTATTCCGAATTGTGTATATGTGACTCTTTTCATTTAAAAAAAATAACTAGAGACATTTTCTTATGTTCCTACTTTCTGACATTTCTTAGTAACTTGTTTGCTGTCATCAGGAAGATATCACCTCAGATTTGATTCATGTTTGCTTAAGTGTGTCTTAGGTGATTTTGTTTTGTAGGAATTGCATGAAATAATTGAAATAGGAATAAATCTGAAGTCACTTCGGGCTTGCAAAAAAAAATTGTATGCAAAATTATAGTAACATATATAATATGTATATAATATATAATACATATAATAGTTATATATTAACATTATGTTAATGTTAACTCACCAGTGTAGTAAAATCTGTAACAGAACATAATTCCTGGATAACTGAAGGTTTTGAATAGTCCTTGGGTATTTGGCATAGAAGGATTTAATCTGATTTTTAAAATTTGTTGACTTTTTTTTTTTTCAGAAATGGATTGACTTGCACCTAAATGAAATTACTTATCTAATGATCTCTTGGACTTAAAGCACTTTGTTTCTGCAGTTACTTCGCATGAGTGTTTACTGCCTCTCAGTCAGCATTCTTTACAGTATTAATACACAGAGAAGGAAGGACCAGCTGCATTAGAATCACTGTAACTTGTTGAAAATCCACATTTCCAGACTTAACACCCAGATATTCTAATTCAGTACGTCTGAGTGAGGTCCAGGATTCTATATTTTTAACAAACATCCCAGGTGATTTGCATGAAGACCAATGTCTGAGAACCACTGCTTACAGGAATCAGAGTACTTTGCTGGCATCTTTGAGCTCTTAGGGTCCTAAACTACCTGCTTTCTTTTCACTTGTCTTAGCTTTCTAAACTTGGAATTAGGAGGCTTATTCAAGTCCTGGTTCTTCCACTTTCTGGCTAGCAATCTTGGGCAAGTCACTTAAATTCTGCAACTGTTTCCTCATCTGTACAATGAGAACAGTGATGTGTTCACTGCCCAGCCTCCAACATATTTGTGATTAAAGAAAAACGAGATAAGATAGTAATTTTCCATTATAAAGTACTCCACACTGTTAAGTTTGTTGCTTTTTTTTTTTTTCCTGTTTCCCAAGATTATTGTCTTGGGTCACTGGCCTTTTGGGTGGCAGGTCCTAAAGGAGGAGGAGTCCTTGACCAGAGTACTTCCAGGTAGTACTCTGAATTTACAACAGGGCTATTCAAATAGTGCTCATACTCCTTATCATTAGGGTGTCTGGATGAAACATACCTCTGCTTCTGATTTCTTAAATAGTTTTGTTTTATATATTGTGCTATGATTTAGCTCCAGCGGCGCCATGAGCAAATGAAAAAGAATTTGGAAGCACAGCACAAAGAATTGGAGGAAAAACGTCGTCAGTTCGAGGATGAGAAAGCAAACTGGGAAGCTCAACAACGTATTTTAGAACAACAGAACTCTTCAAGGTAACTAATAGCAGATTACTAAGAAATGTGTGTATTAATGTTTTAAAGAATTGTTTTCCTACTTATTTAAAAAACATTAGAATAACACTTAAAAAGTCATCACCCATTATCATGCATTCCAAACACAATGGTTTTCATAGATAAATATTTTTATATGGATGGATACAGTCTGTGTCCATTAGCAGTATTTTTTCAGTACATCTTTCATGACTTAATATTCATAATTATGATTTAGCAACTTCATAACATTCTCCCCAGTTAACTTACCTTCATTGGATTTCTTACCTCCTCCCCCCAGTTGTTGGACATAAGGGTTGTTTTCAATTTTTGGCACACAAAGGGAACATTCTTCAAAATCTATTACATATTTAGGGGTATGTTTTAACTGTTGAATTATGTTTTTACGATAAAATTCTTAAGACAAAATGTTAGATATTTGATTTCCAATACAACTAATCAATTACTTTCTCTTAATTTATACAAAATTCAATAATATTTGTACCTTGGTTTTCTTTTCCTTAATAGTTTCACTTAAAACTGAAAAGTGGCATTCCTATAAGGATTATATAGTTTATCCTCATTACTAAACATTTTCAGATTTGACATTTGTTCTACTACACTACCCTACTGTTAACATTTTCCCCAAAGAAGAGGAAAATAGATTTGTGAAAGCAATTGCACTTCAAAATGCAAATGACAGTGGGGGAAAAAGAATACCCTGTTTGCTGCCAGTTGATACTTTTTAGTTTGTGCTGTTTCATTTGGGAAGAATTGTTCTTGTATATTAAAATGGAGTTTTGCCTTATTTTTTTACTGCTTATCCTGGAGTTTTGTCAAATATTTGATTGTCTAAGAAAATGCTATTATAGATTAACATTGTCTTAGCTGTTTACTTCTAAATCTTTTAATTTTTTTCAGTGAAAAAGTAGTATCTGAAAATCCCAACATTGTTGTAATTGGGTTAGCTGTTGTTATCATGTTGTCTATCATGTTTATAAAATGGTTACTCATCTTGCTTATTTTCCTTTTATCCTTTAGAACCTTGGAAAAGAACAAGAAGAAAGGGAAGATCTTTTAAACTCTCTATTGACCACCAGTTAACGTATTAGTTGCCAATATGCCAGCTTGGACATCAGTGTTTGTTGGATCCGTTTGACCAATTTGCACCAGTTTTATCCATAATGATGGATTTAACAGCATGACAAAAATTATTTTTTTTTTTGTTCTTGATGGAGATTAAGATGCCTTGAATTGTCTAGGGTGTTCTGTACTTAGAAAGTAAGAGCTCTAAGTACCTTTCCTACATTTTCTTTTTTTATTAAACAGATATCTTCAGTTTAATGCAAGAGAACATTTTACTGTTGTACAATCATGTTCTGGTGGTTTGATTGTTTACAGGATATTCCAAAATAAAAGGACTCTGGAAGATTTTCATTGAGGATAAATTGCCATAATATGATGCAAACTGTGCTTCTCTATGATAATTACAATACAAAGGTTCCATTCAGTGCAGCATATACAATAATGTAATTTAGTCTAACACAGTTGACCCTATTTTTTGACACTTCCATTGTTTAAAAATACACATGGAAAAAAAAAAAACCCTATATGCTTACTGTGCACCTAGAGCTTTTTTATAACAACGTCTTTTTGTTTGTTTGTTTTGGATTCTTTAAATATATATTATTCTCATTTAGTGCCCTCTTTAGCCAGAATCTCATTACTGCTTCATTTTTGTAATAACATTTAATTTAGATATTTTCCATATATTGGCACTGCTAAAATAGAATATAGCATCTTTCATATGGTAGGAACCAACAAGGAAACTTTCCTTTAACTCCCTTTTTACACTTTATGGTAAGTAGCAGGGGGGGAAATGCATTTATAGATCATTTCTAGGCAAAATTGTGAAGCTAATGACCAACCTGTTTCTACCTATATGCAGTCTCTTTATTTTACTAGAAATGGGAATCATGGCCTCTTGAAGAGAAAAAAGTCACCATTCTGCATTTAGCTGTATTCATATATTGCATTTCTGTATTTTTTGTTTGTATTGTAAAAAATTCACATAATAAACGATGTTGTGATGTAATATTGTGTGAGGTCTTAAATATCCTACAGTCGATGTACAAGAGTAGAGTATGTTTGGGAAGAAACTTTTCAGCTTAAGTTTGCCTCCTCTACAATGACATCTTTTATATGCTTGTCTCATTTAGAATGCATATGTGCTGATTTTCTAATTTAAGAGATACCATATCTCTCTATTCATTTCTATCTCTCATTTGTATGCTTATTTTTCTGAGAACATTTTTTTTTTCCCCCAGACAGGGTCTTGCTTCATTGCCCAGGCTGGAGTGCGGTGGCACAAACACGACTTGACTGCAGCCTCAACCCTCTGGGCTCAAGCAGTCCTCCTGCCTCAGCCCCCTGAGTATCTGGGATTGCAGGCGTGCACCACCACGCCTGGCTAATTTTTGTATTTTTTGCAGCCTCCCAAAGTTCTGGGATTACAGGCATGAGCCGTCATGCCTGGCCTCTGAGAACAGTTTCTGACTCATTCAGATTAGGTATACTCTCAAGTCCCTGGAAACTGAAATTTTTTTTAACTGTAAAGAGGGTAGTGTCATTTCTTTTCTTAAGGTCAAGTGACATAGATTTTAATGTAATGCATAATTTAGGTAAGAAATTAATTAATGTAGCCTAGTTTATTATCTTGAAATGTTTTACCCTATTTACTTTTTAAAATTAATGACCTAAGCGGAGGGAATAATTATAAGTCAATAGCAGAGAGATTGTTGTTTGGGTGTTTATTTTTTTCAGTTTTTGTTTTGAGAGATTGGGTTAACACCTCTAGCCAAAATTGTTTGGTTTTAGGGAGGCTAACAATAACCTACTGAATTTGGAAAATGCAAAGGTAAAAAATGTATATAGACTGCCTGCTGAACTGGTTAAGTACTACTGCTTCTGGGAAATACTATTTCAAAATTCTATGTATTATAATAATAAATTTGTAAGACATTCATTATTCTACCATCCTAATGAAAACTTTCAGAAGTCTTTCTTTATCCATGGCATGCCCAGGGTTTTACCTGAATCTGATACAGGATCTATATAACTTTACTAGGACTTTTGATTGTTGACTCCAGGCTTAGGTATATCAGAAGGTTCTTTTTGCCATTTGGCCTGTGGATGTCTGAGAAGATCATTCACAATACATGTAAAATTCAGGTAGGCCTAAGGAAAGGCCAGCCTGTAGAAAGCAAAATGGCAGTGTCTGTTCTCCACTGTTGGAGGCATTATGTAATTTAAGTATCCTGTTAGCCACTGTCTTTCTGCTAATTAAGTGGGGCTGAACAAGTAAGCACTAATAATACCAGTGAACCACTTGGGCACCTTGTGGGTAGAGTTTTGCTGCCACCTAGTGGAATGGGATATCATTGCTTCCATATCAGGTTCACAAGCAAGTTAAGTGGGCACAGTTTATTTCTGTGTAGCTCAGGCTGTAATCTTGAAAGCTGAGGAGATACCCATGCCTCTCAGACTCATTAGCTGGGTGTCACATTACCACCTGCACATTCTGACCCACCGCATCTTAATATGTTTTGTCCTCTTGGAGAAACTAGGAGTAGAAGTCAGGATATGGTAGGTAAGGGGGAAAAAGGAAAGACGGCTTGATAGCTATGAATGCATGAGGAGCGAAATGTTGACTCAGTTATCTAGATCATGGTCTCCAAACCTGATGCTATTTCCTTACAAAAATATTTGTTGAGCATGTGTCCATAATTATATGTATTGAACAATGAAAATATGTGTCAACAAATGTACTGCTACACTAATGTGAACATTATGGAACAAAATTTGAAAGAGTGAAATAAAAGGTTTACACTTTCCCCAAGCTCCAATGAATTATTACTTTGCACGTTGGAGGCCATCGATCTAGGCAGTATGTGGATAGTTAATAGTTATTGTTGAATCACCAAGGAAGGTCCTAGTGAAGACTGCTGTGGTGTCCTACTTGATCTGAAAGGAAAATTTGCCACACCAGTAAATCGAAGTCCTTTCTAATAATAAGCTTGCAAATGTAAGCCCTTGTACTTCATCCAGAATTTTACCTGCCCCTTTTGTAATAAAAACTTCCCATAACTGTCCTGTTCCAGATGGTAACCTAAGTAGTTACATGTGTTATTTAATCCTTAATGATAACAATTGGGTAAGTTATCTCTTAAGGTAACTTATTAATACATTATCTAATAAATGAATAAGTTAAACATCTTAAACCCTGTTTCCTCATCTGCAAAAGGATGAGGAAACTGAGGGTTTAAGATGTTTAGTAGCTTATTCAATAGGTGGTAACTGGCAGAACAAGAGTTTGAACTGGTCTTAGTTACACCAGGGCCTGTGCTTAAATATTACGCCTTGCAAGTACCTGGTCTGCTACACTGCCACATTTCTGAAGCATGATCTTCTACAGAGTTGTTAGCACAGAGCAGATGCTCCCTGATTAAGAGGGGCAGCTGGCCACCAGGCAGCCTGGAGAAGCAGAAAGCACCAGACATGCTAATTGTCTCAGTTTAGACCCCAACTCTGTGAATTGGGCATGTAACTTCTATGAATGTTTTCTCAGCTATAAAACAGACCCCATGCCTTCCTTGCTGGTTTGGAGTGAGGATTACATTGTGACTGCACACGTTAAGGTGTCCAGACCTCGAGAATGTGACAATCTGCTGGGGTCATGACAGACCAAAAAGTATTTCTTCTCAGTTTTAGTGACGGTTTATTTTTAGGAAATGTGCATGGTGCCATGGTAAGTCTCTGGATCTGCTTCTTTGTGCACAGAGATAGTCTTTTGGAGTTACTTCCATGGAAATAAGGTAATTTTGGTCAAAAGAGGAAAGGTGTTAGTAATTGGAGTTATAAAATACACCATTCTTTGTAAGTAATGCCGAGATGGTTTATCAGAGTCTCTCATCTTTAATGAAAACTTTTGCTGCTTTTCAAGCAAACTTGGTTCCCATAATTTGGGATTCATCCACAGAATGTTCAAAGTTTAGTGTCAGCCATTTTCAGCAGAAAATAGAGGCTGACAATTTCCTGTGTTCTTTAGAAGACTTTGAAAGCTTCATGGGAAGAATGAAGACTATTCTTGGCCTGAACATTTGCCCCATGGGGTGCTGGACCCAGCCAAACAGCCTTGTATTGGCAAAGGAGGGTCAAGTGAAAGGAGACCTTGTTCTGCGCCAGGCTCTCAAAAAGGGTAGCCTGAAACCCTATTGGCCACACGGAACCTCTTTTAGATGCTGTTTGTGGACCTGCCGAAATCGAATGCCACTCAGGCTTTCTGAAACCCTATGGGGGTGGGAAGAGGCAGTAGCTGACACCTCTGAGAGCAGAGGTTTGTGAAGATGTGGCATAGATGAGGAGGCTAGCAGAGGGGGGGTAGTCAGACACTACCAACAAACTTCCTTTTTGTTCTCTTTGTTCTCTCTTCGAGGTGGGCCACCCCGCTTAGCTCCCTTTTGTCCAAGTGTGTTGCAAGGGAGCAGCATTTCACCGGGAGATTTGCACGTAAGTAGAGCACAGATTCCCCTGGGTGAGGGGCTGGCTCTCACCCAAGTGTGGGGATACCAAACTAACTTGTTCTGGCAAAGGCATACAACTTTTTTACCCCTCATTTAATTCTGTTGTCTTTGAATTTTTAATGATCTCTTTCATATTTAAATATATGCTGTACTCTAGCGTAGCACAGAAAAGTTCCCTGTGTCTTGGATAAGCCAGTAGTTTTAAGCAACTTGGCAAATGGTGAGTGAAGTAATGAGCACTCTGGCATGGCCCCTGGTGTTAATGTGAGCTGTTTTCCCTGCATTTCAGAAGTCGGAATATATCGGTGGGACATAATAGGAGCTGTCCAATTTTTTTTTCCTTAGGGATAACTCTCAATGTGATTATACAAATCTCTGGCTTACCCTGATAAAGTTAAAAAACAAAACTAAATGTTGTATTCAATATTTTGGGAACACAGTTCTCTCACCCAGACACAAATGAAATCTTCCTTAGACCTTTTTATTGCTGGGCAGAGGTGCCAGGAACTCAAATTGGCATTTTCTCAAATCTCCACCTCATTAGTGCCTATTTAGACCCCATCCCTAAGAGTCAGGTGCTTTGGAAGATGGAATGGAGGCCGCTGATAAAAATCCACTTTCTGTAGTCTCCATTCAGGTATGATTGGCCTGATTATAGCTCATGTCCTGAAAAGGAGATAGGTTTTTTTCTCCAACTTGTAAGAACTGATGAACTCATCCCACCAAATGCGAATGTTTTAGACAGTATTCAAACTGGGAAAAATACCTGCCTATCAAGGGAGAGAGAACTCACTTTGAAGTCTAAGGGAAGGAAACAAAATTGAAAAGTGCTGCAACAAGTGTTTGTGGAGTACTTGCTGTGTGCCAAATACAGAGCATTCACATAGATTGTGAACTAGAGCTCCTGAGAAGGTTATGACATGGGCATTTCCACCTCTTTATAAAAACAAGCAAGCTAAAATATCACGGTGTGATTCCATAACATTTGTATTTGTTATCCATTGTTCCACAATAAATGCCCCTCAATCCTGGCAACAAAATTTAAACCACAACAATCTGTAATAGTAACATTCATTATCTTAGTTTCTGCAGGTTAGGAATTAAGCGGTTTAGCTGGGTGGTCTGGCAGGGTGCCTTGCAGTAAAGATGTTGGCTGAGGCTACAGTCAACTGTGGGCTTCAATGGGGCTGGGGGATCTGCTTCCATGATGGCTCACTGACATCACTGGCAAGTTGACGTTAAGAGGCCTCAGCCCCTTGCCACATGGACCTCTCCACAGGGCTGCTTGAGTGGCCTTGTGACATGGTGGCTGGCTTTCTCCTAGAGCAAGTAATCCAAGAGAGAGCAAGGCATAAGCCACATGGCTTTTATGACCCAGCTCTGAGAGTCACACACATGATTTCCCAATATGCTATTGCTAATGCAGCTTAGTCCTGTTCAATGCATGAAGGAGCTGTACAAGAGCGGGCGTACTAAATAAAGGTGGCACAAATACAGCAAGCTTTTATAAATAGTCTTATTTGGCAAACCCATTTAGCTGACTTTCTGGGTATTCTTGATAATCATTTTCCTAAAATGAAACTATTTCAGTTTTTGAAATTAGCTAATTGGATTCTCCCTAAAATAACTAAATTTAAACCAATTGAAGGTGCTGATAATGTTTTTACAGATGGGTCTAGTAATGGTAAAGCTTCTTATTCTGGTTCAAAAACTAAAGTTTTCCAGATGCCCTATACTTCAGCTCAAAAAACAGAGCTGGTAGCTGTAATTGAGGTATTGACTGCTTTTAATATGCCTATTAATGTGATTTCTGATTCTTCATATGTGGTTCATTCCACACAGTTAATTAAAAATGCTCAGTTACAATGTCAAACAGATGAATAACTGATGACAAAAACAAAAAAGGGGGAGAAACAGGGATTACGGGACAGCCCATATACAACTGAATCTAGCATTATTAACTTCAAATTTTTTGAGCCTGCTGAAAGGCCAGATGTTATCAGTAGCTGAACAGCATCTACAGAAACCAGCTGCAAAGACAGAAGCAGAACAACTGGTTTGGTGGAGAGACCCGATAACAAAAAGTTGAGAAATAGGTAAAATAATAACTTGGGGTACAGGCTATGCTTGTGTTTCTCCAGGCCAGAACCAGCAGTCGATTTGGATACCATCAAGACACCTGAAACCTTATCATGAACCAGATGCCAAGGAAGAGATTCTGGAAGGATCCTGAGGACCCCCCTGGTTGCAGCCATGTCAAGACTGATGCTGAGGAGGACCCCAACTGTCACGAGCAACACCCATCAAACACAGCCACCCACCTGGGGACAGACCAAGAAGCTGCCACAGATGGCAGAAGAAAACCTGAAGAAAGCAGGACAACCAGTCACAATGAGTAATTTAATGGTAGCTATGATAGCGGTAATCACCACTGCTGTGAGTATTCCTTCAATAAGGGCTGACACAGGGAACAATTATACTTATTGGGCATATTTATCAATCTTGGCTGGCAATAATGCCTGGATGTAATCACTCTATGATGCAGTTACACATGCTTTCTGATCTCAGTATTTACCATAACAAATCTGCTCCTATATTTGAGGCATACTGCCCTCAAAAACCTATTTGTAAACAGAACTGGACCTGGCCAGAAAAAAATGAACGTACTTGTTTAGGAAGATTGCATTGCAGAACATGCAGAGATGCTGCACAATGATTCCTATGGAATCATTATTAATTGATCCCCTAAGGGGATGTTTAGCTTAAATTGCACCTCTCAGTCCGTGTGCCACGGCCACACTATGTTCAGCTGATCTGAACAAAACGGCCAGATGGTACATATAATAAGAAGTATGGCAAGAGTTCCTATTATCTGGAACCGTGGCAGTATAGTGACACCTCAACCTCAAATGATATGGCCCACTGTAGGAGCTAAACATTAAGGATTTGTGGAAACTATTAATAGCTCTTAGTAAGATCAAAATTTGGGAAAGAATAAAAAAGCATCTAGAAAGACACTCTACAAACTTGTTTTTGGATATTGCAAAATTAAAAGAATATTTAAAGCATCCCAGACACACCCGACCTTAATGCCAGGATCTGGAGTGCTTAAAGGAGCTGCAGACAGATTAGCAGCTAGTAACCCATTAAAATGGATACAAACACTTGGAAGCTCTGTGATTTCAATGATGATTGTGCTTTTAATCTGTGTTGTTTGTCTTGTATAGCCTGCAGATGTGGATCCTGACTCCTGAGAGAAGTAGCTCACCGTGACAAAGCTGTCTTTGCTTTTATCGATTTGCAAATCAAAGAAGGGGGACATATTGGGAGCAGGCCTCCCAAAATCTGGCCATAAACTGGCCACAAAACTGGCCATAAACAAAATCTCTGCAGCACTGTGACATGCTCATGATGGCCATAACGCCCACGCTGGAAGGTTGTGGGTTTACCGGAATGAAGGCAAGGAACACCTGGCCTGCCCAGGGCAGAAAACCACTTAAAGGCATTCTTAAACCACAAACAATAGCATGAGCGATCTGTGCCTAAAGGGCATGTTCCTGCTGCAGATAACTAGCCAGACCCACCCCTTTATTTCTGGCCATCTCTTCATTTCCCATAAGGGATACTTTTAGTTAATTGAATATCTATAGAAACAATGCTAATGACTGGCTTGCTGTTAATAAATATGTGGGTAAATCTCTGTTCGGGGCTCTCAGCTCTGAAGGCTGTGAGACCCCTGATTTCCCACTTTACACCTCTATATTTCTGTGTGTGTGTCTTTAATTCCTCTAGCACCACTGGGTTAGAGTCTCCCCGACTGAGCTGGTCTCGGCACTTCTCTTTGCCTTGAAAGCAGGTACAGCGGACCTTCCTGGCATCAGAAAAAGGCCTCCAGAAAAAGAGACACAGGTACTAGCAATTGCAAATTATCCAGAGCCCTTCTAAGTTGTAAGATCTGAAGGAAATGTCTGCCATCTATATTCTCAGCCACACTTAGTTTCTTAATCTGCAAGATGGAATTAATAATAGTACTTACTTTATGACGCTGTTGCAGAAATTCATTGAATTGCTACACGCCAAACACTGAGAACCCAGCTGGGCATATAATAAGCATTCTATTGCATGGCATTATTGCCATCATTTTTACTTCTATTACTGCTACTGCTTGTAACTGCTTGTGCTTTTTTGATATGAAAGTCCACCATCAGGGAGCACTGTAGTGGAAAAGGTATTAGGCCAGGCATAGCCTTTAGTTCTCTGGCCTTGGGTCCTTCATCTGTGATATTCAGTTAACAATACCTAGCCAGTAGGGGTGTTAAAGATTAAATAAATGTGAGAATGTGCCTGTTGCTTAATCTTCCTCAGAGGGTTATGGACTCTCAGAGCCACAAGAAGGTCATCTCTCCTTTGCTCCTCGTATGCTGGGATCTGCCACATCAATGGCAACAGGTGGGCCTCCAGAATTTGCTCCAGGTGTTTGGAAGTCCTGACACCCTCCTGATCTTCTCTGTAACATGCACACTTTGGCCTGTGTCAGTTTGCTGGAACCACATCAGGCCGGCCCTCTTCCTGGGACAAAATTCTTTCTTTTTATCTTTCTTTCTTTCTTTCTCTTTCTTTCTTTCTTTTTCTCTCTCTTTCTTTCTTTCTCTTTCTCTCTTTCTTTCATCTTTCTTTCTTCCCCTTCCTTCCCTTCCTTCCTTCCTTCCCTTCATTCCTTCCTTCCTTCTTTCTTTCCTTCCTTCCTTCTTTCCTTCCTTCCTTCCTTCTTTCTTTCCTTCCTTCCTTCTTTCCTTCCTTCCTTCCTTCTTTCCTTCCTTTCTCTCAACTCCAGTGTCCTGGCTGAAGTGCAGTGCACTGAACATTGCTCACTGCAGCCTTCACCTCTTCAGCTCAAGCGATCCTCCAACCTCAGCCTCCCAGTAGCTGGGACTACAGATGCATGCCACCATGCCTAACTAATTTTTGTATTTTTTGTAGTAACAGGATTTCACCACATTGCCTAGTCCAGTCTCAAACTCCTGGCCTAAAGTGAGCCTTACACCTTGGCCTCCCAGAGTGCTGGGATTACAGGCATGAGCCACTGCACCTGCCCAGGAACAGAATATTGACCGCCATTTTAAAAGAATTCAAGAAGTTTGCTTGAATTCACGATCAAGCAGCTCACCAGCTGGGAATAATATAATGCCAATTTTTAGAGTAATGGCTAAATAAATCAGGATATAGCCATAGAACAGAATACTATGTAGAAAGCGAGAATGAAGTATTCCTTTATTTCTTCTTAAGGAAATACGTCTAAGCATAACATTGAGAAAGAATGAGGTATTCCTTTATTTCCTATTAAAGAAAGAACTCTAATCATAACTTTGAGTGATAAAAGCAGGTCATATGCTATAATAACATTTAAATAATGCACACAAAATATAGCATATTTTAATTATATAGGAATGTTTATATGCATTCCATATTGTGACAGTTAATTTTAAATATCTCATGGCTAGGCCATGGCTGAATACTATCTTAGATGTTTTTGTAAAGGTATTATTTAGGTAAGATTAACATTTAGATCAGTGTACTTTGAATAAAACAGATTACTCTCCATAGTGGGATGGGCCTCACTTAATCAGTTGAAGGCCTTAAAAGAAATAAGGCTGACCTCCCCCAAGGAAGAAGGAATTATGCCTCCGGGCTTTCTTTGGACTCAGGGTGCAACATCACTTCTTCCCTGGGTCTCCACACTGATGGCTGGAGTTACCCTGCCTGCATATTTTGGACTTGCCAGCTTCCACAATTGTGTGACCCAATTCCTTACAATAAATCTCTCTCTCTTCTCTCTTTCTGTCCCTCTCTCTCTCTCTCTCTCTCTATATATATATATACACACACACACATAAATATATATAGATTATGTACACATATGTATATATACATAAACCTATGTATACATACCTATTCCTTACCAATTCCTTACAATAAATCTCTATTCTCTCTCTTTCATTCTCTCTCTATATATGCATACAAGTATATAGATATGTACGTGTGTGTATATATACATAAATATATGTATACATAGATATGTGTACATAGATATGTATGTGCACGTAGATATGTGTATATAGATATGTATTTGCACATATGTATATGCACACGTATCCATGCATACCTACATATATTTATGTACACATATGCATGCGTGTGTACACATATAATGTATGTGTACATATATGTATACATGCACGTACATATATGTATATATGTATATATACACAGATGCATGCATGTACATATATGTATATATGCGTATGTACACAGGTGCATGTATACATGTGTATATATACATGCATATACACATGTATACATGTGTACATATATATACACACATATACATATATGAAATAAAGGGGTGGGTCTGGCTAGTTATCTGCAGCAGGAACATGCCCTTAAGGCACAGATCGCTCATACACATATATATATATACACACACACATGCAAATGTTCACCCATGCACCTGCTCATACACACACACTTCTGGAATTGGGTAGGGAAGGAAGGACAGTAGGGACCAGGGACATTTTAGACTTATCTGAATTGTTTTCATTTTTTAACAAAGAAAACTTACGCAAGCATTAATTTTGCAATTAAAAGGCATTCAAACATTTTGCTGCAGGCACTGACCAATATCCCCTGTGAAATATCACTAATGTCATGTTACTTACCTCTGTTAATGTTACGAAATTACACTATTTCTGTTTTCTGCTTTCCTAGTTTCCTGTTGCACCGTTTTTCATCTCTGCATGGTTCCACTGTCATCTAGCTTTTTGAAAAACTCATTTTGTTTGCTCTCCTTCCAGGTCCTGGCTTCCTGTCCTGGCCATCCAATCATATCCACCGCAAACAGGCCTTGTTCCTCTGTCACTGCAGGCCAGCTCTGAACCGTCTCTTTTCTTCCACTGACATAGAAAGATGAGATGTGTCAGCACCCTTGCAAACATGAAAGCCTAGCCAGTGAAGTGCTGAGTGCTGGAAGCTTTGCCTGGGGCATGAACAGGTAGAGAAACTGCAGATTCTGTGTCAGATGAAGTGACTCAAAGGGACAGAATGGCCATCTTTGGACAGTTTAAGAGCTTTTATAAGGAAGAGGAATCAGAACTCACTTCATGTGGTGCATGGTGCCAAATCAACAAGATAAGTGTTCCCAGGAAGCAGATTTCAGCCCATCTCAGCTCACTTCAACCTCTGCCTCCCGGGTTCAAGTGATTCTCCCACCTCAGCCTCCCGAGTAGCTGGGATTACAGGTATGTGCCACCATACCCAGCTAATTTTTGTATTTTTAGTAGAAACGGGGTTTCACCACATTGCCCAGGCTGATTTTGAACTCCTGAGCTCAAGGGATCCACCCACCTCGGCCTCCCAAAGTGTTGGGATTACAGGCTTGAGCCACAGCGCCTGACCTATATGCGTATTTTATGTCCAAATTAAAAAGGACTATAAATAAATATGAGAGTCTTGTTATGTGTGCTGAAGTGTTTAGGGGTGAAATGTACTAATGCTGCAATTCATTTTGAAATGCCTCCAAATAGGATGGTTTGAGGGATGGATAGTTGAATAGATTATATGATAAACTGAGCATAATGAAATGATAATTGTAGACTTCAGGGGTGGGTATGGATGTTCACTGCAAAATTCTTTCAACTTTTCATTAAGTTTGAACATTTCTTAAGAGTGTTAATTCATTTATTTTTTAGAGACAGGGTCTTGCTCTGTTTCCCCGGCAGGAGTGCAATGATGTGATCCTAGCTCACTGCAGCCTCAACTCCTGGGCTCAAGGGATGCTCCCTTCTCAGCCTCCCAAGAAGCTGAAACTACGAGTGCGCTCCACTGCATTTGGCTAATTACCCAGGCTGGTCTCAAACTCTTGTCCTCAAGTGATCCTCCCACCTTGGCCTCCCAAATTGTTAGGATTACAGGTGTAAGCCCCACACCCCAAACGTTTTTATAATAAAACACTGAAGGGAAATTCTGATGCTGAGACCCTGCACTTACATCTGTTAATGAGATCTTTCCTCAATTAAATATGCTGCCATTGGAAATTGGTACATTTCTTCGTCAAGGGCAACAGTTTGTCAAGGGCAACATACACATATTCCTGGGAGAAGTGACACTGTGGGAGATTGTTGAGCTTTTTTACCCCTAAAAATGAACTTATCGGGGAATACGTTCATGATCTCTCCACAGGTTCTAATAATGAGGGGAGACCTGGGTTCTGCACCTGGCCTTGTTGTCGTGGTTACTGTTGCTTTCAGGCAATGGCACCTGTTCTCCAGGTGTGAGTCTGGACTTGTACTTGCTTTAGCCATATATGGCCACCAGAGGGCGCAGTTACCCCACAGTTGCCTGGAGCATCCACACCCCTCAAACTCACAGCTTGAAATGTCACCTGCAGCCGTCTGAGGTCATCCACGGTTATTTTCTTTTTCTTTTCTTTTCTTTTCTTTTTCTTTCTTTCTTTCTTTCTTTCTTTCTTTCTTTCTTTCTTTCTTTCTCTCTTCCTTCTTTCTTTTTTCTTCCTTTCTTTTTCTTTCTTTCTTTTTCTTTCTTCTCTCTCTTTCTTCTTTCTTTCTTTTCTCTCTCTCTCTCACTCCCTTCCTTCTTTCCGTCTTTCCTTCTATCCTTCCTTCCTTCTCCCCTCCTTTCCCCTCCCCTCCTCTCCCCTTCCCGAAAGAGTTTCGCTCTTGTTGCCCAGGCTGGAGTGCTGTGGCACGCTCTCGGCTCACTGCAACCACTGCCTCCTGGGTTCAAGTGATTCTCCTGCCTCAGCCTCCCAGGTAGCTGGGATTACAGGTGCCCGCCATCATGCCCGGCTAATTTTTGTATTTTTAGTAGAGACGGGGCTTCCCCATGTTGGCCAGGCTAGTCTTGAACTCCTGACCTCAGGTGATCCACCCTCCTTAGCCTCCCAAAGTGCTGGGATGACAGGTGTAAGCCACTGTGGCTGGACATCCACGGCTATTTTCCTCATGCCTCACCTTCCCCTGTTGGTTCAGTGACCCTCAAAGGACAGAGCCTCTGTGCCATGGGCCCTTCCCCTGGATCTGTGCATTGTCTAATATGACTGGACCCTCCTCCTCACCCCTCATCCTGCCCCAGCTCCTCTGATGACATCATCGGCTCTGGAACTGCCACTCAGCCTCTTGCAAGAGGGTCCCCTCCCTCCGACCCCACTGTCCCCTCAGGACCCCAATTCCGCTGGCACCATCTGGTGCAGGGAGTCTTTTTTTTCTCCTATACCCCACATACCGCAGAATCTAAAGTAGGGTCTATATCCTCCATGCTTCCTGTGGTTGCGTCCAAGACATTTCTCTTCCAAAGGCAGCAGAGTCACCTGCTGTCCCTCTCGGTGACTGCTGTCTGCTGGTCTTCTGCTTACACCTCCTCATCCACTGAGGACTTGGGCTCTCAGTTGACAGTGTTCTCCATCATTCTTGTCATGTCGTTAGAGGGATTGCTGCCTGGCAACCCCTCTACATTCCCCAGGAGGTTTGCAACAGTGATTTCATACAAGACGTTGGCGTCGTCACCCACGTGGACATGCCAGGCTACTCCCTGAGGGCGTCATCACCCACGTGGACAGGCCAGGCTACTCCCCGAGGGTGATGTCACCCACGTGGACAGGGCAGGCTACTCCCTGTCTCTCTGGGCACCAGGACTGCTGCAGCTCCAGTGACCTTTTCCAGTGTGCCTCTCAGCCACCTCTCCCTGCCTGCGGTCACACCTGGGACCCTCCATCACCCAGAAAGGAGACTTCAGACAGCTCCCCACTGACCTCTCTCGTTCCAGAACTCTCCACTTGGCCTCATCACCTCACTGTCACTCTCTCTGTGTCCACTGCCTTCCTTAATCATCGTTCATAATTAAAATCAACTCCTGCAGGGCGAGGTGATTCACGCCTGTAATCCCAGCACTTTGGGAGGCCGAAGCGGATGGATCACTTGAGGTCAGGTGTTTGAGACCAGCCTGGCCAACATGGCGAAACACCCGTCTCTACTGAAAATACAAAAATTAGCCAGGTGTGGCGGTGGGCACCTGTAATCCCAGCTACTGGGAAGGCTGACGCAGGAGAATCACTTGAATCCGGGAGGTAGAGGTTGCAGTGAGCTGAGATCACACACCACTGCACTCCAGCCTGGGTGACAGAGGGAGACTCCTTCTCAAAAAAAATAAATAAGTAAACTCCTTTTTCTCTCTCTCTCCTGACATTGTTCCCCTCAACAAGGGTGACATGAACGGGCTAGATGTCTTGCGTCTGCACCTGACAGCCAAGCATCACTGGGAAAGCACACACTCAGCTGAACTTTTACTTTATTTATTCATCTATTTATTCATTTGTTTATTTATTTTAGAGACAGCTTCTCACTCTGTCACACAGGCTGGAGTGCAGTGGTGTGATCAGAGCTCGCTGGAGCCTCCACCTCCTGGGCTCAAGCGATCCTCCCACCTCAGCCTCCCTGGGAGCTGGAATCATAGACGTGCACCACACCACGCCCAGCTGATTTTCTAATTTTCTGTAGAGATGAGGTCTCATCATGTTGCCCAGGCTGCTGTTGAACTCCTGGCCTCAAGCAATCCTCCTCACCTCAACCCCTCAATGTGCCGGGATTACAGGTGTGAGCCACCATGTCTGGCTGTACTGCCCAGGCTGGAGTGCAGTGGAGCGATCTCGGCTCACTGCAATCTCTGCCTCCTGGGTTCAAGCGATTCTCCCACCTCAGCCTTCTGAGTAGCTGGGATTACAGGTGCCCACAACCATGCATGGCTAGCTTTTATATTTTAAGTAGAGATGGGGTTTCACCATGTTGGTCAGGCTGGTCTCAAATTCCTGGCCTCAGGTGATCCACCTACCTCGGCCTCTCAAAGTGCTGGGATTACAGGAGTAAGCCACTGAGCTCGGCCTGGCCAGACTTTCACTTTAAATTCACAGACTTCAAGTAGGCTGCCTGGCAACCGCTTTATATTCCCCCAGGAGGTTTGCAACGGTGATTTCATACTTCCTCTCTCTCTCCTCAAACCTCCTGTGCTTCCTTCCCTCCCTCTCTTCTGCTCAGCTGAAGCTCACTTCTCTAACGTTATTAGAAGCCATCAGAGTGAATATTCTTTTTTTTTCTCTCTCTCTTTTTTGAGACAAAGTCTTGCTCTGTCGCCCAGGCTGGAGTGCAGTGGTGCAATCTCACTCCAAGCTCCGCCTCCTGGGTTCACGCCATTCTCCTGCCTCAGCCTCCCTAGTAGCTGGAACTACAGGCGCCCGCCACCACGCCCGGCTAATTTTTTGTATTTTTAGTAGAGACGTGGTTTCACTGTGCTAGCCAGGATGGTCTCAATCTCCTGACCTCGTGATCCGCCCACCTTGGCCTCCCAAAGTGCTGGGATTACACGCGTGGACTGTGACCGGCCCAGAGTGAATATTCTTATCTTCCCACCACCCACCGACTGTGTCTCTGTTCCTTCCACTGTCACTGTGTAATAATTGCCCTTCTGGGGCTGGGCATGGTGGCTCATGCCTGTAATCCCAGCACTTTGGGAGGCTGAGGTGGGAGGACTGCTTGAGGCCAAGAGCTTGAGACCAGCCTGGGCAACATAGTGAGACTCTATCTCTACAAAAAGTTTAAAAATTAGCAAGGGTCTGGGTGCGGTGGGTCCCGCCTGTAATCCTAGCACTTTGGGAGGCTGAGGCGGGCGGATCACCTGAGGTCAGGCGTTCAAAACCAGCCTGGCCAACATGGTGAAACCCTGTCTCTACAAAAATACAAAAATTAGCAGGGCCTGGTGGCATGTGCCTGTAATTCCAGCTACTTGGGAGGCTGAGGCAAAAGGATCACTTGAACTCGGGAGGCGGAGGTTGCAGTGGACCGAGATCGTGCCATTGCACTCCAGCGTGGGTGACAGAGCAAGACTGCATCTCAAAAAATTAAAAAAAATAAAAATAAAAGTTAGCAAGGCATGGTGGTGTGCACCTGTGGTCCCAGCTACTCAGGAGGAGCTGGGAGGATCTCTTGAGCCCAGAAGTTCAAGGCTGCAGTGAGCTGTGATTGGGTCACTGCACACCAGCCTGGGCGATGGAGTGAGACCTTATCTCTTAAAAAAAAAAAAAAAGAATTGTCCTTTTGATTGATGAAGCCGCGGACCACCCTGAGCTGTGCTTCCTATTCCTTCTGGCTTTCCCAAGCTTTTCTTGTCCACCGGAAGCTTTCACTAGAAGGTAGAGGACTGGCTCTGTAGTTGGGAACTACAGTTGGGAACATTCAAGAATATTCTATTAACATATTTACATTTTTTAAATATTTGGTTTTAAGAATATCAGCCCCCTTGGCCCGGCACAGTGGCTCACGCCTGTAATCCCAGCACTTTGGGAGACTGCGGTGGGCCGATCACCTGAGGTCAGGAGTTCAACGTCAGCCTGACGAACATGGTGAAACCCTGAATCTACTAAAAAAATACAAAAATTAGCCAGGTGTGGTGGTGGGTGCCTGTAATCCCAGCTACTCGAGAGGCTGAGGCAGGAGAATTGCTTGAACCCGGGTGGCAGAGGTTGCAGTGAGCCGAGAGCAAGCCACTGCACTCCAGCCAGAGCAACAGAGTGAGATGCTATCTCCAAAAAAAAAAAAAAAAAAAAGAATATTACTATCAGTCACTCCTTGATATAACTGGAGATCTGAGATAACATAACAGCTGTGGCACCGCTATGAACCAGAGAGAGGACAGGAGGCTTCCCCAAGGGCAGCTGTAGTTCAGTAATCCGTTAACAAAAGTCTCCCTTCTAAAGTCTCCACCATTTTTTTTAAGACAGAGTCTCACTCTGTCACCCAGGCTGAAAATGCAGTGGCACGATCTCAGCTCACTACAGCCTCTGCCTCCCAGCTTCAAGTGATTCTCCTGCCTCAGCCTCCCAAGTAGCTGGGACTAAAGGCATGTGCCATCACGCCCAGCTGATTTTTGTTTTTTTTTTTTTTTTTTTAGCAGAGTTGGGGTTTCACCATGTTGGCCAGGCTGGTCTCAAACTCCTGACCTCAGGTGATCCTCCCACCTCGGCCTCCCAAAGTCCTGGGATTACAGGTGTGAGCCACCGTGCCCGGCCTAATTTTTGTATTTTTAATACAGATGGGGTTTCACCATGTTGGTCAGGCTGATCTTGAACTCCTGACCTCGAGATCCACCCGTATCGGCCTCCCAAAGTGCTGGGATTGCAAGCGTGAGCCACCACGCCAGGCCTTATATGTGTTTTTCTAAATGCACTTAGAAATCAATGGGTAGGGCTTGGCTGCTTTAGGAAACCGTTCCAGAACTCTACTCTGCCCATAGACCCAGAAAAACACAAATGAGGACAAATAAGGAAAGCTTAGGTTTTCCCTGGAGAAAGAGGAAAGGTAGAAACAGACAGGACCAGACGACCGGCCAGACAAGACCACGTGTAAGTGCCAAAAGAACCACACAGGCCACGCCTTTAATTCCAGCACTTTGGGAGGCCAAGGTAGAAAATCACTTGAGGCCAGGAGCTTGAGGACAGTTTGAGAACAGCTTGGGCAACATAGCAAGACCCCATCTCTACAAAAAATTTTTTAAAGTCTGGGTATAGTGGCTCATACCTATAATGCCAACACTTTGGGAGGCTGAGGTGGAAAATTGATCACTTGAGCCCACAAGTTCAAGACCAGCCTGAGCAACATAGTGAGACCCTGTGTCTATAAAATTTTTTTTAAATTAGGCATGGTGGCCTACATCTGTAGTCCCAGCTACTTAGGAAACTGAGGCAGGAGGATCCCTTGAACCCAGGTTGATGCTGCAGTGAGCTGTGTTCATGCCACTGCACTCCAGCCTGGGTGACAAAGCGAGACCCTCTCTCTCAAGAAAAAAATGTTTTTTTAATTAGCTGGGCATGGTGGCATGCCAAGAGCAGAAATTTGTCAGGGTATTAAGTTGAAACAATAACAGTCCTTTAAAACTTTTATATGCTTAAAAAAAATGACCTTATGCCCCCACCCACTCCATTCCCTCCTGGTTTAACTACTGCTTATGTTTTATTTTTATTTTTTTGTTGAGACGGGGTCTTGCTCTGTTGCCCAGGCAGGAGTGCAGTGGCACGATGATAGCCCAATGCAGACTGGAACTCCTGGGCTCAAACAGACCATCTGTTTCTGGTCAAAAAAAGAAAAAAAAATCATCTGTTTCTGGTCAGAAGTCAGGTAGCTCAGTCCTTCATGAAGAGGAATGCCTTGCATGAGCTAGATTACTCAAAGGGTCCCAGTATAAAAGATACCTCTTATAAAAGATACCCCCTCCCACCTCTTAGAAACCTTCAAATGCTAGAAAGAATGTTCCAAAAGGCCGGCTGTGACTAGGAGCTGAATAGAGGCTGCTCCCTCTGAAAAATAACATCACGTCAAGCTGGGCAAATCTGAGAGCTATGAACCTTCCTAAATGTCAAAATTGCTAAGGTATTTTTAAAACTCAGAAACTTATATTAACAACTGAGAAGAGAAAGCGGTGGAAAACGTGAAGAAATCACACTTTTGTTAGGTGTTGAATTACTGGAGACGTATGTGTGTCATGAACTGAATTGCGTCTCCCAAATTTATATGTTAAGTCCTAACCTCCAGGACCTTAGAATGTAACTATATTTAGAGATAGGGTCTTTAAAGAAGTTAAGTTAGAATGAGGTCATTGGGGTGGGCCCCAACCCAATCTGACTGGTGTCCTTATAAGAAGGGGAGATGGGGCCATGCATGGTGGCTCATGCCTGTAATCCCAGCAATTTGAGAGGCCAAGGCAGGCAGATCACCTGAGGTCGGGAGTTCGAGACCAGCCTGACCAACATGGAGAAACCCCGTCTCTACTAAAAATACAAAATTAGCCGGGTGTCGTGGCGCATGCCTGTAATCCCAGCTACTCGGGAGGCTGAGGCAGGAGAATCGCTTGAACCTGGGAGGTGGAAATCATGCCATTGCACTCCAGCCTGGGCAACAAGAGTGAAACTCCATCTCAAAAAAAAAAAGTCAGCTAGCTCATGTCTTTTTATTTTTATTTTTGAGACAGGGTCTTGTTCTGTTGATCAGTTTGGAGGGCAGTGGTACAATCATAGTTTACTGCAGCCTTGACCTCCTGGGTTCAAGGGATTCTCCCATCTCAGCCTCCAGAGTAGCTGGGACCACAGGCATGTACCACCATGCCTGGCTAATTTTTATGTTTTTTGTAGAGGTGGGGTCTCTTCATGTTTCCTAGGCTGGTCTCCAGCTCCTGGCCTCAAACAATCCTCCTGCCTCAGCCTCCCAAAGTGCTGGGATTACAGGCATGAGCCACCATACCCAGCCTCTTTTTATAATGTACTGAAACACTCTTTCAAAGTACTGGTGAGTGCACAATACAATTTTCCTTTAGGTTCAGTTTTTCTATCCCAGAACTTGCTGAATCTGAATCCCAGCCTTGTGCATTCCTGGACTCTGTTTCTGCCATTCACTCTGAGTGTGGGATGCAGAAACAGCTTTTTAGATACTGGTGCTTAATTAACTCCCAAAGGCTTGAAGAAAAAGGTCTTTGGGCCAGGTGCAGTGGCTCACACCTGTAATCCCAGCACTTTGGGAGGCTGAGGCAGGTGGATCACTTGAGGTCCAAAGTTCGAGACCAACCTGGCCAACATGGCAAAACTTCGTCTCTACTAAAAATACAAGAATTAGCCTGGCATGATGGTGGGTGCCTGTAATCCCAGCTATTTGGGAGGCTGAGGTAGGAGAAGCGCTGGAACCCAGGAGGCGGAGGTTGCAGTGAGCAGAGATCACACCACTGCAATACAGCCTGGGTGACAGAGTGAGACTCAGTCTCAAAAAAAAAAAAAGAAAAAAGAAAAAGGTATTTGCACATTTCTGATCACAGAGGCCCTGAAGATGGGTCTGCTGGCCTTTTACTATTCTCAGAAACCTGCTTGGTGTTTGGGAGGAGGGTTGAGAAGGGGGCAAGAGCTGACCTTCCTCGCCCTGCAACTGCACGCGGGGGTGGCTGTTCTGTGTTCAGTGAGGCGCTAGACTCCAGACCTGTGAGCCCTCACATGTTTTCCTCCCCTTCTCTGGCCAGGCGCCAGTTGGCCCACGTGCCCTTAGCTTTCAGAGCATCCAACTCTGCCAACCTTGCAGGAAGATCTGGGGGTAGGGGGTTCGGGGAAGAATCTTTATTGGGGCCATACACACTGCAGCCTCATAGGATGGGTGGGGCAGGAGCCAGGGCCCAGTTGACCCTGATGAAAACCTTAATAGAGATATGTAGCCCAGCTCTGGCCAGGCACAGTGGTTCTCATGCCTGTAATCCCAGCACTTTGGGAGGCTGAGGCGGGTGGATCACTTGAGCCCAGAAATACTAGACTAGCCTAGGCAACATGACAAGACACCCCTCTTTATTTTATTATTTTTTATTTATTTACTTTATTGAGACAAAGTTTCGCTCTTGTTTCGCAGACTGGAGTGCAACCACACGATCTCAGCTCACTGCAACCGCCTCCTGAATTCAAGCGATTCTCCTGCTGCAGCCTCCTGAGTAGCTGAGATTATAGGCATGCGGTGCCATGCCCAGCTAATTTTTGTATTTCTAGTAGAAATGGGGTTTCACCATGTTGTCCAGGCTAGTCTGGAACTCCTGACCTTAGGTGATTCACCCGCCTCGGCCTCCCAAAGTGCTGGGATTACAGGCGTAAGCCAGGGTGCCTGGCCAATGCCCCTCTTCATAAAAAACGTATAAAATTTGCAGGGTGCGGTGGCTCTTGCCTGTAATCCCAGCACTTTGGAGGCTGAGGTGGGCAGATCACAAGGTCAGGAGATCGAGAGCATCCTGGCTAACATGGTGAAACCCCATCTCTACTAAAAATACAAAAAATTAGTAGTCCCGGCTACTCGGGAGGCTGAGGCAGGAGAATGGTGTGAATCTGGGAGGCAGAACTTGCAGTGAGCCGAGATTGCGCCACTGCACTCCAACCTGTGCAACTGAGCGAGACTCCATCTCAAACCAAACCAAACAAAACAAAACAAAACAAAAAACAGAAAAAAAATTATAAAATTAGCCGGATGTGATGGTGCATGCCTGTAGTCCCAGCTACCGAGGAGGCTGGGGTGGAGAATTTCTTGAGCCTGGGAGGTTGAGGTTGCAGTGAATTGTAATCGTGCCACTGCACTCCAGACTGGGGGACAGAGCAAGATGAAAGAAAGAAACAAAGAAGGGGGGGGAGGGAGGGAGGGAGGAGGGAAGGAAGGAAGGAAGGAAGGAAGGAGGGAAGGAAGGAAGGGAGGGAGGGAGGGAGGGAGGGAGGGAGGGGAGAAAAAAGAGAGAGAGGGAAAGAAAGAAAGAAAGAGAGAAAGCAATTATTATAATATGATGGTCAAAGTGTTCTTATTCAGTTAGCCTCTCACCAGAGCTTAGCGGAGGGGTCTTCAACTCTAGACTACAAGTTAAGGCAAAGTTTTCAGAATTGAGTTTTTTTCTGTTTTTGTTTTTTTGTTTGTTTTTGAGACAGGATCTCGCTGTGTTCCCCAGGCTGGAGTACAGTGTTGCAATCATAGATCACTGCAGCCTGGAGCTCCTGGGCTCATGTGATCCTCCCATCTCAGCCTCCCAAGTACCTGGGATTACAGTAGAGATGCACCACCATGCCCAGCTAATTTTAAAATTTTTTTGTAGAGACAGGGTCTTGCTATTTGCCCAGGCTGGTCTCAAACTCTTGGGCTCAAGCAATCCTTTCTCATTGGCCTCCCACAATGTTGAGATTACAAGTGTGAGCCACCACGCCCACCCAGAGTGATTTTTTTTTTTTGAGACGGAGTTTCACTCTTATCATCCAGGCTGGAGTGCAGTGGTGCAGTGGTGCAGTGGTGCAGTGGCGTGATCTCGGCTCACTGCAACCTCTGCCTCCTGGGTTCAAGTGATTCTCGGGATTACAGGTGTGAGCCACCGTGCCTAGAGTCCATATTTTGGAATATTTTCAATCTGTGGTTGGCTGAATCCATGGATGGGGAACCTGCAGTTATAAGGGTCAACTGTACTGGCCTCGTCAGTCTGGAAGTGCCCCTTCTTCTGTTTTCTGGAGATTACGTGTAATTGGTGTTGCTATTTCTTTAACTATGAGCAGACTTCTCCAGTGAAACTATCTGGGTCTGGAGATACCTTTTTCAAGAGTGGGAGGAAAGAGTTAACACAACAGGTCTGATTCACTCATTTCTCACTTATTTCTGTAGCCAAAGCGTGGCCATTGGTCAAACTCTGAAAACCAAACTCCTGGAATATTCACATAGTTACCGGGTCAGATGTTATTCTCCACGCCCAAAACAGTGAGCCCAGATGAACCAGGCTGTCAGCAGGTTTAAAGTAAACATACAGATTCATGATGCTTAGCCAGGCACAGTGGCTCACGCCTGTAATCCCAGAATTTGGCGAGGCCGAGGCAGGCGGAATCGCTTGAGGTCAGGAGTTCAAGATCAGCCTGGCCAGCATGGCAAAAACCTGTCTCTACTGAAAATACAAAAAATTAGCTGGACGTGGTGGTGAGTGCCTGTAATCTCAGCTACTTGGGAGGCTGAGGCAGGAGGATCATGTGAACCCAGGAGACAGAGGTCGCAGTGAGCCAAGATCACACCACTGCACTCCAGCCTGGTGACAGAACGAGACTCTGTCTCAAAAAAAAAAAAAAAAAAAAGCCACAGTGAGCTATGATCATGCCACTGCACTCCAGCCTAGGCGACATAGTGAGACCCCATTTTTGAAAAAAAAAAAAAAGAATAAAAGATTCATGATGCCCAACCTGGTGGTTTAGGGCTGTGTTTGGTCACATGGCAGGAATGTCACCCAGGTTGGAGTGCAATGGTGTGATCTCAGCTCACTGCAACCTCAGCCTCCTGGGTTCAAGTGATCCTCCCGCCTCAGCCTCCCAAGTAGCTGGGATTGCAGGTGTGTGCCACCATACCCAGCTAATTTTTTTACATTTTTAGTAGAGATGGGGTTTTACCATGTTGGCCAGGCTGCTCTTGACCTCCTGACCTCAGGTGATCCGCCCCCGTCAGCCTCCCAAAGTGCTAGGATTACAGCCATGAGCCAGAAGGAGTCTTGCTCTTGTCGCCTAGGCTGGAGTGCAGTGGCACGACCTAGGCTCACTGCAACCTCTGCCTCCCAGGTTCATGCAATTCTCCTGCCTCAGCCTCCAGAGTAGCTGGGATTACAGGTGCCTGCCAACATGCCCAGCTAATATTTTTGTATTTTTAGTAGAGATGGGGTTTCACCATGTTGCCTAGGCTGGTCTCAAACTCCTGACCTCAGGTGATCCACCCGCCTTGGTCTCCCAAAGTGCTGGGATGACAGGCATAAGCCACCACGCCCAGCCTTTTTTTTTTTTTTAAATAAAGACGAGATCTCACCATGTTGTCCAGGCTGGTCTCAAACTCCTGGACTCAAGCAATTCTCCCATCTCGGCCTCCCAAAGTCCTGGGATTACAGGGGTGAGCCACTGTGCCTGGCCTAACCACACAAATTTTGACTCCAGAACTCAAGTGGGATTTCCTGGGCAAGGACATCTCACACAAGTCCTTGCAGTTTGCTCCTGGAAAAGATAAGTCTGTACTGTCCCTGCAGAGGATAAGTATGCATTTGACCTTCCAGCCTTCATCTATTAATATCCTTTTTCCTGCTGTCTTTGTATTGTATCCTCCACTGTAATAAACCTTCACCTAGAGTATAACTTGATCTAGAGTCACATGGGTCCTTCCAGGGAATCACCAAACTAGTTGTATGTGACCACGAAGACAAGAAATTCTTTTATTAAAACTATGAATTCAAGGACAGGCGTGGTGGCTCACGCCTGTAATCCTAAGACTTTGGGAGGTTGAGGTGGGTGGATTGCATGAAGTCAGGAGTTTGAGACCAGCCTGGCCAACATAGTAAACTCTGTCTCTTCTGAAAATACAAAAAGTTAGCCGGGTGTGGTGGTGGGCACCTGTAGTCCCAGCTACTTGGGAGGCTGAGGCAAAAGAATCGCTTGAACCCAGGAGGCAAAGGTTGCAGTGAGCCAAGATTGTGCCACTGCACTCCAGCCTGGGTGACAGACTGAGACACCATCTCAAAAAAAAAAAAAAAAAAAAGGATTCAGCTGGGCCTAGTGGCTCATGCCTGTAATCTTAACACTTTGGGAGGCTGAGGCAGGCGGATTGCTTGAGCCCCAGGAGTTGAAGACCAGCCTGGGCAACTTGGCAAAACCCCGTCTGTACAAAAAATAAAAAACTAGCTGGGTGTATTGGCGGGCGCCCGTAGTCCTAACTACTCAGGAGGCTGAGGTGGGAGGATCACCTGAGCCCAGGAAGTTAAGGCAGCGGTGAGCTGTGATTGTGCCACTGCACTCCAGTATGGGTGACAGAGTGAGATGCAGTCTCACAATAAAATAAAATAAAAATAAAAAACCATGAATTCAATTTTTAAAATTGTTACAAGATTTTAAAAATTATGTTTCATATTGAGTGATTTTTGGTAGTTTGTAGTTTTCAAAGAATTGGTCCATTTCATCCAACTTGTTGGATTTATATGGGTAGAGTTGCTTAGTATTCACTTATTATCCTTTTGTTAGTTTTTTTTTTCTTTGTTTTGTTTTTTGAGATGGAGTCTCACTCTGTCACCCAGGCTAGAGTGCAATGGCACAATCTTAGCTCACTGCAACCTCTGCCTCCCTGATTCAAGCGATTCTAGTTCCTTGGCCTCCCAAGTACCTGGGATTACAGGCGCCCGCCACCACGCCTGGCTAATTTTTCTTTTTTTTTTTCTTTTGAGACAGAGTCTTGCTCTGTCGCCCAGGCTGGAGTGCAGTGACCTGATCTCACTCACTGCAACCTCCACCTCCTGAGTTCAAGTGATTCTCCTGCCTCAGCCTCCTGAGTAGCTGGGACTACAGGTGCCCACAACCATGCCCAGCTAATTTTTTGTATTTTTAGTAGAGACAGGGTTTCACCGTGTTAGCCAGGATGGTCTCGATCTCCTGACCTTGTGATCTTCCCACCTCGGCCTCCCAAAGTGCTGGGAATACAGGCATGAGCCACCATGCCTGGCCTAATTTTTGTATTTTTAGTAGAGACGGGGGTTTCACCATGTTGCCCAGGCTGGTCTTGAACCCCTTACCTCAGGTGATCCACCTGCCTCCGCCTCCCAAAGTGCCGGGATTACAGGCATGAGCCACTACACCCGGCCTTGTTTTGTTGTTTTGTTTTGTTCTGAGGTTTTGAGACGGAGTTTCGCTCTTGTTGCCCAGGCTGGAGTGCCCTGGCACGATCTCGGCTCACTGCAACCTCCTTGTCCCAGGTTCAAGCAAATATGGAACGCAACACAAATTTGCATGTCATCTTTGTGCAGGGGCCATGCTAATCTTCTCTATATCTTTCCAATTTTAGTATATGTGCTACCAAAGCGTGCACAATTTTTGTATTTTTTGTAGAGATAGGGTCTTGCCATGTCACCCAGGCTGGTCGCAAACTCCTGAATTGAAGTGATTCGACCACTTCGGCCTCCCAGAGTGCTGGGATTACAGGCATGAGCCACAACACCTAGCCTCAAATGGAAATTTTAAAACAAAAATACAATAACAAAAATTTAAAACTCACTAGATGGACTCAATTAACAATATGAAGGTGAGGAAGAGTCAGTAGACAAACGTGGATTGATAGAAAGCACTCAAACTGGCCGGTCAAGGTGGCTCACGCCTGCAATCCCAGCACTTTGGAGGCTGAGGTGGTGGATCATTTGAGGTCAGAGTTCGAGACCAGCTTGGCCAACACAGCAAAGCCCCATCTCTACTAAAAATACAAAATTAGTCAGGCATGGTGGCACACGCCTGTAATCCCAGCTACTCAGGAGGCTGAGGCGGGAAATTGCTTCAACCTGGGAGGCAGAGGTTGCAGTGAGCTGAGATGGCACCATGGCACTCCAGCCTGGGCAACAAGAGCAAAACTCCATCACAAAAAAAAAAAAAAAAAGTGCTGAAACTGAGGCCGGGCATGGTGGCTCATGTCTGTAATCCCAGCACTTTGGGAGGCCAAGGTGGGTGGATCACCTGAGGTCATGAGTTTGAGACCAGCCTGGCCAACATGGTGGAACCCCGTCTCTACTAAAAATACAAAAATTAGCCAGGCTTGGTGTTGACTGCCTGTAATTCCAGCTACTCTGGAGGCTGAGGCAGGAGAATCGCTTGAACCTGGGAGGTGGAGGTTGCAGTGGAGCCGGGATCGTGTCACTGCACACCAGCTGAAATGACAGAGCAAGATTGCATCTCAGAAAAAAAAAAAAAGAAAAAAAAATCAATGGGATTACTTGGTGTGTTTCTGTTTCTTTCAGGGAAATTTATCAGAAGAAAGAGAAAGGATATTTCAGTTTTCTCTGAAAAGTTGATTTTGAAAAGAGCCCTATATCTTATACATAATTTCCCCATGATTCTCCAGAATTCTAAAAAGGGAAGCACATTGTTAATGTTAATGTTCTTAGGGCTATTTTTGGACTGGACAGAAAAGCAGAATAGTTTGTGTTTTGTGTGGACTTCAGAGTGCATTGAAGGCTGTAAAATAACCAATCTTGTTAGACATCTGTATCCAAAGTCACAGTACTCCAAGCATAGTATAACCCTTGTATATTACTAAAGACTACCCCATTGTTATGTTTTTGCCTTTTTTTTAATAAACCAGCTTTATTGAGACATAATTTACGGACAATAAGTTCTACATATTTGAAATATCAAGTAGATGACTTTTATCAAAGGTATAAAACATTTTCACCTCCTTCACTCCCCTTTACAGTCAATCTCCATTTCACTCCCCACTCCAGGCAACCACTCATCTGATTGCTCTCTCTATAGGTTAACTTTGCCTGTTCTAGAATTTCATGTAATTAAAATCACACAGTATGTGCCCTTTTGTGTTTAACACATCTCACTGAGCACAATGTGAGATTCACTCACACTGCATGCATCAGTAGGTTCCTTTTTATAGTTGAGTAGAGGTTTTGGTGTGAACATACCACAATTTATTTATTCTCCTCTTGATTGACAAAAGGGTTGTTTAGGATTTTTTTGCTAAGTAAATCTCTTTTGAATGTTATTGGACTAGAATTTTTTTTTAATTTTATTATTATACTTTAAGTTTTAGGGTACATGTGCACAACGTGCAGGTTTGTTACATATGTATTCATGTGCCATGTTCGTGTGCTGCACCCATTAACTCGAGATGGAGTTTTGCTCTTGTTGCCCAGGCTGGAGTGCAGTGGCATGATCTTGTCTCACTGCAACCTCCACCTTCCAGTTTCAAGCGATTCTCCTGCCTCAGCCTCTCGAGTAGCTAGGATTACAGGCACCCGCCACCACACCCAGCTAATTTTTGTATTTTTAGTAGAGACAAGGTTTCATCATGTTGGCCAGGCTGGTCTCAAACTCCTGACCTCAGGTGATCCGCCTGCCTCGGCCTCCCAAAGTGCTGGGATTATAAGCGTGAGCCACCGCACCTGGCCATGTTTTTGCTTTTATGAGATATTCATTGGAATTGGAATTTGTTTGATGCTGCTTCAGGATATGAGTAATTATTAAAAGAAAATGTGACTTTTTAACAAAGCAGTCCAGGAATACGTTGTAGAGAAAAAAGATGACTGCTTAAAATATGGCTATGGTTAAAATGTTGTCTATATTAAGGAATCTTCATGAGATCCTTGACATCATTGTGAACACAATCTTTTGTGATTATGTTACATGATTTTCATCTTTTTTCAATTTATCTAAGTGCTTGGCCATAAAGACACAACTGACCACACTTAACCCCTCTTGAAGACATTTTTAAATCTCTAAATGAATACTAACTCCAACATATCTATCTTGTTTTTACCACAAGCATTTTGAAAAAGCAGAGTAGGCCAGGTGCAGTGGCTCATGCCTGTAATCCCAGCACTTTGGGGTGCCGAGGTGGGTGGATCAGCTCAGGTCAGGAGTTCGAGACCAGCCTGGACAATATAGTGAAACCCCAACTCTATTAAAAATACAAAAATTAGCTGGGCATGGTGGCAGGTGCCTATAATCCCAGCTACTCAGGAGGCTGAGGCAGGAGAATCACTTGAACAATCCAGGAGGCAGAGTTTGCAGTGAGCCAAGATCTCACCATTGCACTCCAGCCTGGGTGACAGAGCAAGACTCTGTCTCAAAATAAAAATTAAACAAAAAAAAAAAAAAAAGAAAGGAAAAGAAAAATCTGATGAATGTGGAAAATCTATATGTATTCTTAGAAAAAAATGCTCTTCAGGGCTGGGCGTGGTGGCTCACGCCTGTAATCCCAGCACTTTGGGAGGCTGAAGTGGGTGGATAACCTGAGGTCAGGAGTTCAAGACCAAACTGACCAACATGGAGAAATCCTGTCTCTACTAAAAATACAAAATTAGCCGGGCATGGTGGCACATGCCTGTAATCCCAGCTACTAGGGAAGGCTGAGGCAATCACTTGAACCCAGGAGGTGGATGTTGCGGTGAACCAAGATTGCACCATTGCACTCCAGCCTAGGCAGAAAGAGTGAAACTCCATCTCAAAAGAAAAAGAAAAAACGCTTTTCAAATTTTTGCATTTCTGACAACTGGATGTCCCCACCTGCCAACCAGTCCTGTGGCCCCCACTCAGGAACTGACTTAGCCCAAAAGGACAGCTTTAATTCTCTATGATTTCATCTCCTGCACCCAACCAATCAACAGGCCCCCTATCCTAGCCCCTTGCCCACAACACTATCTTGGAAAAATCCCTCATCTCCAAGACGTTAGCAAGATTGATTTGAGTAATAACTCCATCTCCCACGTGGCATAGCTGGCTTCGCATCAATGAAACTCTTTAATGCCATGGTCTTCAGTGGATTTTGTTTGTGTGGTAGTCAGGAAGAACCCCTTGGGCCATTACAAACATGGGGACATTGTAGAGGACCATTTTAGGGACCCCATCCTATTAAGTGCCATGAATACAGAAAAAAATCGTGATTCCATTTACATGTTTTAGAAGTGAGAGAAACTCCAAATATGATATGGTCAAGTTGTGCAACAGAATTCAGAATTTATTCAATATTACAGTGTTTATATCACAGAGAACATCTTTGTCATTTATATAGGCAATTTTCCCTGGGGCTCACATGCTATTGAACACTGTAACGTTTATTTTGGGGAGAATCTGTGGAGATGGGGGAGGCATCGTCAACATTCCAGTGCAGCATCAGCTAATTCACATGCAACAAAGAGTCTATCAATGCAGAAATGTGCAAGAGCTTTTGGAAAAGTATAGCTCATTCAATATCAGAGAATTCACAATGGAGGAAAATCGTATGTGTGTAATGGACGTAAAAATGCTTTGAGATGGTGTCCAGAGCTAATCAGACATCTGGGATTTTGTAGCAGAGAGGGGCCTTGTGAGTATAATGGATGAGGAAGAACCTTCAATCAGAGTTCCATACTTAGACAATATCAGCTAATTCAGGTGGGACTTAAAATGGTCATACGTAATGAAGACGGAAAACTCAGGGAAGCATGGGGAATACGGAATGTGAGATCATCCACACTGGAGAGAAGTCTTAGGAGTACAATGAGTGTGGAAAATCACTTGGGGACAAACTTAGCTTTCTCATCATTGGAGAATTCACACAAAAAAAGGAATGAGCTTGGACGGATCATGGGAGAACTTCCAGGCACTAATCAGGCTAATTCATCCCGGAGAAAAACCTTGATGATGAAGAAGGGGAAAAAGTCTTCCAGTTTTTTTCCTTATTGGATTTCAGAGAATCCTCAGTGACATATAGGGAAACTTGCTGGAGGAATTCAGGGTTTATTAAGATTCACATTAAAGCATTAATCCCATTAAAGTAGGAGTTTAAACTTTTTTGCTTCTTTCACCCCAAAGTTTTCATTCCTTACGTCTCTGTTGAGGGAATGAAGCAACAGGCAAAAATCAATGGTGCACTGGCTTTGCCTTTCAAAACATCACACAATATGTGGGGTGCAGAAGGACAGCATTGAGAGGTGCTGGGTTTGGTGCCAGAATCTGGCAGTTGCAAATTCTAATACATCACAACACACTCATAGGTGGGCCCCATATATCTGATGAACTTCCAGGGCCACATCTCTACAAATGCTGAAGATTATTTGGAGATGGGAAAATGCGGCTGGGGGTGCTTTTTCTCCAGGTCTGAGTAAAATGAAATAGTGGGTATTTCTAAGATATATTAGGAGGATGCCAGTTTCTCTTTGTTTCATATTTTCAAAAACAGAGATTTAAAGAGGACGGGCTAGAGCTCTTATGTTCAGCTTCTTATTCCATAAGGGAAGAATCAGGCGTATTTCTTGTGTTGAAGCAACACACACACACACACACACACACACACACACGTTGTTTGGCAAAAGTCAGACCAGAAGAAAGCTTCTCTCCTACCAACCTCATTCCTTGGCCTTGAACCAGCATTCTAAGTCTTCCAATACATCCTTGTCTCTCCCTACAGTAACTCTCTCATTGAGTTCTGTTTTTGTTTGTTTTTTGAGAAGGATTCTTGCTCTGTAGCTAGGCTGGAGTGCAGTGGCACAATCTCGGCTCACTGCAACTTCTGCCTCCCAGGTTCAAGCAATTCTCCTGCCTCAACCTCCCAAATAGCTGGGATTACAGGCATGTGCCAACACGCCAGGCTAATTTTTGTATTTTTAGTAGAGACAGGGTTTCAGTACGTTGGTCAGGCTGGTCTCGAACTCTTGACCTCGTGATCCACCTGCCTCAGCCTCCCAAAGTGCTGGTATTACAGGCGTGAGCCATCATGCCCGGCCCATTGAGTTCTTTATAGAAGTGAGTTAGGTTTTGTAGATTTTTGGCTCCTAGCTTTGCTTAGAGAAGCCAGAAAGAGGCGCAGTGGCTCACACC
This sequence comes from Homo sapiens, assembly GCF_000001405.40. Taxonomy (NCBI): domain Eukaryota; kingdom Metazoa; phylum Chordata; class Mammalia; order Primates; family Hominidae; genus Homo; species Homo sapiens. Next base: position 35,935,751 of record NC_000007.14, read on the forward strand.
TAGAATCCCAGCACTTTGGGAGGCCAAGGCAGGCAGACCACGAGGTCAGGAGTTCAACACCAGCCTGGCCAACATGGTGAAACCCCATCTCTACTAAAAATACAAAAATTAGCCAGGTGTGGTGGCATACGCCTGTAATCCCACCTACTGGGGAGGCTGAGGCAGGAGAATCGCTTGAACCTGGGATGCGCAGGTTGCAGTGAGCCGAGATCGCACCACTGCACTCCAGCCTGGGAGACAGAGTGAGACTCCATCCCAAGAAAAAAAAAAAGAGAGAAGCCAGAAAGAAAATGTAGGAAAAAAGAGGAGAGGCAGGGGAGATGAGGAATGAACAAAGTTGCAGAGGGGGTGGGTGGGGGGAGGCAGTGGCTATGCACATAGAGAATGGCAACTGAGGACACCTTATTCCTGAGAACTAAGGTGGCACTAAGGTTGATGGCTAGAGAGTAACTGAAAGGCCTAGTTCCCACTGAAAGGCCTAGTTCCCACTAGGCCAGTTTAGTTCCAGCTGCCATCAACTTTTTCCAGTAGTTCCCTTGCTCACACTCAAAATCTCAGGCATTAAAGCCCCACTGAGTTACCACAATTCATGGAGTCCTGTTTTAGAAGATGTCTAAGGCCAGGCAAGGTAGCTGACGCCTGTAATCCTAGCACTTTGGGAGGCCAAGGCGGGTGGATCATGAGATCAGGAGATGGAGACCATCCTGGCCAACATGGTGAAACCCTGTCTCTACTAAGAATAAAAAAAAAAAAAAAAAAGTTAGCTGGGCGTGGTGGCACTTGCCTGTAATCTCAGCTACTTGGGACCCTGAGGCAAGAGGATTGCTTGAACCAGGGAGTCAGAGGTTGCAGTGAGCCGAGATCGCACCACTGCACTCCAGTCTGGCAACAGAGCAACTCAGTCTCAAAATGAAAAAAGAAGATGTCTGGAACTTGCATGAATATCTCTTTCTTTCCTTGTCTATGTCCCCTAGGCCTTGGGGTTAGGACTCTGAGCTGGGATTCCTCTGTAGGCTAAGACCAATCCTGATTCTTACTCCCTCCATATGAGCAATAATTTGATTTCTAATGTCTAAACTTAGGTTGATTTTCCATTGGGAGTTACAGCAACAGTCACGGGGTTCTGAGAAGGGGCGAGGGATGCTTTAGGCTGCAGGTAGCAGAAATCTGCCCAGAAAATAAAGACACGTGACTTACAGATCAGTAAGACTGGAAGTGGGGGTTCCAGGATAGGTATGGTGGCTCAACGCTGTCATGGAGGACATAGGCTCTGCCATCATCAGTATGTGGGCTTTTCCCCTTGGTCTTGTTGCCTCGTGGTCTCAAGATGGTCCCAGCCATCTCGCCATAAGTTTTTGTTTTGTTGTTGTTGTTGTTGTTGAGACAGAGTCTCTCTCTATCACCCAGGCTGGAGTGCAGTGGCATGATCTCGGCTCACTGTAACCTCCGCCTACAGGTTCAAGCGATTCTCCTGCCTCATCCTCCGAAGTAGCTGGGATTACAGGCATGTGCCACGACATCCAGCTAATTTTGCATATTTAATAGAGACCAGGTTTCACCGTGTTAGCCAGGCTGATCTCAAACTCCCAACCTCAGGTGATCCACCCACCTCGGCCTCCCACAGTGCTGGGATTACAGGCATGAGCCACCGTGCCTGGCCCACAATTTTTGTATTTTTAGTAGAGACGGGGTTTCACCATCTTGGCCAGGATGGTCTTGAACTCTTGACTTCATGATCCACCTGCCCTGGCCTCTGAAAGTGCTGGGATTACAGGCGTGAGCCACTGTGCCCGGCAAATGGGATGGCGTGCTGCATGGGCTGGAAATCCCTCTACATTCTAGCAGCACAGCTAAGTCACCCACCCACTTCTAAGCCAACTGACAGCAAAGGGAACAAGTGGCAAACTGGCTGCAATGACACCCACAGGCAGGAGGTCCCCCTGGAATGGCTTCTCTTGGCTCTTTTTGGAGTCCCAGCTCAGTTCCTGCCCTGTCCTCCTTTATCCTCTCGCCAAAATCAAGCTCATTTTCCCTCCGCGAGGGGATATTCCTCCATGGCATAGCTTATTTTGGTTTTGCTTCAATGGCCAAGTTTCTTCTCCGGTGTAATTCTGGCCAGCACACTGGTCTGACCAGGCCCTACTTGCCCTTAGGACATCTTGTTGCTCACTGATTTTACTGTCTGGTTTTTCCACTCCAATTTCCAAAAGGGGCCATCTGACTGGCCTGGCTGGCTTTCCCTACATTTGTGAGCCAGATGACTTCAAAAATCATTGGCCAGCCTGTATGTGATCCTGGTCCACTGAACTGTATATCTGGGGGCTTGGGGGGTGGCAGAGAGGCAGGGTCATGTGGTGTGACACAGCTGCCTGGGCAGTGGTTTCCATGGAGGGGCTGGGGGTAGCACAGGTGATGGTGCAATGGTGTAGGGTATCCATAGAGGGTTCTCAGAGCCCAACAACTGTACGAGATGACAAGGCTACTCTGTCAGGGAGAGAGACCACATGGAAGAACATGAGGCATCAGTCATGTGACTGCAAAAGCCACTTTGGACATTTCAGCCCCAATAGCTGTGGAGGAGAGGAGACCTCAGACATAGTGGAGCAGAAATAAACTGGAACACAAGACTCACGGAGCTGGGTGCATCATCACAGATTCTTGAGTCCCAGCGGCCTCAAGGCTTCCATGGCTCAAGAACGTCCCCCAATTCCCACAGCAGAAATTCCAGTTGCTGCAGGTAGAAAGCTTGAGTTCTCTCATGAACATGGCTTTAATAGTGATTGGAAGTGTTTCTTGCCTACGGGATTTAAGATGTTGGGAAACTTTTTTTTTTTTTTTTTTGAGACAGAGTCTCATTCTGTCACCCAGGCTGGAGTGCAGTGGCGTGATCTTGGTTCACTATAACCTCTACCTCCCAGGTTCAAGCGATTCTCCTGCCTCAGTCTCCCGAGCAGTTGGGACCACAGATGTGCGCCACCATGACTGGCTATTTTTTTTTATTTTGTTTTTGAATTGGAGTCTTGATCTGTTACCCAGGCTGGACTGCAATGGCGTGATCTCGGCTCACTACAACCTCTGCCTCCCGGGTTCAAGTGATTCTCCTGCCTCAGCCTCCCAAGTAGCTGGGATTACAGGCATGCACCACCACATCCGGCTAATTTTTGTATTTTTAGTAGAGATGGGGTTTCTCCATGTTGGCCAGGCTGGTCTCAAACACCTGACCTCAGGTGATGCGCCCGCCTTGGCCTCCCAAAGTGCTGGGATTACAGGCATGAGTCACTGCGCCTGGCCTTGGGAAACTTTTTGTGGCTTTGACAGGCCGAAGAAGGAACTGTGGAGGCAGGACTATTTCAAGATGGCCCTGTTACAGACAGAAAATGGGCTGGTTCTTCCAGCAAATGGAATTTTAAAATTCTTCAATGGAAAAATGAGAACTTTTAGAAACATGGGTGATGGGCAGAGCTGGATTTGAACCCCTGCTCTTCTACTTACTAGCTGCATGACCTTGGGCAAGTTATTTAGCCTCTTTAAGTCTTATTTTTTTTCATTTGTAACAAGAGGATAGAAACACACCTCTTTCACAGGGTTGCTGGTAGGACTAAATGAGATACTGCATGGGAAACAATTGGCACCACTGGCCCTGGACACATGATGGTGACTGCGATTGTGAGTCGCTTATGCACTTGGCAAGTGAGGGCCAAAGGCCCAGTGAGAGACCCAGCTAGAGCTTCAGGGCGCTGGCTTGGCTCTTCTTAACAGGGATCTGGTGCCCTCCACGGTGGGGACTGGGGATGGGGTAGGGGTGTCTTTACAGCTCTCCATCTAGATCCAGTTTCTTGAGCAATTTCATAGAAGCCTCTCGTTCTATTTATTTATTTATTTATTTTGAGATGGAGTCTAGCTCTTGTTACCCAGGCTGGAGTGCAATGGCTTGATCATGGCTCACTGCAACCTCTGCATCCCGGGTTCAAGCAATTCTCCTGCCGTAGCCTCCTAACTAGAATTACAGGCCTGCACCACCATGCCTGGCTAACTTTTGTATTTTTTTGTAGAAACGGGGTTTCACCATGTTGGCCAGACTGGTCTTGAACTACGGACCTCAAGTGATCCGCCCACCTTGGCCTCCCAAAGTGCTGGGATTATAGGCGTGAGCCACCATTCCTGGCCCTCTCATTCTCTTTAGAATGGCCTTTGCTACCCCCATGGGGATGCCTAGCTTCTCCAATAGCCTTCACCTGGTCTTTCTTCCTCCTCTCTTTATTCCTCCTCTTTCTTTCTCTCCTTCTCTCTCTCTCTCTCTCTCTCTCAAGGTCTTGCTCTGTCACCCAGGCTGGAGTGCAGTGGTATCACAGCTCACTGCCACCTCGAACTCCTGGGCTCAAGCAATCCTCCTACCTCAGCCTCCTGAGTTGCTGGGATTACAGGCATGCTCCACTACACCTGGCTAATTTTTAAATATTATTGTTTGCAGAGACAGGGTCTTGCTATGTTGCCCAGGCTGGTCCAGAACTCCTGGACTCAAGTGATCCTCCTGCTGTGGCCTCCCTAAGTGCTGGGATTACAGGTATGAGCCACCATGTCCAGCCGGGTTATTAATGTCAATCTCCGCCACCTCCACCTGTTTTTGTAATTTCTTATCCAATTTGGCCTGGGGATCATCATCAGAGGAGGGATTTGAGAGGGTATTCTTTTTTTTTTTTTTTTTGAGATCGAGTCTCACTCTGTTGCTCAGGCTGGAGTGCAGTGGCACAATCTCAGCTCAGTGCAACCTCTGCCTTCCAGGTTCAAGTGATTCTCCTGCCTCAGCCTCCCGAGTAGCTGGAATTACAGGTGCGCACCAGCATGCCTGGCTAATTTTTGTGATGTTAGTAGAGACAGGGTTTCACCATGTTGCCCAGGCTGGTCTCAAACTCCTGGGCTCAAGCAATCTGTCCGCCTTGGCCTCCTAAAGTGCTGGGATTACAGGCATGAGCCTCCGCGCCTGGCTGAGGATATTCTGGAGGCTCATTGTAAATGGCATTCCAGCTATACAATTCCAGGACTTGAGCAATGGAGCCAGCAACCGGCTGTCTCCTGTGGCCTGTAGAGAACTGGGTAAATACATGAGCCTCTGGTAAGCAGACGGAGAGGCCGCTGGCCAGGGAACTCCCTTTCCTTCTCTCCTGAATGCTCAATGACCTGCTGACATGTTCGGCAAGTCAAAGTTCAGCAGTGTGGAAGACTTGGCTTTCTAGGAAATGCAGTTCTCACAGGCAGCGCCAACACTAAGAACTAGTTCTTACTATCTGTGTCAAGATACCAAGAATTTTAACTTACTAGGTTTTTTTTTTTTTTTTTGTACGAAGTCTTGCTCTGTCACCCAGGCTGGAGTGCAGTGGTGTGATCTTGGCTCACCGCAACCTCCACCTCCCAGGTTCAAGCAGTTCTTCTGCCGCAGCTTCCCAAGTATCGGGGATAACAGGTGTGTGCTACCACACCCAGCTAATTTATGTATTTTCAGTAGAGTTGGGGTTTTACCATGTTGGCCAGGCTAGTGTCCAACTCCTGACCTCAGGTGATCTGCCTGCCTCGGCCTCCCAAAGTGCTGGGATTACAGGTGTGAGCCACTGTGCCTGGCTAGTAACTTTTAAAGTTAGAAGAGAGCTCCAAGGCTATATAAAACTCTGGACTTGGCTGGGCGCGGTGGGTCGCGCCTGTAATCCCAGCACTTTGGGAGGCCGAGGCAGGTGGATCATGAGGTAAGGAGTTTGAGACCAGCCTGGTCAACCTGGTGAAACCCTGTCTCCACTAAAAATACAAAAATTAGCCGGGCATGGTGGCACCCGCCTGTAATCCCAGCTTACTCGAGAGGCTGAGTCAGGAGAATTGCTTGAACCCAGGAGGCAGAGGTTGCAGTGAGCCGAGATCACGCCACTGCACTCCAGCCTGGGCAACAGAGCAAGACTCCATCTCACAAAACAAAAACAAAAAAAACTCTGGACTTGTACACAAATTTGTTCCCTTTCAGGGGAGATTGACATTTCACCACCAACAAAAGGCGAGAGGCCTTTTCTGTCCTGTGTCCTTGAGACCCAGAACTTAGCCATATACCAATGGGATGATGTCCTCCCCAGGGGCAGGAGCAGACCCAGGTGGGACATTTCAGTACAGTCCTTAAGGTCTGTTCTCGCTACCTCCAAGAACTCCTTGGCTGCCTGGGAACCAGAGTGCAACATTCATTCAACAGATACTGAGTGCATACCTACTACGAGTCAGATGCTAAGCTGGGCACTGTGGACACAGAGACAGGCCTAAGGCATAGCCTTGCTTTCAGAGAGCCCCAAGTTCACATCGAGGGTGGTCCCTGAGCTGGTCATACTTAACTAGGACTGTGAATGCACAGCTCCGCAGCAATGGTGACTTCTATTTTTTTTTTTTTTTTTTTTTTTTGAGAGCAGTCTTTCTCTGTTACCCAGGCTGGAGTGCAGTAGAATGCTCTCAGCTCACTGCAATCTGCACCTCCCGGGTTCAAGCGATTCTAGTGCCTCAGTCTCCTGAGTAGCTGGGATTACAGGTGTGCACCACCATGCCTGGCTATTTTTTGTATTTTTAGTGGAGATGGGGTTTCACCATGTTGGCCAGGCTGGTCTTGAACTCCTGACCTCAGGTGATCTGCCTAACTTGGTCTCCCAAAGTGCTGAGATTGCAGGTGTAAGCTACCACCGCACCTGGCCAACAACACTGACTTCTTGCTTGTTCCTTGCCTTTCCATCCCCAAAATCGTTCCCAGGGCCTAGTGTAATGCAGGGCAACTAGCAACACCTCTCAGGCAGAGCTGAAGCTGTGGAGACCAAGCATCGACCACCTTGGCTAATGCGGCTGGTCTGCCTGGGGCTGAAGGTTGGGAGGGGAGGAAGAGGTGGCAGTAAGTATAAGATCACCTTCCTCCCTGTGTGACCTTCAAGGGGCAACCACCCTGAAGAAGGTGGGCTACATCTTCAGTGGAAGGTAAATGACCTGAACAACAAACCCATCTGCCTAGATGACATCGTCACAGTTATAAGCAGTCTGCCTGTCCACACAGTCCGCCAAGCCACCTTGAGTGTCTCAGGGTTCAAAGGATTCTTGGACCATCCAGAGGACAAGGGGCGGCCCCTCTTCAAAGATCTCTCAGTCTGCTTCAGAAGAAAAAGTCATCAAAAGATAATGAAGGGCTAAGTGTGGCATGAGTGTTAAACGGGTTTCACAGGCAGTGCATTCTCATGAAGGGAAGCAGGGGAGTAGGGCTCCAGGCTCACAGCATCCCAGGAGGGCTTCAGGGAACAGATGGGCTTTGGGCCAGGCTTAAAGGATGGGCAGAATGCAGAGTGGGAGGGGTGGGCACCCCACTGCATTCCAGGGGGTGCTGACCATCAGCAATGACATGGCACTCAAAATAGAGTTTGGGCTAAGCACGGTGGCTCATGCCTGTAATCCCAGTGCTTTGGGAGGCTGAGATGGGAGGACTGCTAGAGCCCAGGTGTTCGAGAGCAGCCGGGGCAACACAGTGAGACCTCATCTCTATAAAAAATTTAAAAATTAGCCAGGTATGCTGGTGTGTGCCTGTAGTTCCAGCTACTCAGAAAGCTGAGGTGGGAGGATCACTTGAGCCCAGGAGGTCAAGGCTGCAGTAAGCTATAATCGTGCCACTGCATTCCAGCCTAGAAATGCAGAGCAAGACCCCAGCTCTTTAAATAAATAAATAAAAAGGTACCACTTCGGGGAAATTGCAGACTCTAAGCTTAAACTCTACTGGCTTGATACACATGGCAAAACACTTGGTCAGGATTTGCAGTAGAATATCAAAGAACTCACAGGGCAGAGGAAAGCTTCAAATATTATGAATGAGGGAAAATTTCCATTCATCTCATAATTCATACTAGAGAGACTCCCAGTGAATGGCACCAGTGGAGGAAAATCCTCAGACGGAGGCGAGCTGTTATTGGAGATGCGAAAATCACAGGGGAGGACAAAGCATAGAAGCGCGTGGAACCATGTAACAGCTTGCACCTGAAAGCATCACACGGGAGAGAAGTTGCATCCTCAATGAATGGCGTTCCAAAAAAGTGCAACCACATCAAGCATCAGACAAGCCATTCTGAGCTCAGTCTTTGCAATGTAATGAATTGGGGGTGGTAATCATTTGAGAAGAAATCAGCCCTTACTCATCAGCCAATGGTTCCGACTGGAGAGAGGGAGGGTGCTCATCATGGATGATGAAGCTCTCGGGGTGCTCCGATCACATATAACAAAGGAGGCTGCAGAAGGGGCCTGAGGAGGGCTGTCAGGGGGTCCTAGGGGTACACGTGACATAAAAAGTTCACAAGAGGAAAACATTTCAGATGAAAGGGGCGAACTTAGAAAGTGATTTCGGGCCGGGCACAGTGGCTTGCACCTGTAATCCCAGCACTTTGGGAGGCTGAGGTGGGGCAGGGGGAGGGGAATCACTTGAGGCCAGGAGTTCAAGACAAACCTTAGCAACATAGCAAGACCCCATCTCTACCAAAAATAAAAAATAAATCCATAAAAAATTTTTAAAAGCTTTTTTTGGAACTTGTCCTCTTAGAACCAGGAATGGCTGTGGGGAACGCAGATACCCTTCAGAGGAGTTTGCTCAGAGGACACAATTGTGCACGTGTGATCCTTGGGGCGACTTGCAGGGGTACCCTTATGCCATGCACAAGAATCCAGCCCAGCAGTTCTCAAAGTTTCCTTTTCCCACAGAGCTATACATTTTCTTTATCTTCCCTCCTCCTTCCTCTTTGTCCTTTGGTAAAGTCCAACGTCAATTTTTCTGTTCCTTGTTGTTGCCTTGGGAGGGTGTCCTGGCACCTGTGTGTTCACATGTTGTCTGCCTGGCCTGCCTATCAAGAGGCTGGTGGCAGGCCAGACACAGTGGCTCGCCCCTGTAATCCCAGCACTTTGGGAGGCCAAGACGGGCAGATTGCCTGAGGTCAGGAGATCAAGACCAGCCTGCCCAACATAGTGAAACCCCATCTCTACTAAAAATACAAAAATTAGCTGGGCATGGTGGTGCATGCCTGTAATCCCAGCTATTAAGGAGGCTGAGGCAGGAGAATCACTTGAACCAGGGAGTTGGAGGTTGCAGTGAACTGGGATTGCACCACTGCACTCCAGCCTGGTGACGGAGTGAGGCTCCGTCTCAAAAAACAAAACAAAAAAACCCAGACATGGTGGTGGGTGCCTGTAATCCCAGCTACTTGGGAGGTTGAGGCAGGAGAATCATTTGAACCCAGGAGGCAGAAGCGGAGGTTGCAGTGAGCCGAGATCACACTACTGCATTCTGGCCTGGGTGACAGAGTAACTCTGTCTCCCAAAAAAAAAAAAAAAAAAAAAAAAAAAGGAGGCTGGTGGCCACTGGGGAACATGCCCCAGAGGATACTGTGATGGCTGCTTCATGCATTCCTTCATTCTTTTCATGTCTTTGGAGCATCTATTCCATGCCTGGCACTTCTCTTTGTCAGGGGATAGAGGAAAGGGCAACCTTGGGAAGGACAGAGGTGGATCAGGAAGTAGCGGCTGCTACTTGAGATTTTTTTTTAATGTATATGTAGGTACATACCCTAATTATAAAATATATGTGGTCCTATTTTTCTTCAGTGACAATTTTACTTCTGTTTACTTCTATCTAGTATAGTAACCATGTAACACAATTTGTTCAGGGTCCTTTTATAGCTGCTGGGAAGCTTTGCCATGAAAATTGCACCAAAATATAAGTATAGGCAGGGAAGCTAGTTTTAGGTATATCAGCCATTGGTTTGTTATGGGCTCAAAGAAGGATAGGTAGTTGAAAATTATTTGGATGTCTGTATTCTGTTTAGAATTTGGAGTGGTTTTGGACATGATAATTTAATTTGAACTAGGTCATTCCTGATGTTATTAATAGGTTGTCTTCTTTAGTTTTCTGCATTCTTATTAATTCTTGATTTCTAGGGTGTGTTTTCTCCCTGTGTCCTCCCCTAATCTTATACCTGCTTCTCCTCAGTTTGTGTGTATGCACATGTACATGCAAGGATTTTTCTGATGAATGTGCAGGGGGCAGTGTTGTACTTAGTTTTACTTTACTTTTGCCAGATTCTACTAAAAATTTTAGCTGAATTTAGCCCTGTTTATTCAACTAAATAAGATACTTGGAGATTTATATCTAAAGGAAGAATCTCAGTCATTGTAAATAAATGACCTAAAGTCATTATTCTGGAAATCAACCAGAGAAATTCCTTTCTGGAGTTTTACATCTCTTTTGGAACTCTTTTGATATGATAGCTGTATGACTTCAACACTTCTGAAGTAAATGGATTTGGTGTTTATATATCAACTTTACAGTTTTAAAAAAAAAAGACCAGCATAATACTTTAACTTTAGATTACAACTTTGCATCATTAAAAAAACAGTAAAGGATGTGGAAACAAGGAGCCATATAGGAATCTAAGAAGCATGTAATAAACATAAGACTAATGTACTAATTATGTATGGTGCTCTTTTGCTGACTACTTCCATTTTAGATAAAGAAATCCAAGAACATAACGTTAAAATACATGAATTTCCAGAAACAGATGATGAAGAAGAAAAAAAACTTGTTAAAAAGATAAAGGTAGGTTCATCCCTGTACATACACTAAAGTAATCTGAGGCCTTAAAAACATACTACAGCGTCCACAGGAAAGATCAAAAGTATCAGTGTTTTAAGTAGTTGGCTTACAAAATACCTAGGGAGATTTAATGTTGAATTCAACTTTATAGTTAACTTTGAAGATTAGCTAGTAGATATAATAAGCAATTGTGTAAACTACTGAGGTGAATAACACAATCCTTATTTCAAATTGTTTTTAATTAACTGGCTTTCATATTATATAATTTTTTCCCTCTTAAGAAACAAGTGATGAGAAAGGAGAGAATTCCTTCTGTTATGTTTTAATTGCCAGACAAAAATTGTATTTCTTTTATCTTTATAAAAGCCAACAAAAATTACAGCTAGATAGGAGGAATAAGTTCTAGCGTTCTGTAGCATTGTAGGGTGGCTGTAGTTAACAGTAATTTAGTCTATATTTTCAAATAGCTAGAAGAGAGGATTATGAATGTTCCCAATACAGAAAAATAAGTGTGAGTTGATAAATGTGCTAATTACCCTAATTTGATCATTACATATTTGTATACAGGTATCAGAATACCATACTCTACCCCACAAATATGTACAATTATGTTTCAATTAAAAATAATAAAAACCAACCAAAAATTCACATCAACACAATTTTCTGTATTTTAATTTATTGTGGTTTTCTAAGTACTTTGTCCCTGAAAATGGTATACTGAATAATGGCATTATGTAGGCAAATACCTTGGAATAATGAAATGCTTATACCTCGCCAGTGAAGAATTTCTGCAGTTATATAAAATAGCTGGTTAGATATTTCCGGGAGCCACAGAATTGTGAAGGGCTATACATGGATGAATACAAATCCAGTCACCTGGATTTGAAGTTCCAAAGTTAGAGCTTAGCAAATATACTATTCCCTGCTTTAGGTACTGTTACAGTTGGTTTGTGATCAAGTAGTCAGGCTAGTCATTAGCCTCCTTTTATTTTCCCAGATGCTAATATATTTTTTACCTTTTTCCCCCCAAGTATGGGACAACTTTCTGTAGTGATTTTTAGTAAATAATTTGACCAGTATATGCTTGAATATTCTTAACTTTAAAGAGAATATTTAATTTTATTTATTATTTACCTTGGTGGTAATATCATGTGATGTCAATTTACTAAATATTGGTTAAATGGCCTATAAAAGCTAATGCAGAAACTATCAAAAGTAATTTTTTTTTGGCTAATCTGTTGAGTCATGTAACTTTTTTTATTCTTGAAATTTGTGAATACTATAGAGATGTATTTGAACAAGAATACTTTGTTTTATAGGACCATTTACCTCTTGCTGTGGTGGGTAGTAATACTATCATTGAAGTTAATGGCAAAAGGGTCATAGGAAGGCAGTATCCTTGGAGTGTTGCTGAAGGTAAGGTTTTCTTCAGTGAATGAGTTTCTATAAGATCTCAAAACTGTGATTAAAAATTTGTATTTATAGTAAGGAGTATAATATGCATACTGTATTGATATAATCTAGATTTCAAGGATAGTACTGATTTCAGGTTCTTGTAGTCTCATTTTCCTCTTAAATACATTCATGGTTTTCAAACCTGTATCCTACTAAGTCAGGCAAGTATGTGTTAAGTCCTAAAGTTGTAGTATAGGTTGAACATTCAAATTTTTTTTTTTTTTTTTGAGATGGAGTCTCACTCTGTCACCCAGGCTGGAATGCAGTGGCATGATCTTGGCTCACTGCAACCTCCGCCTCCCGAGTTCAAACGATTCTTCTGCCTCAGCCTCCCAAGTAGCTGGGAATACACGTGCGTGCCACCACGCCTGGCTAATTTTTGTATTTTTAGTAGAGACAGGGTTTCACCATATTGGCCAGGCTGGTCTTGAACTCCTGACCTTGTGATCCACCCGCCTCAGCCTCCCAAAGTACTGGGATTACAGGCGTGAGCCACTGTGCCCGGCCTAGGTTGAATATTCTTAAAGAGAAAATTCAAAATATGAATTGCTCCAAAATCTAAAACGTTTTGAGCACCGGCATGCCACTCAAAGGAAATGCTCAGTGGAGCATTTTGAATTTTGGATTTTTGGATTAAGGATGCTCAGCCAGTAAGTATAACACAGATATTCCAGAATTCCAAAAAAATTCAAAACACTTCTGGTCCCAAGCATTTCAAATAAGGGATACTCAACTTGCCCCACCCTGGCTGGCATCCCTGCCTCCTTATTAAGTCTATTTCTGTGTTCTTATTTGAAAACATAACTAAAATTGAGGGGTTCTTTACCTGGGGCCCTAAGTTTGCTCCCAGGGAATCTAATGAACCTCCTGGAATTAAACATTTTGGAGAGAAGGCCAGTCACTTTTATCGGAATGTCAGATGGGTCATGGACCCTCAAGAATTATTTTAAAAATGTATAAGCCCAGTTAAAACATTCACAGTCTCCTTTCCTCAGTGCAAAAGTTGCCTTTTTTGACATCGCATATTTAGAGTAAAAAAATTTCATTAGTAAAAGATACTCTTTACTAGTTTTGTAAGGAGTTTTTTGTTTTTTAACCTGCTATCTTAAATTATTAAGGGTTAAGTAAGGGGTTTTAAATACCAAAAAAATCTTATTTATAACACCAAACCTCAGAAGTCCTTCCTCTTGGCAATAGGTTTATTGTATTGGTTTAATCTGATATTTAATCTTCTGTATTATAGTAAGCTGAAACCAAAATTGAGACATGATTGTTTTATGTTTGTTGCTATTATTTTTGAATTTGTTTTTTTTTTTTTTTTTTTTTTTTAAGAGACGAGGTCTTGCTATGTTGCCCACCTGGCCTCAAACTCCTGAGCTCAAAGTGATCCTCCCAAGTCATGCTCCTCCCACATCACATCACTATAGGCACACACCACTGCCCTTGGTTTATTTTGAACAATTCTTTAATTTTTAGGATATTGTTTCAAGTTACTGTCCTTATTGACAATTTTCCCGCCAGTGACCCCTGTACCTTGTTCCCAGCTCTCTCTGTCATGCCCAGGCAACTTTCAGTTGCTGAGTTGAGGCTTTAGAACTTACATACCCCTTAAAAATAGGCACCAGAGAAATTGATTTGCATCTCTCTTTTGTAGTTTACCCCTCTACTCCCAAGTAATATTCCTGTTTGTGATACATTCTTTAAAAATAAAAGTAAAGAATCTTAAAGTTCTTGGCTCCCTTTTTCATTTTGGTTACCTTAAGATTTTTTTCTAAAGTGATTCTCCCTTCACTTACACCACTGAATTTTTTAAATGTATTATATAATAAATATATTTTTTACCAATAATGAGAAAATACGTGATTTCCCCTTTCAAAATTTCAAAGTTGTTTCCGGAGAGCTCATTTTAGTTAGGTTGACATATCTGTTTCTGAGGATTAAACTACAGTAAGGTAATAATATAGTACACTTCTCTGTCATGCCCTTACACTGAGTACTATGTTAGTGTTAAATCTCAAAAAAATTGATCTGAGCTGTTTTGCATTTCCCCTCCCTTTTTTTTACCCCCCAAGTTACTGTGAAATATTTTTTGAAAAGACTAGGCTTAGTGAAAATATAATATTTGTGGTCTATTTTTTTCTTACAGTTGAAAATGGTGAACATTGTGATTTTACAGTTCTAAGAAATATGTTGATAAGGTAAGTGCAAGCAATGATGGAAATAGCATAAGATTTTCTTTCCCTAAATAAGAGTTGGATAGATTTACTTTTTGCCTTCTATAAATGTAGCTAATTTAAATTTATATCTTCAGTCTAGTAATGAAGTAAGCACTACAGGTAGACGATTCTTTCTCCAAGGTTTTGAAGTCATCAGCAAAAGTTACAAAATAATTTGTGTGTCTAGGGATACATAGGAAAATTAGTCTCTTTGCTTTATCGTTATACTTTGTGTTGAGGTTTAATACTGAAATAACTATGGAAAGTGAAATAGAAGAGGCTCTTTTTCTTTCTTAATGTGAAAAACTTGTGAAAACTGTATAAGGGAAGGCTAGTTTTTGAGTCAAAAGCTAGAATTTGAATGTTAAAAGGTGCACAACCTGGTAGCTGGTGAGTAGGGCATATTTTATGTACTGGAACATAGTGAACAAAACCATTCTTCCTATCAGATGAGAAAAAAAAAATCCCTACATTGTGTCTTGCACACCTGCTGAAAGAGAAGGAAAGCCTATGGGAGCAGGACATTGAGGCCATCCCGATTAGAGGACCAGGACTAGTAAAGAGGAGCTCTTACTAATGAATTAGAAAAGCAGCAGCAGAGAGGAAATCATGAAGAAAAAGTATAATAGGACTAGAGATGTTAGTAGACAAGGAACAGAAAGGGCATCAAAATGATCCTCAGTGTTTTCATATTGAGACACATTCCTTCCTCTCCCTACCTCACTCCCCATTTCCCACTTCTCTCTCTTGCTTCTCTATGCCTTTACCACATACTCTCTTCAACCTCCAGTTTTAGATGTCTGTCTTAAGTTGATATCTATTCATTTTCGTACCTCTTACCCACTTTCCCAAAACGCAAGAATCTCTTTAGCTATGTAAAGAAAGGTAGTAACATAAATATGGATAATAATTGGAAATCATGGAATAACAAGAAGGTAATTCTCACAAGTGAGAAGTGAGGGGGAAAATTTAAGAGAGTCAAACTGCTACCTCAAGAAATACAATAGAGATGAGAGTGAATTTTGAAATGAAAGAAATTGACATGTAATTGATCTTTATTTTCAAAGGAGCAGGTGTTTTTGGTAGGAACTGCATGACAGGGTTGATTGAGCAGTTGGGGTTGCCAGGCCTCAATTAGGGGAGAAGAGCAAAAGCACGAGAAGGTCATCCTCTGGGTTTTGAGAATACAACACTTCAGGCTCTATTATGAACCATTCCCTTCCTCTTCCATTCTTAAGGTGTGACTTCAAAAGGATACATATTAATAATATAATCTGCTGTGACAGTATATAAGTAGAGAATGTTTAATAAATACTAATTACCATTGCATTCCTCTTATTTTTAAATCTTCTATGGTACTTGCCCAGTGCTTGACATGGTGGCATTCTATAACTTTTTCTTGTGTATTTTAAAAGTATACAATCAATAATTTCCTACATACCTAAAACACTGTAGAGGGGAAAGCTAGTTACTAAGCCAGAGGCTACTTTGTTGAGATAGAGTCTCGCTCTGTTGCACAGGCTGGAGTGCAGTGGCACGATCTTGGCTAACTGCAATCTCTGCTTCCCGGCTTCAAGCAATTCTCCTGCCTCAGCCTACCGAATAGCTGGGATTACAGACATGTGCCACCACACCCGGCTAATTTTTGTATTTTTAGTAGAGATGGGGTTTCAGCATGTTGGCCAGGCTGGTCTCAAACTCCTGACCTCAAGTGAGCCACCAGCCTTGGCCTCCTACAGTGCTGGGATTACAGGTGTGAGCCACCACGCCCACCCAGCCCAGAGGCTACTTTGAATATTTGAAAGTTCACAGCCTGGCAGCTAGTGAGGGTCCTCCCTAGTATAAGCATTACAGAGCAAATTGACCATGCCTGCAGGAAGATTTAATACAGCAGAGCAGCAAGCCTTTTATGCCTAAAAATTCTAAAGTTATACATTATTAGAAAGATGTATATTTAATTTAGCTCATGTCTTTAAGACAAAGGCGTTTACTGGATATTTAGTAAGTACCTGAAGGAAGGAAATACAATATCAGTATTGCAGATGTCTGTAAATCCCAAGTAATTGAAATCTTCAGGTCAAAGGAGTAGTGATTGCTTCTAAGAAAGAGTCAAGTTCAAAGAAGTGTTTGCTAATCAAGAGAACTGACTTACTCCAGGCAAACCAAAGAAGGCAATGGAAAGGAGGAAAACTATACAAATATTTTCAGGGTGTGGAGATGGGTGTTTCAGAAATCAAATACGGAAAGAAAACAAAAGGAGAACAGAAAGAGTTATGGTACAGCAATGGGAAATGGAAGAGACAAATTCCTGAAACTGTGGGGAAACTGTATTGCTAATTACCAAATTATTTTGAGAATGGAGGAGTGGGTTGAATCATAAAAGGTTAAAGCATATTTAATTAAATGGAAATAAAGACATATAACCTGAAAAAATCAGAATTATGTAGTCATATAGAAGTGAAAGTGATTTTAGTGAAAGGAAAATCATCCATTATCTAAAACATTAGATGACACTAACAAAAATAGCTTAACAATTAGTAAATTCACCTTACCTTTATTTTACACATTCATGCAAACATTTCATGTAAGTATTCTTCCTTAGAACCTTTAATGATTTTTCAGTGATGTAGTGATGATATGTAATATGTAATAATTAAAATTAGGCCGGGCACAGTGGCTCACGCCTGTACTCCCAGCACTTTGGGAGGCCAAGGTGGGAGAATTGCTTGAGCTCAGGAGTTTAAGACTGGCCTGAGCAACATGGCGAAACCGCGTCTCTACTAAAAATACAAAACATAGTTGGGCATGGTATTGCATGCCTGTAGTCCCAGCTACTCAGGAGGCTGAGGCGGGAGGATGGTTTGAGCCTGAAAGGCAGAGGTTGTAGTGAGCTGAGATCGTACCACCACACTCCATCCAGCCTGGGCGACAGAGCAAGACTCTGTATCAAAAAAAAAGAAAGAAAAAAATTACATAAACTTTTTTTATATTGGCATAGGTGTTTATTCTTATCATTCGCCACTTAGAGAAACTGGTAACAATAATTTATTCCAAAAAGTGTTTATCATATCTTAGCTTCAATCTTGAGTTACCAATTTTGTTAAAATTCCTATTTTCTGCTATCTGCATTGGGACACAAAAGGTAATGGTGTGTTCCTTGTAAAGGGGGACTTATAGTTGAAGAGGTATGATGTCACCTGTGACATATACTTGTACCAAAAATGAATGACAACCAAGAAGAAAATGTTCATGGTTGGAATGCTTTGATGTCAAGGCTGGGACAAAGGTTTCCAAAGCAGTTGAACTCTTTGACGAGAGATTGACAAATTAGCATGAACTGTTCAGTGTCAATCACCAGATATGCCAGGAGTAGGGAGCTGTCTGACTTGCCCGAAGTGGAGTAGTAGAGCTTTAGAAGTAACTGTTGTGGCTATAAGAGAACATGAATTTATCAAGGGACAAAGTCTGGGAGATGAGATTTTTGGAAAACTCAGACTTAGGACTAAGGGGAGTCAACTATCAGAGAATTGCATGGAAATGTCAGTACGATATGAATCAGAGTAATTGAATATCACATTTTATTCCCAAAGGGGGAGATTCAAGAAGCTGGATTGTGAAGTAACAGTAAAGGTTTTCTGGATGTAAGGAATGATAAAAACAGTACAACAATACGCTTTTTTTTTTGAGACGGAGTCTCACTCTTGTACCCAGGATGGAGTGCAATGCACGATCTTGGCTCACTGCAACCTCCATCTCCTGGGTTCAAGCGATTCTCCTGCCTCAGCCTCCCAAGTAGCTGAGATTACAGGTGTCTGCCGCCACGCCTGGCTGATTTTTGTATTTTTAGTAGAGATGGGGTTCCACCATGTTGGCCAGCCTGGTCTCAAACTCCTTGAGCTCAGGCAATCCACCTACCTCGGCCTCCCAAAGTTCTGTGATTACAGGCATGAGCCACCACACCCAGCCAACAATACACCTTTATGTTTGTCTCCCAGAAGGGAGTTTTAGTAAAGTGGTGAAGATGAATGATGGCAGATATAGGAAGTTTGAGACAGAATAGATGATGGGAAGAGGGAGAACTGACAATACAGAGTATTGCCACACCGTGTATATCCAAGAACACTACATTGGTAAAGGATATCCATGGAGCAGCTAAGGGTATCTTCAGTGTCTTGAATAATTAAATAATGATGACATCATCCTGTATTTATTGTAGATTTATCTCATATGTATTGATTTTATATATGATGGAAATGCTGTAAGCAAAAATTTGTTTAACCAAAATACCACATTCACCTAGACAGTTTGAAGAAACAGAAATTTACTCTAAAATTCCCTAGTTTGAAAACAACTTGATATGTCATCTGAAATGTATTATTATGTCTTAATAAAAACTCATATATTACCTTAGTAATATTGCTAAAAGGCAGTTACTTTTAGATTTTATGAGCTTCAGTAGTAGCTAATCTACACTCTCTTGTCTAGTATTTAAATAGATAATACAAAAATGAATACTCTTTCATAGAAAGGTCATCCTTCAGTAACTGCTTTGGGAGATTTGTGTTTTTTTTTTTTCTTTTTTGAGGATTCATTTTCTTTATTTAAAAAAATGTTTTTGGCCGGTCGCGGTGGCTCACGCCTGTAATCCCAGCACTTTGGGACGCCGAGGCGGGTGGATCACAAGGTCAAGAGATTGAGACCATTCTGGCCAACGTGGTGAAACCCTGTCTCTACTAAAAATAAAAAAATTAGCCGGGCGTGGTGACACGTGCCTGTAGTCCCACCTACTCAGGAGGCCGAGGCAGGAAATCGCTTGAACCCAGGTGGCGGAGGTTGCAGTGAGCCAAGATTGCGCCACTGCACTCCAGCCTGGCGACAGAGGGACAGAGGGAGACTCCGTCTCAAAAAAAAAAAAAAAAAAAAAAAAAAAACAAACAGAAAAAAAATGTTTTCCCTTATGTTATTTTAGGAATCAAGCAACATGGGACGTGTTGAGGAGACAGCACAATCGGGCAGGGAGGAGGGTTGAAGAGCAGATAGGCTCTCTGGGAAAGCGGAGGACAGGGACGGGGAGAGAGGGTGGGATGGAGAGGGCATCCGAGGGGAGACGGTCAGAGGTCGACTGCTGTCTCAGGCCCTTTTTCAAAGTCATCCCAGCTCTTTGAAAGGGGCTCATTTGCCATTTAAGAGCTGTTGATGTTTCTTTAAAAATGAATCTGAGGGTGTGTGGCTGGGCAGCAGGCACCAGCACCAAGAGGAGGACAAACAAGGTCCCTGGGCTGAGGATCCCACCGTGGGCAAAGCCTGTAGTGCAGAGAAGTGGCGGGAAACTTAGGGCTCCAAGAGGCAGACCTACAGGGAGCTGGCCATTTGCACCCACCCTTCCTATCCTAGGCAAAAGAGAGAGCGAGCTGAGGAAAAGTTAGAACTAGGCTTCTTTAAAGTAACAGATTAAGCACTATTTAATTTCTGCTCTAGACCTCAAAGGAGTTAAACCAGGCGACTTCCACCAGATTTTCTTGATTCTGTGTTTATTCCATGAGAAGCTGTGGGCTCGATCCTGTACAAGTTCTAGAACTTCGTGGAACCTGCAGAACCTATATGGGCAATTGAAGTGAGTGGAGAAACCAGGAATCTCAAAATATCTCAATATAAAGACACCACTCCTTCCCCTCTCTTCACTGCTCCCGCAAAAGCAGGTCCTCCACGCCACTGCTGCCTACCCAGACCGCTGCACTCTCACTAATGAGGCCATTTCTTTCTTGACTTCGCTGTGCTCTTGGCCCAGTGACAACAATCAGAAATAATCCGGCGCGATCAAGCCCATGCTACCCTGGACAGGGAGTAATATTTCCATCCAAGGCCTCCCTAGTGGCTTTCCCTCTCTGAGCAGCGGGGACATGGAGCAGCTGTCAAAACGCCAAGGGAGGCCCAGGAAAGATGCTCATCTCCGGGGAGGAGCGGAGGGGACAGCCAGCATGTCTTCAGCCAGGAAGGGGGATGACAGCACAGGGCAGCCTGTGGGGGGCATGGCGGGGTGAGAAATCTTCCTGTGGCTGTGGAAATCTTGATAAGGTGGCGAATGTGTTGTATAGTGGCATCCTGAGGGCTGCCTGCCCTCCCAGGCACCCAGGGCAGGCAGGCAAGCTGCACGCTGTCATCGCCTAAGTCAGAGGCATTGGGCACGCTTAATTACAGGGGAAGCAGAATCTGACTGCACTTTCTGTGCCAGCTGCTGAGTTCGTTTGCATCGTCATTTTTTTTTCCTTTTTCATACCTCAATGGAATAAATCTGAAAGATGTTTAGAGCTAGATTTTCACCAGCAGGTCTTCAGAAATGAATACAGGGATGAGGAATTTCATCCATTTATCCTTGCGTTGGCTGAGCAAATATTTATTAAGTGCCTGTTTTATCCAGGTACTGTGCTTGGTGCTAGGGGGGTTCTCAGATTTGTTTTCTAAGGTGAAACAATAGGAATTTGGAGCCACCGATATTTTCCATGCTCATCACAAGGGAGAGGGGAGCTATAATATTTGGACATCACAATGAGGTAAACTGGAAGTAATCAGCCCAGAAGACACTGCCTGGTTCCTGGAAGGTGAAGATTGAGATGCAGGCTCATAGGTGGGAAGCTCTGCCTTAGATCTGGGCATTGTGATATTTCCATTAATGAGGCATAAGGTGGAAAGGTGGTGCCTGTCATCTGGGCTTGACAATCTCCTCAGTGCCCTAGAAGAAAGTCTTCCCTCCTATGGCGATTTCTCTTTCTCTTTCTTTTTTTCTTTTTCTTTTAAATTATACTTTAAGTTCTAGCGTACATGTGCACAACATGCAGGTTTGATCCATAGGTATATGTGTGCCATGTTGGTTTGCTGTACCCATCAACTCATTATTTACATTAGATATTTCTCCTAATGCTATCCTTCCCCCAGCCCTCCACCCCCTGACAGGCCCCAGTGTGTGATGTTCCCTGCCCTGTGTCCAAGTGATCTTATTGTTCAGTTCTCACCTATGAGTAAGAAGATGTGATGTTTGGTTTTCTGTCCTTGTGATAGTTTGCTGAGAATGATGGTTTCCAGCTTCATCTATGTCCCTGCAAAGGACATGAATTCATCCTTTTTTATGGCTGCATAGTATTCCATGGCGTATATGTGCCACATTTTCTTAATCCAGTCTATTGCTGTTGAACATTTGGGTTGGTTCCAAGTCTTTGCTATTGTGAGTAGTGCTGCAATAAACATACGTGTGCATGTGTCTTTACAGCAGCGTGATTTATAATCCTTTGGGTATATACCCAGTAATGGGATTGCTGGGTCAAATGGTATTTCTAGTTCTAGATTCTTGCAGAATCGCCACACTGTCTCAATGGTTGAACTAATTTACGCTCCCACCAACAGTGTAAAAGTGTTCCTATTTCTCCACATCCTCTCCAGCATCTGTTGTTTCCTGACTTTTTAATGATCGCCATTCTAACTGACGTGAGATGGTATCTCATTGTGTTTTGATTTGCATTTCCCTGCTGACCAGTGATGGTGAGCATTTTTTCATGTGTCTGTTGGCTGCACAGATGTCTTCTTTTGAGAAGTGTCTGTTCATGTCCTTTGCCCATTTTTTGATGGGGTTGTTTGTTTTTTTCTTGTAAATTTGTTTGAGTTCTTTGTAGATTCTGGATATTAGCCCTTTGTCAAATGGGTAGATTGCAAAAATTTTCTCCCATTTTGTAGGTTGCCTGTTCACTCTGATGGTAGTTTCTTTTGCCGTGCAGAAGCTCTTTAGTTTAATTAGATCCCATTTGTCTATTTTGGCTTTTGTTGCCATTGCTTTTGTTGTTTTAGTCATGAAATCCTTGCTATGGGTCTTAAAATCTCTATGGAATCTAAATTTGGTGTCAAGTTAGCTTATTTTTTATTCTACTTTGGGTGTAAATGAAAACAGATGAATGCCACCTTCCTTAACAATAGTCTTTTGTTCATTTTAAATCTGAAATTTTTGTTTTGGTAACATTTTGAATGTATATTAAAGCTTTTTTCAGCTTCCCCCCCCCAGCTATTAATAGAAACAAACTCTTGCTGTTTATTTATGACAGAACACACGCAGGACTTGAAAGATGTTACTAATAATGTCCACTACGAGAACTATGGAATCAGAAAACTGGCAGCTGTGACTTATCATGGAGTTGATAACAAGAAGAATAAAGGGCAGTTTGCTAAGTAAGTATATATTTTTTCTCCAAAAAAAGGTATTCTTTCTGTAGTCAATAATCATATTGTTTCATTTTCATTAAATTTCTCCTGGCTACTCAGTAGAAAATTTGGATAATATTCTCTATGCACAACAGCATAAATTTATATTGTTATGCTTTGTTAATAGTAGAAGCTTTTTTGAATGAACCATTTTGATAGAGTTTTCACTTACAGATTGTGTGGAAACAAAGGACAGGCTTTAAGAAAAGGAATATTTAGATGAATTTATTCTTGGTTACCTTCTCTAATCCTATTCCAGGGAGTAAATTACTTGGAGTTTCAGTTTCTTCTTTTGGTTGTTAGAGTGGTGTAAGTGACTATGAAGTGTGTAGCTTTGCCCTATTGAGCTTATATCTCAAGCTGTGGTAGTTTCATGTTGGGGTCAAAAAAAGAGATGTGTGAGGAAGCTGATAACCATGTCTGTGCCCTACTTTTAAAAAATTTGTCATTATTGAAGATCACAATTACATCATATGTCACTTAGCAATGGGGATACATTCTAAGAAATGTGTCATTGGGCTATTTCCTCATTCTGTAAACATGATTGAGTGTACCTACATAAACCTAGATGGTAGAGCCTTCTGCACACCTAGGTTATGCGGTCTAGCTATCGCTTGTAGGCAGTAAACCTATACAGCATGTTACTGTATGGAATGTTATAGACAGTTGTAACATAATGTTAAGTATTTGTGTATCTAAACATAGAAAAGGTGCAGTAAAAATACAGTGTAAAAGATTACAAATGGTATATCTGCATAGGGCACTTGGTGTGAATGGAGCTTGCAGGACTGGAAGTTGCTCTGGGTGAGTCAGTGAGTGAGCGGTGAGTGAATGTGAAGGCCTAGGACATTACTGTACACTACTGTGGACTTTATGAACACTGTACACTTAGGCTATACTAAATTTACTTTTTAAATTTATCTTTAGTAAACTTATTTTGCTGTAACTTTTATAATAAATTTTTAAAAACTTTTTGATTCTTTTGTAGTAACACTTAGCTTAAAACACAAACACATGAACAGATGTACAAAAATATTATCTTTATAATCTTTATCCCATAAGCTTTTTTCTATTTTAAAAGTTCTTTCTTTTTTCACTTAAAACTTTTTTTTGTTAAAAACGAAAACATAAACTTACACATTAGCCTAGGCCTATTCAGGGTCAAGATCATCAAAATGCTACCGGGCAGTAGGAATTTTTCAGTTCCTATGGGCCACCATCATATATGCAGTCCCTTGTTGACTGAAATATCATTATGCAGTGCATAGCTGTATTACGAAACCATTTTAAATAATGTGCATTTGTAGCTCGGTGTTATCTACCATTAGACAATAATCCTGACGGATCAACTATATAAATACATAATACAAGTTCTCAAAGTAGCTGTGGTGTTTTCCATAGTGGTTAACATGCTTTATCATGGAATAGAAAAATGTCCCTTCTTAAATATTTAAAATACAAGATTCTGTTTGAGGTAAGCCTCAATACATGAACAGAAGGAAGGCTTTTTATCTCTTTTTAGCAAAATGTTTATTGAGCAACTTTGGCACAAAAATGTAAGGATCCATCATAGTGAATATTGTTCATAAAATCCTAATTCACTTTAAACTCATTCTCATTAATGATGAATGTTTTAACTCATTAAAAGAAACACATACACAAAGCTACTGATAATTTTGTATATTAAAAGAAAATATACAAAATATACAAAAAATATATGTACTTATACAATATATTTTTTAAAACATTTGTTATGTTGTCGATATAAGGAATTGTTTAATTGTTCCCATGTCTCAAATGTAAGGCTTTTTAAAGTAGTGCTGTTGGATGCAGGTAAGATAATTCAGAGAAAAATAGTAAACTTTACAGTATCATTAAGTTTTTTTCCGCATACACAAAATTCTGTGTAGATACGTGAGTTAAACTATATCCCAGGTGAAAACATAAATAGTAGAATTCTACTGGAAATATATCTCTTAAAGAGAGGAATCATACCATACTTTTTCTATGCGAATAAGAAAAGAAATGTTTGCATTGCTAAAAAGCAAATTGCCCCAGGAGCTAGCATAATATTTTATTTTATGTTAATAATAAGTAGGAAAATAAACATTTGAGAAGATCAAGCCAACTAGGGAATGGCTGTAATTGGAATAGATATTTGATATGATTTGATAAATTAGATTGTTACTACTTCATTGAATAACACATACTGAATCTGAAAGAAATCGCTTAGAAGTTTATCTATTGGTTGTATCTTACATTGTCTTGAAAATGTTAGCAATTTCAAAAAATATTTTTGTTAAATTTTTCTTTAAAAGTCATTAACAACTTATGGTGCTTTAGCTGATGTAAGGTGCTTTTCCTCATAGCTCAGTACATATCCATGAATAACTGAAAAGAAAGACTAATGTTTAAGTAAGTGAAGTAAGCAGGTATGAGTTAGGCTTCTTTTAATGTTCTTTTTGTATTGCTCTCATGCGACTCTCCATAGCAATGTATTCTTTAACAGTGGTAGTGGGGAGGGGTTGAGAGTTGCAAGAATTTTGGAATGGAACATGAACCTATTGAAAATTTATAGTTAAATTGATCTTTGGCAATGTATGCTTCACAAAGTGCTAATCACACTTTGGTTTTAGAATATAAGCTAAACTTTTTAAAGATGTTAGACATTGAATAGTAAAATACATTCATGTGCCACATAACGATGTTTTGGTCAATGACTGACTGCATATATGACAAGATCCCATAATATTATAATGTCTATACCATAGAGCCTAAGTGTGTAGTAGGTTATACTATCTACGGTCATGTAAGTACACTCTGTTGTTCACACAATGACAAATGAATTTCTCTGAATGTATCCCCATTGTTAAGCAGTGCATGACTGTAGATCAATTTATCTTATATTTAAATTTTCTGAGGTAGTTTTGGGCAAACTGTAGAGGCTATTGAAACATGAAATAAAAATAAAAATTAAAAATACATGTGTAGATGTCTGAAAATGTGCCTTTCTGTTAATAGCCCTGGAACAATTCTATTTTAGAGGGACTTAAAACAAGAATTAGATGCGTTGTTTAAATCTGAAGAATAGCTGAACTTGTCCAGTCAGCTATAATTTGTCTCAAGGTTAGATCTGGAGAAGCGGATGCTGTTCTTAGCAGCTATCCAGTAATTACCTGTTTCTGACAAAGAACGTATGGAGCCATCAAAGTACTTCTTAACTCCTTAGAGAATATATCTTGCATCCCTTATGGAGGGTAGTGGGTGGCTGAAAGCCACAGAAAGGGTAGCCTCTCAAATCAAAGGAAATTCAGCAAGGGTCTGTAAAGGAAAGGGGAGAAGAGTTGGTCATATCAGATTGCTGATCTCTTAAAGGAAGTGATTCCCAATAAGAGGAGGGCCATCTTGTTAAACTTCCTTCTTGAACTTTTATCTGCCTCCTTTTTTCTTGATCTTCTTTGTACCTTTTACTTAAAATCACATTTGATTGGTGACTCTTTTTCAGAACTGATGTCTATCATTGGTACCAATTGTGACAATAGATACCTTGCTCCAAGTTGGGGCACACCCTAGTCTCTCTTTCCCTTATGTTAATTTATTTTTCTGTTCTCCATAGCCTTTTCCATCAGTCATCTTGGGAAAACTTTATAAGTAAATGACTAAAAATACAGGTTCCAAAGGCAGATCCTCAGAATTCTTCATACAAGAGTTTTCATTGATCTAAATAGAAATAAAGACAATTTTCTGAAAATTTCAAGTTGTTTCAAAAAATTAAACTTATTTAGTTATATCTTTTACTCTTTATTCAAGTGTCCTTTCATAAAATTATAATGATAGTAGTTGGAGTTTTGTTTATGTTTGGTTTTAATACTCTTACTTGGCAAAACAAGATGTTGGCAACCATTATTACTCAAAATTTTTGGAAATTTTTATTGATCTTTCAAGTTATTTAAGTGAAATTCCTTTGGAAAGTTTTGCACATAGTGACCTACTAACCACTGGAGCAAAAAAGTATGTAAATCTACTTGCTTAATGTATTCTTTAGGAAAGACAACCACACATAATTTAAATGAAACATGATTGTTTTTTATTATACTCCAAGGGTGGGTCACATGTAATGCAGCAAAGTAGAACTTGACTAGGTCATCCTTCTGTGGTGGCTGTAATTCTCTTATTGGTCACATGAAGGGGTGTGGCTTGCAGGAATTTTAACCTTATAAAGACAATCCTAGAAGGAGCTAAATCTTTGGGGATTTAGTTTCATATTCGGGTTATGTTGTAACCATTTTCTTTTGCTTGTTTTACTAGGCTTTTTTCATTTCTTTGGGTTTTTAATTTCGCTGATAGGTTTATAAGCTTTACTACTATATGTGTGTGTGTAAGAGTTTCCTATTTAAAAGCAGGCAGGCAATGATATAACTTAAATGGTTTTTCCAGCTGTTTAATAAAAGGTTTTACTTGGAAAAAAATAGTAAATGTGAAGACAAAAAGTGATTTCCCTATATTTTCTGCCTTGTAAGCATAATTCTTTATTTCAATTTTCTAAAAATTCATAAAGATGTCTAGAAGTGAGGTGTTAATTTACAAATTAAAAATGTAAAATATTTTTACTGGTGAGAGACTTCAAAAAATTCATTTTAAATATGCATGAACATTTTTTCACAGTATTTGAGTATGTTCGGTCAGATTATTTTTACAAGCCTAAAAACTTACAGTATCTTAACTGTTAAATATTGCAAATTTCTTTTAGAAAGTACACACATTTAGCAGGTTTAGAACTTTGAACAGACTGTCAGAAGATAATTGCACAGCATATTTATTTTCATAGTGATTTAGTGTAATGATTACAAACATAATTTGGGAAATAAATTAGCTTTAGCGAATTTTACTGTAAATTTTTTATTTATGGCACATACCTTCATAATTTAATTGTGAAAGCTACGCATTTGCCTTCAATTGAAGCTTTTAGCATGCTTTACTTTTAATGTGCTAAATCGCTAATTTTTGTTCCTTTAGATATGATACAGTTGAAGGCATGTAAGGCGGGGAATTGTTTTTCCAAAGACATAGTAGTTTTACTATACAGGGATTTTTAATACTTAAATTTTGAATTTAAAAGAAGTGTTTTTTTTTCCCTTCGAGATGGAGCCCTGCTCTGTCACCCAGGCTGGAGTGCAGTGGCACGATCTTGGCTCACTGCAACTTTTGCCTCCTGGGTTCAAGCAATTCTTCTGCCTCAGCCTCCCAAGTAGCTGGGATTACAGGTGTGCACCAGCACATCTGGCTAATTTTTGTATTTTTAGTAGAGATGAGGTTTCACCATGTTGTCCAGGCTGGTTTTGAACTCCTGACCTTGTGATCTGGCGGCCTTGGCCTCCCAAAGTGCTGGGATTACAGGCGTGAGCCACTGTGCCTGGCCTAAAAGAAGATTTTGAAACATCATTGAATGTTTTCTCTGCAGTCTCTTATTTTCCCCTTGTAGTTATTTAAATAATAATTTAGGTAGCAAAATTACCTGCTCCTTCCCAAGGATAAAGTAAAATAAACATTTTATAGATGAGTTATATAAGTAGGAGTAGATATTTAATTATATCTGATTTCTAATTTAATGTACTTACAATCACAATTATATTGTTGAATAATCTTAAGTTGCTTAAATATGCATATTCGGTTACTTAAGATTAGCAATTAATCGTTTTTAGATTATTTATTTTCTAGAGCCTAAAAAAGATTTTTGGGGTGTTAGGGGACAGTGGGAATTATAGACTCTTTGAAAATGTAACAAAAGCTTTGGACCCTTTCACTGGAAGAATGCTGGCAAACACATTTGGTATGCTGTTTCAGGGCAGTCACTGACGTTGTGTGTGCTCAGATCAGAGGCAACTATATTAAAAAACACCTGCCATTAATATGAGAAATATATTATTAAGAAGGATCTCATCAACTTTTAACCAAAAAAAAAAAAAAAAGATATTTACACTTGAAAATGTATTTCAGCTGACTCCACTTTTTTTGTTTTTTTTTTTTTTTGGAGACGGAGTCTCGCTCTGTTGCCTAGGCTGGAGTGCAGTGGCATGATCTCCGCTCACTGCAAGCTCCGCCTCCCGGGTGCCACCACACCCAGCTAATTTTTTGTATTTTTAGTAGAGATGGGGTTTCACTGTGTTAGCCAGGATGGTCTCGATCTCCTGACCTCGTGATCCAACCGCCTTGGCCTCCCAAAGTGCTGGGATTACAGGCGTGAGCCACCGCGCCCGGCCTCAGCTGACTCGCTTTTAAAATGCAGGTTCTTGTTCTAAGTTAATATGTCTGGTTACTTTCATTTTCAGAACTTTTGATCCATTGCTTAATTGGAAAAGTATATGGCAGGTTTGCATGTAGAAGTAAGTTTTCTTTCAGTGAAGAAATATCCTTGAGTTAAATAACATTTTATTCTAATTTACGCAATTGCGAAAACAGATCATCTTAATTAAGAAAAACTGATAGCCAGTATTCTGTCTTGTTTTGTTTTTAGCATTTTCACTCTAGCTCTCTTGCCTGCTTCCTTTATAGAAAAGATTGCTGTGATGGTTAGAAATATTTAGCCAAATAAGGAGAAAAGACACCATAATAAGAGTGTGTCAAATCAGGGTTAAAAGTTATGGGTGAAATCCAAGGTCTGGTTTTTGTTTTTAAGCCATGAGTTAATTCTTTTCTTAAAATTAGTGTATTACAATAAAATTTACCCATTTAAAATATAAACCTTAATGGTCAAAGCCTGTTTTTATGGAAACAAAACAAGCATGCTTTATTAACAAATTCAAAGAAGGATCTACCTCATTTAATTTGTCCCAGGGTATTGAATAATTTTCAGAGACTCTCAAAGCTAAGAGCCCACTTATCTTTCTGCTCCTGGGCTGAAAGCACTAGGTAATTTGGTATTCTCTTGTGTCTCTGTGAGTAAGTATATTGGCCTTAACATAAATCCCACCTGTAAATATATCTCAGTGTGAAAAATTTTGAACACAATTGTCCAAAGAGATTTGAGTCCATGGACTTTAACATCAACAGAGTGAATATTTTTTTTTTATTTAACTATGCTTATGTGTATATTCTGGCATTTAAAAAAATAAAATATTTGCTTCTGATTATCTCTAAAGTATGTGTGTGTGTGTTAAATCATTGAATTTAAGACTGAAATATTTGAGTTAAGTGGAATTAATTTTTTTTTTTTTTTTGAGACAGAGTCTCTCTCTGTCACCCAGGCTGGAGTGCAGTGGCGTGATCTCGGCTCACTGCAAGCTCCACTTCCCAGGTTCACGCCATTCTCCTGCCTCAGCCTCCTGAATAGATGGGACTACAGGCGCCCGCCACCATGCCCAGCTAATTTTTTGTATTTTTTTTCAGTAGAGACGGTGTTTCACCATGTTAGCCAGGATGGTCTTGATCTCCTGACCTCGTGATCCACCCGCCTCGGCCTCCCAAAGTGCTGGGATTACAGGCATGAGCCACCATGCCGGCCAAGTGGAATGAATTTTCAAGAGCACTGAAGTTACTATAAGAGGCCTAGAAATATTCTGTATACCTAAATAGTGCTCTAGGTATTGACTAGTAGTGATTTCCAACGTATCAGTTCAGTTACCAAAATAAATAATAATATTGTTCATTTTTGTGGTGTTAGTAGCTGTCTTAGAAGAGATTGTAACACTTGAAATTTTGGTAAAACTAAAAATACTCTACATACATTAACTTCATTACTCATTTCCTGTTTTTCATGTTAAAATGTTGTTTAAAGAACAAAATTAAATGATTTTCTTCTGATATTTTATTCTGTAAATGTATTTTGGGAATTTTTTCCCTCATTTTCCTTCTACAGTTTATTTGGTATGTCATCATCCTTAGATTTGATATGTAGTAGGTTTAGAGAACATCTTTGCTTTTTACATTTTTTTCATAAGTTTTATATATGAAATATCACAGAAAGAAGTTCTAGGTTATAAATATATTAATAATGGCATATATACATATATAGCATCTCTGTTTTCATCAAACTGTTTCATATTTCTATTATAATTTTTATTCACAGACATTTAATGATTACCCTTAATATTCGTGACAGGAGCCCTCTGGCACAAATGGAAGAAGAAAGAAGGGAGCAAGTAGCTAAAATTAAGAAGATGGAGATGGAGATGGAGCAGGTGTTTGAAATGAAGGTCAAAGAAAAAGTTCAAAAACTGAAGGACTCTGAAGCTGAGGTAATCAGTCCAATATTCCAGCTCTTAGCAGACATTGTGTTCCTTTTTAAATAGTATCTTCAGTAAAATTTATAGATAATATAACCTTCTTATACATATTTTTTAGAAATTAATACCCTAGCGTAACAAAATGGAGAAATTTCTAGAAGCAAGCCCTGTTTACAATAAAATAATATAGACTTCAATACATAAGTGCTTGGACATAGTGTATTAGGTAGGACAGCATAGTAGAGTACTTACAATGAATTATTAAAGTTATAATGAACAAGTGTGAGTTGTGAAAAATAAAATTATAAGCCATTCCATACAGGTGGCATAAGAACACTAAAGATGAGAGTTTGGGGGTGGATTTATGCACAAAAACTAGTGCTAGGATAATAATAATTGACCAGACTTACTTGTGTATGAATGAAAAAGAGGGAAATAACCTTTATTGAACTAAAGACATGCCTGGATAAATTACACACAGTTAAAGGAGAGAAAATTAGGGAATGTGATATTTTTGTTAACAGGTTGGCCTTCTTTATTTATAATGTAGTGTCAAGGTAGTTCCTGGTGTTACAACATTGGGCAGGGTAATGACAAAACATCCCAGCAGACATATCTACTATCTTGAAACCCTTCTAGATGTCGAGTTATACATTTAGTTTCTATTAATCAAAAAGACCTTGGAGACATTTCCTTCAGTAGGTGGCAAGAAAGAAAAGATGGAGAAAAGGATAAACTTAACATAAGAATCCATAGAGCAGTAGTTTGATAGATATCTGAGAATAGTAGAAAAAAAATTGGGTAATCCCAAAATAAATCAGTGATTTCAGTATGAAGTTTTCTCAACATAAATCTGTTATAATTAAAAATTACAGGCCCTTGGGAAGCGTGGAGTCTGGGACGCCCAGCGCGGGCCCGGAGCAGGGGGAAGGGAAGCGCAGCTCGGTCCGCGTGGGTGGAAGGGACGTGAGGCCGCCCTAAGGTGGTGGTCAAGGAAGGGCTCTACGGCTCCCAAGCTAGGCCAAACGCCTCCGGCGGCCGCGCCCAGGCGCCCCTTCCCCTGTGGGGCAACCCTAGCCGGGGACGCGTGAACCACCTCCGTAGCCGCCCCGCCAGCACCCCCAGCCGTGCGCCCCTGCACCACGCAGCTGCCCTGCGCATGGAGCCCAGAGGGACAGCAGGCCCGGCCCCCAGCACCACCGGCCTGCCGGGAGGTTCGGGAAACTGGCGTCGCAGCGGAGAGGGCATCAGGCCAACGCCTCCCCCGAGGCTCAGCTGCGGGCTCCCAGGCGTAGGCACCCATGGCCCTTACGCTGACCGTAGCTTGGACGCCGCTGCCGCCGGGGTCCAATGCCGGTCATGCCCATCCCGCGGGGGTTGTGCTCCTTCCATGGTCCACACACCACCTGCCTGCATGCGGTCTGTGGGCCCGTGGGCGCCTCCCACCTGGCCCGCACCAAGTACAACAGCTTCGAGGTGTGCATCAAGACGCGCTGGCTGTAGGGCTTCATCCACTTCCTGCTCTACTTCAGCTGCAGCCTGTCACTGGGGCACGCTGGCCGCCTTCTTCTGCCTGCAGTACTTGGGCGTTAGCGTCCTCCTGTGCTTCCAGCACAAGCTGTGGGTGCTGCTGCTGCTGCTGGGCCGCTGGCGCGTGGAATTCCGCCTGGTGAACGAGCTGCTCATCTACAGCATCCACGTCACCATGCTGCTGGATGGGGGCCTGGGCTGGTGCCTCATGGTCTTCGTGGACATGTGAGGGCCGTGGGCGCGAGCTTGATGTATCGTCCCGGCCTGTGGCTGTGTCCTCTCCATGGGTGGGATCGGCCAGGGCCTTCCCTTCCGCCCATCCCGCAGGCAGTCGCTGCTGCCCGGCGCCCATGGAGAGTAAAGAAAGGGCTAAGACTTCCGTGATGGTGCGAACGCCGTCCCTAGGCTGGCTTCCTGCGCCCACCCTCCCCGTGTGCACTCTCAGGGGCGGCGCCCACCTGCTGGTGGCTCCTGCTCCCACGTCTTCAGGTCGTACTGCGGGGTGGGCCTCTCTCCAGGACCACAGCTGCCAGGGACTTTAGACATCACCCTGGGAGGCCGCTGGACACAGAGGGCTGTGTGCCCAGGAGCAAATCCAGACGGGGGGGGCCCGCCTGGCTGCACAGCCCCTTCCTGCGTGCCCTGGTCCCAGCCGCAGCCAACGGGACACGGAAGACTCCCCTCCCTGACACACCACACTGCCACAAAGCTGCTTACTCTGCCCTGGGCCGCCTGAGGCCTGGCACTGCCCGCGGACCACCCTCTGTGTCTCACCTGAGGGGCTGTGTGGGTTCTGAAGCCCCAGCCAGCCTTCAGGGTCACCTTGGATTGTGTAGATGCAGTCTAGCAGGGGGCCGGAGTGGGGCTCAGGTGGGAGGGGTCTCAGCAGGCTCCCAGCTCGGGCTGGCCTGGGGGAACCCCGGGAGCCAGGGGCCAACTCCAGCAACACTGGCCTGTCTGCCTGTTCCTGTAGGGCTGTATGTCCTGCAGATGCTGTGGATTTCTGGGGAGGAACCTCCATTCCTTTCTGGCTTTTTTTGCGGGGGAGGACTTTGGGCCTCTTTCTTTGAGGGAACACCCTCAAAGAAAGCCTGGGAGATTGAGGCTGCAGTGAGCCAGGATGGGGACTTGCGCGTCCGAGTGTCCGGAGCAGGCGGCAGAGGCTTCAGTGTGGCAACCACAGCCCCGGAGCTTGTGTGGCACCAGCAGCGTCTTAAAGCCTCGGGTATATGCTGAGAACTACTCTTTGAAGGATGGAATGTTAACATTTAAAGGACCCGTGAAGAGCTCTGGGCCAAGTTCCCACTAATACTCTAAGCCATTAGAGAATTAGGCATGCTCATTCTAGATGCTTTGTCTTTTATGAAACCACATCTAGAGTGTGTTTACCAACATCCCTGTGGTAATGAGTTTGCAAATCATCATGTATATGATACATGTAAATACATAAATAGGTAAAGAAACCCTTTTAGCCTTAATACAGTTTCTCCTTAAATTCATTATGCTGGAAATATTTGGGGCACAGCCAGCAGCACAGTACATCAGCCACAGCACCAAGCAACTTTCATTTATTGTGTCATCTAGTGCACACCACAGCCCTACAAGGATATTATTGCCCATCTCCCCTTTATAGATGAGAAGAAGGATAAGTTAACTTAGTATGCCAGCATTTAAACCCAGTTAATTTTTAGGTTTGCTGTTAATTGCTAGATAGGTCTACAGTCCTGTTTTTCACAATTTCAGAATGGAAAAAGCTCTGAAAACTGCAAAACCTAAGATGAACTAAGTTTTAATCCTACATATTGTGAATATTTATATATTTTACTGAAAAAAATAAAAAGTAATGTGTTTGATTATGTTTGTTGCCCCAGATAGCCCAGGAGGTATTTTATAAACATATACTCCTTTCTAAGCAGTGTTGTCATTTTAATAACAGAAAAATGTTGAACTTTGAAAGGCATCTGACCCCATGGGTTTCTTAAGAGTGAGATTGTGACCTATACCTTTATCTACATGCAGTTAACACAAAAGATAATTACTTACATATGACATAAATGTAAGTTAAGGAATGATGAACACTGTAAGCCCCACCACCAGCTTAAAAAAATAGAATGTTATCAACTCATTTGAAGACCCTGTGTGCCTGTCCCCTATTGTATCCCTCTCTCTCCATTCCCAGAGGTAACTACTATTCCGAATTGTGTATATGTGGTTCCCTTGCATTTAAAAAAAATAACTAGAGACACTTTCTTATGTTCCTACTTTCTGACATTTTCTTAGTAACTTGTTTGCTGTCATCAGGAAGATTTCACCTGATTTGACTCATGTTTGCTTAAATGTGTCTTACGTGATTTTGTTTTGTAGGAATTGCATGAAATAATTGAAATAGGAATAAATCTGAAGTCACTTCGGGCTTGCAAAAAAGAAAACAAATTGTATGCAAAATTATATTATAATCCAAATTCAAGATGTTAACTCACCAATGTAGTAAAATCTATAACAGAACATAATTCCTGGATAACTGAAGGTTTTGAATAGCCCTTGGGTATTTGGCATAGTAGGATTTAATCTGATTTTTAAAATTTGTTGACTTTTTTCAGAAATGGATTGACTTGCGCCTAAATGAAATTACTTATCTAATGATCTCTTGGACGTAAAGCTCTTTGTTTCTTCAGTTATTTTGCATGAGTGTTTCCCACCTCTCAGTCAGCATTCTTTACAGCATTAATACACAGCAGAGGAAGGACCACCTGCATTAGAATCACTGTAACTTGTTGAAAATCCACATTTCCAGACTTAACACCCAGATATTCTTTTTTTTTTTTTTTTTTTTTTTTTAGTTGCACCAAAGGCGGATCCTAGCTAAAAAGGGCCCGCGCTGCAGATTCAATATAAAAACACAAAAAGTCCCACCAGTTTAGTAACAAAAACCCCAAAAGTGAAAACTGAGGGGGCAGAGGAAGAGACCCCGGGCCAGGGGCACGAGGAGCCCTGCTCATGGCACCAGGCCTGGCCGTAGGGTCCCCCAGTATTGCTGTTGCTACGAGGTCGGGGGGCAGCTATTGTCCTGTGGCAGCCACCGTTTGCCTGGGTCGGGGACCCTCATTTCTTCTGGGGTGTGCTCAGCTTCTGCATGCCCCAGATCTTGTCCAGGAGGCCAGAGACGAAGGCCTCTGTGGGTGTGTAACAGTCAACCAGCAGCTCCTTGACCCTGGCAGCCCAGGCATCGTCAGTCTCCATGTCCAGGAGCTCATCCACATCAATCTCCAGTTCTGGGATCTACTCTTCCTGGCAGTCGCAGAGGCACGTGAGCTGCTCCAGGATCCACTCCTCTAGGTTGAGGCGCTTCCGTAGCTCCTTGCCGTCATACTTGACGGTGACCTTCCCTTGGCGCCTCACTGGGCTGTCTCCTGCGGCCCCAGAGGGGCTCTGAAAGTAGACGCGTGGTCCTGGGCCGCCACTGCCCGGCCCGGGGGCCAGGGCCGCCAACGCAGCGCCCCCGCGCGGTGCCGCTGTCCGCCTTGGCGGCCGCCGGGACCACGAGCACGCGTCGGGCCGTTCCCTGCGCCGCCGCCTTCGGGAGGCCGGCCGGCTGGCTCTGGTTAGGTCCCCGGCTCCTCTCCATGCTGCTCGGCGGCGAGGGCAGCGGCGGGGGCACCCGGGGGCAGCTGCAGCATGCGGAGCCCCCGGGCAGGGCCTGGCCGCGCCCCGCTCCCTCCCCGCCGATCCGCCTGCCCTTTGTCCCCGTGACCGCCACCCCTTAACACCCAGATATTCTAATTCAGTACATCTGAGTGAGGTCCAGGATTCTATATGTTTAACAAACATCCCAGGTGATTTGAATGAAGACCAGTGTCTGAGAACCACTGCTTACAGGAATCGGAGTACTTCACTGGCATCTTTGAGCTCTTAGGGTCCTAAACTACCTGCTTTCTTTTCACTTGTCTTAGCTTTCTACACTTGGAATTGGGTGGCTTGTTCAAGTCCTGGTTCTTCCACTTTCTGGCTAGCAGTCTTGGGCAAGTCACTTAAATTCTGCAACTATTTCCTCATCTGTACAATGAGAACAGTGATCACTGCCCAGCCTCCAACATATTTGTGATTAAAGAAAAAGGAGATAAGATAGTAATTTTCCATTATAAAGTACCACACATTGTTAAGTTTATTGCTTCTTTTTTTCCCCCTGTTTCCCAAGATTATTGTCTTGGGTCACTGGCCTTTTCCGTGGCAGGTCCTAAAATAGGAGGAGTCCTTGACCGTGCTTTCCAGGTAGTACTCTGAATTTACAACAGGGCTATTCAAATAGTGCTCATACTCCTTATCATTAGGGTGTCTGGATGAAACATACCTCTGCTTCTGGTTTCTTAAATAGTTTTGTTTTATATATTGTGCTATGATTTAGCTCCAGCGGCGCCATGAGCAAATGAAAAAGAATTTGGAAGCACAGCACAAAGAATTGGAGGAAAAACGTCGTCAGTTTGAGGATGAGAAAGCAAACTGGGAAGCTCAACAACGTATTTTAGAACAACAGAACTCTTCAAGGTAACTAATAGCAGATTACTAAGAAATGTGTGTATTAATGTTTTAAAGAATTGTTTTCCTACTTATTTAAAAAACATTAGAATAACACTTAAAAAGTCATCACCCATTATCATGCATTCCAAACACAACGGTTTCCATGGATAAATATTTTTATATGGATGGATACAGTCTGTGTCCATTAGCAGTATTTTTTCAGTACATCTTTCATGACTTAATATTCATAATTATGATTTAGCAACTTCATAACATTCTCCCCAGTTAACTCACCTGAATTGGATTTCTTACCTCCTCCCCCCAATTATTGGACATAAGGGTTGTTTTCAAATTTTGGCATACAAAGGGAACATTGCTCAAAATCTATTATATATTTAGGGGTACATTTTAATTGTGTTGAATTATGTTTTTACGATAAAATTCTTAAGACAAAATGTTAGATATTTAATTTCCAATACAGCTAATCAGTTACTTTCTCTCAATTTATACAAAATTCAATATTTGTACCTTGATTTTCTTTTCCTTCATAGTTTCATTTAAAACTGAAAAGTGGGATTCCTATAAGGATTCTATAATTTATCCTCATTACTAAACATTTTCAGATTTGACATTTGTTCTACTACACTAGCCTACTGTTAACATTTTCCCCAAAGAAGAGGAAAATAGATTTGTAAAAGCAGTTGCACTTCAGAATGCAAATGACAGTGGGGGAAAAGAACACCCTGTTTGATGCCAGTTGATGTTTTTCAGTTTGTGCTGTTTTATTTGGGAAGAATTGTTCTTGTATATTAAAGTGGGATTTTGCCATATTTTTTACTGCTTATCCTGGAATTTTGTCAAATATTTGATTGTCTAAGAAAATACTACTATAGGTTAACATTGTCTTAGTTGTTTACTTCTAAATCTTGTAATTTCTTTAAATGAAAAAGTAGTATCTGAAAATCCCAACATTGTTGTAATTGGGTTAGCTATTGTTGTTATCATGTTGTCTATCATGTTTATAAAATGGTCACTCATCTTGATTATTTTCCTTTCATCATTTAGAACCTTGGAAAAGAACAAGAAGAAAGGGCAGATCTTTTAAACCCTCTATTGACCACCAGTTACGTATTAGTTGCCAATATGCCAGCTTGGACATCAGCGTTGGATCCGTTTGACCAGTTTGCACTAGTTTTATCCATAATGATGGATTTAACAGCATGACAAAAATTATTTTTGTTGTTGTTGTTCTTGATGGAGATTAAGATGCCTCGAATTGTCTAGGGTGTTCTGTACTTAGAAAGTAACAGCTCTAAGTAGCTTTCCTACATTTTCTTTTTTTTTTTTATTAAACAGATATCTTTGGTTTAATGCAAAAGAACATTTTACAGTTGTACAATCATGTTCTGGTGGTTTGATTTTTTACAAGATATTCCAAAAAAAAGGACTCTGGAAGGTTTTCATTGAGGATAAATTGCCATAATATGATGCAAACTGTGCTTCTCTATGATAACTATAATACAAAGGTTCCATTCAATGCAGCATATACAATAATATAATTTAGTCTAACACAGTTGACCCTATTTTTTGACATTTCCATTGTTTATAAATACACATGGGGAAAAAAAAACCCTATATGCTTACAGTGCACCTAGAGGTTTTTTTTTTTATAACAGTCTCTTTTTGTTTGTTTGTTTTGGATTCTTTAAATATATATTATTCTCATTTAGTGCCCTCCTTAGCCAGAGTCTCATTACTGCTTCATTTTTGTAATAACATTTAATTTAGATATTTTCCATATATTGGCCCTGCTAAAATAGAATACAGCATCTTTCATATGGTAGGAACCAACAAGAAAACTTTGCATTAACTCCCTTTTTACACTTTATGGTAAGTAGCAGGGGGAAAATGCATTTATAGATCATTTCTAGGCAAAATCATTTCTAGGCAAAGCTAATGACCAACCTGTTTCTACCTATATGCAGTCTCTTTATTTTACTAGAAATGGGAATCATGGCCTCTTGAAGAGAAAAAAAGTCACCATTCTGCGTTTAGCTGTATTCATATATTGCATTTCTGTATGTTTTGTTTGTATTGTAAAAAATTCACATAATAAGCCATGTAGTGATGTAATAGAGTGTGGGGGCTTCAATATTCCACAGTCGATGTACAAGAGTAGAGTATGTTTGGGAAGAAACTTTTCAACTTGAATTTGCCTCCTCTATGATGACATCTCTTATATGCTTGTGCTGATTTTCTAATTTAAGAGATACCATATCTCTCTATTCATTTCTATCTCTCATTTGTATGCTTATTTTTCTGAGAACAATTTTTTTTTTTTTTCCAGACAGGGTCTTGCTTCGTTGCCCAGGCTGGAGTGCAGTGGCACAAACGCGACTCACTGCAGCCTCAACCCTCTGGGCTCAAGCAGTCCTTCTGCCTCAGCCCCTTGAGTAGCTGGGACTGCAGGCATGCACCACCACGCCTGGCTAATTTTTGTATTTTTTGTAGAGATGGGGTTTCATTATGTGGCCCAGGCCGATCTCGAACTCCTAAGCTCAAGTGATCCACCCACCTCAACCTCCCAAAGTTCTGGGATTACAAGCATGAGCCGTCATGCCTGGCCTCTGAGAAGTTTCTAACTCATTCAGATTAGGTATACTCTCAAGTCCCTGGAAACTGAATTTTTTAACTGGAAAGAGAGTGGTGTAATTTCTCAAGATCAAATGATGTAGATTTTAACATAATACATAATTTAAGTGTAATTAATGTAGCCCAGTTTATTATCTTGAAATGTTTTACCCTATTTACTTTTTAAATTAATGACCTAAGCAGAGGGAATAATTATAAGTCAATATCAGAGATTGTTGTTTGGGTGTTTTTTATTTATTTTTTTCAGTGTTTGTGTTGAGAGATTGGGTTAACACCTCTAGCCAAAAATGTTTGGTTTTAGGGAGGCTAAGAACAACCTACTGAATTTGGAGAATGCAAAGGTAAAAAATTTATACAGACTGCCTGCCTAACTGATTAAGTACTACTGCTTCTGGGAAATATTATTTCAAAATTGTATATATTATAATAACAGATTTCTAAGACGCATTCATTATTCTACCATCCTAATGAAAACTTCAGAAGTTTTTATCCATGGCATGCCCAGGGTGTCACCTGAATCTGATGTAGGATCTATATAACTTTACTAGGTCTTTTTATTGTTGACTCCAGTCTTAAGTATATTAGAAGGCTCGTTTTGCTATTTGGTCTGTGGATTTCTGAAAGGATCATTCACAATACATGTAAAATTCAGGTAGGCCTAAGGAAAGGCCAGCCTGTAGAAAGCAAAACGGCAGTGTCTGTTCTCCACTGTCAGAGGCATTATGTAATTGAAGTATCCTGTTAGCCACTGTCTTTCTGCTAATAAAGTGGGGCTGAACAAGTTAGCACTAATAATACCAGTGAACCACTTGGGCACCTTGTGGGTAAAGTTTTGCTGCCACCTAGTGGAATGGGATATCATTGCTTCCTTATCAGGTTCAGAAGCAAGTTGTGAAGTTGCTAATAAAATGGACACAGAGCTTCTTTCTGTGTAGCTCAGGCTGTAATCTTGAAAGCTGAGGAGATACAGACCCATGCCTCTCACACTCATTAGCTGGGTGTCACCACTACCACCTGCACATTCTGACCCACCACATCTTAATATGTTCTGTCCTCTTGGAGAAATTAATCTAGGAGTAGAAGTCAGAATATGGTAGGTGAGGGGAAGAAAGGAAAGATGGCTTGATAGCCATGAATGCATCAGGAGCAAAATGTTGACTCAGAAAGTTATCTAGATCACAGCCTCCAAACCTGATGTTGTTTCCTTATGAAAATATTTTTGAGTGTCCATAGTTATATGTATTGATATCGGGGAAACTGCCCCAATATTCATGTAGGTTCTTTTCTATTTTCCCTAAGCATTGGCCAGCTTCAGAAATAAAGGGACAGAGTACAAAAGAGAGAAATTTTCAAGCCGGGCGTCAGGGGGAGACATCGCATGTCAGTAGGTTCCGTGATGCCCCACAAGCCACAAAAACCAGCAAGTTTTTATTAGGGAGTTTCAAAAGGGGAGGGAGTGTGCAAATAGGTGTGGGTCACAGACATAAAGTACTTTACAAGGTAATAGAATATCACAAGGCAAGTGGAGGCAGGGTGAGATCACAGGACCACAGGACTGAGGCAAAATTAAAATTGCTAATGAAGTTTCAGGCACTGTTGTCATTGATAACATCTTATCAGGAGACAGAGTTTTGAGATCAACCATCGGACCAAAATTTATTCGGCAGGAATTTCGTCTTCCTAATAAGCCTGGGAGCGCTATGGGAGACTGGAGTCTATCTCACCTCTGCAGTCTCGACCATAAGAGACGACCACGCCCAGTGGGGCCAGTTTAGAGACCTACCCCCAGGTGCGCATTCTCTTTCTCGGGGATGTTCCATGCTGAGAAAAAGAATTCGGTGATATTTCTCCCATTTGCTTTTGAAAGAAGAGAAATATGGCTCTGTTCCACCCAGCTCACTGGTGGACAGAGTTTAAGGTTATCTCTCTTATTCCCTGAACAATTGCTGTTATGCTGTTCTTTTTTTAAGGTGCCCACATTTCATATTGCTCAAACACACATGCTGTACAATTTGTGCAGTTAATGCAATTATTACAGGGTCCTGAGGCGATATACATCCTCCTCAGCTGACAGGATTAAGAGATTAAAGACAGGCATAGGAAATCACAAGGGTATTAATTGGGGAAGTGATAAGTGTCCATGAAATCTTTACAGTTT
The DNA here is from genome assembly GCF_000001405.40 of Homo sapiens. NCBI lineage: Eukaryota > Metazoa > Chordata > Mammalia > Primates > Hominidae > Homo > Homo sapiens. Next base: position 35,977,370 of record NC_000007.14, read on the forward strand.
ATGTTTAGAGATTGCAGTAAAGACAGGCATAACAAATTATAAAAGTATTAATTTGGGGAACTAATAAATGTCCAAGAAATCTTCACAATCCACGTTCTTCTGCCATGGCTTCAGCCGGCCCCTCCATTTGGAGTCTCTGACTTCCTGTAACATATTGATCAATGAAAATATGTGTCAACAAATGTACTGCTACACTATTATGAACATTATGTAATAAAATTTGAAAGAGTAAAACAAAAAGGTTAGTTCCTAAGCCCCAATGAAGTATTACTCTACACCTTGGAGGCCATCGATCGATCTAAGTAGTATGTGGATAGTTAATAGTTACTGTTGAATCACCAAGGAAGGTCCTAGTGAAGACTGCTGTGGTGTCCTACTTGATTTGAAAGAAAAATTTGCCACACCAGTAAATTGAAGTCCTTTCTAATTAAAAGCTTGCAAATGTAAGTCCTTATACTTCATTCAGAATTTTACCTGCCTCTTTTGTTATAACAACTTCCCATAACTGTCCTGTTCCAGATGGTAACCTAAGTAGTTACATGTATTATCATCATTTAATCCTTAATAGATAACAATTGGATAAGTTATCTGTTAATATAACTTAATATGTTATCTAATAATTGAATAAGTTAGTAAACATTTTAAACCCTCAGTTTCCTCATCTGCGAAAGGATGAGGAAACTGAGGGTTTAAAATATTTAGTAGCTTATTCAATAGGTGGTAACTGGCAGAACCAGAGTTTGAACTGGTCTTGGTGACACCAGGGCCTGTGTGTAAATCTTATGCCTTACTAGCACCTAGTCTGCTCACTGCCACATTTCTGAAGCATGATCTACGGAGTTGTTAGCACAGAGCAGATGCTCCCTGATTAAGAGGGGCAGCTGGCCACCAGGCAGCCTGGAGAAGCAGAAAGCACCGGACACACTAATTGTCTCAGTTTAGACCCCAACTCTGTGAATTGGGCATGTAACTTTTCTGAATGTTTCCTCAGCTATAAAATGGGCCCCATGCCTTTGCTGTTTGGAGTGAGGATTACATTGTGACTGGAGTGAGGATTACACTGTGACTGCACACATTAAGGTGTCCGGACCTTGAGAATGTGATAATCTGCTGGGGTCATGACAGACCAAAAAGTATTATTTCTTCTCAGTTTTAGTGACAGTTTATTTTTAGGAAGTGTGCATAGTGCCATGATAAGTCTCTGGATCTGCTTCTTTGTGCACAGAGATAGTCTTTTGAAGTTAATTCCATGGAAATAAGGTAACTTTGGTCAAAAGAGGAAAGGTGTTAGTAATTGGAGTTATAAAATACGTCATTCTTTGTAAGTAATGCCGAGATGGTTTATCATCTTTAAAGTCTCTCATCTTTAACAAAAACTTTTGCTGCTTTTCAAGCAAACTTGGTTCCTGTAATTTGGGATTCATCCATAGAATGTTCAAAGTTTAGTGTCAGCCATTTTCAGCAGAAAATAGGGGCTGACAATTTCCTGTGTTCTTTAGACGACTTTGAAAGCTTCATGGGAAGAATGAAGACTATTCTTGGCCTGAATATTTGCCCCATAGGGTGCTGGACCCAGCCAAGCAGGCTTGTATTAGCAAAGGAGGGTCAAGTGAAAAGAGACCTTGTTCTGTGCCAGGCTCCCAAAGGGTAGCCTGAAGCCTTATTGGCCACACGGAACCTCTGTTTTAGATGCTGTTTGTGGACCTGCCGAAATCGAATGCCACTCAGGCTTTCTGAAACCCTTTTGGGGTGGGAAGAGGCAGTAGCTGACACCTCTGAGAGCAGAGGTTTGTGAAGATGTGGCATAGATGAGGAGGCTAGCAGAGGCAGGGTGGTCAGGCATTACCAAGAAACTTCCTTTTTGTTCTCTTTGTTCTCTCTTTGAGGTGGGCCACCCCGCTTAGCTCCCTTTTGTCCAAGTGTGTTGCAAGGGAGCAGCATTTCACCGGGAGATTTGCACGTAAGTAGAGCACAGATTCCCCTGGGTTAGGGGCTGGCTCTCACCCAAGTGTGGGGATACCAAACTAACTTGTTCTGGCAAAGGCATACAACTTTTTTACTCCTCATTTAATTCTGTTGTCTTTGAATTTTTAATGATCTCTTTCATATTTAAATATATGCTCTACTCTAGTGTAGCACAGAGAAGTTCCCTGTGCCTTGGATAAGCCAGTAGTTTTAGGCAACTTGGCAAATGGTGAGTGAAGCAATGAGCACCCTGGCATGGCCTCTGGTGTTAATGTGAGCTGTTTTCCCTGCGTTTCAGAAGTCAGGGAATATATCGGTGGGACGTAGTGGGAGCTGTAGAATTTTTTTTTCCATAGGGATAAATCTCAATGTGATTATACAAATCTCTGGCTTAGCCTGATAAAGTTAAAAAACAAAACTAAATATTTCAGGAACACAGTTCTCTCACCCAGACACAAATGAAATCTTCCTTAGACCTTTGTATTGCTGGGCAGAAGTGCCACAAACTCAAATTGGCATTTTCTGTCTCAAATCTCCACCTCATTAGTGCCTAATTAGACCCCATCCCTAAGAGTCGGGTGCTTGGAAGATGGAATGGAGACCACTGATAAAAATTCACCTTCTGTAGTCTCCATTCAGGTATGATTGGCCCGATTATAGCTCGTGTCCTGAAAAGGACATAGGAGGCTTTTTTCTCCAACTCGTAAGAACTGATGAACTAATCACACCAAATGCAAATGTTTTAGACAGTATATTCAAACTGGGAAAAATACCTGCCTATCAAGGGAGTGAGAACTCACTTTGAAGTCTAAGGGAAGGAAACAAAATTGGAAAAGCACAGCAATAAGCATTTGTGGAGTACTTGCTGTGTGCAAACACAGAGCGTTCACATAGACTCTAAACTAGAGCTCATGAGAAGGCTATGACATGGCCATTTTCACCTCTTCATAAAAACAAGCAAGCTAAAATTTCACTGTGTGATTCCCTAACATTTGTATTTGTTATCCATTTTTCCACAATAAATGCCCCTCAATCCTATCAACAAAATTTAAACCACAACAATCTGTAATAGTAACATTCATTATCTTAGTTTCTGCAGGTTAGGAATTAAGTGGTTTAGCTGGGTGGTCTGGCAGGGTGCGTTGCAGTAAAGATGTTGGCTGAGGCTGCAGTCAACTGTGGGCTTCAGTGGGCCTGGGGTATCTGCTTCCATGATGGCTCACTGACATCACTGGCAAGTTAGTGTTTACCATTTTTTTTTTTTTTTTGAGACGGAGTCTTATTCTGTCACCCAGGCTGGAGTTCAGTGGCGTGATCTCCACTCACTGCAAGCTCCACCTCCCAGGTTTGCGCCATTCTCCTGCCTCAAACTCCTGAATATAGGTGCCCGCCACTGCGCCCAGCTAATTTTTTGTATTTTTAGTAGAGGTGGGGTTTCACCGTGTTAGCCAGGATGGTCTCGATTTCCTGAGCTCATGATCCGCCCGCCTCAGCCTCCCAAAGTGCTGGGATTACAGGCGTGAGCCACCGTGCCCAGCCTGGCAAGTTGATGTTAAGTGTCCTCAGCCCCTTGCCACATGGACCTCTCTCCACCAGGGCTGCTTGAGTGGCCTTGTGACATGGTGGCTGGCTTTCTCCCTGAGCAAGTAATCCAAGACAGAGCAAGGCATAAGCCACATGGCTTTTATGGCCCGGCTCTGAAAGTCACACACATAATTTCCCAATATGCTGTAGCTAATGCAGCTTAGTCCTGTTCAATGCGTGAAGGGACTGTACAAGAGTGGGAGTACTAGAAGGTGGCTGCCACAGTATTTTATCCATTTTCTGGGTAATAGACATCTGTTCATTTTTACAAATAATGCTGCAGTGAATATTTCTATATATATCTTGCCTAAATATTCAAGTGTTTCTATAGGCTTCTGTACCAACATGAACAAAGCCAGCAAATGCATCATTTTTAGGTTCATAAGCCTCTGTATGGGTTTCCTGGATGCATCATGCAGAATGTTTTATTCCCCTGCCTCTTCCCCACTCAGACCAGATCTCTCTAAAGGCCACCTTACATCCCTTATAGTCTCTTGACCAGAGAAGGGAATGGGATCTCTCCCTCTGCCTTAGAGTTTGGAAAGTCTCAGGGAAGAACTTTGACAGCTCCAGTAAGGAGGGTGGTACAGATGTGGTCACTGAGAACCACTGTGAGCCACACAGCACCTCGGATAGCCTGCAAATCTGCCTTCCCCCAGGGAATGGATAAATGAGGTGCCAGTTCTCCAGCCAACCTGGGCCTTTGAATCAGACTCACCCATACCTCATGCACCAGATCCAGGCATAACAGGTGGGCCATCCTGGGGCTTTGGCTATGTTGCTGTCATCCTATACTCCTTTTCCCCACATGCAGGCAGGCCATCATGAGACTCCAAGTCTTTCCACCCCTCCTTGCTGCCCAACCTGGATGTAGGTTTACACTGGCCCCTACTCCATGGCCATGTATACAAACCCTGCATCCCAGCACGTGCTCCCCCTCATCCCAGTGCTGGCTTCCTGCTGGTACCCCCAACAGATTGCCAAATGCCCCTTCCCCATTTACAGACTGTTAAATGGACTTTTCACTTCATATTTTGGCATAATTTCAAACAATTTACAAAAAGGTTGCTGAAAACACTTTTTGGTCTGAACTATTTTTGAGTCATGTGCAGCCTTGATGCGCCTTATACTAAATATTTGTGTGTATTTCCTAGAAACTCTCCCGTAATAACAGTACAATGATCAAAATGTGAAGAAATTTAGTGAGCTTTTAATAAGACTTAAAAACATGTATAGAGCTCTTAGATAATTCAGTATGTATTCATATTTATATACTTTGCATTTTGTATTAAGTTCAAAGTCCCCAATTCAGGCTGTTGTGCTTGCATTTTCCTTCAAATGAATTCAAAGGGGGGTCACCTCAGTGTCCCTGGGCCTGGCCCCCTTTGGTGCCAATAGACCCTGTGGGTTGATTGGATGGAATCAGCAGCAGGATTGACACCTGTCTAGGGGTCAGGCTCCCAGTTCACTTCTCCCTCCATTCTGTGAGGCAGCCTTTTCTTTTCCATCCCTCCCTCCTCTGAGCTCGAGGTCACTGGGGGCATGGGTGCAGGTGCCCACTCTGCACCAGACACGCACATACACTACGCTTCTGCCCTCCAGGACCGCGTGGCCTCAGAGAAACAGGCACGAAGCATCATGAGAGGGACGCTTTTTAGCGCAGGGTCACAGTCTGCAGAAAATCAAGCGTGGTCAAAATCAGTGTTCCCTTCCGAGGGCCCAGTAAAGACTCAAACCCTCAGGCTTCCGTCCCCACGTCCTAAGTGGCACTGGACCCCAGCCTGGGCTCTACGTGTCCCCCGCCCGCGCTGGCCACCTCCGGGTGGACCCTAGGATTCCGTAGCCGCCCCCTAGCCCCGCGCCTGTGGGTCCCTTCTCCGTGGGGCCTCTGGTCTCTTAGGGTCGCCGGGGGCTGGAACCCATGGGGCCACCCTCCGAGGGTCAGCAGCGGCCGAGGCCGTTGCCACAGAAGGTGGCAGCACCTCCTTGCGGGTCGCGAGGAGTGGGCTCCCCCAGGGGGCTTTTGGAGCGCGACCCTGCGACCCACGCCATTCAGCAGTGGGATTTTATTTTGTTTCAGAAATACTCCAGGGCCGTCTAGTCTCTTTCTCTATTTAGGGAAGAGGTTTAAGAATGTTACAAAAGCAACAGACGCCTGAAACAGAACGTTACACCCCAGCATGAAGAAAGCACCCACAGAGTGTGCTTCCCCCAGGGGTTAAGCATAGAATCTCCCCGTGGCCCGCAGTCCCCGAAGAGTAAGGCAAGGACCCAGCGGATGGAGGGGCAGTACGGCACTGTTCCCCAGGGCCCGCGAACAAACGTTAACAGGCTGAATGGTAAGCCAAACGTGGTATTCCCTGCTATGGAATGCTCTTTAGCCTTAAAAAATGTGAGTCTGATGCGTGCTGCCAGGTGGGTGAACTGGGAAAAACTTAACTAAAAGTGAAAGAAGCCAGACACGAAAGGACAAATACTGCATGAGTTCACAATGAAATATCTAGAATAGGCACATTCACAGGGACAGAAAGTAGGTTATGGCTTACCTGGGGCTGGAGGGAGAGGAAAATAGAAAGTTATTGCTTAATAGGTACAGAATTTCTGTTTGGGGAGATGTCATGCCTGCTACTGAATTGTAAGTTAAACATTGGTTACATGGCAAATTTTATATAATATATTGTTTCCCATAATTTAAAAAATAGTGAAAACCCATTGCGTTTACTCCTCTACCTCCCATTCACCTCTTTTAGGCCAGGGGCAATTGAATGACTTAACTGGAGTCATGCAAATGGAAGGCACAGGATTTGAGCCCATCGCAAACCCAGCAGGACCAGTGAGGCACAGCGTCCCTCTGAGCAGCCAGCAGGCGCCTGGGCCTGGAGGGGCTGCACCCTCACACCCCCTCACATCCCTGGGAACACCATAGGTTACTCATCAACTTCCTCATTCTTCTCCCTGTGCTTTCTTTGGCCTGGGCCTGGTCTGGGCCTTAGGGTGCTGGTCCCAAGCTTCCCCAAGTCAGGGAGTGACGGGACTATTCTAGAATCCCATCCTGTCTGTTCCCTGCCCAGGTCAGCACAACAAGAGGGAGACTCTGGTAGCTTCCCAGAGACCCCTCTCTCCTCCTTAGCAGGTGGGGGCAGGAGTCAGGCCAACGTGGTCCCCTCATCTCCAGGAACTTCTCCTGCTTCACTGCAGCCCCTGCCTGTGCCCTGTCCCTCTGAAAGCACAAGCTCACTCTCCTCTCCCACCACTGGTCCTCACCCACTCCTGTCCTCACCTCAGGGCACCAGGCCCCAGGTCCCCACGCTTGGCCTCACCTCCCACCTCCTCAGATGTGTGCATTGCCCAACAGGCACATCAGATGCCGCTTAGGTTGCTAAAGCTTTGGGAGGCAAAAAGCTTGAAGTTTGATACTGTTTTAGAAAAAGACATCAAATCACTTATGGGAAACCAGGATTTGTTGACCTTCATTGCACCTGTGTAGAGTTTAAGCTGGTTTTTCTTTTGAATTGGATAGGTGGGTGGTGGTGGCGCTCATCTTGCAGGGCTGACAGCCCCTATACATGTTGTTCTGGCCCTGGCCAGCCTGCATGCGGGTCAGTCCCTTCTCCAGCTTCTCACTTACTCTCACCAGGGCCTGAACATCACAGGGAGGCCAGGGCATGAGAAGAGCTGGAGAGAGGAGAAGGTGGGAGAGCCCTTCAGTCTGGAGTTTGCTGACTGTGGGATGGGGTGCGGGGCAGAGTGCAGGGCACAGATGGGAATGCTGGGGAGGGGTGGGACTGGGCCAGGGAGAAGCACAGGGGATGACAGATCACCCTAGGGGTTCCCATTTTGGATAGTGGTCAAGGACCACAGACGGCATCAACTCCCTGATGGCTACAGAGGGGGAAGATACAGGCCTGTCCTCAGAACATCAGCCTGGCCATTGGAAGTGGAGCACTGGATTAAGAGTCCCCAGTGACCTCATCATGTCCTTGATGGATGTGGGACCTCTCTGGAGAAAGGCAGTGTCGGCTTGGGTTTGACAGACACTCATGGAAGGACCTCCATGGGTTGTGACTGCACACACTGGGCTCACCATGCTTATTTTGACCACATGGACAGCCTGTTGGTCCCAGCTACTCAGGAGGCTGGGACAGGCGGATGGCTTGAGCCCAGCAATTCAACTCCAGCCTGGGCAAGACCCTATCTCTCAAAAAATATAAATAAATTAATAAAAATATGTCAACACTGTCTGGTAGGTGGTCTGGTTATGGGAATGGGGGTGTGAGTGGAGGCCTTTGAGGCCCCTCCCTGTGCCCTGTCGCCTTCTGTCCATTTAGAGGAGTGTGTATGTGAGGAAGATGAGGCAGAAGAAGCCAAGTATGGGCCCCGACTCCCCTATCAGGTGGGAGAGCTGGGGACATAACTCCCAGTGGGCACCAGGAGGCAGTGCAGCCCCAGCATCAGGCCCTTCCCACAGGGGAGCCCTGGCTTCAGCAGCTGCAGAGGCAGTAAACTCCTGGGGCTAGATCAACGTTTTTGGATTTTAAGAAGTAAAAGACGTTTTGAGGGTCATGAACTTGGTGCAGGTCTTTGCAGTACCAGGTGGACAAACCTCATCTGGGGAAAAAATCGTGAGACCAGGTTCTGCTCTCCAGCTCTGATGAGAAAAGCAAGTTTTCCCTCCTCTCTTTGCCACAGTTTCTCTACTTATCAGATTGAAATGGTGTCTTCCCCACCTACTGCTCAAAGATCTCTCGTGCCATTGATGTGAAACACTTTTCCCATGTTCAAGGTGGCTGGCCTAGTCATTGGCATCCCTGTGGCAAAGAAATGTACCAACGTTATGCCTTTACAAATGGATTCATAAAGAGTCCGTTTTTTTTTTTTCAGGCTGGGCACGGTGGCTCAGGCCTGTAATCCCAGCACTTTGGGAGGCCAAGGCGAGAGGATCACTGAGGTCAGGAGTTTGAGACCAGCCTTGCCAACATGGTGAAACCCTGTCTCTACTAAAAATACAAAAATTAGCCTGGCGTGGTGGCACGCACCTGTAATCCCAGCTACCCAGGAGGTTGAGGCACGAGAATCTCTTGAACCCAGGAGGCGGAGGTTGCAGTGAGCCAGGATTGTGCCACTGCATTCCAGCCTGGGTGATAGAGTGAGACTCGGTCTTAAAAAAAAAAAAGTCTGTTTTTTGGAATTAATTTTCCGTAGATGGAAAGATGCAGCAGATGCGTGATGCTCTGGCTTCCATGGCCACAGATGGCCCGGAACAGTCACTAGCTAGTTTGTCCTCAAAAGAAGTGAGACCCGCAGAGAGTCAAAGTCATCAAACCTGGCCTGCAGGAGACCTCAGCAGCACCTGGGAGCCTCTCAAGTGCAGGGGTGGGGGACAGTCTGTGGCTATCCACTGCTGAATGTCCACTGCTAGGGCCTTCCCTTTACTAGAAGTTTCTATCGCTAAAAAGCAACAATCTCTCAAAGTGAGAGGAGGGAGAAGAAGGATATGAATTTCTGCGTGGCCAACCTGACAACATTTTCTGAAAGAGCTTGGGTCTGTGCAGTCTGAGGAAGGCAGTGAGGCCAGCACAGGACAAGACAACCACAGGATGAATTCCTAGAGCCAGGTTTTGAGCACATCCCCTGGGAGGGGCAGGCAATGCATGCTGGAATAATCCAGTGAGGCCATACTTGCTTACTGAGAGGAAGACTTTGCAGGTAGATGCGACTTTCTAATAGGGCATCAGGTTCTAAAAGTCTATTCCGCCCAGATAATTTATATGAATCTCAACCATGTGCATCAGGTAGGTGCCAGTTCTCACTCGATCCTGAGAAAGTTCCCTAACTTGTTTTTTTAAGAGTCAAATTTCTTATTTGGAGAACACGGATGATTGTCTCTACCTCATGGCATTGTGGTGAAGATAAAATGAGATTATATCTACCAAGCGCCTAGCAGAGCATGTAGGATGCAGTATAAGCTCAGTAAATGTTAGTGTGGCAGGTTGCTGGGTGAGCGACTGTGAAATTTTGGTTGTTTAGTTCAGGGGTCTTTGTTTAAGTGCTTCTGGTAATCCTTGTTGGGTGGGGGCAGAAGAGTGGGTTTGTGGTTTATTAGGGAAAAATGAAAGGTATTTTCCTTCTTCCAGGAAAAGAGCCAGACTTTCCTGTTCAAGGTCTTGACCCCTGTTCCAGCCCCACTTATAGCCAAAAGTAGGAATGAAGATGGCCTTGTGGTTTTAAGGCTGATGCCCTGTCATGGCAAAAAGAGGCAGAACGGATGCCTTGTGTTGTGGAGACTCGAAAAGGGGTGGTGGCCTGAGGCTGTCATCTGTCTCCTGAGGACTGGAGAGAGCCAGCCTTCCCTTCGGCATGGCCTCTGAGGAGAGGTCAGCTGTTGCATACTGTGGGGCCTGCGCAGGCCCAGTGGGGAGGGCGGGGGTGGCCTGGAGCCCTTCTCCTTGGCACTGCCCCGCCAGATGCAGAGGGGAGGCTCAGGAGTGAGTGCTGTGGCTGAGGCTGCAGAGCTGCCCAGGTGGCGTGCAACTTTCCTGCCAGATGTGGGGAGCTGCCCTGACCTGGGACCCCGGATCTGGACCACTGGAGGACCTTTTCAGGGCTGTGTAACCTCAGCCCCCACCCAAGGTTCTTGTGGTATCCATAGGGGGAGTCCTCATGTGCCTGATTTTAAATACGTGCCAGTCTTAGTGGGTAGGAGAAGGAATCCGTTCAAAATAAACCAGAGGACAACACATTTGACATGACTGGCCCCTTGGGAAGAACATGGATAACACTGCCCTAGGTCTTGGGATCTCAGCAAGTCAGTGCCAGACAAAACTGCTCAAGTGATTTTCATATGTGGTTTTGATGTTCTTGACATAAAATGGGCAGAGGCCTGAGGAGTCACAAACTATACACACACACACACACACACACACACACACACACACACACAGCAGCAGCAGCAGCAGCAAGTAAGAAGTAGAATGAGCCAGGACTAAAGCCGAGTAAAATGCAAATATAAAATATACACACAGTGACACCAGACAGCCAGGTACACATCCAGGGATACATCTCAAACATACTGGTGAGGAGATGGGTATGGGAGCAAAAGGAATCTTAAGCAAAAAAAAAAAGCCAGAAGAGGGGTCACGTGCCCTGTCAGTGATGATAGTGTTCCGAGGCTGGGAGGATGACAAGCACAGTTCTCTGCAGACATGGCCCACAGAGGTAACAGCCAGGCAAAAATGGTGGGCAGAAGCCCCAGAGGGTCTCTCCAGATGCCATGAAACCTACAAGAAATGCCATGAGGCTGTGGGGAATTTGTTAGGCACATGGAGCGATTTCCAGGCCTGTGTCTGCCCTTCTGTCCCTGTTGAGTTACCAGTGTTGACTCACACCCTGGCACCTGGATGGATTTGTGTGGGTCGCCTGGCGATCGCGTAGGTTCCTGTAAATACAAACAGCCTAGGTCTGACAGGAATTTCCTTACTGCTTTCCTTCAGAATTGATATTAGAAGTAAATTGCTCTCTTTAAAGTGTTCAACCCTAACATGTCCCACTGGGAAAACTCTCTCTTTTTCTGTGGCCAAACACTATCAGGCTTTGTGAATTTTATAGAAGAACCAGAATTGAGGGCCAGACCTCACCCTGGGAAGCCCTGGCCATGTCTTTAAGTGATGGGGCTTGTCTGTGAATTGTCCTTGTTGGAAAGATGGAGGATAGCTTTAGTGCTGGCCACCATTGCTGGTGACACACAGCCTTATCCAAGGAAGTACATTAAGAACTCAGTGCTTGTGGCCATCAAAGAGATTCCAGTCTCTTTTTGGAGGAACTGGTTAAATCTATTATGATCTAATCAGACAATGTAATATTTTGCCCCTACAAAAAATCCTGCTTTTGAGGCCTTCTTATTGACATTGGAAAATGTAAATGTTACATCTGCTGAAATAATATTTAGCGAGTGCCTTTGCCCAGAACATGAACTGATTAGGGCCAAGCTGAAGCACAAACAAGTCACATAAGAACCTGCTGGGAAGAACTCTGGCAGTAAAAACTGTTTTCCATACCATAGCTGACTGGTTTGCTTTTCAGACCTTGTGAGCCAGAGGAGATGTTCCCAGAATCACACAGTGCAGGAGGCTTGGTCCTGGAAAACTGTCAGGTGGTCAGCAGTGAGTGATGAACGATGTGATCACAGCGGCGTTTCCCAGCCAGGCCTCGTGCAGGGGCCACGCCTTCCTACCTCCTCATACACCCTGGTCCCAAAGTCATCTTGGAAGCACAGGCTCTGAACCCTTATCTAAGGATTAAAGAATAGCAGAAAAACCAGACATTTAGAGGTATTTAGACATTTAAAAGAGCCCATGAAATCCAGGCGGCCTGTGTGACCTTCATTTTCTCCTACGAGAGAGATGCAGGGACTTGGGTGCTGTGCTGTCCCCGAGGCCATGGGACAACCCCCCTACCCCGCAGGAGTAGGGGTGCTCTGTGTGTAGCTGCACTCAGTCTCTCCACCGCCTCCTGTTCCAGGACACCGTCATTCAATAAGGCTAAGATTTTGTTTTTAATGTTCATAAAGCCTCTTAATCCTGAGAACGGCTTGACTGTGCATTGAGTTCCTGAGAACAGGACTAAAATATCTATACAATATGAGTCCAATTATATTTATGGCTAAGCATCCAAATATACCTAGAAAAAAAAAGCTTAGAAGGAAATGGGCCAACATATTAACAGCTTCCCTCCCACCTTCCCCCGCACACAAATGTGATGGTTTTAAGGGAAGTTTAAATGTTTCCTTAAAAACAGCTTTATTGAGATATAATTGATACTGAACTTTGCTTTAAGCAAACAAAAAATGAACATTAAGATTTATTTTTTAAGATTTAGGGTATAAGAAAATGAAATAAAAGGCATCCAGATAGTAAAAGATGAAGAAAAACTGTATTTGCAGATGATATGATCTTATATATAGAAAATCCTAAGGAATCCATGAAAAAACTATTAGAACTAGTAACCAAGTTGGGCAAAATTGCAGTATACAATGACAATTTATATACAAATCAATTGTATTTCTTTTTATTTTTATTTTTGAGACGAATCCTTGCTCTGTCACCCAGGCTGGAGTACAGTGGCATGATCTCCGCTCACTGCAAGCTCCGCCTCCCGGGTTCACGCCATTCTCCTGTCTCAGCCTCCCATGTAGCTGGGTCTACAGGCACCCGCCACCACACCCGGCTAATTTTTGTATTTTTAGTAGAGACAGGGTTTCACCATGTTGGTCAGGCTGGTCTTGAACTCCTGACCTCAGGTGATCCACCTGCCTCAGCCCCCCAAAGTGTTGGGATTACAAGTGTGAGCCACCGCGCCCAGCCAAATCAATTGTATTTCTATACACTGGCAACGAACAATCCAAAAATGAAATTAAGAAAACAATTCCATTTATTAATATAATAAAAAAGAATAAAATACTTAGGAAGTTAATAAAAGAAGTACAAAACTTATACTCTATAAACTACAAAACACTGTTGAAAAATGTTAGACAATGTAAAAAGATGGACAGACATCTCATGTTCATGGATCAGAAGACCGAATATTGTTAAGATGGCAATACTCCCCAAACTGATCTACAGATTTAACAGAATCCCTATCAGCACACACAACCACCCCCTGCCCCCCAGCTGGCTTCTTTGCAAAAATGGGCAAATTAATTCTAATATTCACATAGAAACTCAAAAGACCTAGAATAGCCAAAATGATACAGAAAAAGAAGAACAAAATTGGAGGACTCAAACTTCTGATTTCAAAACCTATAAATCTACAGTAATCAAGACAGTGTGGTACTGGCATTAAGATAGACATATAGATCAGTAGAATAGAACCAAGCATCCAGAAATTCTTACATTTACAGTCAACTGATGTCCAACAAAAGTGCCAAAATAATTCAATCAGAGAAAGAAGAGTCTTTTCAACAAATGGTGCTGGGACTAGATATCCACATGCAGAAGAATGAACTTGGACTCCTAATTTACTAAAAATGGATCAAATACCTAAATTTGAGAGATAAAAAACTCTTAGAAGAAAACACAGGGGTGAATCTTCATTACCTTGAATTTGGCAATGGTTTGTGAGATATGACATCAAAAGTATGAACAACAAAAGAAAAAAATAAATAGAAATTCATCAACATTAAAAATTCTGTGCTACAGAGGACACTATTCAGAAAGTGAAAGACAACACACACAATGGAAGAAAATATTTGCAAATCATATATTTGTTAAGGGACTTGTATTCTAGAATATATAGAACTCTTAAAACTCAACAATAAGACAAACTCAATTAAAAAGTGGGCAAAGAATCTCAATAGACATTTGTCCAAATATACAACCACATGAAAAGAGGTTCAGCACAACCGTCAAAGAAATGCTAATAAAAACCACAATGAGATACTATTTTACATCCACTGTATTAGTCCATTTTCATGCTGCTGATAAAGACATACCTGAGACTGGACAATTTACAAAAGAAAGAGGTTTAATGGCTTACAGTCCACATGACTGGGGAGGCCTCACAATCATGGCAGAAGGCAAGGAGGAGCAAGTAACATCTTAGGTGGATGGCGGCAGGCAAAGAGAGAGATTGGGCAGGGAAACTCCCCCTTATAATACCATCAGATCTTGTGAGACTTATTTGCTATCACTAGAACAGCATGGGAAAGTCCTGCCCCCATGACTCAATTACCTCCCACCAGGTCCCTCCCACAACACATGAGAATTCAAGATGAGATGTGGGTGGGGACACAGCCAAACCATATCATCCACTATGATGGCTTTCCTCAAAAAAGCAGATAACAAGTGTTAGTGAGAATGTGGAGGAAGCAAAAGTTCCACACGCTGCTGGTGGGAATGTAGAATGGTGGATCTACTTTGGAAAACAGTCTGGCAGTTCCTTCAAAAAGTAAACACAGGGTTATCATTTGACCCGGCAATTCCACTTGTTAAAAACAAACTGAGGGCTGGGGCACGGTGGCTCATGCCTGTAATCCCAGTACTTTGGGAGGCTAAGGCAGGAGGATTGCTTGAGTTCAAGAGTTCGAGACCAGTCTGGGTGACATAGCAAAACCCTGTCTCTACAAAAATACAAAAATTAACCAGACATGGTGGCACGCACCTGTGGTACCAGGTACTCCTCCCACCCAGGAGGCTGAGGTGGGAGGACTGCTTGAGCCTGGGAGGCAGAGGCTGCAGTGAGCTGAGATCATGCCACTATACTCCATCTTGGGTGACTGAGTGAAACCCTGTCTAAATAAATAAATACTGAGGCACATGAAAATTTTTAATGAGTTTATTTGAGCATTCAGTGATTCATGAATTCATCAGTACCAGACCACAGCAGTTCAGTGAAGGCGTGCAAGAAGAAACTTTTATAAGGTGTTTGTGGAAGCAAGACAATGAAAATACTTGATTGGTTAAGGTGGAAAGTCCTTAGTTAGAGGTTAGTTGGTGGCTTCTGATTGGTTAAGCTTTAGTTTCATTTACTGTTTACATCAAATTGGGTTTTGGTTTGCTTACATAGGAACCCAATGTGCTGGAGCTGTCTCAGCCTAATAGCCTCCCAATTAACTATTTTAACACATTCCTAGGTGTATACCCAAGAGAACTGAAAGCATGTGTTTACACATAAACTTGCCTGTGAATGTTTGTATCTGCATTATTCATAATAGCGTAAAGGTGGAAAGAACCTAGTGTCCATCAACTGATGGCTAAACAAAATGTAACATGTCAATACAATGGCATCTTATTTGTCATAAAAAGGAATGAAGCACTCATACATGCCACAACATGGATGAAACTGAAAAACATTTTGCAAAATGAAAGAAGCCAGTCACAAAAGACCACATATTCTATGATTCCATATATAGGAAATGTCCAGAACAGACAAATCTATGAAGATGGAAAGATTAGTGGTTGCCTAGGACTGGGAGGTGGCGTGAGGAGATTGGGGAGTGATAGCTAATGAATACAAAGTTTCTTTGGGGGATTATAAAAATTTACTAAAATTGATTGTGGTGACGGTCACACAATTCTGTAAATGTACTAAAAACCATTGAATTGCACACTTAAAATTGAATTGTAAAGCATGTGATATCTCAATAAAACTGTTATAAAAATATTTAGGTGCTAATTAGTTTGGAAGAGTCATTACTTTAAAATAATTCACAACACTATTTCCTTAACTATCAAACTTAAAAAGTGCATTTAAAACTATGGTTCAATTCCAAGGAGATATAAGATCTCTATGAGGAAAACAAAAACACTGCTGAAAGAAATCATAGATGACACAAACAAAGGTAAACACATTCCATGCTCATGATGGGAAGAATCAACATTGTGAAAATGACCGTACTGCCCAAAGAAATCTACAGATTAAATGCAATTCCATCAAAATACCATCATCATTATTCACAGAACTAGAAAAAAAATCCTAAAATGCATATGGCACCAAAAAAGAGCCCACATAGCCAAAGTAATACTAAGCAGAAAGAACAAACCTGGAGGCATCACACTACCTGACTTCAAATTGTACTACAATTGGTGGCTCACGCCTGTAATCCTACCACTTTGGGAGGCCAAGGTGGGTGGATCACTTGAGGTCAGGAGTTCAAGACCAACCTGGTCAATATGATGAAACCCCATCTCTACTAAAAATACAAAAATTAGCTGGGCATGGTGGCATGCTCCTGTAATCCCAGCTACTTGGGAGCCTGAGGCAGGAGAATCGCTTGAACCCAGAAGGCAGAGGTTGTAGTGAGCCGAGATTGCACCACTGCACTCTAGCCTGGGCAACAGAGTGAGACTCCATCTCAAAAGCAAACAAACAAACAAACAAACTAACTAACTCATTCCACTTCTGGTCTGCTTTATGCTTCTCCTGGGACATTGACAGGAAGTTGCCAAGTCTAAGTAAACAATGAACCAAATATGTTTGTACAGACATGTAGGGAAGAGGTGAACCGCAGGGCTGGGCCTGCCTTGGGAGTCCAACACAACGAATTCATGGCTCATGAGTGTTCTGTAAGCAAGAAATAGATCAGCCATGGTCCAGAACTGTAGCATGGGAAGACAATCCATTCAGACTTATGAATAATCACTGTTCACTGGCTTATCATCACATCCACTCTAGAACACAGGACTCCTCAGGGATGTAGTTTAAGTTCCCTACAATTGGGGTCAAAGGTCACTCCTTTACAATGGGGAGACTTCTATTCCCCATTCATCGAACCTGAGTGGGTTTTACTTGTTTGTATTTTTAGAAAAAGAAGCAAAACTGTATATTCCTCCTTAAATTTAATCTTAAATTTCTTTATGCCCAGCTTCTTGGCAGATACTTCTTCATGAGACTGTTTTAGATATTCGCATATATCACACACTTACATACACATATCTGACATTCCATTCACAGTGTGACATTTTCCATCAGTGCCTTTCCTGGGCACTGATGAATTCACAATTGCACTTAAGGGAGTAGATAAAATTCTGAATCCCGGATTGGCCTGAATTCACATTAAGACAGCCATGATAAGTCTGTGAGCATAATGAATGTCTTCTGCATCTTAGAATTCCGGAGACCTGGATTCTTATAATAGACTCCCTCCCCCACTACCATTTACCAGCAACCAGACTCAGGGTCTTCAGCTAGAATGAGGGCTGATCACACCTGCGCAGCCATCCTCGCCGATCTGGGGAGGTCATGAATAGGAAAGTGCTTTGTGAGCTGCACAGGCAGACTTGGGTTTGAAGTTTGTTTCCATCTTTTTTTTTTTGAGACAGAGTTTTGCTCTTGTCACCCAGGCTGGAGTGCAGTGGCGCGATCTTGGCTCACTGCAACCTCTGCCTCCCAGGTTGAAGCAATTCTCCTGCCTCAGCCTCCCGAGTAGCTGGGATTACAAGCGCCTGCCACCACGCCCGGCTAATTTTTGTATTTTTAGTAGAGACAGGGTTTCGCCATGTTGGCCAGGCTGGTCTCGAACTCCTGACCTCAGGTGATCCACCTGCTTTGGCCTCCCAAAGTGCTGGGATTACAGGCGTGAGCCACTGTGCCCAGCTGTTTCCACCATTTATTGATGAGGGGACCTTGGAAATTTTACTTTACCTCTTTGATCCTTAGATCTTTTATCTGTAAAGATGGACACTAGTATCTGCCCACAGATGAGCTATATAGATTAAATGGGATCAATGTATTTAAACAGCATGAGGTAAGTGCTCAATAAATGGTAGTTATTGTTATTGCTATTACCCTGGCGTTTATAGCAGTTCCATCAATACTATCACCAGTTTTGTCAGCCTCATCCGTATGCTTGGAACAACAAAAAAGATATTTTTGGAGTAGAGGATGAGAAAGTTTGGAAAATGCGGAGAAGGATGCATCATGGGTACGGGGAAAGTTAGGAGGAAATGGCCTTTCTGAAGTGAAGGGCTGTGGAGAGTGGAAAACTGGGGCCAAGAAGTCAGGAGGAGCCAGACAGTGAATGCCTCGGAAAGCTGGATTCAGACCTTTGATCTTAGTCCTGAAAGCGTCAACCTCTGTGACTGGTTTTAGTGCTGGCCAGAATGACTGGAGCCCTCTCTGGTGACCCAGACCCTGGAACCAGGTCTTCACAGCAGCAGAGCTTCTGAGCAAATAAGGCAGTGGGCAGGGCCCACGGTAGAGAGAGGTCCCAGTTGGGTCTCCTCACTTTGCCAAGGACTCTCATGGTTAGCCCCAGGGGTCAGTGGCTCCCTGTGGCCATAGCACTAGCTGGACTCACTTGGGCATCAGGCTCTCAGGCATGGCCTAATACCCTGACTATGCTTTTATCTTTAAATCTTTTTTTTTTTAAGTAATAAATGATTAGTGTGGAAAATCCAGAAAATTCTCCACATGGCAAAAAAGAAAATAAAAACAGCAATTTCATATTTTAATTCTAACTACTGACTTTTTGCATCTACACAGTTTTAAAAAATAGTTTTGTAATACACTTTTTTCATTATGATAGAGCGTAAACATTTTCTCAAGCCTTAAATATTCCTATTCAATCGCACTCTAATCGATCACATAGGCTAAATGAGTTAATATATGTATAGCTCTTAAATCAATGAGTGGCATATGGTAAGCACTCAGTATATCTTAGCAATGATTATACTAGGGATATATATTTAAACCACATGTATAATTAAATCAGCCCTTTATTATTAGACTTGAGGATGGTTTTCACTTTTTCATTTATATTGTAATGCTCCAGTGTGCATCTGTGTGAACAAATGTGTACTCAACGTCTCTGAGGACTTCCTCAGGATGTATTCCTAGTACAATGGCTGGGCCACAGAATATGCAATTTTTTTGATTATCAGTACAGGTTCCTAAGTACCGTTACCATTTATATGTGCTCTCAGATATTTAAAAAAAAAAATTTTTCTCTCCTGATGAGGCTGGGTTTGGAATTGGTTTCCCTCCTGAGAGAGAGGAGTTCTGCAGCTGAAAAAAACAAAAAAAATTGACTGCTCCATTTTATGACAGCAGCTGCAAGTTGTGACCCCAGAGGCTTAAAGAAAAGCTGAGAACAGCTCTGCCATGTAACCAGTTATGAGGTTTTGGGTAAGGTAACCAACTTTTCTACATCTCAATTTCTTGACCTGTAGAATGGTTTTAACAACACCTGCAACCCTTAAAGTTGATGAGATGATTAAATGAGAATTCTAAATCTCATCCAACGGTGGTCAGCACATAGGGTTCCTACATGAGAGTACACATTAGTAGACACAGAAGTTGCACGATCACAGTACAGTAGCATGCCAGCAATAGCTGTACCAGCCAGAACTGAAAAGCCCAGCCACAACCCTTACCACTGCCTCCTCTAACGGCTCTAGCCAAATGGAGACAATATCGGTGTGCTTTGGGCTGGCCCTTCCCCGCGACCCCAGCAATCTGGACAAGAATACGAGCCTTCGTCTCTCCCCCACCTCTTCTGCTGGCCACAGTGGGAGACATCAAAAACCTCACAAGTTTACCCCTCCCCACTGGCCATGGAAGTGTCAGAGACCCAAGCCTGGGCGGCCTGAGGCCTACCTCACCCTTGGGAAGCCAGGAAGCGGTCCTGATCTGCCGGCAGTGGGCCTGATCTGCCAAAAGTGAGCCTAATCCCTCAGAAGCCAGCACTATACTGTATTCCGGAAATGAGGTGATTCTCCCGAAAGAGGCCTGATCTACCAAAAGTGAGCCTAATCCATCAGAAGCCAGCACTATACTGTATTCCGGAAATGAGGTGATTCTCCAGAAAGAGGCCTGACCTGCCAGAAGTGGGCCTAACCCACGGGAAGTAAGCTTGATCCTGTCGGAAGCTGACTTGGCCAGCCAGAAGTGAGGATGAGGCTTAGTTGGCAAGGTTGGGATGAGAGGGCCTAATCCTTCTCAGGGGCCTTCTGCTTTCTGCCAGATGCAGTGCAGTTTCTTACCTTTTTTTTTTTGAAGATAGTTTTTTTTTTTTTCCTGAGATGGAGTTTCACTCTTGTTGCCCAGGCTGGAGTGCAATGGTGCGATCTTGGCTCACTGCAACCTCTGCCTCCCGAGTTCAAGTGATTCTCCTCCCTCAGCCTCCCAAGTAGCTGGGATTACAGGTGTGTACCACTATGCCTGGCTAATTTTTTTTATTTTTAGTAGAGACAGGGTTTTGCCATGTTGGCCAGACTGGTCTCGAACTCCTGACCTCAGGTGATCTGCCCACCTTGGCCTCCCAAAGCACTGGGAACACAGGCGTGAGCCACCGTGCCAGGCTGAAAATAGTTACTTTTAATAGTAATGTTATTCATGTTAGCATATAATAGGTTCGTTGTTATTTTTATAATAAATGAATTAATGCATTTCTTTAAATTCTCAATTTTAATTTGTAATATGGTAAATACAGATAGATTTAACCCATGTAAATAAAATTTATTTGGGGTCTTCTGATTTATTAGAGTATAAATGGATACTGAGACCAAAAGTTATGTACTGTTCTAATACATAAGGCATGTGCCTCAACTTATTTAGATCTTCAGTAGTTTCAACAAATGTTTATAATTGTCACTCTACAAATCTTGCACATCTTTGATTATATTTATTGCTAGATATTTACATATTTTGATGCTATTGTAAATGCTATATTTAAATTTACATTTTTAAAATTGTTGTAGGTATGTAGAAATACCATTTTTTTCCTGTTTTGCATACAGTGACCTTGCTAAATACTCTTGTTCATTTTAATAAATATAGTGCTTTGGGTATTTTTAATAGGTAAACTAGGAATAAAAGGGAATCTTCTTTACCTGATAAAGGATATCTGCAAATATAAAATTAAGCAAAAATTATACATAATGATGAAATGATAAAAATAATTCCCTTTAATATCAGAAAGAAGACAAGAGTGCTTTCTATTCCCTACTTCTATTCAACATTGCAACTGGAAGTTCTAGCCAGTGCAGTGAGGCAAAGAGGGAAAGAAAGGTACAATGATTGGAAAATGAAATAGGGGGCATATGGCTGTCAGATAAGTGGCAGATGTCCCTACTGTACTTTGCTGTAGTTTTTTTGTTTTTTCAGACACCTTATCAAGTCGAAGAGGTTTTCTTCTAATTCTAGTTACTAAAAGTTTTTTGATCTATTTTAGAATTAATTCATGTGTCCTTGGCATCTACCACTGATGTGGTTTGGGCTGTGTCCCCACCTACATCTCATCTTGTAGTTCCCATAATTCCCACATGTTTTGGGAGGGACCCAGTGGGAGGTAACTGAATTATGGGGGCGGCTACCCCCATGCTGTTCTTGTGATAGTGAGTGAGTTCTCACGAGATGTGATGGTTTTAAAAGGGGCTTCCCCCTTTGCTCGTCTTTCATTCTCTCTCTTGCCACCCTTTGAAGAGGTGCCTTCCGCCATGATTGTAAGTTTCCTGGCTGGGCCAGTGGCTCATGCCTGTAATCCCAGCACTTTGGGAGGCCGAGGCAGGCGGATAACTTGAGGTCAGGAGCTTGAGACCAGCCTGGCCAGCATGGTGAAACTCCATCTCTACTAAAAATACAAAAAAAGATTAGCCACGTGTGGTAGTACATGCCTGCAGTCCCAGCTACTGAGGAGGCTGAGGCAGGAGAATCGTTTGAACCCAGGAGGTGGAGGCTGCAGTGAGTCGAATTGCACCACTGCACTCCAGCCTAGGCAACAGAGCGAAACTGCCATCTCAAAAAAAAAAAAAAAAAAAGTAACTTTCCTAAGGCCTCCCCAGCCATGCAGAATTTTGAGTCAATTAAACCTCTTTTCTTTATAAATTACCCAGTCTTGGTATTTCTTCATAGCAGCGTGAGAATGGACTAATACAACCATAGATGCAGACTCTTTTAAAATTTTTTATTCCTAAACAATTTCAAATATACAGGAGAATTATTGAATAAATAATACAAAGAACTTTGGTATATCCTTCCCTGAGATTCACCAACTGGTAACATTTTACTACATTTGCATCTCTCTGTCTAGATATCTACACAGACATCATTATTGTTCTAAAATAATTTGACAGTAAATTGTAGACATTATGCTCCTTTGCCCCTAAATACTTCAGTCTGTATTTCCCAAGAGCAAGGATATTCTCTTTACTAACCACAATGTAGTCAACAAAATCAAGAAACTTAACACTGATATAATACTGTTATCTATAGTCCATTTTCCACTTTTGTCAATTTCCCCAATAATGTCCTTGATAGTAATTTTCTCCTGATCCTAAGATCCAATCTAACATCATCTATTGCATTTGGTTGTCATATCACTAGTTTTCTTCAGTCTGGAATACTATGAGTTTTAATCATGAGTAAATGTTGAAACTTAATAAATGTGTTTTTCTGCATCTATTAAAACGATAACATAGTTTTTTCCTCTAATTTGTTAATGTGAATTACCTTAATTGATTTTTCTAAAGTTAAATGAACTTTGCATTTCTTGGATTGATCCCAACTTAATCATTATGTATTAATGTTTTAAAATATTACTGGACTTACCTTTCTAAACTTGGTTCAGAATTTTTGCATCTACTGATAATTTCATAGTGGGATTGGCCGTAATTTACTTTCTCGTTATTTTTCAGGTTTTGGTGTCTGATTTATATTGATTTCATAAAAATGAATAGAGTGTGTACTATCTTTTGTACTCTTAAATCATTTCTGTAAGATTATATGTTTCTTTACCTGGCTAGTAAACCAGGTAGATTGTTTGTGGAACTATTTTAAGCTGGTGATTCAATTTATTTATTTTATGCAATAATAATAACTTCTTGTTTTTATTTAATTTTTATAGGGGAAAAGCTCAAACATGTTCAAAATAGAGAGAATAATATAATGAACCCATGTGCTTATTAGTCATGTTCATCAATGACCAACACATGGCCCATTAAATTTTGTCTTTAACCTCATATACTTCCTCCTCTTTTTACTGGATTATTTTAAAGCAAATCTAAGTTAGTGTATCATTTCATTTAAAAAATATTTTGGTAGGTTTATCATTTTTAATTAACAAATTTAAATTTTCATTTTGAAGTAAACTTAGCCTTTGAAAAAGTTGCAAAAGTAGTGTGACAATTTTCTGTGTAACTTTTACCCAGCTACCCAAGATGTCAACATCTTATGTAACCATAGTACATTAATGAAAAACAGAAAATTAACATTCTTATAATACTATTAACTACTCTATACACCTTATTCAGATGTCACCAACTGTCCAACGGATGTTCTTTTCAATTCTGGGATCCATTTTAGGATTCTGCATTTAGTTGCATTTAGTTGTCATTTGTCTTTAGTCTCCTGAAAGCTGGTACAGTTCCTCAGTCTTTTCTTGTCTTCCATGACTAGGCCCATTTGAAGAGTATGGCCAGTTATTTTGTAGAATCTCCCTCAATCTGGATTTGTCTGATGTTCCCTCATTATTAGATTGAGGTTATGCATTTTTGGCAAGAATACTACAGAAATAATGTTGTGCCCTTCTCAGGGCAGCATATCAGCAGGCACAAGGTATCACTATGTCTCATTACTACCAATGTGAATGCTGATCAGTTGGTTAGAGTGGTATGGTAGGCAGAATAATATCCCCAAAGATGTCCATATCCTTATCCCCAGAACCTGTGAATATGCTACTTTACATGGCAAAAGGGATCCTGCAGACGTGATTAAGTTAAAGATCTTGAAATGGGGAGTGATATAGGCAATGTTCGTGTCCCTCCCCCCTCCTCCCCCTGGCAAATTCATCTGTTGAAATCTTAACCCTCAGTGTGATGGTATTAGGAGGTGGAGGCTTTGGAATGTTATTAGGTCATGAGGACAGAACTCTTGTAAATGGGATTGGTGCTCTTATAAAAGAGACCCCAGAGAGCTCTCTTGCCACTCCACCATGTAAGAACACAGCCAGAGGAGAGCTGCCTGTGAACCAAGAAGCAGGCCCTCACCAGACACTGAGTCTGCCAGCACCTGGATCTTGGACTTCCAGCCTCCAGAAGTGTGAGAAAGAAATTTCTGTGGTTGATAAGCCACCCAGCCTGTAGGACTTTGCTATAGTAGCCCAAACAGACTAAAATTGGGAGATTATCCTGGATTATCCAGGCAGCCCCAACATATTCAGGAGAGTTCTTATAAGAGAAAAGGGAGGCAGGTGAGTCTGAGTCAGAGAAGGAGGTGTGATGATGGAAGCAGAGGTCAAAGTGATGCGGGGCCATAAGCCAAGGAATGCGGTCAGCCTCTAAAAGCCGCAAAAGGTAGGAACCAGATTCTCCCTGGGTATTCCACAAGGAATGCAGCCTGGCTGACACCTTGCTTTTAGTCCAGAGAGACTCATTTTTGGCTTTTGACCTCCAGAACTGCAAGACACTACATTTGTGTTGTTTTAAGCCACTAAGATTCTTCTGGTAATTTGATACCACAGCAATAGGATGCTAATACAAGTAGTGACTGTAGATTTCTCTGTAAAATTATTTTTCTTTGCAATTGTGGGAAGATATTATGAGACCATGTACATATCCCATTTCTTTTTATTTTTATTCACTGAATTTAGAATTTAGAATCTACTAATGATTGTTGCCTGCAGCAACTATTATTATGGTGTTTGCCACATGGTAATTTTCTATTTCTGTCAATCCTTCTGTCTTTATTAATTGGGATTCTACTGCAGTATCTCAAGGACTCAGTTCTTTTTTTAAAAAAAAAAACACAATACTCTTGTTATAGCTAAAAATTAACAGTAACTCCTCAATAACCTCAAATATCCAGTTGGTGTTCAAATTCCCCCAGATTGTTCTGATAAGATTTTTTAATTGTAGATTTGTCTTAAACAGGTACTACACAGACAGGGTTGGCACACTGCATTTGATTGATATGTCTCCTAATTCTTCCAATCAAAAGGTTCCCTCTTTTTATTTCCCTTGTCAACATTATCTATTGAAGAATCATGATATGCTCTAGAGAACTTCTCACATTCTGGATTTTTCTGATGGTATCCTGTAACTTGTTCCTGGTTCCCTCGTATTTTCTGTAATTTGGTAATTCAGTTTAGGATCTTGATCAGATTCCAGTTCAATTTTTTGGCAAAAACTCTATGTAATTAGTATTGTATACTCACAATTGTACATGCCAGGTGCGTATAATTGTCTAATTGTTGCTCTTTTGTGATATGCAGTTTGACTGGGGGTTCAGGTGTTGCCAGCCTGATCCTCTATTATAAAATTCTGCCATCAACTTTTGCCAAATGGTTTCAGGAGCCAGTGATACTCCTTGACTCAATCATTTTCCAAAATAGTAATTCTGTTTGTTTCTTTATTTGTATTTTTAGAGAAAGAATATATGTATTGGTTAGTGAAATCAGTCAGAAAACTAATAAAGGCTTACGCAAATAAAGGATGATTTTTCTCACTTAAGAAGGTTGGAGGTAGGCAGTGCAGGGTGGGGGCAGGGATTTGATGTGAAAGGAGTGAAGGACATGCCATCCCCAAATACGCTCAATTGGCATATTGATTATTTTGAGTTGAAAACATTGAGAAATTGTAGTTTCAGAAAGGACAAGCTGACCTATCTCTTCCTGCATGTAGCAAGCTATAAAGATTCCTCTGGGAGGAGTACCCTCTCCATACCAGGGAGAGGAAATAGCCCTTATCACCAGAGACTTGGAATTGAATGCTACGATGAACCTGAATAAACATACCTAACAAAGCAACCTTTATCTTCCACCTATTGTATACTCCCTCACATATATCTACTAGTGACTTCCCTAGACAATTTTGCTGCCCTGGCCACATTTTCTTTGTTCTGTCATTTCTTCTAAAATTTATTGCTCTTTTTCTAAAAAGTATAAAAGCATCTGGCTTTGGCCAGTTCTTCAGGCTTCACTCTCTTGTGAAGTCCCCATAGACATGTAGTAAAACTAATAAACTTTGTATACTTTTCTCTTGTTAATATGCCTGATGTCAATATGGTTTCTAGATCCAGGTAAAGAACTCATTAATAGCTAAAAGGAGGATTGGAGGTGCTCTCTAGCTCTCCTACAATGTCATCAAAACCCTGTGTATCCTTCATGCTTTCTGCTTCACAGTCACAAAATGGCTGCATAGTTCCCGGCATCACATACTCACTCAAGACAAGAAGAAAGATGTAGAGGTGGCCTGGGTTGCTTTCATTCTTGTTATTAGGAACATAAAAGTTTTTCTTGAAGTTATTCATAGCTGCAAGAGACTGTGAAAGTGAGTTCTTAGATTTGTCTTTATAAAGGAAAGTAACAAATGTGAAGGGGCTTGGGAATGGATGGGAGCGAGTGAAACAATGTCACAACACTGGAGTCACTGTAGGAAGATTCACGAGAACTAACCTCAGGAGTACAGACTTTCTTCTGCAGAATATGAAGAACCATTAAAGATTTTGGTCCAGGGACCAACATATCCAACACGAGGTTGTAGAGACTGAACCCAGCAGGGCTGAGTTCAGCCAGGTGGACTGTGGCAGTGGGGCCTCAAGGAAAGGGCTCAGTCAAGAGGTGACTGGAGCTGTCCACCAGGGCAATTTA
This sequence comes from Homo sapiens, assembly GCF_000001405.40. NCBI lineage: Eukaryota > Metazoa > Chordata > Mammalia > Primates > Hominidae > Homo > Homo sapiens. The sequence goes on from NC_000007.14 coordinate 36,003,996, forward strand.
CACAAGGAATTTGTGCCTTGTGACTATTAAAAATTATTATTTCCATTTGTTTTGTAAACAGGAGAGATGACAAGCTCTAAAGCCCAGAATTTCTTTCTTGTTTTATTTAAAATCTATTAAGGAATTAAGAATAGCAATATAGTTTGGATATTATTCCCCTGCAAATCTCATGTTGAAATTTGATCCCTTAGAAGTGGGGATTAAAGCGAGGTGTTTGGGTCATGGGGGCCATCATCCGCCCATCTTGGCCTCCCAAAGTGGTGCCATTCTTGAGGGATTGAGTGAACTCTCACTCTCAGTTCCCTCAAGATCTGGTTGTTAAAGAGTCTGGCACCTCCCTCCTCCCTGTCTTTCCTCCTCTCTTGTCACATGATGCCATCTCTTATTCCCTTTCTGCCATGAGTGGAAGCTTCCGGAGGCCCTCACCAGAAGCAGATGCTGCTGCTATGCTTCCTGTAAAGCCTGGCAGAACCATATTGCCCAGCCTCAGGTATTCCTTTACAACAATGCAAAATGGACTAAGACAAATAGTGTATACTGCTGCACAACAATGTAAATGCACCTAATATCACTAGGCTGTATACTTAAAAGTGGTTAAGATGGTAAATTTTGGCCAGGCACGGTGGCTCATGCCCGTAATCCCACACTTTGGAAGGCTGAGGCGGGAGGATCACTTGAGGCTAGGAGTTCAAGACTAGCCTGGCCAACATAGTGAAACCCCCATCTCTACTAAAAATACAAAAATTAGCCAGGCATGGGGACACATGCCTGTAATCTCAGCTACTCGAAAGGCTGAGGCATGAGAATTGCTTGAACCTGGGAGGTGGAGGTTGTAGTGAGCTGAGCTCACACCATTGCACTTCAGTCCGGGCAACAGAGTAAGACTTCATCTCAAAAAAAAAAAAAAAAAAAAAAAAGACGGTAAATTTTATGTTATGTATATTTTACCACAATTAAAAATTTTGTTTTTAAATATATTGGGGAGAAAATGCTCAGAGAATAAATAATTCATCAGTAAATAAGAGATCAGGGTAGCAGGAAAGAAAAGAGGTACAGTATCTGACAGGGGCCACATTTAGCCCCCTTTTGGGACAAGAGGAAATGAGGAAGAGAGGGCATAGAAAGAGCACTGGCCTTGCAGTTACTTGGGTTTAAAGCATGGTTCTGAATTTGAACTATTCTGTAACCTTCATAAGCTTCAGTAACACTTTCTGTACAATTGGGATAATAGTACCACTTTCTGCCTATCATAGGGAGGATGTAAGGAATCAAACCAGACAGTGAAATCAAATAAGTAATACACTCTGAGTATACCCATTTTGTAAACTTTACCTCTCCACATTCCAAACAGGTTCAATTTGCTGCCAAGTCAAGCTGCTGCTATGAACCAGCCAGCTCTGACCTACCCATTGAATTTCATCTCAAGACACAGAACATTTGATTTCAAACCATAGAGTGAGGAGGTAGACCAGGGAGGAAGCAGCATCTGTATAGCACGTTTCCTTTCTCCTCCCACTTGCGGGCACTTGGGAAAGCAATCTGAGTGTTCCAAAAGGTCACACACTGTCTAGGCCATGTCAGTGGTGGCTATTCCTCGCTACAGCTGGTAAATTGATATTTAATAGATTTAATAGTTTTTCATTACTTTTAAGAGTCTGATAATGGAAACATTAAATAAATGTAACATATATAAATATAAATACAAAAGAATTGTGTGCCTCTTTTGCATGTGGAATTTAAGAACAAGAGCTTCATCACTGCTGGGTCTGATATCAACATTGCCTGCTTAAAACATAGCAGTGGCTTACAAGGATCTTGACACTACACAGGATGGATGGCTTTTGGTAACATGGAAACTGGTCATCCTGTTTATGGATGGCTATTTTTCTGCCCTCCTTTCATCCCCTTTTCTCAGACAGTTCTATTGGTGAACATATTCACCAAAGTAGAGGAAGGGAGAGAAGATGAAAAATCATGTAGATGTTACAAGTGCTGTCTCCAGCAAGGCTTAGATAAGAGGATTGAGATCATTGCACACCATCTACAAATGTCAAATATTTGTATTATTCAGATCCCCATTATGGCAGAAAACTGCTGAGTTATCTCCTTCCCTAGTCTTTATCTAGAAGGATGGTGTTTCTCACTGTATGTACTTGGGACTGCTAATGGCCCATGTGGATGAGCCAGGAGTTAGTCTTACAGTATTAATGATTATGACTTAGTTTCTTGGCTTGAATAGATAATTCATTCATCATTGCTTGACTGTACAAGACCAGTCCTTCATCACTGGGTGCACACACAAGTGGCTGTTCCACAGTGTTCCCAGGAGGCTTAAAGACCCCTGATTCCATATTTTGCCTTCAGATATCTGGGTTGGGGCCTAGTTTTCATGACTGGTTTAGACTTTCTGCAACTAAAGAGCTTAATCTTTGGTTCTTGGACCTCTGTGGATTTTGGTGGCCTCCAAAAGAGGAGTTGTGAAGGTTTCTCTAACAACCCTGACTCCACGGGTTCCTTACAGTCTCAGCCAAGTTTCCATCTGCCCCATCTCCCCCAGCAGCCAGTGGGAGAGGGTCTGACACCTGTGTGTTTATGAGAAAGTGGCATCATCTCGGTGCCTCACGGAGAGCTATGCCAGGCAGCTCCTCATTGCAAAGATGTGGTGTTTTTAACTAATACGGTATAACCTAGATATCAACCAGGGTCTCAGGACCTTTTCAGAGTTAGATAAGATTGATTCAAACATTTTCCCATTGGTTGTAGAAGTACAGAGCTGTGGCAAGATTTATCTGAATTCCTGGAGGTTTTTTAGTATCAACTCTTCTCTAAATTAGTTTCTTTGCCAAGTTTTGTTCTCCTCTCTGCATCTGGCAGCTGTTCTTCATTTCTGCTGTTCCTTTGATCCAACCCAGGGTCACAGAGCTTTCTTCTGCTTTGCTACTGCGGTGGGTGGCAGCGGAGACAGAGGGAGACTCTGAGCCCTCCCATTAAAGCCCCTCTTCCAAAGCCTTGAGACGCAGAGTAGGCTTCCAAGCACCCAGTGGGAGGGACTCAGCACACAGAGAGCGCTGCTGAAAGTCCTTTTCAAAAGCCCTACCTGTCCTTGCCATCAGCCTTTTCACTCCTGATTCTGATGAGGAGTTTAAGGGTTATGAAACCAATATTTGGGTATCTTATTTGCATAGTTGCCTCTCAGACTGCCCCCCCACAACCACCACATTGGAATATCATAATTAGTGTGTCTTATTCAGGTATGGGGTGGTTTTAGGGCCCGCACCTCACAGTCGTTACCGCCTCCAAGTCCTGGCTTGAACCTCAAGTTGATCTTCTTCTCTTTGCAAACCAGCTGAATGACTGCAGTTTGGAAGACAGAACTTGCTGGGGGGAAAGAAAAGCTTGACTATGTGCTGTTAAACACCCTGCTTAGAGAACATTCGTTTGTTGAGTTCCAAATAATTCAGCAAAGAAAAACAATCTCACTGTTTCAAAAATGTAGTTTCATTGTTGTAAAATGAATTATTTGATTAATGGCAGTATTTTAGATTTTTTAAAATGTCTTAATTACTTACTATTTTGAACTGAAATATTATTATCAAAAGATTTTGTCCCACTTAAGAGGCAATGGCTTGTCTCCCAAGGGTTGTGCAGAGGCACCAGTGGGATGTTAATAACCCATGGTCATTTATATATTTATTATTATTTATGATTACAACTGTAATTCCGGGTTCAAAATATTTTGAACATGCAGAGTTGAATTACATAGAATGTGAAAATCCCAGACCGGGCGCGATGGCTCACATCTGTAATTCCAGCACTTTGGGAGGCTGAGGTGGGTGGATCACCTGAGGTCAGGAGTTCGAAACCAGCCTGGCCAACATGGTGAAACCCCGTCTCTATTAAAAATACAAAAATTAGCTGGGCATGGTGGCAGGCGCCTGTAATCCCAGCTACTCGGGAGGTTGAGGCAGGAGAATCGCTTGAACCCGGGAGGCAGAGGTTGCAGTGAGCTGAGATCAAGCCATTGCACTCCAGCCTGAGCAACAAGAGCAAAACTCCATCTCAAACCAACAAACAAACAAATAAACAAAGAACGTGAAAGTCCCTCAAATACCCCAACCTAATCACCAGAAATGGTTGCTTTGATTACTTCCTATGTATATATTATCTTAAAATGTTATTAATTTTTTTTTTTTTTTTTTTTTGAGACGGAGTCTCGCTCTGTCGCCCAGGCCGGACTGCGGACTGCAGTGGCGCAATCTCGGCTCACTGCAAGCTCCGCTTCCCGGGTTCACGCCATTCTCCTGCCTCAGCCTCCCGAGTAGCTGGGACTACAGGCGCCCGCCACCGCGCCCGGCTAATTTTTTGTATTTTTAGTAGAGACGGGGTTTCACCTTGTTAGCCAGGATGGTCTGGATCTCCTGACCTCATGATCCACCCGCCTCAGCCTCCCAAAGTGCTGGGATTACAGGCGTGAGCCAAAAATGTTATTAATTTAGTATGACCAACAAATTTGGGTGCTCACTGGACATACTCTTCTGCAATTTGCTTCCTTTTTAACTTAACAATACCTCTTGTCCATTCTCAATGTCAGTTCACAAATTACTCATCATTCTGTTTTTTGGGTGTATAACTTGTTGATTGACTTTTTATTATTTCTGGGTTTTCCCTTTTATAAACAAGTTGAGTAGAAAAAAATCCTTGCACATATATCTTAATGAACTCGTCTGAGAATTTTGCAGTATACATTCCCAGAAGTGGGACTCCCACATGGAAGGATAGGCATATTTCAGGATAGTGCTAAGTTGTGTGTTAGTTTTACATGGGCAGACATGATGCCCACACCCTCATTGACATCAGGTATCAGTCATTGAAAAACATCTTTGTAATTTTTTTTTTTTTTTTTTTGAGATGGAGTCTTGCTCTGTCACCCAGGCTGGAGTGCAGTGGCGTGATCTCGGCTCACTGCAAGCTCTGCCTCCTGGGTTCACGTCATTCTCCTGCCTCAGTCTCCCGAGTAGCTGGGACTACAGGCACCCACCACCATGCCTGGCTAATTTTTTTGTATTTTTTAGTGGAGACGGGGTTTCACCATGTTAGCCAGGATGGTCTTGATCTCCTGACCTTGTGATCCGCCCGCCTCGGCCTCCCAAAGTGCTGGGATTACAGGCGTGAGCCACTGCGCCCAGCCTGTAATTCTTATAGATGAAACTGATGTCCTTATTTAAGTTTGAATTTTTGTTTGTTTGTTTGTTTGTTTTTTTGAGACAGAGTTTCACGTTTCACTCTTGTTGCCCAGGCTGGAGTGCAATGGCACAATCTCGGCTCACCACAACCTCCACCTCCTGGGTTCAAGTGATTCTCCTGCCTCAGCCTCCCGAGTAGCTGGAATTACAGGCGCCCTCCACTACATCCAGCTAATTTTGTATTTTTAGTGGAGACGAGGTTTCTCCAAGTTGGTCAGGCTGGTCTCGAACTCTCAACCTCAGGTGATCCGCTTGCCTTGGCCTCCCAAAGTGTTGGGGTTACAGGCGTGAGCCACCACACCTGGCCTTAGTTTGAATTTCTTAATTCTCATATTGTGTCTCCTGTTCTACAAAATGCCTGTTTATGTCCTTTTCACTCTTGGCTTGTTCATTATTTTCTCATTGATTTGTAGAAACTTTTCACTTATTTAGGATATTAGGATTTTGTAATATATAATGTAAGTATGTTTTCTCAGGTTGTGGTTACATGTCTTGCCTTTGTTTATGATGTTCTAATGTTAACAGAGAAGTTTTAAAATTTTTTGTAGCCAAATTTATCAATCTTTTCCTTTATGGTTTCTAGCTTTCCTGTGACGCTGGAAAGGCCTCTCCCTCTTGAAGGTTATAAAAATATTCAGCCATGTTTTCTCTGAAACTTCCATGGTTTTATTCCTTATATTAAAATATTATTTCCTTTGGGAATTTACTCTGATCTGATGTTGGAAGGCAGACAGGGCTCTGGCCATATTTCCTAACAGTGGTCTTGGGAATCCAAAGACAACCGGGTGTGAATACAAACTGCGTGACATTAGGCGAGTGGCTAATATTCTCTGTGTCCTCGATTCCTCCTCTGTGAAATGGGAATAACCATGGAATGTATTTCATAATTGTGCAGTAAGAAGTCAATAAGACTGTAAAGCAAAGAACAGTGACTGGGACATAGTAAACCCTCAGTCTGGGCTGCTAGTTCTGTGTCATTCTTCCGAGCTAGCCTGTCTTTCCAATGCCACAGCTGGAAGAATCTTCTTTCCCCAGCTGTGAAATGCCCCCTGTTAATGGAAGACACATGCCAGGCTCCCAGGGGCCCTGTTGGTTTCTGGGCTCACTCTTCTGTCCATCTGCTTCAGGGCCAGTTCCTCCTCCATGTCCCTAGGGTTTGCTCACTCCTGGCCTGGGAAGTCTCGCCACCCTCTCACTGCTCAGAGCCTTCTCACCTCCGGAACCAACTTGCTCTCCTGCTCTCATTCCCTTCAGCTCCTGTAGCTACAGCCAGACCCATCCACCTTCTGGCATCTCTTCCTAAGTTTTCTTTAAATGTACCAAGAAGAGTGAGACCTTTGGTTATCCTTAATTTTCAGATTTAAAAACCAGAGAATTAGAGAGGGTAGCTTTAGGGTAGGACGGACTGTGTTCTTTTCTCAGCTCTGCCATAGACTGGTCAATTCACTTACCTTCTCTGAGCCCCAGTTCCCATCTGTAAAACAGGGACAAGAATGCCTGCCTTTGGGGGTTGTTAGGAAGATCCCGTGGAGATGCACACACCCCTAGCATAGTGCCTAACACACGGGAACCAGCTTCCAAGTGACAAGGCCTGACAGTCAGAACTTCTGATTCCAGATCCAGGACAGGCTGGCCCTACCATCTGCCTTCCTAAAGCTGGCTGGCTAGGAAGATTGGACTATGTCACAGGATGGTCTTCGGATCTCATCAAAATCTCATCTAGGCCCTTCTCTGGGGATTGCACCTTCTTCAGGATGCTCATTCCAGCCAGTAATGTGCTCCAACTGAATGCCAACTGCAGCCCAGCTAATTGCTACTGCTAAATATATAATGAGCCCTGTACCGCTCAAGCAGCATGTCTTCTTCACCATGGTGATCAGGCGGCTTCTGTCTCCAAACACATTCCTCTGCAGCATATGTCTAGAGACAGAAGGAGCCAACAGAACTGTGCGTCTGGCAAAGGAGGGTGCCCCCACCCCCGAGCCCCTGGCTGTTAGAATCCAGTGGCCTGGCTCTGCCCTCTGGGAAGTCCGTTCTTCGGAAACCCTCCTGTCAACACCAAATTCACAAATTTCCATCACCTAAAATGGATTCAGGAAAGAAGCACCCAAGAGCGGGAGACTACACAGGTAACAGCTGCGAAGCTGGGGTAAATCACAGAGGCAGGATTCACTGGGATCATTCAGAAAGTGATACAGCAAATCCTAGAAGCACCCACAGGAATCCTCTCTAGAAGATTCTCTTTAAGGATGAAGCTAAAAAATGTAGATGCCTCAAGAGAGCTTCTTGCTTCTAAAGTAATTGTAAGATAAGCAATTCTCAGGGTCCTTTTGGAGCAAGGGACAGACAGAAAGCAGTGTGTGGGGGCTGCAGCTGGCAGGGGCCAGCCCACGTGTGATGACTGCAGCTCTCTCTCCTGGGACTCGTTCCCATGGCCTTCTCTGCCATCATCAGCCAAGGCAACCTTGCCTGGCCCCGATTTTCATTTAAGTGCCTTTGGGCTGCCTCCCATGGAGTTCAGTGGCACCATGCTGGTGCCTCACGGAGCTTAGTTATTGAATACTAAAGCCGCTCCTGCCGGCCCTTCCCCTGCACCATGCAGTGAAGCTCTCAGTTCACGGTGAAGATTCCTTACCTCACATGCTGCTGCGTGGAGCTGGCTTTAGTTTCCATGTTGCTGATTAGGAAGCCCAATTCATGGATTGAAGCCTTTTTCCCCAAGCTGCCGCCTCAGGTCCCACAACCACAGAACCAGAGGATTCGATGGCCCTGCTTCAACTCTTCCGAGGGTGCTGGGGGCTGCCTGGGGTGGAGGAAGCGAATCAACAGGACGTCCCCTACGCAACTTAAGTAGGGGTCTCAATTTTATCTGTTTTACAGATTTTTAAAAATCCATATAAGATTTCATTGGAAAAAGAGTTCAGAGGCTAAAAAGATGGGGAAAGTCAGTGCTTTGGGCACGTGATCTTTTTAATTAATTATTTATTTATTTAAAAAAATTTTTTTGAGAGTCTGGCTCTGTAGCCCAGGCTGGAGTGCAGTGGTGCGATCTTGGCTCACTGCAACTTCTGTCTCCCAGGTTCAATCGATTCTCCTGCTTCAGCCTCCCGAGTAGCTAGGATTACAGGCACCTACCACCACACCCAGCTAATTTTTTGTATTTTTAGTAGAGACAGGGTTTCACTGTGTTAGCCAGGCTGGTCTTGAACTCCTGACCTCAGGTAATCCACCTGCCTCGGCCTCCCAAAGTGCTGGGATTATAGGCGTAAACCACTGTCCCTGGCCGTGATCTTTTTTAAAAACAGCTATATTGAGATATAATTTACATACAATATAACACGTCCTTTTTAGTAAACAGTTCTGAGTTCTGTGAATCACACACTCATGTAACTGCCACTGCAATCAAGATGTAGAACATTTCTATCACTCCAAAATTTCCACCTGCCCCTTCGTGGCCAACTACAAGTCAGCCCACCCCCAGCTCCTGGAAGATGGAGATCTATTTTCTGTTCTTATAGTTTTCCCTTTTCCAGAGTGTCATATAAGTGAAGTGATAACATATGCTGCCTTTTTATTCTGAAATAACTGTAGATTCACACACAATTGTAAGAAATGTTTCTGAGAGATCCCCTATATCCTTTATTCAGTTTTATCAGTGGTAACATGTTACCAAACTACAGGATAATATCACAACCAGGATATTGACATTGATACAGTCAAGACATAGAGGATTTCCATCACCACAGAGATCCCTCTGTTGACCTTTTTTTTTTTGAGACTGAGTCTCACTCTGTCACCCAGGCTGGAGTACAGTGGTACAATCTCGGCTCACTGCAGCCTCTACCTCCCAGGTTCAAGCAATTATCCTGCCTCAGCCTCCCAAGTAGCTGGGATTACAGGCACCCACCAACAAGCCTGGCTAATTTTTGTATTTTAGTAGAGATAGGGTTTCACCATGTTGGCCAGGCTGGTCTTGAACTCCTGAACTCAAGTGATCGCCTGGCCTCGGCCTCCCAAAGTGCTGGGATTACACCCGTGAGCCACCGCGCCCGGCCACTGTTGACTTTTTATGACTGCATCTGCGTCCTTTTCACTCCTATTTCCTTCTTAGCCTCTGGCAAACACTATTTGTTTCTCCATTTCTATAATTTTATCATTTCAAGAATGTTTTGTAAGTGGAATCATACAGTATGGAAACTTTAAGGACTGGCTTTTTTTCACTCAGCATAATTCTCTGGGGAGTCATCCGGGTTGTTGAGTACATGAATATTTAGTCCCGTTTTATTGCTGAGTGGTATCCCATGGTAGGAGGTAGTACAATTTGTGTAATCATTCACCCATAGAAAGACATCTGAGTTGTTTCCAGTTTGGGGCTCCTATGAATAAAGCTGCTATAAACATTTGTATACAGTTTTCTGTGTAAACCAAAGTCTTCATTTCTCTGGGATAAATGCCTGTAAAGTTGCTGGTCATATGGTAGTTGCATGTTTAGTTTTTAAAGAAACTGTCAAACTGTTTTCCAGAGTGGTTGTACTGTTTCACATTCCCACCAGCAACACATGAGGGATCCAATCTCTCTGCACCCTGGAAAGCATTTGGTGTTGTCACTATGTTTTATTTTAGCCATTCTGATATGTGCATGTTGGTCTCTCATTGTGGCTGTAATTTGCATTTCCTTAGTGACTTATGATGCTACCCATCTTTTTCTGTGCTATCTGTGTATGTTCTTTGGTGAAATGTCTCTTGACATCTTTTGTCCATGTTCTACTTGGATTGTTTTCTTTTTTACTGTTGAGCTCTGAGAGTTTAAAAATAGGCCAGGCACAGTGGCTCGTGCCTGTAGTCCCAGCACTTTGGGGGGCTATATGGTTTGGCTCTGTGTCCCCACCCAAATCTCATCTTGAATTGTACTCCCATAATTCCCATGCGTTGTGGGAGGGACCCAGTGGGAGATGACCGAATCGGGGGGACAGTTTCCCCCATACTGTTCTGGTGGTAGTCAATAAGTCTCATGAGATCTAATGGTTTTATAAGGGGTTTCTACTTTCGCTTCTCTCTCTTCTCTTGTCTGCCACCATGTGAGGTGTGACTTTCACCTTCCTCCATGATTGTGAGGCCTCCCCAGCCATGTGGAACTGTGAGTCCATTCAACTTCTTCCTTTTGTGAATCGCCCAGTCTTGGGTATGTCTTTATCAGAAAGGTGAAAATGGACAAATACAGGGGCCAAAGCAGGAGGGTCGCTTAAGCTCAACAGTTCAAGACCAGCCTGGGCAACAAAGTGAGAACCACTTCTCTCCAAAATTTTTTTTGAATAGCCAGGTTAATCTTATATGTATTTTTTAGTTATTCATTTTTTGTCACATATGTGATTTGCAACTATTTTCTGTCACTCTGGCAGCCTGTCTTTTCATTCTCTTAACAGGATCTTTGTAGAGCAAAAGTTTTTCATTTTTATTGCTCACTGAGGTATTTCTATCAGGGCTTCTTTAAAATTTTTGTCTAATGATCCTAGCATCTCAGTCATCTTAATGTTCACATCTATTGATTGTCTTTTTTCTCCAAATTTGACATTTTCCTGGTTCTTCAATAGGCCAAGTGATTTTTGTAATCGAAAATGAGACATTTTCATATGATGTAATGAGACTCTGGCTCTGATTTCAACCTCCTGTTGTAGCTGGCTTTTTGTGGCACTGCTCCTGCAGGGGAGGCGGAAGGCACCACCTGATTACCGCCAGGTGGAGGTCACAGCTCAGGCTCCCCACCAAGCCTCTGCTGACACCCAAGGGGGGAGGTTCCTTGTTACGGGGCAGGGTGGGAGTTCTGACTCCCTCGTCTCCGAGGTCGGGGTGGCCTCATTACTGCCAGGAGACCGTGAAAGTTCTGACTCTCCATTTGGCCTCCTCTGACACTGCCCCAGTGAGGAAGGGAAGGGGCACCCCGTTACTGCCAGGAGCGAACGGAAGGCCAGGCCCCCTGTAGGGTTTCCTCTGACACTGGAGAGCTGGGGTTTCATTTCCAACTGACAGGGATGGAAGTGCAGGCTCCCCAACTTGGTTTTTTTTGACACCACCTCTGGACAGGTGTTAGGAGCCTCCTTACAGCCTGGCTGCCAGCTCCCCACTTGGTCTTTGCTGGCATGAATGGGGAGAGCACAGTTTTTTTCTATGATAATTTTGCTGGAGTAGAGCAGTAATTGTCTAAAAGTTTTCTGTCTTGCTAGGCTGCCCCTTCCCTGGTGCTTTGCCTTCGAGAGGAGGGGCCTTTCTTGGGGCTCTTCTTGTCTATGATGGTTGGTGTTTCTAGAAGGCCACCTCTTCAGCTCCAAATCTGGGATATACAGGGACAAAAAGAAAACCCAGTGTCATCACTCAGGTCCCAAGATGTCTAGCCAGTCTGTCACCTTCTCTCTGTCTTTCAGAATCTTGTGTTTATTTTACACATACATATGTAAAATATATATATTTTATATATATAAATCTTGTGTTTATTTTATGTGTATATATATATATACACACACACATATGTATATAATGTCTAGGGCATTTATTTGTAGTTAGTGAAAAGAATAGGGAAAAGTTTATCTACTCCACCTTCCCAGAAACAGAAGTCACAGTATATGGCCTTTTGAGTCTGACTTCTATCACTCAGCAGAATGCACTGAAGATTCATAATGCGATGAGTTTTGACAAAGGTATGCAGCTGCATAACCTCTATCACAAACATGACATAAAACATTCCTATTATACCAAAACATTCCCTTGGGAACATGTGATTTTGTTTTAAATGAAAATTGGGGCTGAGCATGGTGGCTCATACCTGTAATACTGGCCCTTTGGGATATCGAGGTGGGCAGATCATTTGAGCTCAGGAGTTCAAGGCCAGCCTGGGCAACATGGCAAAATCCCATCTCTACCAAAAATACAAAAAATTAGCCAGGTTTGGTGGCACATGCTGGTAGTCCCAGCCACTTGGGAGATTGAAGTGGGAGGATGGCTTGAGCCCAGGAGGTGGAGGTGGCAGTGAGCCAAGATCATGCCACCGCACTCTAGCCTGGATGATGGAGTGAGACCCCATCTCCAAAAAAAAAAAGAAAGAAAAACGAAAAGTAAATAAATAAAAAAGACGGGGAAAAAAGAAAATAAAATCGGAATGTGCTCCCTGTGGGTTCAGCTTCCAAGATGACCCCAAATGGTTCCACACCTTGCTATGCTCACTCTTATGGGACACTCTCCCATTAGTGTGGACTGGACTTCATGATACCTTCTGACCAATAAAATATGGCAGAAAGGATGGTTTGCTGCCTCTAAGATTAGGTTATAAAAGGCTTCAGCTTCCCTCATGGGTCTCCTCTCCCCTGGATCCCTTGCTCTGGGAGAAGCCAGCTGCTACTTCATGAGCACATTCAGGCGGCCTAACAGAGAGGCCCATGCAGGGAGGAACTGAAGACTTCAGGCAATAGCCAAGTGCAGGAGCCCTCTCAGAAGCAGATCCTCCCCAGTAGAGACATCCTAGATGGCTTGACTGCAACCTCATGAGAGGCTCTGAGTTAGACCCACTCAGCGAAGGTGCTCTGGACTTAGCACCTTCAGAAACTGTGAGATAATACAGTTTCGTTGTATGAAGCTGATAAGGTTTGCAGTAACTTGTTACACAGCAATGGATAACTGATACATACTCGAGTCCTCACCTCGCCCAAGTCTGATCTCTGCTTTCCAGCCCCATCCTGCCTCTCTCTCTTTGTCTCTCCACACTCCAGCCATATTGGTCTTTTGGGTTCCTCTCCCTCAAGAACTCCATGCCTAGAATGTTCTGATACCTCCTAACTTCTCAGCAATCCTTACCCTCAGTGAGTCCTGTCTGTCCTGCTGATCAGCTCTGATGTTGATTCTCCAAGGAAGGCCCTTCCTGGTTAGGCAGGTTGTCCAGTTATGCCCTTCACTTAGGGGTTTTCCTTGTCTTCCATTTGAAACACTTGCTGTAATTGCAGTGTAATACATAACTGAGTGATTCCTCATCTAACATGTCTCCCTCATTTCCAGTGGACCCTCCCTGAGGGCTGGGACTATCTGTCCTGTTCACAGCTGTGTAGGGACCAGCCCCACAGGGTCGGTGGATCTCTCCCTGTTTGCGGCGATGAGAGAGTGTAGAAAGAAAGACACAAGACAAAGAGACAAGAGAAAAGGCAGCTGGGCCCGGGGGACCACTACCACCAATGTGCGGAGACCGGTAGTGGCCCCGAATGTCTGGCTGCACTGTTATTTATTGGATACAAGGCAGAAGGGGCAGGGTAAAGAATGTGAGTCACCTCCAATGATAGGTAAGGTTACGTGGGTCACTTGTCCACTGGACAGGGGGCCCTTCCCTGCCTGGCAGCCGAGGCAGAGAGGGAGAAGAGACAGAGAGAAAGACAGCTTATGCCATTATTTCTGCATATCAGGGACTATTAGTACTTTCACTAATTTACTACTGCTATCTAGAAGGCAGAGCCAGCTGTACAGGATGGAACATGAAGGCGGACTAGGAGTGTGACCACTGAAGCACAGCATCACAGGGAGACGGTTAGGCCTCCGGATAACTGCGGGCGAGCCTGACTAATGTCAGGCCCTCCACAAGAAGTGGAGGAGCAGAGTCTTCTCTAAACTCCCCCGGGGAAAGGGAGACTCCCTTTCCCGGTCTGCTAAGCAGCCGGTGTTTTTCCTTGACACTGAGGCTACTGCTAGACCACCGTCCGCTCGGCAACAGGCGTCTTCCCAGACACTGGCGTTACCGCTAGACCAAGGAGCCCTTCTGCTGGCCCCGTCTGGGCATAACAGAAGGCTCACACTCTTGTCTTCTGGTCACACCTCACTATGTCCCCTCAGTTCCTATCTCTGTATGGCCTGGTTTTTCCTAGGCTATGATTATAGAGCGAGGATTATTATAATATTGGAATAAAAAGTACTTGCTACAAACTAATGATTAATGATATTCATATATAATCATATCTAAGATCTATATCTGGTATAACTATCCTTGTTTTAGATTTTATTATACTGGAACAGCTCGTGTCCTCTGTCCCTTGCCTCGGCGCCTGGGTGGCTTGCCGCCCACACAGCTGTATCCTATGTACCTGGCACAAGGCACAGCCCCTTGTGTGTGATGAATGGATGGAGAGATATATAGATTTCTTCTCAAGAAAGAATGTATGAGTGTAGCTTTGGGGACAGAGCATTTCCTGTAGAACTCCAAAAAACTTTCCATTTCTGAACAGAAAGTGTGTGAGTTCTTAATTAAAACAAAAAACGTGTGTGTGTGTGTGTGTGTGTGTGTGTGTATGTTAAAAAAAACACACTTACTACAGGCAGAGAGGGTGACCTTTCACTCTGGTTGTCCTCAATACAGAGTGACCCCAGAAGCTTTTACAAATTCCTGCTCTTGGGCTTCTCCTGTGTTAATTGCATCAGAATCTTGTGGGTAGAAGTGGGCATCAGGGTTTTTACAGGTGAGGGTTGAAAGCCTTGACAGGACGTCTAGGTGAGACCCTGAGGATGGTCACCTGCTTGAGGGAAGCTGCCGGAATTGAGAGTGTTCTCCAAGGGCCAGCAAGGAGGCTCCAATCTCAGACCTGGGGGTCACATTTGTGACCATGCCCCTGGTAGTGGGCTGTACTGGAGGGTATTGAGAACAGCTGCAGGGCTAGAGTCCTTGCAAAGGAGAGGGCAGTCAGGATTTGGAGGAATGGGGGCAGGGGCCCTCCTACCAGTGGGCCTTGGTGGGGCGGGGGGTACCTTTTCAAAAGGACTGGAGAAGTTCTGGTAAGAACCACCCTCAGTCCTGGGCAATCGTAGTCCTGCCCTGAGCTCTATACTTCAGGGGACCCTGCTCTGGTCCTCTCCAGGTACCCCTCTCTCAGGAGTCCTTGGGGCTTAGGGGATCTACTTATCAGAGCCTTTGCACCCCTTTCAAGACCACGCGCCAGGTCCCAGGATTCTGGAATACCTGTCCCAACGCCCTGAGCCTGCTCCCAGCTCTGTGAGAACCTCCTTCCTGGCTCCATCTGCTCCAAAGAAGACTGTGCGGCAAGTCATGCACCCTAGGCCTGAGGGTGGACAGCAAGGTGCTGTCTGCAAGCTGGTGTGGAGGGATTGGGCTGACCTGTCCATATACATGCTCATGGACCATTTGTGCTAAGAAATGGTGGCAGGGTGGGACAGGGAAGGAAGAGAAGGGAATAGACCAGGGGCCGGGCACCTCCAGTCCCCACAGTTACTGAAGGCAGGCCTGGAACATGCCCCTAATCTCTTCTCTCCTATTCAGCTCATCCCTTGAATGCATTAACCTTGTTCTTGAAACCACACTGATTGTCTCTAAGCCTGCTGTGTACCCCCTTCTCTCTGCAGACAGTGCGCCGCTCCTGGTCTGCTTCCTGGCCCCCACCCCAGCCTCCAGGCTCAGTTCTCCTAGGCCAAGCGTCCCTGGCCTTGCCAGGTGGAGTCCTTCCCTCCCTCCTTGGTTCCCCCAAGACTGTGGCTTGTCTATTGCCTCTGGTCTGAGGCCAGTCACTCTAACCTGTGTATATGGGCATAAAGCTTTGTCCCCTCCATAGATGGCACCTTACTTCTCCTGGGTCCCCAGCCCTGGTCACTGCATCTGGCACAGGAGCACCATTTATGGACTGGCTCATGAACTGGATTGAATCATTTTGGTAATTCCGCCAGGAAGGCTTTGGAGGCCTCCTTTGATACTGACTCCCAAATTCTGGTTTCTTTTAGGAAATACAGTGCTTGTTTTGAAGGGTCCGTGTCTTCAGCTGAAGTGAGGGCTCTGCGGGATATTGATCTACACCAGCCTGTCCAGCCTCTGAGCTGTCTTAATGCATGTTGAGCCACTGTCTATCTCCCTCACTTTCCTCACCAACTACATGGCTGGGTGGGCAGCAGGCATGTGCACTCGTGTGTCCGCACTGCCTGCAGCGCAGAAGTGTTCTGGGGAGCTTAGCTGCCTGTGGAGGAGGAGACATTGTGCCCTGTTTGCCCGGGACAAGCTGCATGTATGTCTGCTGTTCCAGCATCATTGTTAATAGGGCCCTTTCCACTCTCAAAAGCATCTCATCCCTCAACAAGATAAACAACAGGTCCTCAAGCAGCAGAACCTCGTGTCTTGCTGTCGAGCTCATCAGCCTGAACATTTGCAGTTTTTCTTGAGTTCTGGGAATTCTCAGATGGACTGTATTTTTAGGAAAGGTTGGCAGAAAGCTGGGTGATTTTCTTGGCCCCATTATACATTCTAATGGGTTCTCTTTAAAATTGAAGGAAGTGGTTTTTAAATATTTAGTCAAATCTACTGGCTCTAAGACTACGTTTTCAAAGAACATTGGTGAAGCAGGCCCGGAGGAGTCTTTCTGTGATTTAATGCTGACCACTGTTTTCCAAGTCACAGGAAAAGAGGCATGGACTGACAGAAGAAACTTTTCCAGCAAGTGCTTGTACACCTTTGCTAGTGGCTGGTCCTCTCGTCTGCTACCAGATAAACACACAAATGCTAAGTGATATGAATTTTTAAAGTTCAAGAAAGTATAACCTAAGTATAATTAATGAGGTGAGAATGCTTGCATACTTGGAACATGACCGTTTTTGCATTTGGTAAAATTATTCAGAGTTCGTATGATGGAATTTAATATATCAACATGTCATGGAGTTTCAGTATTCAGCTAATATCTAACACCTGCTGAGTCCTCATATGTGCCAGGCGTGAAGTGAGAAATAGACATTGTCTATTTCATCCTTGCAACAGCCCCATGAAATAGGTACACTTATGGTTACTCCATTATAGAGAAGAGGAAACTCGGGTTTCGAATGGTAGAAAACTTGCTCCAGGTCTCATGACTTCTGGGTGCCCTGCCACCCACACTCGTTTGAAATCCTCTTTGAAAAGTCTTAAATAGTCACTATCGTCCTAAAATCTTCTATCATTTGGTTTTTGCCCGTAGGCTGATTCCATAGCAATCAGAGACAGCTCCTGAAGGCACAATGATTATCTGAATTTTCCTTTTGACTCTGAAAAGGCTTCTTTTGCCATATTTTTTTTTCTTTTAAGGCACAGACTAGTGAATCTGTGGAAACTGAGGCCACATTATACTAAATGTCACACTGCTGGATTGCCTGGGGCCCTCGCCAAGCCAGAAGTTCTGCAGGCTGCCCCTTAGCTAGATCTCCACCCAGACCCCACTTAGGTCGGCCCTGTCCATTTCTTAGCTTGCCTGAAGAGGGCGCTTTGGGATTGGTGTCATCTAGCACGTAGTAGGTGCTCAGCAGATGTTGGTTTTAAGCATGAAAATGTTAAGTGAAGGAGCAATGACCCAACCTCACTTTCACTAGGACTATGGAAGGGAATCGAGCCAAAACCACTGCATTTGAGCAGATCCCCTTGCTGTGAGTTTCTGAGTGACTGCCAGGAAATGGAATCCCTGTGTTCTCTGACTGATCTATCATAGGAGATAAGCTTGGCTGTGCTAAGGCTTGCCCTTGGGCCCATGACCTCCAAAGGTGGGGAGAGAAACCTTACCCAGCTGTGCTCTGCCCGTGGAGCTGGACCTACACAGGTTGGCTGCTTCTCCACCCACCTCTGAGCCTTTTGCTGCTGTGCGAGGGCAGGCATGCTTCTCACTCTTGCCACCTATTCTCCCTGTACTTACCTTCATTATGGGACTGGGCATGTCATTGCCCCCAGTAGACAGGGTGCCATCAGGCAGGACACACCAGTATCCTTAACCCTCAGCACTGTGCTGGGAACACAGCGGGGCTCCAAGAATGATGGACGGGTAGAGAGACCCCCCTGAATGCACCTCAGCGTTGCCTGGTCTGGCCACACTGTCCTGTCCTGGCCATAACTGACAGCCAGGGGCTGCTCTGCCTGCTTTGCCCCTGCACACTGCCCACTTCCCATTTGTCCTGTTCACACCAAGTAGCCAGACCACATTTCTGCTCTTCCCATTTCAGGGCCTGGCACCAGGCCACCTGAGCCTGGAAAACCTTCCCTGCCTCCTGGCTGCACATCTTCCTGGCCGTCGAAGGACACGGAGAGAGATGCTTTTCTCTCTGTGAGATGCTTTTCTTGCTCACGCACGGAGTGTACTTTTGCCAAAAGTTCTCAAGGCCTTTTTGTCCCACTGTGGTTCACAGCCTGAACGCACTTTGCATTGCAATGCTTGGCTTTCCTGGAAAGCTCTCCATTTCTCTCCAGCGTGCATCTCATTGCCTTTTCAGTGCCAGCTTGGACTACAAGGGTTGCGGTCTGCTGGCCCTGGGAGGACTTTTCTGAATCCAGACCAGAGTATGTTGCTTTTTCTCTTTATGATTTTTAAAATAGTTAAATACAATTATTAATATATGTATATGGAAGGAAATTTTAAAATACAGGAAACAAAAATAACATCTATTACTGCCTTGCACTAACACTAGCATTTTATTATTGGATATGACTAGTTTAAAAAAAATGTGTGATTTGAAGCAGAAAATCAAATACCGCATGTTCCTACTTATAAGTGAGAGCTAAACAATAGGTATACACACCAACATAAAGACGGAAACAATAGACACTGTGGACTTCAAAAGTGGGGAGAGAGATGGAGGTGGGAGGGCAAGGGTTGAAAGGCTACATATAGGGTACTATGCTCACTATTTGGGTGAGGGGTTCAATAGAAGCCCAAACCTTAGCATCACTCAATATATCCATGTAACAAACCTGCACATTTACCCCAAATCTAAAATTTTAAAAATTAAGTTTTAAAAAGTCATTGCAATGAAAAATAAAATGTTCTATGTATTGATTATCAGAAAAAAAAACTCTGAATAGCATTACACCAGACTGAATATTTGCTTAACTGTAGACTCATTTTTAGCATTCCCTCCATTTAAACATTTTAAAAATTTGTAATAATTTTAGGTTTACAAAATGTTGTAAAGACAGTACAGAGAGTTCCCATTACCCTTTACTCAGCTTCTTGTAATGTTGACATCTTACAAAACCACGGCTACATTTGTGAAAATGGAGAAGTTAACACTGGTACAAGACTATTAACTAAACTACAGATTTTATTTGGGTTTCACCAGTTTGTCCATGAATGTCCTTTTCCAATCCTGGATC
Organism: Homo sapiens; assembly: GCF_000001405.40. Classification (NCBI taxonomy): domain Eukaryota; kingdom Metazoa; phylum Chordata; class Mammalia; order Primates; family Hominidae; genus Homo; species Homo sapiens. The sequence goes on from NC_000007.14 coordinate 36,023,364, forward strand.
ACATCCAGGACTCCACAGAGCATTCAGTCATCCAGTCTCCTCAGTCCCCTCCACTCTGTGAGTTTATCAGTCTTTTCTTATTCTTTGTGATCACTGCATTTTTACGGAGCACTGATCAGGTTTTCAGTAGGATATTCCTCAGTTGGGGTTTGTCTCATGTTTTCCTCATAATGGCACTTGTGTTAGGGATTTTGGGGGAGAACGTCACAGGGGTGCCCTTCTTACTGCAGTGTGCCAAGGGGTCTTTCTGTCCTTGTTAATGTGTATATTCATGTAATTTTAATTAACAAAAATTGAACATCTTTACATATCATTATGTGGCTTTTTATCACGGGGATGGAAAGTAACCCATCAATTATGACATTGCTCCCACCCAGAAAAAACCTCAGAAACCTTCCCAACACAGCCCTGCAGGCAACCCACTTGAGAAGGCTTGCACGTTGAAGCATTTTTCCAGTTCTCCTCTCTTACATCTTTTTTTTTTTGATGTTTGAGGCGGGTCTAACTCTGATGCCCAGGGTGGAGTGCAGTGGCAGGACCATCACTGCAGCCTCAGCTCCTCAACTCCTGGGCTCAAGTAATCCTCCTGACTCAGCCTTCCGAGTAGCTGGGACCAGAGGCGTAAGTCACCACACCCGGATATATTTTTTATTTATTACAGAGATAGGGTCCCAGTATGTTGCCTAGGCTGGTCTTGAACTTCTGGGTTCAAGCAGTCCTCCCACCCTGGCCTTCCAGAGAGTTAGGATTACAGGTGTGAGCCACCGCTCCTGACCCTCCTACATCATTTTTAAAGGCTGCAAAATAGTTTATTGAATGGTTGTGCCCTGACATGTTTTACTAATCCCCTATTTTGGTATTCACGGCTTCTTTTCCTTTCCTTTCCCTTTTCCATTTTTTAAAGGAAGAATTCCTAGTACTATTATTGTTAGATCGCAATAAATAGATATTTTTAAGTCTTTTGAGGTATATTTTCAAATTGGCCCCAGGAAGTTTTCATGGATTTATATCCCTATTAGCAATGAGAATGCTGTTTTTCTAAGATTTTGCCAAAACTATTACAGTGAACAACGGCAAATAGGAAATTTTGTCTTTCAACAGTTAATTATTTTTTATTTGTTTGGATTTGTACTTCTTCAATTAGTGCAGAAGCTGAACCTTCTTTTTTTGGCTTATTGGCTATTTATACATTCAGTGCTTTTAAAGCCTATGTATGCCCTTTGTCCATTGGGAGATGTCAGCAATTTTCTCACTGATTTGTAAAAGCCCTTTATAAATCAAAACCATATAGCATATTTGTTACAAATTTTTCCAATCTAAAGTTTGTCCTAAAATTTTGTTAATAGTGTTTTTAGTATTGCAAAGTTTTAAAGTTTTATGTAGTGAGGAGTTAAAATGTTTCCCAAAATAACTAACCAATCATCCCAGCCTCATTTTTTAAACAATATTCTCTTTCTTCACTGAATTAAATGCCACATGTCAGACACTTAGTTCTTCTTTTACTTGGGTTTTTTCCCCCAGTGGTATCTACTTTGTTCCACAGAGTTAAGCATCAAATTCCCTCTTCTATCTTCCTGCATCTTTAGCATGGCTTCATGACACTGTTTAATATTATGTAGAATAAGACCCTTCCATTACTCTAGTTTTTAAAAACTTTCTAGCTATTCAGATTATGATTTTACTTTCTGATGAATTTCAGAGTTATTTAGACAAGTTTTTAAAATCTCACAGGAGTATTAAATGTACGATATATTAATCAGGGGGAAATTGGCTAGCCTAACCATATTCAATTTATCCATTCAGTTACATGGTCTTTCAGTTTATTCACATCTTCTAGGTCCTTTTGAGAATCACTTTGCTTTTTTTCTGCATTTTCTATGTCTCAAATTCACTAGTCAAGTTTTAACTGCCGAATTGAAGCAATAATGTGAGGAAGGAAATGCTCCTGCAAAATAGTCTTTTAACTACATCAATGTGAGCCCCAGATAAGGAGAGAAATGACCCAATGCTCTTGTCAAAGGAAAGGCCATTTGCATCAACAAAAACCATTTAAAAGGGCATTGTGACCAAGTGCGGTGAGCAGGCTTCTGGGAGCCAGACAGGCTAGGGCTCAGTTCCCAGGACCCCCGTTCACTGGAACTGGGATTAACTCCTGTGGGCCTCGGCACCACCACTGTGAAATGAAGGTGGCCACTACAGAATTGAGAGCAGAGCTCATGTGTGTGAAGTATCCAGGATAGCACCTGACATACTTAAGTGCTCAATAAGTCGTTAAATATATGTACATTTCAAATACTGAAAAAGATTAATAAAAATTGATCATACACTAAGCCACAAAGAAATTCTTAATTAATTTCAAAGAAATTATTTTGGCAACATTCTCTGACCACAATGACAGAATACTAGAAGTTAATGATAAAAGTTTGAACAAACAAAAAATCCAAGTGCTTAGAAGTCTTAGAGAAAACAATACATTGCCTACATTTTTTTTATAACACATATACCATATCATTCACCCATTTAAAGTGAATCATTTAATGGCTTTTAGAATATTCACGGAGGTGGGCAACCATCACCACAATCAGTTTTAGAGCATTTTCATCATCCCAGATGAAACGTGGTACCTGGCAGCAGTCAGTCCCTTCCCCATCCACACCCACCTCCGGTCCTAGGCAACCATAGACGTACTTTCTGTCTCTATGAATTTGACTGTTCTGGACATTTCATACAAATGCAATCAGAATTTATGATGCTTAGTGTCTGGCTTCTTTCACTTAGCATGTTTTCAAGCTTTGTCAATGTTGTAGCATATATCAGTCTTTCAGTCATTCGGATTGCTGAATTAAGATTCCATTGTTTGGATATGTCACAATGTATTACCCATTCATGAAACGATGGACATTTGGGTTTTTTCCACTTTTGGGTTTTTTTGAATAACGTGCTATGAACATTTGTGGACAAGCTTTTTTGTGGACATATGTTTCAGTCCGGTTAAATTGTAACTCTAGCTGGGTGAGGTGGCTCACACCTGTAATCCCAGCGCTTTGGGAGGCTGAGGCAGGTAGATTGTTTGAGCTCAGGGGTTCCAGACCAGCCTGCGCAATAAAGTGAGACTCTGTCTCTCAAAAAAATACAAAAATTAGCTGGACGTGGTGGCACCTATAGTCCTAGCTACTCTAGAAATAGCTACTCTAGAAAATATTTGCAAATTACATATCCGATAAGGTGTATCTGATAAAGCTTTTTCTTTCCATTGCAAGGGTAATGGTGAGGTGGGAGGTTGAGGTGGGAAGATTGCTTGAGTGTGGGAGGCAGAGGTTGCAGTGAGCTGAGATCCTGCCACTGCGCTCCAGCCTAGGTGACAGCCAGGCCCTGTGCCAAAAAAAAAAAAAATTGTTTAACTCTATGCTTAACCTTTTCCATTAGCAGTTTCTACCAGCAAAATAAATCTTTTCCACCACCACCAAATATTTTTCCGCATCTTTGTCAACACTTGTTCTTGCTGTCTTTTTAAATTTTAGCCACTCTGTTAGGTGTGATGTGGTATCTCATTGTGGTTTTGATTTTCATGTCCCTGATGGCAAATGGTGTTGAGCATAGTTTCATGTGCTTATTGGCCATATGTTTACCTACCTTGGGGAAATGTCGATTCAGACCCTTTGCTAACGGTTTTAATTGGGTCATTTTTTAAAAAAAATTATTAAGTTGTAAGCGTTTATCAGATATGCCTTATCAGAAATGTAATTTGCAAATATTTTCTCCCATCTTATGGGTTGTCTCTTTACTTTCTTATGGTGTCCTGTGAAGGACACATACACATGTGCTCGCTCTCTCTCTCAAAACTTTTGGACCAAAGAGGGAAGTAAAACTGTGATTTATTAAGCAGCCCCTTGAAGGGTAACAGCACATTTTTGACCACTTTGTATGTTGGTGCCAGCCTGGGGTGCCCCAGGTAGGTGCTCCCTTGGGGTGTCTGCTTCAAGGATGCTGTGAAGGTAGGGCTTCTCCAGCTGGGAAACCATGGAATAGTTGGCAGCTGCTTTGTACGTCTTGAGAGACAAAAGAGAGAAAGCTCAAAATCAAGAGCAGACACTGGATTTGCACTGAAAAGAAATATATCATTTCCTTGAAGAGAGAAATACAAGATGTGAAAAATGGAAGCAAGGAAAGAAGAGATATAAGGAAAGAGAGATTAGAACACCAACTGCTGTAGATCATTTCATGTCCCAATTATCCCCAAGTTCTTCCACCTTCTGGGATCACCAGCTGTTTTAACACCCAAAATAACTCTCACTCTTTTCCCACATAAATGTGTTAAGTCCAGGGCTGTCCCTACTCTGTCTGAGGAGTTCTGGGGCAGAAGGCAAATTGGGGACTCTCTTGCCGAAACCTGTCCCCAGCCCCTCCGTGACCATCTTTGGGCACATTCTTGCCCCCTCTCCATGTTTCTGTGGCCCCTGGCTTGCTCCAGAACATTCCTCCAGCCCTCCCTCGAGTGTGCTTTCCAGGCAGGCACACCACAGGCATTACTGAAGGTTTGGAGGTGTTGGAGGGGGGTTCAGGAACTTGAGTATTTGACATCGCGTCCTTGAGCTCACCTCCCATCTACAGCACGGAGGGTCTCCGGCCACTTCTCCTTCGACCCAGGCCAGCTGCCTCGGTGCTGCCCCCTCTTCCTCCCAAGACCTTTATTCCCTGCCCACCGAAACCCCAGCTTCCCCAGTCCCCAGGCCACCTACTCACCCTCTCTGCAGCATAGCTCCTCAGAAAATGGACGTTGTCTTCCTTTGCCCCAGCCACCTCATTCAAACTGTGTCCTGGGCCTCAACTTCCACAACTGAAAAGGCAGCTAATATCTTTTTATCAAGCAAAGACCTATCCGGAAGTTGCCATCTTTGGCAACACACACACACACACACACACACACACACCCCGGCCAAACCTTCAAAGTTACTACTTCTTTAACTGTTTAAAGTGATGTCGAAGATAGTTTTGGTCAGAGCCTCAGGCCAGAGCACCTGGGCTTTCTCCTCTGAACAAGTTTCTGTCAGTAAAAGTGAAAGAAGAAAGTGTCTGAAATCCCAGCTACTCCGGAGGCTGAGGCAGAAGAATCGCTTGAATCCGGGAGGCGAATGTTGCAATGAGCCGAGATCGTGCCACTGCACTCCAGCCTGGGCGACAGAGCAAGACTCTGTCTCAAAAAAGGAAACAAACAAAAAAAAGAAAGTGAATTGGCCACCTTTTCAGAGCAACCCCGTGGGCCAGGGCTTTTTCCTTCCATCGCAAGGGAAATGGTGAACTTGGCGGGTGGGGTTGGAGGCAGTGGTCCAGATATGTGATGAATGCCTCGAAAAGAAGTGAACATTGCCTCATTTCTTCCTTCTGGAGTGCTGTCCGTAAGAGTTTCCGAGGCCATTGGTAGCTGCAGAACCCCTTTTGAAATAAAATCTTATACAAGCCCCAGTATACAAAGGCAGGTAAAAAGGGAGCTAGATTGGTTTGGGGGACTTTGAGAAATCTTAGCTGATGGATTTTACAATGTTGTTAAAATGCCCAGTGAAGAGAGAAAGGCATGTGAATTCATCTTCCAAAGCCCATGGTGAAATGTGAGACAAAATATCCACTCTAAAAAATTAGCAATCAGGCTGGGTGCAGCATTTCTGTTGGAAGACATTTCTGGAGGCCAAGGTGGGGTGATCACTTGAAGTCAGGAGTTCAAGCCCAGCCCAGCCAACATGGTGAAACCCTGTCTCTACTACAAATACAAAAATTAGCTGAGCACAGTGGTGCATGCCTGTAGTCCCAGCTACTCAGGAGGCTGAGGCAGGAGAATGGCTTGGACCCATGAGGTGGAGGTTGCAGTGAGTGGAGATTGTGCCACTGCACTCCAGCCGGGGTGACAGAGCAAGACGTCTCAAAAAAAAAAAAAAAATTAGCAGTCAGATGGCACTGACTTCTTTTATTGATTTTCCAGAATGCTCTCTTCAAAGCCTACACGTTTTCATCTTTGGGTTCAGTTTTCTTGAGGGCAAAACTAGTGCCTAATTAAGTCTTATTTTTGTGTCTGATTATCTTTAACACCCTTGAAAAGTGTTTGCCAGTTTTCTAGAAAAAAATTGATGACTTGCTCCTCCGCTGGTTCTGCTGACTTGCTGTTTTGGAAGAGATGTTTTTCTTGTTTTTCTTTTCATTGGTGTCAAGGGAGATGGAAACAGTGAGGGCTTTAACCTCTTCTCCTCTTTGCCAGGCTAGGAAGACCCAGTTGAGACAGCGGACACTAGAGCAGCCTGGAAGGGAACACCTGCCTACGAAGCCCCTAGGAGCATGAGGTGTTTCCTCCCACAGCTTCCTGTCCTGCCCAGGGCTAAGAGGACAAGACTGGCAGAAGGACAACCAGCAATGCTGAGGGACTGTGGCTCAAGGCACTGATGTCATTGCCTTGGGTTGCAGGTAAGTGAAACCTACCTCAAATGAGCTTCAGCCACAATGGACCTTTATTGGAAAGCCGTCTTAGAGAGACCCAGGGATACAGGCCTGATTGCCCCCTGTCTCATTTCTCTGTTCTTCTCATTCTCCCACTCTACAGACAGACTCACTGCTTTGTCCTACGTGAGGACAAACCCAGCTGCTTCATAGCCTCTGGGTTTATGTATCTGCTCAAGCTAACCAGCCCAATCTGAGACCAATGCATTAGTCACAATTCCAAGCTCCAAGGAGAATGAATCTGATTGCCTTCATCAGGTTACCTACTGTGGGGAGGTCATTGTCATGTAATAGAAAGGCAGCTCCCAGGAGATTATTGAGGGCTGAAAATATACCCCTAAAGGTATCTATTATCAGATTGAGCATGTCCCTCCAAAATTCTGTGCCTTTGTACAGTAGCTCCCTCTGTTGTGACAGCAGTGTGGCTGTGATGATGGGAGTGGCTCAGACAACAAGAAAAGGTTTTAAGTATTTCCCAAGCCACCAGCATTAGACAGTTGGTTCAGCTCACCAGTTGAAATATCTGGTATGTGTCAGATACCCTCCGAGGCTCTGAAGAGATTGGTGTAACCCAGATACATTTTGGGGCCCCATGTGGCTTAGTTTAGGTATGGAGACACATTTAAAAACACACAGTCCCAAAATAATTAAACTTAATTAAAACTAAATTATAATTTTTCTTTTGCATAGTTTTTCTTTTTTTGAAGGAGTCTAACTCTGTCACCTAGGCTGGAGTGCAGTGGAGCAATTGCGGCTCACTGCAGCCTCAACTTCCTGGGCTCAAGCAATCCTCCCACCTCAGCCTCATGAGTAGCTTGGACTACAGGTAAGTGCCACCTAATTTTTACATTTTTTTGTAGAGATGGGGTCTTATTATGTTGCCCAGGCTGGTCTCCAATTACTAGCCTCAAGTGATCCTCCTGCCTCAGCCTCCCAAAGTGCTGGGACTACAGGCAAGAGCCACCATGCCCGGCCGTCTTGCATCTTTTAAAGACTATTAATGGGGAACAAATTCATAACCCCCCAAACCTTTCCAGCTTCTCTTTTGTCTCTTTTCAGCAGATAGCAGATGCCCCAGAACATCCTACTTGCCCAATTCCCTCCAAACACTTCCTGATGCCTGGCCTGCTTGGCTTCCCTACTGTCTTCCTTCTCTGCTTTTCCCAGGATCTGTCATCTTTCCGCCTGTAGCTTAACTTAGCCTCTCTGGCTGTATCTTACTCTCTTTCCTCCTGCAGTTGAGGTTCTGTTTCCCTCTACCTAGGTTTCCACAGACATTTTCTATCTTGCCCAGTATAGACTAAACTCTTTTTTAGAGGGTAGGAAAGAGGGAAAATCTGAGTAGACAAAGGGAAAATTATGTTGAGCTGGTTGGGGGTAAGAGGAGGGAGAGAACACTCACTTGTGGACAAATCACGTGTCCCTCATACAGAGATGAATGAGGCCAAGTACTGGCCCACAATGTGCTCCCTATTTAGTAAAGGAGCCTGACACAAACACAGATCAAAGTCCAGCACACCTCTCCTTGGCGTAGGGGCGTGCATCAGAGAAAGCCACACACCTGTTTGAGGGGTGCATCAAACAGGGTAGGAGTGTTGAGACCAGCTAAAGCACAATGACAGGTAGGGTTATTGTTTCTGACTTACAGATGAGGTAAATGAGCTCAAAGGTGATCTACAGCTTCCCCCACTATGATACCCCAAGTCATAAGTGGTATCAGTAGGACTAGAGCCCTTCTCTGTCTGACTTTAAGATCAAATTTTTTTTTTTTTTTGAGATGGAGTTTCGCTCTTGGCCAGGCTGGAGTGCAGTGGCACAATCTTGGCTCACTGCATCCACCTCCCCAGTTCAAGTGATTCTCATGCCTCAGTCTCCTGAGTAGCTGGGACTACAGGCATGTGCCACCATGCCCGGCTAATTTTTTTTGTATTTTTAGTAGAGACAGAGTTTCACCATGTTGGCCAAGCTGGTCTTGAACTCCTGACCTCAGGTGTTCCACCCACCTTGGCCTCCCAAAGTGCTGGGATTACAGGAGTGAGCCACCACGCCCAGCTGAGAACCAAACTTTTAATCACTGCACCATACCACTGTCCTAACTGAGACCTCCCTTTCTCCAAATTTTACCACTTGTTTGGATGTTGGATCTCAGACCACAGAACCCACTGAACCTCTCAATGGTGTGTGGTGAGAAATGACTGGACAGTTGGGCACAGTGGCTCACCCCTGTAATTCCAGCTACTCGGGAGGCCAAGGTGGGAGGATCACTGAGCCCGAGGGTTCAAGGCTGCAGAGTGAGCTATGATGTGCAGCTGCACTACCGCTTGGGCAACAGAGCAAGACCCTGTTTTCAAAAAAAGAAAGAGAAAAATGACTGGACTCCTCATCCCGTTATAATGTTATTTTCCATCTCACAAATACACAAGTGACAAAATAAGCAAAGAAGTTATCTTTCTTTCCCAAGGAACTAAACTAAGATTGGAAAGAAATTTATGGTGTCTTGCAAAGGAAGCCCTGCTCTCTCTTCTTACAGGCGATTGTCAGCACTGTTGCCCGGGTGCTGTTCTGCCCACTGTTTGGAGACTTTCCACCCTCGTGACTGCCTAGAGAGAGCCCTTCTCTGAGCTGAGCTGCTGAACATTCTGGAAGACGTGTGCTCTGATGAGTGGAGAAAGTGGAGTAGGGCAAATTGCATTCTAGGTGGAGCTGTCAAAAGGCATCCATCCATTCATATGTTTATTCATGGTCCCTTTGGGTTCTCAGATTTTTCAGATCAGCTGCTTGGCAGCTTGCACTTTGATGTTGCAGTGGAGGCTCTGTTCAGGCTTCTGCCCCATAAGAAAAATCAAAGCTTCATTCCCTGCCGATGCATTGACTGGGACATCATCCAGGTCCCTGGGGCAGGAATGTTATTAGACACTCAATAAATATTTGTTGAATCTTGAATGAATTTACCTCCTGAAACCTGCTCAGAGACAGTGAATGGACAGAGGGACGTGAAAAACACAATGCCCTTCTCTTCTCCCAGGAGATTGATTTGGTTATTATGTTAGAAATAGACATGCAAATTAGCATATGCTCAGCACTGAATGGAAATTCATCCCTTAACCTAAATAAAATTTAACAAACTCCATAACTCTTCTTACTATCCCTGGATTAGGTTTCTGGGATTTTAAAATAATACACCTACAAAATTGAAAGCCAGAAAAACTCCAAAGTGATATAAGATCCATCTAAACAAGGAATAGATACAACCTTGACCCTCAAGGGCTGTGAGTGAGGATCACAAAGCCAGGCTGGAGATGAGAAACATGAAACATTCCCCAGAGACTGTCACAAAGTCCCATGGCAGTTCAGAGGAATGAGATCACTTTGGCCAGTGGTAGTAAGTGAAGTATTTGTGCAAAGGGTGGGCATTCATTCATTCTTTTTCTTTCTAGAAATATTTCTGGCCTGGTGTGGTGGTGCACACCTGTAGTCTGAGCTACTCAGGAGGCTGAGGCAGGAGGATCACTTGAGCCCAGGAGGTCAAGGCTGCAGTGGGCTGTGATTGTGCCACTGCACTCCAGCCTGGGCCACAGCGTAAGACCCTGTTGAAAAATGGAAGGAAGGAAGGAAGGAAAGAAAGAAGGAAGGAAGGAAGGATAAAAGAGGAAAGAGAAAGAAGGAAGGAAGGAAAAGAGAGAGAAGAATGGAAGGAAGGAAAAGAAAGATTTCTGAACACCACCCCAGCTAGGCATTGCACATAGTGGGGAGAGTAATACACAGTTCTTGCCTCTAGGGAGCCCACAGTATTGGAAGGGCAAGGAAGTTGGCCAGTACCTATGGTACTAGTTGATGCTGTTGTGTGTAACATGCAGTGGGCACCTAATGAGGGTATAAGGGAAGCCGATTGAGTTAGCTAGACCATAGGGGAGGCTTCCTGGAGGAAGTGTCTCTGGAAATCAGTCTTGAAGAATGAGGCAAAGACAGTGAAGGATAATTCCAGGCAGAAAGAACAGCATCAAGGGGCATCAACTTCAGGGAGCAGAAACATTTGACTTTGCTCCAGTGAAAGTTTCCGATGGGGAAGAGCTCTGAGTTGGGACCAAGAGCAGTGAGTGTAGGTCACAAGGGCTTTGTAGGCTTTGCTGGAGGATCCACTTCAGACAGAGGTAGGGGCAAGGGGTCCTGTGAAGACACCTGATGTGAAGGGAAGCCTGAAACACTACTTGGTTTGGGAGAGGAAAGAAATGAGATAGACAAAGAGACCTGTGGGTATTCTGGGTGTCGGCAAGAGGCTGAGGGAGGAATTTCCCATGTGTCTGTGGCACATACATAGGCTGTGGCAGCTGGAAGTGGTAGTGACTAATGCTGGATGCCAAGGGCTGTGAAGAGCTGAGATGGTCCCTCCTTGTAAGCTAATGAGTTGGCCTGCCTTGGTGCATGGGGCTGCGAGATGAGAGACTCCTGAGTCAGGGACTAATGATGGCCTTACTCACAGCAAGAGCAGAAGCCAGAGTGTCAGCATGATCACCTTGGCTCCCTGAGCTCCAAGGCCATCAGCGGTGATGCAGGCAGGTCTAGACGGGAGCCCACCCCCCCCCCCACAGTGGGCTACACCTAAGAGAGGACACAGGGCCAGGGGAACCAACTGCCCACAGCAGCCTGCTCATTGTCTGGGGAAGGGACACTGTCTCATCTCCCAAAGGTGCTTGTTCCAACACAACCTTGAGAAATGGCCAGATAAAGAGACATCAGAGCTTGACAAGCTGTATGGGAGAGGGAGAGACCATGGGAGAAGCGTCTCCCAACATTAGGAAGAAAGTCGTCTTAGTCAGTTTGGGCTCTGTCACAAATTCCCATAGACTGGGTGGCTTAAACAACAATTAAATTGTCACAGTTTTGGAAGCTGGACAATTCAAGATGAGAATGCAATTCTAAAACCTTCTATATCCTGGCCGGGCGCAGTGGTTTGCACCTGTAATCCCAGCACTTTGGGAGGCCGAGGCAGGTGAATCGCTTGAAGCCAGGAGTTTGAGACCAGCCTGGCCAACATAGTAAAACCCTGTCTCTACCAGAAATACTAAAATTAGCCAGGCTTGTGGCGAATGCCTGTAATCCCAGCTACTCGGGAGGCTGAGGCACAAGAATCGCTTGAACCCGAGAGGCAAAGGTTGCAGTGAGCCGAAATGGTACCACTGCACTCCAGCCTGGGTGCCAGGGCGAGACTCTGTCTCAAATAACAACAACAAGAACAAAACAAGCCTTCTATGTCTAGTTTCCATGTGGCTGTTCCCGCCAAGTTCTGCCTCTGCCTACTATCCTTGGGGTAAACCTCCACCCGGACAGTGTGCTGGGCCGGGGCACCCACCCTCTGGGAGCTAGGAGTGTGGGCTCAGGGCGCTCAGGGTTGCCCTCCCCTACAGAATTGTCATCAGCCCAGCAGGAATTGGCTCACCCAGGCACACCCACCACCTTCTCCAAAACCCAGAGCTAATGACTGACTGGCACAGGGTACAAAAGCCTGGCCCCTTTGTCTTCTGGTAAAGCCGACACGGTGCTGCGGTTCCTGCTCTGGAGCTCTGTAGGAAGGCTGAAGCTCGGCTCCAGCTGAGACTGCATCCCCTGCCTTCTCCTTCCTCCCTCACTCCCCTGGGCTTGAGAGGACCCCTTCAATAAATCAAGTGCACCGAATGCCTGCCTTGGGCTCTTGGGAATTTCTTGGGACTTGGCCCAGAGTTGACAGTCGCTGAGTTCTTGATCCAGGCTTCCCCGCAGACACTGTCTGTGTGTCTTGGGCTCCATGCTTTTGCTCTGGACCCAGGCCCCCAGATTCCTAGGATGGGAATAGGACCCAGGTTCCTGTTGGAATGAGACAGTTTAGGCAATGCTCAAATCGTGAAGCCCCCTAAGCCCTCACCTGACTCCCCCAGGCAGATGTTTGTAGCTCGCTGTCACCTGTCCTATCCTGTGAAGTGACTGCTCTGGGATTGACTTACTGCTCCTCTCTCTCATTTGGCCTTGAGTGCCCGAGGGGCAAAACTGCAGCAGAGTGGCTCCTGTATCCTCAGCACTCAACATGGACCCCGTTGTTGGTGTTCAAGAAACATTTGAGGAGCTGCACTTACTTGGAATGAGAAAAAGTTACACCCATGACCTCCAGGTAAAGCAGACAGCAAATGGCATAAGTGAAGGGCCCTGCAGCAGCCACAGACACAGGCCTGGGGAAATAGAGGATCCCAGATGGAAGAGCTGCCACTTACTGGGCACCGCCCTGTGCCAAACCCAACACCGTGTGCACTCTGTAGACTCTCATTGAATCCCTAAATCCTTCCGTGGTATGGATTATTATCTCCATTTTACTAATGAGGCCATTAAAGCTCAGAAGATTAAGTAACGTGACCAGTATAAAGTACAAGAAAATGACAGATTCCGATTTTTTTTTTTTTTTTTGAGACAGGGTCTCTCTCTCTCTCTCTCTCTCTTTCTCTCTCTGTTGCCCAGGCTGGAGTGCAGTGATCCAATCACAGCTCACTGTAGCCTTGACCTCTAGGTTCAAGCAATCCACCCCCACTCAGCCTCCCACATAGCTAGGACCATAGGTGTGCACCACCATGCCCAGCTCCTTTTCTTTTTTTTTTCTTTGGTAGAGACGGGGTTCTCACTATGTTGCCTGGCTGATCTTGAACTCCTGGACTCAAGCAATCCTCCCACCTCAGCCTCCCAAAGTGCTGAGATTACAGGCATGAGCCACTGCAGATTCAGATTTTGAGCACTTGTCTAGCTGATTTCAAAGCCTGTCCTCTTTCCACAATCAGGTCTTAAGTCATATCCTGAAGAGTTTGTCATTGCTCTTCCAGGAATCCGATCCCCACTGGACAGGCTGGGAAGGTCTGGGCTGCTAGTGGTGTTGCAGATAGACTCCCAGGCAGCTGATGGAGGTGTGGAATGAAGAGCGTGAGAGATAACAGAAGCAGGCATGGCAGTGCTACCCAGCAGAGCCATGTGACAGAGGCGGGGATGCTGCCGTGGGTTGTCCAGCAAATAGAGATGCCAGGCCTGAGGCTTGATTCTCTCAGACCTTCTGCCTCTGGCAGCAAGACTGCTGGACCCAGAGCTGTGTGACTTTCACCAGGTTCCATTTCTCATCAATGGGGGAGCAGGGTGACTGCACCCAAAGAGTGTCAAGGTTTTCTTCAGTTCTGAAAGTCCCCAGTTCTCAACCAGTGAAAGGTCTGACGTTTCCCATCCCTCTTTGCAAATCCTGGGCTGAAGACCAGGGATCCAAGTCCCTCAGCCCAGCCAAGGCGACAGAAAGCCTGACTTTCCCAGCCCTGAAAAGAGTTGACGGGCTGTTCTCTGGGCTCGCCTCGGCAGCAGCATTGACAAGGGCTGGGAGAGGGAGACTGGCACAGGAGCCTTCTCAAGTTGCTCCACAAAGGGCCTCTTTTTCCCAGGCACAGTGACAAATACTGCCGCTCCCTCTGGCTATAAAGGCCGGGGGTGCGGACAAGGTTCCCATGTCTGAACTCTTAAGAAAGTTGCAAGCAAAGAAAAAAATGTGTACGGGCTTTTGGCTGTGCTTTTTGACTTGATGCCAGATAGCCGGTGGGTTCAAAATTACATCACTATTGACTATCTGAGTTGTTTCTCTGTTTGACCTTCTTGGAAGAATGGTTACCTTGGCAACAGATGGTTATCAGTTCCTCAGCAATTTGTGCCAAGGAACAGTTTCCTGCATGCTGAAAACCAGTGGCTTAAAAGCTGTATCTGGCCGGCCTCACCCTCCCAGGTCTCTGAGCGGATTGTGCAGTAGGGACAGCCCTTGACTTACAATGTTTCCACAGATGATTTTTCAGCTTTATGATGGTGCAAAAGCAGTACATGCTCAGTAGAAATCATACTTCGAGTATCCATACAACCATTCTGTTTTTCACTTTCGGTACAGCGTTGAAGTTACATAAGCTATTCAATATTTTATTAAAGGCCAAGCACAGTGGCTCACGCCTGTAATCCCAGCACTTCGGAAGGCAGAGGCAGGTAGATCACTTGAGGTCAGGAGTTTGAGACCAGCCTGGCCATATGGTGAAACTTCATCTCTACTAAAAATACAAAATTAGCTGGGCGTGGTGGCACATGACTGTAATCCCAGCTACTCAGGAGGCTGAAGGAGGAGAATTGCTTGAACTCAGGAGGAGGAGGTTGAAGTGAGCTGAGATTGCGCCACTGCACTCCAGCCTGGGCAACAGAGTGAGACTCCATCTAAAAAAAGAAAAAAAGGAAAAAATTGCTTTATTATAAAAAGGGCTTTGTGTTAGATAATTTTGCCGAACTGTAGGCAAATGTTTTCTGAGAACGTTTAAGGTAAACTAGGCTAAGCCATGATGTTCGGTAGGTTAGATGGATTAAATGTATTTTTGACTCATCATTTTTATAACTCATGGTGCATTTATTGGGATGTAACCCCGTCATAAACTGAGGAGTATTTGTATTTAGAAATAGAGCTGAGTTTGACAGCCAACTTTGTCTGTTAGGCAGTGGGTGCCAGGCCAGTGGTGCTGGGATTTCCAGTGTCCCCTGCCTCCAGCAGTGGACCCAGCTGAGCCTCTGGGATGCTCTGCCCCTGGCACCGAAGGCTGCTTGGTGCCACAGGAGAATCTGATAGGAGACATCCAGGGCTGCTGAAGTGGCTGGGGTGTCAGAGGCGTTTGAATTAGAGCAACTCCATCTTGAATAAGGACTAGGTAAAATAAGGCTAAGACCTACTGGGCTGCCTTCCCAGACAGTTAAGGCATTCTAAGTCACAGGGTGAGACAGGAGGTCGGCACAAGGTCCAGGTCATAAAGACCTTGCTGATAAAACAGGTTGCAGTAAAGAAGCTGGCTAAAACCCACCAAAACCAAGATGGCAATGAGAGTGACCTCTGGTCGTCCTCACTGCTACACTCCCACCAGCTCCATGACAGTTTACAAATGCCATGGCGATGTCAGGAAGTAACCCTATATGGTCTAAAAAGGGGAGACATGAATAATCCACCCCTTGTTTAGCATATCATCAAGAAATAACCATAAAAATGGGCAACCAGCAGCCCTTAGGGCTGCTCTGTCTATGGAGTAGCCATTCTTTTATTCCTTTACTTAATAAACTTGCTTTCACTTTATGGACTTGCCTCAAGTTCTTTGTTGTGCGAGATCCAAGATCCCTCTCTTGACTGGGTGCGGTGGCTCATGCCTGTAATCCCAGCACTCTGGGGAGGCCGAGGTGGGAGGATCACGAGGTCAGAAGATCGAGACCATCCTGGCTAACACAGTGAAACCCTGTCTCTACTAAAAAATACAAAAAATTAGCCAGGCGTGGTGGCGGGCGCCTGTAATCCCAGCTACTCGGGAGGCTGAGGCAGGAGAATGGCGTGAACCCGGGAGGCGGAGCTTGCAGTGAGCTGAGATCGAGCCACTGCGTTCTAGCACTCCAGCCTGGGCGACAGAGAGAGACTCTGTCTCAAAAAAAAAAAAAAAAAAAGCCCTCTCTTGGGTCTGGATCGGGACTCCTTTCCGGTGACAGGGATGTTCCTTTCCTGACATGTCCGCTCTCCCCTGCTTCCTGCTGTACCGCCCCCTGACTCACCGGATGCTGCACACTGTCCTCTGTGCTGCTTTCGCCAAATGGAGGTCCACTCATCCCAGCATTATTTCTTAAAAATTCCATCTTTACCTCAGTGATTTGAGAGATAATCCATCCTCTTTTGAGGAATAAAACAACAATACTATTAACTGCTAACATTCTTTCCAGCATTTATTGTGCCGAGTGAATTAAAAGCATTGTCTCATTAAATCTTCACAATTCAGTTAGGCAGTTCATATTAGTAACCCCATTTTACAGATGAATAAGCTGAACCTGGACAAGGTAAGTAACGAATCCAATGTGACAGATCTAATGAGATTAAAATACAGAGCTGTCTAGCTCTTTAGAGATAAGAGCCTATCCTGGGAGATAAGCTGTTCTAATCTTAACTTCAATGTGTCTGTATTAAAACTCTTTATTGGCTATGTTGAACTCACAGCTTTGAGGCCGAGTGAATTCTGGCTAAGGTCACATACCGTTGGTCACATGGATTGGGGTGTTTTTGATTGACTCCTCATTCTGAGATGAGAAGAACAGCTCCTCCTTTAGAACAGTGGGCTGTGAACCTCTCAAAGCAGGGCCTGCCTCTCAGCTTCTCTATCCTAGGAGGGTGAACTAGACAAAAACAAGTGATAAAGCATCATGCGTGAAGATGCTATAATGAAAATGAAATTGAGTGCTATGAAGGAGAGTGGCCAGGTGGTCCCTTTAGATGGATGGACAAGGAAGATTTCTCTGAGAAATCTGCATTTAAGCTCAGACCTGAATGACAGGAAGCACCTTGTCATGACAATAGGCCATGGACGTATGTTTTAAAATGTACAGGGGATTGGTTTTCATCAGGCAAAGAAAGGTGATTGACACTGAGATAATTGCGTTGAAAAAGAGTTTATTACTCGGTGTTCCCAAAAGGAGGGGGCAGGCCCTGCCACACAGGGCCACATGGGCAGCACCAGGGTCAGTCAGGAAGCACAAGGAGCTCAGGAGAGTGCGGGCCGAAGCCTTGACTGGGATTTTTGTGGGAAGGAATAGAAGTAGGTTGGTATGCTAACAGAGTTTAGGACTAGATAATTTGAATAATTTCGGCAGGCTCTGGGCTACAGGGGTGGTCCCTAGTTATCCAGTACCTGACTCCCAGGGCAATTTAGGGCAGGGGGAATATTGGCTTGGTCTGTGAGAATTTGACAAAGAGGGTAGTTCTGAGGTATGGGCTCTGGATTGGTTGGTTTGCATATCAAATACATGCTTTAAGGAAAGTTGCTTGCTATCTCTAGGAATTAGCTCACCTTGCAAGGGGCAGTTCCTCCTGGGTCTGCAAGGCCCCCAGATGTCAAAGTTTTATAAAATATCGAAAATAAAAAAACATGATTAATATAGTATATGTGGAGGAAAAGCATCCCAGGCAGAGGAACAAGTAAATTCCAAGGCCCTGAGTCAGGACTGAGTTTGATGCACTGGAAGAATAAAATGAAGGGGAGTGTGGCTGGAGTAGAAAGGACAGGCAATAATGATGGAAAATCAGGGTACCAAGCAGAGTCCGAATCATATAGGGCACTGTGGGCCAGGATATAAAGTTTCTCGTGCAATGGGAAACCTTTGGGTAGTTAAAACAGGAGTGGCATCAGTTTTGTATTCTGTGAATACCACTGTGGAGGGTCTCTAGAGAATGGATGTGCTGGAGCTGGAGTCAGGGAGGCCAGTGAAGAGCCTTTGCCATAGTCCAGGGCAGTGATGGGAGGGCCTGGATTAGGGTGCTAGCAGTGGAGATGGAAAACATGTTTTGAGATTGAGTCAATAGGAATCCTGAAATGCTTAGGTGTAAGGAGTGAGGGAAGGTTAGTGGGTAGAGAATGGTGCCATGGTGCCACATGGGATGGCCTGGAGAAGTGTGTGTAGGGAGGGTGGGAAAATCAATACTTCAGTTTGGACAAGTTAAATTGGATATGCCTAATGGATATCAAGGTGGAAAAGTGAGTAGATAGACATGAATTTGAGCTGAGCTGGAGATACAAATGTGAAAGTCACTGTCAAACTGATGGTATTTAAAGGTATAGATTGGCTGGGCACAATGGTTCACGCCTGTAATGCCAGCCTTTGGGAGGCCAAAGTTGGCAGACCACCCAAGGTCAGGAGTTCGAGACCAGCCTGGCCAACATGGCAAAACCCCGTCTCTACTAAAATTACAAAAAAAAAATTAGCTGGGCATTGTGGTGGGCACCTGTAGTCCTAGCTACTTGGGAGGCTGAGGCAGGAGAATCACTTGAACCTGGGAAGTGGAGGTTGCAGTGAGTCGAGATCACACCACTGCACTCCAGCCTGGGTGACAGAGCAAGACTCTGTCTCAGAAAAAAAAAAAAGAAAAGGCGTAGATTGAATGAGATTATCCAAGAAAGCATGTAGATAAATGACAGCTCAGGAACTGAGCCCTGAAGAGGAAATAAACCTTTAGGAACTCAAATAGAAGACGATTGAGCAAATGGGATGGAGAAGGAGGATCTAGTGAAGGAGCAGGGAGACCACGCAGTGGAGTCAGGGACATTTCAAGGAAAGGGCAGTGTTGACTATCACTGAGAGGTCGCAGAGGAGGACCTTTCAGTAGCAAATGGATTTGCCAACCATCGGTGATCTTGGCAGGAGCTGATTTGGGGACAAGTGGGAACAGAAACCCAAATGGACTGGGCTGAGGAGAGAATGGAAAGGAGAAATGAGGACTAACTATAGTCAATTCTTTCAAGAAATTATGCTGTGAAGGGGAGCTGAGAACTTGGGGGAAGAAACTAAGGGGGTTTGTGAGCAGCAAGAACAAGTTTATCCAAACATTAGAGATACTAGCTTGCCTGGTGTGCCTGGAATGGTCCAGTGGAAAGGGGCAATTGCAGGAGGGAAGTCCTGAGATGGTGAGGGGTGATGGGCTCCAGGGTGGACACAGCACAGCCAGTCGGAGGGGGCAAGGCACAGAGTGTGGTTCAGCTGCAGGAAGGGGGGCCTACTGGGAGACAGGACATGAGGGAATCCCTGTCTGAGCACTTCTGTGTGCTCTGAGAGGCATGGAGCGAGATTGGCAACGAGATGAGGAGAGGGACACAGGTGGCTTCATGGGAGAAGTAGGGCTTGGTGTGGGGAAATGGGAGGCAGCTGTGCCGGTGACAGAAAGAGACTGGGGTGAGCTTCGAGGAGGTGGCCTGACCAGAGGACAGGCTCCATGCAGAAGGGTACTAGGAAATCAGTGTGAAGATGCAGGGGTCCCAAAATGCAAGCAGAGGCAGGCTGATGCATTTCGAGAAAGGAGGTGATCACTGTTAACTTTGGGCTGGAAACGGCTGGGCACAGGTGAGCTATCAGGGGAATAACAGAGCCAGGCTTCAGAATGAGGAAGAGGAAAGGAGGAGTCACTCCAAAAACATCTACAGGATTAGCAAATTGAAGGGGACCTCTCTTCCACCCCTCATGGCCCCAGAGGCTCAGGCCTAACACCAAGTACACTCCGTCTCCAAATTCAACCCTGCCTCCCTCATAATCTCTGTCTCATTGTCAGCGCCCAGAAGCACCTACCTCTGGCTGTCATCATCCACTCCACTGCCAAGATGGGCTTCCTCCAGCCTGGGAAGTACAGTGAGACCCCATCTCTACAAAAAATAAAAAATTAGCTGGGCATGGTGGTGCTTGACCGTGGTCCCAGCTACTTGAGGGGTGCTGAGGCAGGAGGATCAGTTGAGCCAGGGAGGTTGAGGCTGCAGTGGGCCCTGATCATATCACTGCACTCCAGCCTGGGCCACAGAGGAAGATCTCATCTCAAAAAAAAAAAAAAAAAAAAAAATAGATAGGCTTCCTAAAGTCCAAACCTGGTTCTGACGTGTCTGAGTATGACAATGACTGTCTCATGTGCTTGCTTTTCTCTACCTCCTCACATCTTACAGGATTTCTTAAGAAACATTGGCAGCTCTAAAAACAAAACAGGCTGGGTGTGGTGGCTCACACCTGTAATCCCAGCACTTTGGGAGGCTGAGGCACAAGAATCACTTGAACCCAGGAGGTGGAAGTTGCAGTGAGTTGAGATTGCACCACTGCACTTCAGCCTGGGAGACAGAACAAGACTCTGTCTCAAAAAACAAAAAACAAAACAAAACAAAACAAAACAAAAAAACAGAAACAAAAAACAAAGCAAATGTCTTAAGAAAAACACAACTTTTTTTTTTTTTTTTTTTTCTGTGAGAGGGGGTCTCACTCTGTCACCCAGGCTGGTACTGCAACCTCCACCTTCTGGGCTCAAGTGATCCTCTTACCTCAGCCTCCTGAGAAACTGGGACTACAGACATGCACCACCACACCTTCACTACACCTGGTGAAGTTTCATATTTTTTGCAGAGAAGGGGTTTTGCCATGTTGCCCAGGCTGCTCTTGAACTCCTGGGCTCAAGTAATCCCTCGCCTAGGCCTCCCAAAGTGCTAGGATTACAGGTGTAAGCCATGGCACTCAGAGAGGATTCATTTTCCAATGCAAAAGTTACACTCCCATTGGGAAGGGCTATTTCTTACGCGTGTGGCAAAGACCTGCATTGATCTCTGAAGCCCTGCGTGTGTCCTAACTGAGCTGAAATACATGGAGAGGTTTCCTCTTGAAAACGCACTATACCATACTCCTAGAGCTTTCAGTCTGGCCAACAATTAATACTTATGCAAATGTATTTAGAACTGCTAATCAGGAGGTTATGGTCACTCATTCATTCATTCATTTGTTCACTCAGCAAATGTTTATTGAGCATCTACTAGGTACTGGTTGCTGCTCCAAACACTGAAATGAGTCAGTGGAAATGGGAAAGGCCTTCCTGTTGGTGGGAGAACAATGAATGAAAATCAAACGAACAGGGCAATTACTTATGAGGGAAATAAACAGGGAAATATGATCATCAATCAGAAGATTGTCAGCAAAGGCCTCTATGTGAAGGAGACATTTGAGCTGACAATGGACAGAGCAGGCTGTGCAAACCTCTGGGGGAAGAGCATTTCTGGCAAAGGAAACAGCAACTGCAAATGGCGTGAGGTAGAAAAGGAATGTGTGGGGTAGAACCGACTGGCTGCTGGATGGAGAATGTAGTTTCAAGCACCTATCAGGCTTGGCAGAAGACAGAGAAAAAAAATCCTGCTACTTCCAGTGAAATAATTTAAATGCAGAGATCCCCACTGAAAAAAGAGCTTCCTCTATACTTTCTTTACTAGAAGGCGAGTACCTTGGACACCAACCTCCAGCATCAGCGCAGCTCAGCGGTCAAGGGTGTGTGCTAGAGCAGACCCCTGGGGCAGAAACTCTGACCCTAAAGTCATACTAGCTGAGCAACCTTGAGCCAAGTTGCCTATTCTCTCCAAACCTGTTTCCTTAGCTGTAAAATGGGGATAAGAATAATCCCATCACAGAGGATTGAATGAAATTATCCATGTAAGCATTGTAATCACTTAACAAAATGAGCTAATGTTATAATTATTCCATCCAGAGATGGAAAGGTTCTTTCAGCAATGAACCTATTGCACCCGACTTTGTTAAAATAGTTCAGCATTCTGCTCAACTCCTGAGTCAAATGCATTTTCACATCATCTCCAAATCCTTGAAATAGTTTGAATGTTAGAAGTGAACTTTGTTTCTGTTGTGGTAGATTTTACTTTGTCTTTAACTGGTTTGGAAGGAAAAGAGGATTGGGGTCAGGATTTGGTGGGAAGGGAAGCTAGGAGCGGGCGAGAGAGATGGGACAGATACTTATTGATCCCCAGTGACCAAGAGTACTGGGAACTCAGAAATGACAAACTACTTCCCATGTGGCCTCAGTCCCACCACTGACTAGTAGCACTTCAAAACTTGGAATTTAAAAGACAACGATAAATGACAGTCTGCAAGGACTTTTGACATAAGAACTAATTCTTTGGCAAAGTCTAGATCATCAAAAATGAAGGCAAAACAGGAAACCATCAGCAAATGACCTCTGTGTTTAAACAAGAGAAAATTCTGGCATCCCAGGATTTCCTGTTAAGAAATCAGGCCTTTATCCCAAACTGCAATGAAACTTGAGTGAAATGCACTCCGACAGAGAGTGCCATGTGCACAAACCTCTTCACAGCCATAACCTCCTGATCAGCAGTTCTAAATAAATAGCAGCCCAAGCGCATGTTTCTCAACCTTTTTGTGGATGGATTTGCTCTCACTCCCTCAGTTTTTGTATAAAATCAATCAAATCTCTGGGCTTCAAAAAAACCTTGGCCCTTGTTAAATCTCCCAGGCACAGTTATGTAATGAGATGGAGAAATGTCATTCCTCAGGCTCCCCCTTGCAGAAGAAAATATTATATTTTGGAAGAAGAAATTGTTTAATATCCTCCCTTGGGAAGAAGAGTAAGGCCCCAAGTTCATGGCCAAGTACCAAAGACTGTTGCAGAAGTGAAAAGGACAAGGAGAGGCGTCTGTCACTCCTGAGAGAAACAGGGGAGGAGACAGGGAAGGAGAGGGTAGTGGGAGTGGCTTTCACTCTATCGCCCCTTGCTAGTCACTAAAGTGGCTAATCTCAGGCCATGCTTGGTGCAACTGAGTTTCTAATTTTGTAGGGTTGAAACTGGTGAAGGGACTGAACTTTGCACTGGTGTGATGTGAGTGAAACTAAGAGGAAGGACTTACTGCGACTGGAGGGGCAGAAGGCCTTGCTGGAGCCTGCATTATAATTACCTGCAGCCACATCTGCCATCCCATTAGCACTTCCAAAAGCCACATGAGGCCCTCCTCAAGAGTCTGAGCTGCAGAGAGACATTTAAATAGGCTTGACCACCTGGAGCCAGTCACCAGATTATCATCCAAGACCAGCAAGCAGGGCTGCCTCCATTCTTGTGAGCCTGGGCCAATCAGAGCTCTTTCTGCTTTGAGTCAAGACTTCCTCCAGATACATTTAAAGTGAGCTCCCAGTTCACCGCAGAGCCATATAGAACATGCTGTTTGGGTTCGAATCAGGGCTGGAGTGTTTAATTCCTTTAGATATACATACCAACTTTATTCCAAGGGCATCAAAGAGCCCATTAAACATTCATTATCTGTGCCCTCTCAAAACACCAGCTCAAGGCTTATCCCACCATTGCATTCCCTGGTGACCACAACCTAGTCCCAGTTACTGTGATTGGTGAGCACTTGGAATCCTGGTTTGGCCACTTTCTAGTTGAGTAGCCTTTGATGAGTTACTTGACCACTGTATACCTATATTAATTTTCTCAACTGGAAAATGAGTATAATATGTATTACCACTTTGGATTGATTAATTAAATATGGTAATATGCAAAAAGTGTCCAGAAAATGTAACATAGAGTTGTCCTTAAGGAATGACAAGTTTTCTTGTTTGTTTTCTTTTTTCTGCTATTTCCAAAAGAAATCCCAGGTAAGTTTTTTTTAAATCTGAAGAATCTCAAACGATGAATTTTATTATGTAATTATTATGTAATTAAATTAGCTGATATCCATCTACTATTCGCAAAACAAACAAATTTGATAAAGTATGAATTCACCAATGAACTATTTAAAGGTTTGTTTATTTAACTAAAACTTATTTTTGCTCTAAGGATTCTTCTTTGTAACTCCAAAATTGCCTATAACCAATTTCATTCAGATCTTTCTAAACCATCACTTGTGGTTCGAATCAGGGCTGGAGCATGAGGGGGTCATGCTCCCAGGTAGAAGCAAGCACCTATCTACCTACTGCTCTCAGGGAAGCCTGAACCCAGGAAGCAAATTATATGCAGGTGTTTCAGGCTGAGATGTGAAGTATGCTGTTTATAATGTCAAAGTCTATTTTCCTGGGCTCAGGAAGATCTTACAGAGATTATTGTGGTGTAAACTGTATCTGGCTGGAATAGATGAGAGAGTCAGTAGGAGAGTCCTGGAGTTGGATAAGAAGGAGCTGGAGAAGTAGCTTCCAGTTCAGGGAAGGTAAGAACCAATGCAATATGGCAGCAGGATAGAGCTAAGTAAGACAGCCAGCAGGGAGCCCCTTGTGGCTGGATGTGGCTGACAGTCTGTAGGGGCACTGGGTGGAATCTAACAGTCAAGCGTTTCAGTTTTCCTCTTCTGCATTGTAATTCTCTTACATCACCCTAAGGCTTCAATAAAGTTGGTTAAACACAACTGTCTTGTGCTAATTATGATTTGAGAGAATAAAGGAAGGAACTCAGCCTACACTTAGGGATGAAGCTGACCTGGAAGAGGGGTCCCACACAGAGAAGCCTAGAGCATCAGGGCCGGGCACAGTGGCTTATGCCTGTAATCCTAGCACTTTGGGAGGCTGCGGTGGGAGGATAACTTGAGGCCAGGAGTTCGAGACCAGCCTGGCCAACACAGTAATATGCCGTCTCTATTAAAAATACAAAAGTTAGCCGGGCGTGGTGGTACACGCCTATAATCCCAGCTACTCCAGCCTGGGTGACAGAGCGAGACCCTGCCAAAAAAGAAAAGAAAAAGAAAAAAAGAAACAAAAGCCTAGGTAGGGGAGAAGCCTGGGGCCACTCACAGAGAGAAGGGACAAGCAAACCCCAATCTCAGACTTCCCATTTTTTCTTTAGGCTTTTCAGCCCCTCTCCCCATCAGTCGTGTCTTCTCCATCTCCCTTCTAATTTTATACTCTCTTTTATTCTCTCCTAGAATGAAGGCACTAAACACTAGACCTGAAACAACTTTGACAATATCTCAAAGCAAACTCTGGGCCCCTGTCCTCCCTCTCTGTTCATTCGTTGTGCTATTTGGAGCTGAACCAGTCCACGAGTCTACGCTGATTTTGCAAGCGTAAATAGTTGTGGTTCAAATAATCTTGCTCAATTTTTCAGATCTGGAGATTCTGCCATATAACTGTTCCAATGCCAAGAATTCATACCCCAGAGGCCTTCCTCTCATCATTTAAGATTTTCAAAAAGATAATTTCGCCTCAGTACTGGTTGCCAGATTGACAGCCTTAAAAACAAGAGGTGAAATTCAATCTCAATGGAGCTTGTGCCTGCTCTCTATTTTTAGGGAAAAGATTATTCACCCATATGGGCAGCTGGGAATAGAGCATTGCTGGGGGTGGTGTGGGGGAGGGTAGACATTTAAAGCAAACTTGACCCTAAATCTCCTGCCCTCAGTGGGGTGGGGGTGGGGAGTGTGGAGTGTGGAAGGAATAAGAATTGTCCCCAGGTTGGGAGGGGTGCAATGTAGGATTTCCCAAAAACCATTGTAAATTTTGCAGAATGATAAAAATATTTTTCTTTCTAAAAATAGCTCTCTCAGAAACCAGATGTCTGGATTTAATTACAGTCACTATGTATTGAGCATGTACCAAGGTACCAAGCCCCATTTTGGTTCTTTGCAGATATCTGGTACAACCCTGCTGCAAGCCCATAAAACAGGTTTGCTTCCCTATTTTCACTTGACAAATGAGCACACTGAGGGTCTGAGAAGGAATTCAAAGCCAGTGCACCACTTAACCCCAATCATTTCCAATTTTCTGATATCTCCCAGGCCAGAAGTTCCCAGACTTGGTTGCACATCAGAATAAACACACATTCCTGGGATCTACCCCAGACCTGCTGAATCACGATGCTCAGCTGGGGCAGGAAGTGATTGTAAAGTTCCGGAAGTGATTGTAAATTTCCCAAAGTGATTCTGATGCACAGCTGGGTTTCAGAATTGCTGTCCTAGAGACAGATGGGGACAGGTAATTCCAGGAGTGCACAAGGAACACCACCTTCAAGTCCTTTCAACCTGGGGCCTTAAGTGTCCTAGGCTACCTTAGGCTTCTCTGAGTTGCTCGATGGAGCTGTATTTCCTGTGACCTCAGAGCTGGCCCCTCTGGTTGGAAGGGTCCCCATGTAGCCTCTGCCTCTCCACATCTCAGCTCTAGGGGCACCTCCCTGTGGATGGCAGCCCTGTCCACCTGCACAGGGTGAGATGCCCTGCACTTTCTCAGACCACATCATGGGCTGTAGTTATACATTATGGGGATTTCAAAAATTCATGTTGGCCTCACCTGTTAGATGGTAAGCACTGTAAGGGCAGGGACTAATTCTACTTCACTCAGAATTGTACTCCTGAGCTTTATCCAGGGGTGGCACATTGTGGTAGCTCCTGTGTTTGAGTGAAGAAGGGAATGAGGAAACAAACTGGAAGGGTGGAGAACTAGGCATAGGAGACCCGGGTTCCAGTCCAGGTTTGTGCCAATTTGCTGCGTGACAATTTAGTGAGCCCCTCCTCCTCTCTGAGATTCCACCTCCTCACCTGATAAAAGAGGGGATGGATTAGACCTATTGGATTAAACCTAGATATCAAACTTGAGTAAGTGTCAGAGTTGCTTAGGGAGCTCCTGTAAAGGTGAATCCAAGCCCCTCCCCCAGGCAGCCTCCTTCAGCAGGCCTGGAGGGGCCATCTGCACTATTAATGGTCCCCAGAGATGCTGCTGCAGGTGGTCTCTGTGTGGTGGGGCACATTTTTAAAACCCTGGACTGAGTGAATTCTGAGATCCTCTCGAGCTGTGCCATATTGTCATTTCGTTAGCATACAGTTAGTGAGATCTGGGCGAGAGGAAAACAAAGGGCATTGTGGAAAGGTGGTGACTCCCTGGAACGTGCATTCCTCAAGCTGCTACCAGGCAATATCGCCCGTAAGAGCTGGAAGAGAGACCTTGGTTGCCAGCCCCTCTGTAACACACCATACTTGGAATCACTACTTTTTAACATATTGGAATGCAAGACAACGCAGTTCATACAAAAAATATCTAAAAATATCCTGGAAATATTAAAATGTTCTCAGAAGACACCAGATACCATTCATAACCTCTAAATGCTGAGACCATCGTTGCAATGAATGGAAGTCCTGCTGTGTTGTGTGGGGGGGGTGCGGGGAGGCTTTATAATTCTCTCTTTTCTCTGCCCTTTTAAAAAATTGTCAAAACACATACAGTCAGTTCACATCTGAGATTCAACCAACCACAGGTTGAAAGTATTTGGAAGATATAAAAATAAAAAATAACAATACAATAAAAATAATACAAATTAAAGAACAATAGAGTATGACAACTACTTACATAGCATTTGCTTTATATTAGGTATTATGAGTAACCTAGAGATGATTTAAAGTGTATGGGACGATTTGTGTAGATTATATGCAAAGAGTATGCCATTTTATACAATCTATCTCATTTTATTGTGCTTTGCTTTATTACACTTCTCAGATACTGTATTTCTGACAAACTGAAGGTTTGTGGCACAGCTGCACCAAGCACGTCTATTGGCGGCATTTTTCCAACAGCATGTGCTCACTTCGTGTCTCTGTGTCACCTTTTGTTAATTCTCATAATATTTCAAACTTTTTCATTATTATTATACATTTTATGTTGATCTGTGATGAGTGGCCTTTGATGTTACTATTGTAACTGTTTTGGGGTGCCATGAACCGCACCCATATAAGATGGAGAACATAATCCATAAATGTTGTGTGTGTTCTGACTGTTCCACCAACTGGCCGTTCCCCATCTCTCTCCCTCTCCTTGGGTATCCCTAGTCTCTGAGACACAACAATATTGAAATTAGGCCAATTAATAACCCTACGATGGCCTCTAAGTGTTCACGTGAAAGGAAGAGTCACATGTTTCTCACTTTAAATAAAAAGCTAGAAATGATTAAGCTTAATGAGGAAGGCATGTCCAAAGCCAAGACAGACTGAAAGCTATGCCTCTTATACCAGTTAACCAAGTTGTGAATGCAAAGGAAAAGTTCTTGAAGAAAATTAAAAGTAAAGTGAAACAGCCTTATTGTTGATATGGATAAAGTTTGAGTGGTTTGGATAGAAAATCAAATCTGCCACAATATTCCCTTAAGCCAAAGTCTAACCCAGAGCAAGGCTCTAACTCTCTTCAATTCAAGGCTGGGAGAGGTGACGAAGCTGCGGAAAAAATGTTTGGAGCTAGCAGAGGTTGGTTCATGAGGTTCAGGAAAGAAGCCATTTCTACAACATAAAATGGCAAAGCAGCAAGTGCTGATGTAGGAGCTGCAGCAAGTTATCCAGAAGATCTAGCTGAGATCATTGGTGAAGGTGGCTACACTAAACAATACATTTTTAATGTAGATTAAATAGCCTCCTATTGGAAGAAAATGCAATCTAGAATTTTTATAGCTAGAAAGGAGAAGTCAACACTTGGCTTCAAAACTTCAAAGCACAGGCTGACTCGCTTATTAGGAGGTAATTAGGAGTCGCAGCTGGCTACTTTAAGCTGAAGCCAATGCTCATTTACTATTCTAGAGCCCTTGAGAATTACGCTAAATCTACTCTGCCTGTGTTCTAGAAATAGAACAACAAAGCCTAGATGACAGCACGTCTGTTTCAGCATGGTTTACTGAATATTTTAAGCCCACTGCTGGGAACTACTGCTCAGAAAGAAAGATTCCTTTGAAAATATTACTGTTCATTGACAATGCACCTGGTCACCCAAGAGCTCTTATGGAAATGTACAGGAGATTAATGTTGTTTTCCTGTCTCTAAAACAATATCCTTTCTCTAGCCCATGGATCCAGGAGTCATTTTGACCTTCAAGTAGTATTATTTAAGAAACACATTCAGTAAGGCTATCGCTACCATAGATAGAGATTCCTCTGAGGAATCTGGGCAAGGTCAATTGAAACCTTCTGGAAAGGATTCACCATTCTAGATGCCATTAGAACAATCGTGATTCACAGGAGGAGGTCAAAATCTCAGCACTAACAGGAGTTTGGAAGAAGTTGATTACAACTTTCATGGGTGACTTTGAGGGGTTCAAGACCTCAGGGGAGGAAGCAACTGCAGATGTGGTGGAAACACCAAGAGAACTAGAAGTGGAGCCTGAAGAATTGACTGACTTGCTGCAATCTCATGATGAATCTTCAAACTGATGACGAGTTGCTTCTGATAGATGAGCAAAGAAAGTCGTTTCTTGAGATGGAATCTATTCCTAGTGAAAATGCCACAAACATTGTTGAAATGGCAAATAAGGATTTAGAATAAAACATAAACTTAGTGGATAAAGCAGCAGCTGGGTAAAATGCTATCAAACAGCAGCCCATGCCACAGATAAATCTTTCATGAAAGAAAAAGTCAATGAATGTGGTAAACTTGAATGTTGTCTTATTTTTTTAAATTGCCACAGTTGGCCTGGCGCGGTGGCTCACACCTGTAATCCCAGCACTTTGGGAGGCCGAGGCAGGCAGACCACAAGGTCAGGAGATCAAGACCATCTTGGCCAACATGGTAAAACCCTGTCTCTACTAAAAATACAAAAATTAGCTGGGTGTGGTGGCACGTGCCTGTAATTCCAGCTACTCGGGAGGTTGAGGCACGAGAATCGCTTGAACCCAGGAGGCGGAGGTTGCAGTGAGCCTAGATTGCGCCACTGCACTCCAGCCTGCTGACAGAGCGAGACTCTGTCTCAAAAAAAAAAAAAAGTTGCCACAGCCACCCTAGCCTTCAGCAACCACCACCCTGATTATCAGCAGCCATCAACAGCAAGGCAAGACCCTCCAGCAGCAAAAAGATTACAACTTGCTGAAATCTCGGTTGATCATTAGCATTTTTAACAATATTTTAAAATTAAAGTATATGTACATTCTTTAGACATAATGCTATTGCACACTTAGTAGTCTACAGTGTAGTGTAAACATAACTTTTATATGTACTGGAAAACCAAAAAATTCACAATTCACTTTATTGTGATACTCACTTTATTGTGGTGGTCTGGAACTGAACTTGCAGTATCTCCAGTGTATGCCTATATGAGGGACTTGAGTGTCTGCAAATTTTGGTATCCATGGGAAAACTGGAACCAATTCTCCAATACTGAGGGATGACTGTATAGAAACCCAGATAAAATAAGTGTATAGCTTTATGAGTTATAAGGTGAACATCCTTAATCACTACCAAGTCATGAAACAGAACTTCGCCAGGCACCCCAGAAGCCTTCTCCCCATTGTCCCACCCTCAACTCTTTCCCTTTCCCTAGAAGTAAATGCTCTCCTGACTTTTAGAGCTATCACTTCCTGGTGTTTCTTTACAGTTCTATCACCTAAGTGTGCATTCCTGGTCACTATAGTTTAGGCTTGCTGTTTAAAACCATTTGTTATGTCTTTTAAGTATCATTAGATTTACAGATTTCTCCTTTATTTTTCTAAAATACAGGGACACTTAACACGTAGAGTTCCTCACAGTCTGAGTTGTGCTGATTGGGTACTCATGGTACAGTTCAGTGTGTTCTTCTGAGCTCTGTATTTCCTTAAAATTGACAGCTGAAATCAGAGGTTTTATCTGTCTCATTTCCAACCCCTTTGGCAAGATTACAGGTGGTGGTATGTTCTTTCACTGGGAAGCACATAATGTCTGTGTTCTCTCCCTCCCACCTCCTCCTCTTCCTCCTACATTCTTCTTCTCCTCGTCCTCTTCCTCCTCCTTCTCCTCCTCGTCCTCTTCCTCCTCCTTCTCCTCTTCTCTTCTTCCTCCTCCTCCATCTTCTTTTACATCCCTCTCTCTCTCTCTCTTTCTGCCCCTTCCAACTCATGCTGTTGGCCACAGCTGATATTGATGTCAATGACTGGATCCATTAGCTCATTAAGGACTCTAAAAGGGTGACAATCTAATTCTATAGTTTCTTATTTAATTAGTTAAATACTTTTATGAAGAGATATTTTCTCTCATCTACAATTTGGCCACCCAGTGGATGGTACCTTTCATACAGGAAAGGCAAGATAAATGCTTCATTCTTTCCCTTTATTTACTACTTTTCAAGATAATGAATTATTTCTCTATCATGCTATGAAGGTGACCATCTGCTTTTAAAAATATCATTATGAACTTGCATATGTAAACACATTTGACGGGTTTTGATCTATTTTAATTATTATTCTTGTTGGCTTTCAAATTGCCCATCTTTAGCCTGGGAACCTCTTCAGGTTGGCTCCTGAGTGCTTTGGGGCACAATTCCACTGGTCTTTGGTAGCTTTCTCACTGCCTGATATGACAGAGGCTCTAGGCTCACCTTGTACATTTCTGACCCAGACATGCAACTGGCCATTTCTCCCAAGACGCTCTGTTTATTTTAGTGAGAAATAGTATTTCAAGCCCACAATCTGGGTATCAGAGATGTCACTGCTACTCAGAATTAATCATTGTTTCTAGGCCTCTTCACTAGACAGAGCTAGAAAATTATATTTTTGAAAAGTTAAAATACCATCACACTGATACTTCCAATTCAAATTTAGGGCAACAGGGTTTTTTTACTTCATTGCCTTAATGTTACATTTTTATCTCCTTTCTTCTACATCAATAATTCTTGATCTCAATGACCCAGGAAATGATGGGATTAGAATATCCCACGATGACTCATTTACTTTATCCCAAAGCACACACACAACAGTCTCAGAATAACAATACCAATCTACAGCATCTATATGATTCTTGAGAGCAGTTAAATTTTCTTTTTGCATATAGCTTCCATCATTCTTTCCTTGTCCCATTTTTTTCATATTGGTGCTATGTCCACACCAGATGAGCTTTGGGGCATTACACATTATGTACGTCCCTTTCAGCCCACATTTCATCTTAGTTCTACAAGAGACCATATGTTGAACACACACCACCAGTTCTTATGTGGATGTCCCTTTAGACATTTTGGTTTTCTGAAGCTCTTCTCTAGTAGATTTTTAAGGAAGATCTCCTGGATCTTCCCAAAGGAAGAGCACAGGGTTTGTGTGCTCAAGAGAAGAGGGAAATGAGTTTGGTAAGCAGCTATCCAGTGTCTGCCAGGGTCTGAAGATCAAGCAGACAACCCGTGCAGAAGGCCCGAGTATAGGGCCTGGCATGTAGAGGAAGCTGCAGGCTAAGTATCACCATTCAAATGTCAAAAGTTGGCTTGATTCTAGTTGTAGTCTACTCAAGTGTGACTTGAGGGCTCTTCAGTCTGTCCCTTCAGGAGATAAAGCGAGTCTGTGACATGGCCACAGATGCCTGCAGTCCCAGCCCCCTGGCCAGAAGCATTTCTGTAGGTTACAGCTGAGAGCCTTCAGCCAGGTCAGTATGAAATGAAAATGAAAAGCTCATATTTTGTTGTTTTTTTTTTTTTGAGGAGGGAGAGGGTATATTAACGGCATTCTTCAGTAATGATAAGAATATGTTTCTTTTCTTTTTTTTAAGACAGGGTCTCTCTCTCTGTCACCCAGGCTGGACTGCACTGGCATGATCTTGGCTCACTGCAACCTCTGCTCCCCAGGCTCAAGTGATCCTCCTACCTCAGCCTCCCAAAGTGCTGGGATATACAGGCATGAGCCACCATGCCTGGCCAAGAGAATGTGTTTCCTAAAAATACTCAATACTTTCACTTAATTGGTACTTTTCTCTGCTTTTCCTTGATATGTATTTATTTATTTCTATTGTGGTAAAAAGAAAACACATAACATTAAATTTACCATCTTAACTATGTTTAAGTGTACAGTTCAGTAGTATTACATATATTCACATTGTTGTGCAATAGAGCTCTAGAATTTTTTCAAAACCCCATACCCCTTGAACAACAACTCCCAATTTCCCCCTATTTGTAGTCAATTTTATGTATGGTTTCTGTTGCAGGACAGTAATATTTGATTGCCACATAACTAACTATCCCATGTTATCTATCATGCTTTCAGATTTTGCTCTTCCTTAAAGAGAGCTACCCCAATCATTATAGACATATTCCTGATTATTTTCTCCTCATAGTTGTACATGCAGCCACATGTATATGTACATGCAGTTGTACATGCATCCTTTACTTTCTACACGCAGCTCTTCTGTTTCTCCAGCATGTCTGCATACAGGGGTGGTCAGTTTAAGTCTTCTGGGGTACAATCATGAAATTGGGGTTAAAAATGCAAGAGATTTATTGGGGATAATGCCTGGGAACAATAAAAGGAGAAGAAGCAGGAGGAAGCAGGGAAAGACTTCAGACTATGAGGAAGGTCGGATATCTATGAAAGGAGAAGGGGAAGAAAGGAGAGAGAGCCTTGGACTGTGGAGCAGCCTCTGAGAAAGCCTCAGCCAGGCCACAGGGAGTGTTAGAGCAAAGACAGCCTGCAGAGGAGACCCAGGCCAGGGACAGGAATTAGCAGGCTCAAGTTCCCCCACTGTGTCCTCAAGGGCCGGCTGTCTGGGAGAAGCATGGCCTCACCTCCAGTGCTGCAGGTGACCCAGGGGGCTGCAGCTGGGACCTATCAGGGAACTACACCCTCTGTCACGGGGGCAAGCATAGCAGTGCCCTTTCATGGCTGCCACTGGCAGGGAACAGGAATCCTTAATGTTTTTCCCAGCAGATATCCAACTATTCCAACATAGTTCATCTTCAATGATACAGAACACGCTCTTTACCATATTCTAAATTCCCAAACATACATTTCACTAATGTTCCACTATTTTAATGACAGTAGCTAGAATACACTTTGATATAAAGTAGATTAAGTTTCCTCCTATTGTTCTACCTCTTTCACATTTCTTAGTTATATTTATTCCTTTCAAGTAAACTATGGGACTTTAGGCAAGTTACTAAATCTCTGTGCTTCAATTTCCTCATCTATAAATAGGGGATAATGATAGTGCCTTTTCATAGCATTGTTGAGGAATCACATGAGATAATGCATGCAAGACACTTAGTACATCCAAGAACTGATAAATAGTAAGCAACCAAAAAACAGTAACAATAAAAATAAGGGATTTTATTGTTGTAAAAGGGGTCCTTCTTGTAGAGCTCATAAACATCATTGGGATTGCTTTGCATTTGTAGGGTGATTAACAAAAAACATGTATTTTTTTTAAAATTTGCATCTGAAATATGTAATGTTTCAGTCTATTTTTATGCTCTCTTGAAAGTTATTCCTTTCTGTTCTCCATCTGTACTTGCTTCTTGGTGAACCAATGCAGACTCTGGGCTTTACAAATCATCTACACACCAACCACCCACAAGCTGCAACTCCAGCCCAAACCTCTTTCCCAAGCTCCAGATTCTCATGTGCTCAACACATCGCCACATATATCTAACACAACATGTAGACATCGCCAAGTTAATAGGTCTCAAACCTGTTCTTCCTCTAAAAATGTGCTCCGCTCACAACTGTCTCTGTCTCAGTTCATGACATTTCTGCCCTTTCACTTCCTCAGGCCAAAAAACTCTTATCTCTTCCTTGTCTTTTTTTTTTTTTTTTTGAGATGGAGTCTTACTCTGTCGTCCAGGCTGGAGTGCAGTGGTGCGATCTCGGTTCACTGCAATGTCCACCTCCTGGGTTCAAGCGATTCTCCTGCCTCAGCCTCCCGAATAGCTGAGACTACAGGTGTGTGCCATCACGCCTGGCTAGTTTTTTGTATTTTTAGTAGAGACGGGGTTTCACCATGTTAGCCAGGATGATCTCGATCTCCTGACCTCATGATCTGCCTGCCTTGGCCTCCCAAAGTGCTGGGATTACAGGCATGAGCCACCACGCCCGGCCCCTTGCCTCCATTTTTACTGTCACACTCCACATCTGATCCTTGGGGGAAATTCTGTTGTTTCTACCTTCAAAGCCTTCAAAGCACATGCAGTATCTAAGCACCGGTCATCACATCCATTGCTACCGGCCAGCCCCAGCCACATTGTCTGTCCCTCATCTGGCCTCCAGTTTCTCACCCTACTGAAGGCAGCAGCCAGAAGGATATAATGAGAAAGTGAAATGATTCTAACCCTCTGCTCAGAGACCTCTAAAGCCTCCACCTTTCACTCAGAGCAAAAGCCACGTTTTCACAATGACTTTTAAGAGCGTTATGATCTCACCCTGTGGCTGCCCCTCTGACATTGAAAGGTGACCTGCTGCTGTCCCTCCCTCACTGTGGGAGGCCACCAGCAGCACAGGCCACCAAGCATTCCAGGGACACGAAGCTCCAGGCCTGTGGGCCGGCTATTCTCTCAGACCGGAGCACGGCAGATGTCTGCAGATGAACTCCCTTCTCTCCTTCAAGTCTGGGGGCAGGTGTCTCTCAGAGTGGCCTGCCCTGGCCTCCTAGTTACAACTGGAGTCTTCGCTCTCCTCCCCCTTCCTGGGACTCCTGTTGTGTCTGCATTTTGTTTTTTATTAGGTTGGTGCAAAAGTAATCGCAGTTTTGCCATTAAAAGTCATGGCAGAAACTGTGATTGCTTTTGCATCAACCTAATATCTCCCTATCAATGATCACTTTCAAACATTCTAAAGAATTTACTTATTGTAATCGTGGTTTATAGTCTATTTTTAAATTCTAGAATGTAGGCTCCACAAAATAAGAGATCTGTTTTGCTCACTGCAGTATCCCAAGCACCCAGAATAGTGCCAGACACATGGTAGGTGAACAACAAATACGTATGAAGTGGCTTCCCTCATTTAGATCTCTCCCAGTTGAAAGATATTTTTTACATTTTTATTCAAGCATATTACTCTATGTATAATAATGATGCAACCTTAATTTTTTTTTTTTTTTTTGAGACAGTCTTACTCTTTTTCCCAGGCTGGAGTGCAGTGACACCATCTCTGCACACTGCAACCTCCCTTCCCGGGTTCAAGCAATTCTCCTGCCTCAGCCTCCTGAGTAGCTGGTACTACAGGGGCGTGCCACCACACCTGGCTAATTTTTTGTATTTTTAGAAGAGATGGGATTTCACCGTGTTAGCCAGGATGGTCTCGAACTCCTGCCCTCGTGATCTGCCTGCCCTGGCCTCCCAAAGTGCTGGGATTACAGGCGTGAGCCACCGTGCCCGGCTGCAACCTTAATTTAATGATTAACTTATTCTAATGCTTATCACTAGTCTTTCATATTACAATTTCTTCACCTTGAGATTAACAAAAAATTGACCATCACCTCTCTTTTAGCAAGAAAAGAAGGCAGTTCAGTGGTGGCTCCCTCTCAGGCCCTGTGTTAGCACAGGCTGTTCAAGCTGCCCCTCCCTGCCTCCTCTGCCCTCCAATCCTCCAGCATCCAGCACAAGGCCCTTCCGCCCCAAGTCCCAAGGCCCACCTCATTTCCTGCTTCAGGAAGATTGACAGGGAACCTCGGTGCTCCCAGCAATCACAAAAGGTGTGATGTTGGCATAGCTACAACGTCTTTTGTTATCTTGTCAAATCCATACTTTACTCACCTCACAAGATTGTCGGGAAGACTATAGGAAAAAGTCTAATAATTTGATAAAAAATGTGCAAAAGATTTAAATAGACATTTCTCAAAAGAAGACATCCAAATAGCAAACAGGCATATGAAAAGGTGCTCAACATCACGGATCATCAGAGAAATAAAATCTAAACTGCAATGAGATATCATCTCACCCCAGTTAAAATGGCTTTTATCCAAAAGACAGGCAATAATAACAAATGCTGATGAGGGTGTGGAGAAAAGGGAACCCTCATACACTGTTGGTGGGGATATAAATTAGTACAAACACTACAGAGAACAGTTTGGAGGTTCCTCAAAAAACTAAAAGTTGAGCTACCATATGATCCAGCAATCCCACTGCTAGGTATATACCCAAAAGAAAGGAAATCGGTATATCGAAGAGATATCTGCACTATGTTTGTTGCACCACTGTTTACAAAAGCTAAGATTTGGAAGCAAACTCTGTGTCCATCAACAGATAAATGGATAAAGAAAATGTGGTACCAGATACACAATGGAGTACTATTCAGCCTATCCTGTCATTTGCAACAACATGGATGGAACTGGAGATCATTATGTTAAGTGAAACAAGCCAGGCACAGAAAGACAAACATCACATGTTCTCACATATTTGTGAGATCTAAAAATCAAATCAATTGAATTCATAAACTTAGAGAGTAGAAGGTTACCAGAGGCTGGGAAGGGTATTGGGGGATTGAGGGGAGGTGGGGATGGTTAATGGGTCCAAAAAAAAAATGAATAAGACCTACTATTGGCCGGGCGCAGTGGCTCACGCCTGTAATCTCAACACTTTGGGAGACTAAGGTGGGCGGATCATGAGGTCAGGAGATTGAGACCATCCTGGCTAACATGGTGAAACTCCATCTCTACTAAAAATACCAAAAAAAAATTAGCCAGGCATGGTGGCGGACACCCGTAGACCCAGCTACTCGGGAGGAGGAGGCAGGAGAATGGCATGAACCCAGGAGGCGGAGCTGGCAGTGAGCCAAGATCACGCCACTGCACGCCAGCCTGGGCGACAGAGCAAGACTCCATCTCAAAAAAAAAAGACTTACTATTTGATAGCACAATAGGGTGACTATAGTCAATAATAACATACTTGTGTGTGTATATATATACATATGTAAACATATATACACACATATATACATATATATAGATATATATGCACACACATATATATGTGTCTGTGTGTATATATATAGAGAGAGAAGAGAGAGAGACAGGATCTCACTCTGTCACCCAGGCTGGAGTGCAGTGGCATGATTTTGGCTCACTGCAACCTCCGCCTCCTAGGCTCAAGGAATCCTCCCACCTCAGCCTCCCAAGAAGCTGCGACTACAGGCACGTGCCACCACGCATGGCAAATTTTTGTATTTTCTGTAGAGACAGGGTTTTGCCATGTTGCCCAGGCTGGTCTCAAACTCCTGAGCTCAAGTTATCTGCCCACCTTGGCTTCCCAAAATGCTGGGATTACAGGCATGAGCCACCACGCCCGGTCTTAATTGCATATTTTTTAATAACTTTAATAATGTAATTCGATTATTTGCAACTCAAAGGATAAATGCTTGAGGGGATGGATACACTATTCTCCATGATGTGCTTATTTCACATTTCATGCCTGTATCAAAACATTTCATGTACCCCATAAATGTATACACCTACTATGTACCCACAAAAATTTATAAAAATTAAAAAAAAATTTCCAATGAAAGATTGTTGGGAAGATAATGTCTGTGCACAGGTTTTATTTCATGAACTGCAAAGTAGCCCTGCAAAGTTAAAATGTTACATCCATTTGATTCTATAATAAAAATGTGTCTGCCTGCTTGTGGTGCAGCCTATACCCTGCACCTTTTTCCAGGGAGCCTATGTGGAGGACACAGTTGTTGGAGTGGTTCCCACAGCTGCATCCAGAGCCCTAAAACCAAGAGGCTCACTCAGCCTGCTCTGTGGATGCTGCACCCATCTGCATCTAATGCCTCCTCCTGCTACCTTATGTCCCAGCAGGGTAGAGGAGTAACAATGGCACTTTCAAGGAATCTGGCCTCAAATCTTAGCTGCCTTCCTTTGTGGAAGATACTATTTGGAAAAGTTCATTCCAAAACATCTCTCAACGGCCAGATTAGTGTGCCTAGGCTGAAATATCGTCGCTTTCCTGATGTCAGAAGAGAGGTTTCATCCTTTGGGATTCAGATGAAATTGGCTTAAAGTTAGACCCTGTGCGGTAGAAGCCCCCCATATTCCTTCCCACAGGTCCCAGAAACCCAGAAAGAGGGTGTTTTGCCCTAGAGAGTTGAATCCATCTGGAGGGCAAATTGGGGGTAGAAAAGGGTTCTTGGTAGCTGGGTCACAGGTCTTCTTCTCCCTCTCTCATCACACTGATTGTCCCGTTTGCTCTAATTCTGAGCCTGTGATTAGAGGTTGGTGAAGTGGTGATAAGAACCTCACAGCTGTGTCACAGCTGCCTTTTGGGACTGAATTTTCCAGGCCAGCTGCCTTACAAGACGATGGGGTGGCAATCCGCTTGTACTTGCTTCTTAGAATCCCACTCATCTAGAATGAGTCTTTCCATAAGGCTGGCCCACATCTGCTGGGGACAGGCAGGGAAAGCGGATTCAGAATGAAGAAAACACTCCAGTCAATTCCTTCCAGCAAGCTGGCTCCTGCTGCGGCTCTCTCTTTCAGGGAAGACATTCAGTTTTTGTCATTTGAAAAATTATGGCTAATTCCTGTGAGTTCAAGTAGCTCTTGTTGTGTTTGGAAGCAAAAGAGTCCTAGTTACAACACAGCCCCAAACCCCAGCCTGCTGAGTTGAAATGAGATGAGTCTTAGGATAAAATGAAACAACACCAAGGGCTGTGCAGGGATGAGGCAGCCCTTTCTTCTCCATTTGGGCCCACTGTTTTCTCTCTCTCATAGGACTACAGAACACACAGCTGTAAACACAATTTTTTCTACTTGTGACCATTTCCGTGTTGCCCTCAAGGTGGCCAGAGTGCAGGGGCATCATCTTTCTGAAGGGTGAGGCTTTGCTGTGGGTCCACAGGGCTTTGTTCTGTCTAAACCTCATTGCTGTTTTACCTTTTAGGATGTCATTGGCTCAAAGAAAAATCTAAACAGGGAACAGTGGCAAGAAAGTCAGTAAATAGATTACCATGTTTGTCTCCTTTCAGCCGTAGATTCCATGGCAACTTGAAAATACGACCTTTGATTTGCTGGATGGCCAAGCCAAGTACTCTAGCTAAACAAGAAGAGGGGTCCTGGGCAAAAAGCTTCCCAGAGACCCCCAACCTCATCTGAGTTGTCTTTAACCCTCTCTACCCTCCTTAATCAGCAGGGCACTGAGTTATGAAGAACAACTCAACTTTGTCAAACTTTGTCTAAATTTGTGGATACGTGAGATTTCAAAGCTGTCTTATGCTTCTAGTAAGCTTCCCCAGGTAACCCGCTAGAGACCCTGCGGGCACAAACCCACTTTTCTCTGCCAATGGAATCATGTCAATAGAAAAATTTAAAAGCACCCTTTTATGGGCCAGGGATCAGCTAATGATGGTATACTGGCCAAATCTTGCCCACAGGTATGTTTTGTGAGTAAAGTTGTATTGGAACATAAATATGCTCATCATTGGCATGCGTTGTTTTCACACCACAACAGCACAGTTAAGTTGTTACAACAGAGACAGCTGGCTGAGGAAATCTAAAAGATACTATGTGGACCTTTACAGAAAAAGTGTATATAACTCTGCCCTAGGCTAAATAATTGGAGAATTAAAATAAACAACAACAACAACAAAAAGAATTGGAGAATTAAGGAGTCATGAGCCATGGCTCATTAGCTAATCAATAACTCAAAAAATAGCAAGATAAGAGGGATAACTCCAACCCACACATGCACGGAACCTCGTGTGTCAACATTTGCCACATCTCTCCCCCTCGCTCTTCCTCCAGGATTTCCCACGCAGCAGGTGGGAAAGCGACCCCTGTGGATGGAGCAGGAAGCAGGGCTCCAGGAAGGACACCTGCAATTAACACCTATTTAAAAAGCGAAACAACACTGATTAATTCCAGGAAAAAAAAATCTAAGTACAAGAAATGACTCTATTGTTCTACTAGACCCAGTTGTGAAGAATATTTGCAATCATATAGAACACACATGTTGAATCTTGATCTAAGCTTTAAAATTGTGCTGTAACTTTATCAGGAGATTGAGGAAGAGTAAAAGTGAGTGAAGAAAGTATAAGAGAATTAAATCCTTATTTTGTAGAGTAGAAAGTCAGTAGAAGCTACACTAAAGTGAAAACATGGAGCATGTTTTCTGAACAGGAGCTAAACCCCAGAATGAAAAGAGTTGAACTTGTTTTCGTCTTGTGTGGGGAGAGGCAATAGCAGGGACAGGTCAGGGACGGAATGCTGAATAGCATTTGAATTTCAAGTATGATATGGATAGCTTTAAAAACAATGGTTGAAAACAACAGTAGGAAGGGATAGAAAATCAAGTCTACTACCCCAGCATGATGGGCTAATGGTGTCCTTCCAAATTCATATGACCTCAGCATGCGACTATTTGGAGGCAGTCTTTAAAGATGAAATAAGTTAAAATGAGGTCATTAGGGTGGGCCCTAGTCCATTAAGACAGCTGTTCTTGTTATGGTAAAGGGGTCCTGATCTAGACCCTAACAGAAGGTTCTTGGATCTTGCGTAAGAAAGAATTCTAAGTCCATTAAGTGAAAGCAAGTTTATGAAGAAAGTAAGGGAACAAAAGAATGACTACTCCATAGGCAGAGCAGCCCCGAGGGCCACTGGTCGACCATATTTATAGTTATTTCTTGATTATATACTAAAAGGATGGATTATTCATGAGATCTTTGGGAAAAGGGGTGGGTAATTCCCAGAACTGAGGGTTCCTCCCTTTTTAGACCATTTAGGGTAACTTCCTGACGTTGCCATGTCATCTGTAAACTGTGCTGGCACTGATGGAGTGTCTTTTTAGCATACTAATGCATCATAATTAGCGTACAATGAGCAGCGAGGATGGCAAGGGGTCACTTTCATTGCCATCTTGGTTTCAGTGGGTTTTGGCCAGCTTCTTTACCATGACCTGTTTTATCAGCAAGGTCTTCATGGCCTATATCTTGTGCTGACCTGCTGTCTCACCCTGAGACTTAGAATGCCTAATCTCCTGGGAACGTAGCCCAGTAGATCTCAGCCTTATTTTACCCAGCCCCCACGCAAGATGAAATTATTCTGGTTCAAACACTTCTGACATCCTGCCAAGAAGCAGACACATGCAGGGGGTGACCATGCAAGCTCACAGGGAAAAAACATCCATCTGCAACCCAGGATCCAAATTTCAAAAGAAAAAATTCTGCCCACACATTGATCTTTTAATCTCCATAACTAGCAGACAATTTGTAAAGCGCCCCCCTGAAGCACTTTGTTAACGCAGCTGAAACAGACTAAGGCCCCCAGATTCCCTGAGGTGGAAGTGGACTGGTCTGAGGTGGGTATGACTGGCCCTGATGGGGGGGAGGAACTTCTCAGGTCCATGCCTTTGGGGCAGCTGCTGAGCTAAGCTTGTGTCCAGAATTGGTTCCTTCCCGTGGGTTCTTGGTCTGGCTGACTTCAAGAATGAAGCCGTGAACACTTGCGGTCAGTGTTAAGGTTCTTAAAGATGGTGTGTCTGAGTTTGTTTCCTTACATGTTCAGATGTGTTTGGAGATTCTTCCTTCTGGTGGATGTGTGGTCTCACTGACTTCAGAAGTGAAGCTGCAGATCTTCGCCGTGAGTACTACAGCTCTCACAGATGGAGCATCCACAGTTGTTCTTCCTGGTGGGTTAGTGGTCTTGCTGGCTTCAGGGGAGAAGCCAGAGACCTTCTTGGTGAGTGTTACAGCTCATGAAGGCGGCACTTCCAGAGTTATTCCTTTCTCCTGGTGGGTTCATGGTCTCACTGGCTTCAAGAGTGAAGCTGCAGACTTTCCCGGTGAGTGTTACAGCTCATAAAAGTCCAGAGTTGTTCGTTCCTTCTGGTGGGTTCATGGTCTCACTGGCTTCAGGAGTGAAGCTGCGACCTTCCTGGAGAGTGTTACAGCTTCTAAAAGCAGTGCAGACCCAAAGAGTGACCAGCAACAAGATTTATTGCAAAGAGCAAAACAACAACACACTCACAAAGTCCAAACAGCTGTCCCAGGGCGTTCAGGTGGCCTGCTTTTATTCCCTTATTTGGCCCCACCCACATCCTGCTGATTGGTCCATTTTACAGAGAGCTGATTGGCCCATTTTACAGAGAGCTGATTGGCCCATTTTACAGAGTGCTGATTGGTCCGTTTTTACAGAGTGCTGATTGGTGCGTTTACAAACCTTTAGCTAGACACAGAGCACTGATTGGTGCATTTACAATCCTTTAGCTAGACAGAAAAGTTCTCCAAGTCCCCACCCCACCCAGAAACCCAGGCGACTTCACCTGTCAAGCTGAGCTGAGCTCTTGATTTTTCTCCCACTGGAAGGTCAACATTGTTCGGGATTCCTCATCTTGCCGTGGCTCTGAGTTGGCTAAGTATGACTGCAAAGCATGGCACTTTCACTTGGCAACTCCCTCCCCTCACTCACTATAGCAAACCATTCTTTAGTCCCTGTGCAGAAACTTTGTTTGTTTGTTTGTTTGGGGCTTTACTTTTTGGAAGCCACGGAGGCACACTGTACAAAGGTTTTTGTGGGAAGCAAATTGCCTTTCCTTTTATTTATTTATTTATTTTTCCTTTTTGGCAGATGCCAAGGTCATCTTTCTGTTTGTACTACAGATACGCTGTAATTGATTTTCTGAGCGAACCTCTGCATGTTCCTACGACATTTTGTGATCTTCCAAGTGAACAACCTGACAGTGCCAACATTTATACTGAAGTAAAAGAACTCCTGAAAATTCTCATATAAATGTCAGCAATATTGTGGAAGTTTGACCACTTTCATGAGTCCATACATTGGAAATCAAAGTAATAAGGAAATATCTTAACTCTATTAAAATCATTTTTTCTCCTTTGTATTTTTTTTTCAGTCTGCTAACAAACACAGCCTGACTAGTTATTCTAGCTCAATTTTGTCGTGTGTGTGTGTGTTTGGGTGCAGACATGTATTTGTGTGCTTCTAAACTTAATTCTTGTTACATTGGTTTTCCACCGGGCGTGGTGGCTCACGCCTGTAATCCCAACACTTTGGGAGCTTGAGGTGGGCAGATAACCTGAGGTCAGCAGTTCAAGACCAGCCTAGGCAAGAAGGCGAAATCCCATTTCTACTAAAAATACAAAAGTTAGTTGGGCGTGGTGGCATGCGACTATAATCCCAACAACTCAGGAGAATCACTTGAACCCGGGAGGCGGAGGTTGCAGTGAGCCGAGATCGCACCACTGCACTCCAGCTTGGGTCACAGAGCAAGACTCTGTCTCAAAAATAAAAACAACCCCTCCCATCAAAACATTGTTTTTCGAAAACAGTAGAGACGGAGTTATACTTCCAAATAGCTTGCACTCATTTTAAGCACTGGAAGTACTGTCCTGGGAATCTTGTCAGGACTGAAAATTCACCAGAAGAGAGAAAACAGATTTGATGTGTCCTCTTTCCAACCCAAGCTGCTTCCCATGCTGTGAGCATTATCAGAGAAGGAGACAGAGGAGGTAAGGAGGCCATATTAATGGCTTGGCTTTGCTTTGGGGCATCTATTGAAACTTGCTGCTATGGCCAGTTTTTGTTGCTC
Organism: Homo sapiens; assembly: GCF_000001405.40. Classification (NCBI taxonomy): domain Eukaryota; kingdom Metazoa; phylum Chordata; class Mammalia; order Primates; family Hominidae; genus Homo; species Homo sapiens. The sequence goes on from NC_000007.14 coordinate 36,067,395, forward strand.
CTGTTGATTCTTTGCTTTTGTGTTTTGTTATTCTGGATTTGGGGGCTTTATTTTCTAATAAAGTAGTGTATCTGTATGTTTTCATGAATGGCCCTACTAGAGTCACTGTCTCTTGAGTTATCATGGTGTGGGACGCTTTCCCTCGCTGCAGATAGACTCATGCACACCTAGCATTACACAGGGCTCTGTCCTCAGAACAGCCAAGTGCCTGGAAGGCAATAGCTTTCTTGATTCTCTTTGCAAGTGCTATCTTGTGTTCCTTCATTTTTTTTTTTTTTGATAACTCTCCTAAGCCATTATAATAACTGGGACCCAGCGATTGTGTAAGGAAGACTGCCTTTATTTGCAGAAAACAGAGAATCCCAACAAGTGATATGACTGTCTCATTCACTGGTGTGAGATCTGTAATGACTATGAAGTAGCTAACAGCTAGAACTCACCATTATACGGCAAAGACCAGGCATACCATCTCTGGCAATGTTCTGTAAAAAATAATAATACATGTATCAGATCCTCATTTGCATAATAGTAACAAAATTCAGTTCCTTAAAAATCTAGAGTGTGTTTTCTACATACTTGCTTCCTTCATTTTCACAATGAATTATTTTGCACTGCTCATTTCACAGTTCCACGAAGTTCCTGCCAGTAGCTCATTTAAAGGACAAACTTGCTTTATATATCTCAAGGAATTCAGATGATGAAATCATTTGAACTAACCAAGAAGTGAAATGCTAATGTTCTAGAGGTGTACTTTCACCTCTTTGTTAAATACTGTACTATATTATGAAAATATAGTCAAGGAATTATTAAGTAACAGTATAGGTGACATGCTAAAATAAACTATCTGTAATAGGTATGACCTACATTTTTTAGTTTTGTGGAATACTGAGAATTAACAACATGAAAAAACTGCTTAATATAAGCACATTCATGCAAATCTGATGTGGCTTGAAAAGAAATTAATCCTTGAGACAAAATATGTGGTTCACTTATTCTACATATCTATACTATCCTCTAGGAAACTTTCACAGTATTGAGTTGCTGGTGTCATAAATCTGTGACAACACATAGCAAATCTTACATAACACACAGTTGCAAGTATTTCCTATTGCTGTAAATTTGGTTGATAATACTTTGCTTCATTTAGAGGTTAGAAGAATTGTTCATTTTTCAATTAAGTTTCATGGTTACATGGTTTAAACTGAAGTGACATAAAACAATTATTTTCATTTAATATATACTTTATCATAATTATAAATCAAATAGTCTTTGGAAAATGCTATATTTTTGTTTAATTAGCAATTAAATGGGAGATTCATAGATTTCCCTGAGAAAGTTGTTCTAATATTCAGGATAGAAGATCACTTTTCATACATCTGCCTGCCGCACAAGCACATGCCTTCCGCCTGACTGACCTTTGCCTTCTACGTTACTTACCCTTCCAGCCTGGTTTCTAGGCCTTTCTACAAGAGCGAAATGTGCCTCTTCTTCCCTTAACCCCAGCAGCCCATCTCTCATCCACTTGATGTCCTCTGAAACTGGAACCAAATGCTCCACTTTGCAAATCCCCACAATTGCCAACCTCACCTGACAAGGCACCCTCAGAGAGACTGATCCAAGAATCTGAAGTCAAGCATTTATTTGAAATCACTGAGTCAAATACAAGTAAATCCCCTTGCCCCAATAAAGAGGAGCAGTTATATGACAGAGGTACAGAACACCAAAGACCATACATTTATTTATCAAAAGAGTGGCAACACTGGGGGCCGGGGACGACGGCTTACACCTGTAATCCAAGCACTTTGGGAGGCTGAGGTGGGCAGATCACTTGAAGTCAGGCGTTCGAGACCAGCCTGGCCAACATGGTGAGACCCTGTCTCTATTAAAAATACAAGAAATAGCCATGCATGGTGGTGCGTGCCTATAATTCCAGCTACTTGTGAAGCCGAGGCATGAGAATAGCTCAAACCTGGGAGGTGAAGGTTGCAGTGCGCTGAGATCGTGCCATTACACTCCAGCCTGAGTAACACAGCGAGATTCCATCTAAAAAAAAAAAAAAAAAAAAAAAAGAGTGGCAACACTGAGTAAGCCTGAATTTGTTGTCCAAGAAGTCCAATTACAAGGGTTAGTTCCCCAGGAGACTCTCAGAAGTGGGCTAATCTGTCCAGCTACTGTTCCGGCTCTTCCATATTGGATGTCTGTGGCTTAAGACACCTCTGAAATGCCTAATCAGTGCAAAACAAAAACAAAAGAAAACAAAGACAACTGCCACTAACAGAAACCAATGCACAGGAGCAGGCTATCCCTGTGTATCATTTTTCATGATCTGTAATGTTGGGATGTCCTCATGTCTGAAATTCTGCAGTTACGGATTAAATCTTGTTTCCTGGTAAAAAGTTGCCATGCTGAAAAAGAAAAGGGATACATCGGATCATTTCCTTTTTCCCGGGCCTTGCCCTTGAGCTGAAGAATGCTATTTATTATTTTATACTCCTCCTGACATTGTCTTATTGTCTTGCTGCACACAATCTGTCCTCAAACTGAATCTCCAAATTTCCTGATTCTTTTGAGTAACTCTGGTACGAAGACTTGAAAGACAGCTCAGCTAAGAGAAAAATTCTCTAACCAAAAAGAAGAAGAAGGAGGAGGGGGAGTAAAGAAAGCAAAAGGAAAGACACTCAAGGCAATTAAAACTTTAATTTTTCATGACTCACGTTTCTATAAATGTAAATGACTAATAGACACCATGAAATATTAATCAAGTCAGTAATCCAGGATTATATATGATGCCAAATTGCTCCCTGTTGCCAGTGAAAAAGCTATCAGGCAGCAATTTCTGCAAAGAAACACAAGCTTCCAAATGCCCCGACAGAGGAGTGAGATCTCACTTGGTGCTTCATTTTTCATAAGGAACAGTCTTGGATTGGAAGGCTGTGCTGTTCTCAATCGCAGGACAAAAAGGAGAACGACACGGGAAGATGCGGAACAGACCTACACGGAAATCTAGCAGGGACTGTCATCTGATATTGCAGATGCTTTACCAGAGGGCCTGCTACTCACCAGGATTAAACTCTGGGAGCGTATGTGTTTACGCATCAGGGGATCATATTAGAGGGAAGGCCTTGCTGGGGACTAAACTTGTTTCATTAGTTTCTTTTCTTCAGCAAAATAGGTTACAGGCTATGTCACAGTAGAGCAAATGCTATGAGTAGTGGCCTCTGGAAAGGGTGTTTTGGGGGTTCCTGGAAGTCACGGCATATGGCCTCCCTTCGCAGGTGCAGCTGTGCAGGAAGAAGAGAGAGCTCACCTGGAAGATGGGAGCCAGTGACTCCGGTTCCCTGATCAGAGCTCCCAGGACCAGCTTGAGCCCTGAGAAGAGGCTGATCCCTGGAAGCTGACATTTTGGGAGCAGAGACTGGGGCCTCATGGTTGGCTTAGTGCTAAGGGTGCATGATTGTCTTCCCTAGAACTGCACCCAGGACAGTCTTCCCAGCCAGCAAAGGGTCATCTCATCAGGGGATGAACAACACTGTCATCCGGGAGCCATCCTTCAGCAGTTACATCATGTGCCAGGGGATGAGCACAGAACTGAACTGATCGACTCTAGTTCTCTCTCCTAGTGGCATGTGAAGGCTGAGCCAACCTACTACAGGTGGCCTAAGGGTCCCTGGACTTCCTAGACAATGAAGGATGGAGTGGGATGAGAGCCTCAACAGGGAAATACTGATTTTCTGATAATGGGGAATGTGGAATGAACAATTATTTTGTGGCAGAAACTGTTATCTGTGGACCCAGCAGCCTTTCTCTGCTAGAGCCCACCTCTCATGACAGAGACTTAAAATGCCAAGAACTTGCTCTCCCAGGCTGTCTTCATATGTAGTCCGGTTTTGGCCAATGAGACCCTGAGATAGTTTACTAGGAGCTTGAGGGAACATTTTTTTGTCTCTTGATAAAAATAGAGGGCTAAACAAAGAGAACTTGCGTCTTTCTTCCTGTCTTGAACATGGTTTGAGTGAATACATGACATTTGGAGCTGTGGCAGCAATATTGTGACCATGAGGAAAAGGCTGGGAGAATCACACGTAAGTCAACCCAGAGCCCTGATACTGCACAACCACCAACCAACACTGGAATCACCTACTTCAGGACTTCTCATTAGGTGAGAAAAATATCCACTCCCTTTAGAAGTTTCTTTTAGTTAGATATTACTATTAATTGCAGTTGAAAACATTTCCATTGGTTAGTAATGTCTTCAATTGCAAATGACAGAAAAACCCAGCTAACCCTGGCTTAAAACATAGGAACATATACTTCTTACTTAATAGGAAGTCTAAGGGTAGATAGTCCCAAAGTTGGCTCAGTAGTTCAACCATGTCATCAAGAACCCAGGCTGTTCCCATATTTCAATAGGCTTTGAACTTTGGTTGTTGCCTCATGGTTGCAAAATAACTGCTGCAGTTCCAAGCATTCCATATTGGCATAGGATGGGAAGGGAAGAGGAGAGCAGAGTGGGAGTTTTGCCCCAGCTATTTCTCCATTATCTAGGAAGAAAATTTTTCCCAAGGTCCCCTAGGAGAGTTCTCCTCTTACATCCCATTTGCCGGAATTGGGTCACATGCTCATCCATCAGCCAATCACTAGCAAAGAAGACGAAGACATCCATTATTGACTTAAATAACAGGCACTGCTGAGCATTGGGTCTTGTCCTCTTTTCCTCTCCTTCCTCAGAATGTCCACTGCCCTTGCTTGCAGCTCTCTAAGTGGTCTTCTGGTGATGCTAGAGTCTTTGGGTTTCTGTTAAAGAACAGAGATTTTCCTCCCTTTGACCTTCCCTCTGTCAGTTGAACCCAAAACAGATTGTGTGTTCCCCAAGGCTACTGTTTGCTGATGTTTTTAGGGGAAAAGATACCCCCAAAACAATAATAAAAATGATCTTCAGGCGCTGCTTCCACTGCTTGTCTCCCTAGAGCCAGACCCTAGAACAGTGGTTCTTAACAAGGGGCGAGTTTGCACACAGCCTCCAGGGACATTTGGTAATATCTGTAGACATTTTTTTTTCATGACTGGGGGCTGGGGATGGTAGTACTGTTGGCATTTAGTGGGGGGATGCCAGGGATGCTGCTAAACATCCTACAATGTACAAAACAGCCTCCCACAAGAAAGGATTATCCAGACCAAAATGTCAGTAGCGCCAAGGTTGAGAAAACCAACCCTGAAAGACAGGACTGAGCCTGAGAATCAACTTTCTTCCTTCTCTTAGTGCCTTCTTGCTTCTCCCTCAGGCCCTTATACATAAGAATCTCCATATTCTATGCTTCACTCCAAGGGTACTAACTTGCCCCTGGGCAGTAGCAGTGACCGAGTAAGCACCATGAAGGAGGCACCGAGTACTTGTGTCACGCTAACAAAATCAACCTAATCTCTTCTGAGTCCTTTGGGAAAATTGCAACAATCCCTGGATGACTTTTGTACAAAATTACAAAGTGTTGCAGCATAGGCAAGAATGTGTCCCGTAGCCAGTTCATCAGAGGGAGGGTCTGTAGGAGGATTGTGCCAGATCCATTCCCTTGCTGTTGATGAACTTTGGAAATGAGTGAAAGGGAAATTTAGCACATCCTTAAAAATTAAGCCTGGCTGGGCCAGGTGGCTCATGCCTGTAATCCCAGCACTTTGGGAGGCCGAGGTGGGTCGTTCACCTGAGTTCAGGAGTTTGAGACCAAAAATTAGCCAGGTGTGGTGGTGCATGCCTGTAATCCCAGCTACTTGGGAGACTGAGGCAGGAGAATAGCTTCAACCCGGGAGATGGAGGTTGCAGTGAACCGAGATCGCACCACTGCAATCCAGCCTGGGCAACACAGTGAGACTCTGTCTCAAAAAATTTAAAATTAAAATTAAGCCTTCTGAACAATTTTGATTTGGGACAAGGTCTTCTCTTTTCCTGCTCACTTTCATTTTAACTCCACCAGGCTTAAGTGAGAAGTTAATATTACCTTCTCTTTAGAGCTGTCACTTCTTATTTTCCTTTCCTACATTCTCCTATTGTTATCCCATTTCCATTCAAAAATAGACACGGAGACCAAGTAAAGGAAGACAGAGAAATCAAGCGCACACTGAAGCGGGATTCCTTGCTTGTTGGTGCTGGAGTTGGCTGTCTCAAGAGATGATCCTCCTACCTTCTCTCCTGCAGTTACCTTCTACTTGGAGTCTGAAGATGTTAAGATATAGGTTTGGCTGCTGTTACAAAGAGATTGCCATCCCAATACTTGTTTTGAATAAACTTGAAGTTTCTCTTACATGCCCAATGGGATAGGAGTTCTAGGGCTGGGAGGGTGGCTCAGTGGTATGCAGTCCCCCAGATCCTTTTGCTCCACTTTGCTCAACATGCAGCTTCTACTTAGTTGTCAAGGTTGGCTGTGCCAATTCCCACCCTCGCACCCACACTCCAGCCAGCAGGAAGGGGCAGAGGAAAATGCAGAAGGATGATTACCTTCAAAGGCAATCATCTGCAAGTTACACTCATGACTTCTGCTCCAATGCACCTGGCCAGAATTACCCACACTGCTACATCAACCCACTGCTAGGGGTGGGACCTGGAAAATACAGTCTTTATTTGTGGGGGCCCAGTGTGCTAACTAAAATTGGAAAGTTCTATTACTAATGTTCTGTTACTAAAGTGCTGCCCAAGAGTCATACTCTGTGTTGGCATTTACAGGGGGGTACTCTATTTAATCCTCATGATGAAGACAGATACTCTTCAAATCTCTATTTTACAAATGAGAAAGATAAGGCACAGAAACCCCCTCCTCCCCAAGTAGACCTTCAGTCAAGGATTCTTGTGCAAATGTTTTGTTAAGGGAGTCATGAGGTGGTGGTGCAGGGGGCACTGAGAGGGGGAAGCAAGACAGAGACAGGGGAGGAAGCCAAGCAAGGGCACGATTTCAGGCAAAGCCCCAGCTCCAACCTGACCCCACAGGAAGCTCCAGAGCAGGCGCTGCCTCTCAGTATTTGTCCTTGAGGCAAGGGAGCCCAGTGTTCACACTCCCACACCAGTTGGGTGTTGGCAGTCACTCTGGAGGGGACTAAACTCCCAGGCCCTGTCAGCCTGTGGCACCTGCTGCCCTATCAGGTCCAGGAGCCCAGGGGCAGTCCTCTGTGGAGGTTTATAAGGACCAGCCCTCAGGAGCAAAGCTGGGGTAGAGCACACAGAACCTGTAGGAGGGATTGAGAAGGGGTCGAGGGGATCTTGGGAAGGCACCACAGTGTCCACCACACCATGGGCTCAACAGCACCTCATGGTTAAGACCATCCCTGGAACGAGGCCACTCAGCAGTCCCGCCTCCCCGATCCACACACATACCAATTTTATCACACTTAAGAAGCTGTCCACTATGAGAAAGTCCTTCACTCAGTCACTCAACAAACTTTTATTGAGTACCTTTAATATGCCAGGCTCTGGTTAGTGACCAGACATATGAAGACCAATAAGAAACACAGTGGTCCATTCCCTTACGGAGTTTACAGCTAAAAGTCAACAAAGACAGGAAAATGAATAGACCTTAGATTCAGAATAATCAATGCAATAGTCTTGCTGTATTCAAGAGATTTCAGAGGTGAGAGACACAGGGAAGCAGAAAACATTTGACAGAGGAGGAGACAATTGATTCTGGGTTTTAGAGGTTGAACAAGCACCCTTCCAGGCAGCATGTTCAAAGCTGTGAAGCACAGAAGAGCCGGGGATGTACTGTGGGCCTAGGAGAAGTTGCCAAATGAATGACAGAGTGAAGGAATTAGTGAATGAATGGGTCCATTGCTTGATCATTCTCAGGGGGAGAGAAGATCATTTAGAAATTCTTATTATTGGCCAGGTGCGGTGGCTCACACTTGTAATCCTAGCACTCTGGGAGGCCAAAGCGGGTGGATCCCCTGAGGTCAGGAATTCGAGACTAGCCTGGCCAACATAGTAAAACCCCTTCTCTACTAAAAATACAAAAAATAGCCGGGCGTAATGGCGCACACCTATAGTCCCAGCTACTCAGGACGCTGAGGCAGTAGAGAATCGCTTGAACCAGGGAGACAGAGGTTGCAGTGAGCCAAGATCATGCCGCTGCACTCCAGCCTGGGTGACAGAGCGAGACTCTATCTCAAAAACAAAACAAAACAAAAAACAACAGAAAGAAATTCTTATTATAAGTAGGGTTTTCTCCCAGTGTACACAACCCTCTCCCTCTCATTCTTTTTCTCCCCAGGAGATTCTAACACACCCTCCAGGGCAGCAGATGCTTCCAAATGAGAATGCCTGTTACCCTCAGGAGTGGAGGACAGAACAAAAGGTGGAAACTCAGCCCTGTTGCTCAGTAAGAATGTTCTTTTTTCTTCCATCATCAGCCAAATCTGACCAGCCTGTGACTTGGCTGCAGTGTTAAGTTTCAGGAAGCCTTGCTTCTCCCATTTGAAACCAAGGGGATAAGAATAGTTTGCCCTGGTTCAAAAATTACATTGAGATAGGCAGCACAGATCCCTCAGGATAAAATGCAGATCAAGTATCCCCTATCTGAAATACTTGGGACCAGAAGTGTTTTGGATTTCTTTACTTTTTAAATTTTGGAATTTTTGCCTGATACTGCTTGAGCATCCTAAATCCAAAAATCCAAAATCCAAAGTGTTTCAATGAGCATTTTCTTTGAACATCATGTTGATCCTCAAAAAGTTTCAGATTTTGGAACATTCTAGATTTTGGATTTTTGAATTTGGGTTGCTCAACCTGTAAAAAAATATATATAAATATAATCTCCCTTCTCCCAGACCAACTGGCCAGCCCCTCCCTATCTGTCGTCAAGGTCAGATTCACAAATCCCACAGGAAGCGCAGTCATACTGTCAAGGGCAGGTGGCAGGAGCCCAGGGGGGTGTGTGGTGCGCATGCCCTGGACCTCCCACCAGGGCGTGCACAATTAAAGACTCCACATGCTTTTTATTGATTAGCTACACAAGGTCGCTGGTTTAATGACAATCATATGAATCAAGGAAAAGACCCTACAATTTCAAATAAAATGAGAGGAGCCTGGCTTAATAAAAGAGAGTGTGTTCCACATTGCTTTTGCCCCTACCAGCATCAGCCCCTAGGCCCTCTCTGTGCCAGGAGAGTGGTCTCTGTGAAGTACCACCCTGCCCATCCCCAGGGTCTTTTAATGTCACACTCCCTGCCTGATGTCCTACGATAGTACTTCCTCCAGAGGCCCCTGGGGACTCAAATATGACATTTAAAAACCAACACCTCCTTTAATAGCTAATGACAGCAGTAAGGTGGGAGCACTACGGTGGCCTTCACTGTGCTGTGTCTCTGTCCCCAGATGTGCTGTGGTGAGCACCCAGCTGCCACGCTTGCTGAGGCTGGCAGAGCACTTTGGGTCCTTGGTGACTCTCTGAGAGGCACTGGACAAATTGACAGCATGACTGCATCACTCTCAGAAAAATCTCTTAACTCCAGGTACCAAATATCTGTTGCTAAGAATTGGAAAGAATGCAATTTTCTTCTGGAGAATTTGCAGTTTGGCCAGCTTTGAGGGGAGGGATTTCATTAAGGAGTGCAGACAAAGGGTGGTTCTATGTATTAAGTTACTGTGGTTGGCCTGGTACCTGCTCATTCAATACTCACACTCATACGACCCTGTGCGGTAAGTGTGATTGTCTCCATTTTATAGATGTCTCACAGATGTTTAGGTCACTCACTTTTAAAACTTGGATTTGGCCAGGTGCGGTGGCTCACGCCTGTAATCCTAGTACTTTGGGAGGCCAAGGCAGGCGGATCACCTGAGGTCAGGAGTTCAAGACCAGCCTGGCCAACATGGTAAAACCCTGTCTCTACTAAAAAACAAAAATTAGCTGGGCATGATGGCGGGTGCCTGTAATCCCAGCTACTTGGGAGGGTGAACCTGGGAGACGGTGGTTGCAGTGAGCTGAGATTGCTCTACTGCACTCCAGCCTGGGCGGCTGAGCCAGACTCTATCAATAAACAAACAAACAAACAAACAAAACTTGGATTTGCACCCAGGCCTCTCTGACTTGAAAAATTTACTTTACTACCTCAATGGTACCCTAAATTAAATTAAATCTTTTCTCAAGGTTGAAACCTGTCCGCGTCCTTGCCCCTCTAGAAGTAAGAGCCGGGGTTGCTGTTGGCCCTCTACACATCTGACCATGTCTGGGTGGAGGGCACGTGTGGCTCTGCCCCAGTGCTGCCAGCAGATCGGCCTCCAGGAGAACTTAAAGGAGGGCCCCAATCTCTAGCAAGAAATTCTTGGCCCAGATGTGTTTTAGGATTCAGAGTTTTCCAGATTTTAGACTTATAGAATTATAGTGCATATACCATGTCATGCAGAATACCCAGTAGAGTCGGGGGCAGCACCTTGAAATGAATTACATTCATATCTCCAGAGTGAAATTGTTACCAGGAGCAAATCTGCTCGGGTCTGCGGCAATCTCTTTCTTCTGCCTCCTCAGAAGAAAGAGTTTGACTGATGGGGATGAGGCAGAAGAGACCGAGGCAAGTTTTAGAGCAGGAGTGAAAGTTTATTAAAAAGCTCTAGAGCAGGAATGAAAAGAAAGTAGACTTGGAAGAGGGCCAAATGGGCATCTTTGGGACAAGTGTGGGGTCTGAACTTTTGACTTGGAATTTTATATGGTGGCATGTAAAATTACTTCTTTTATATGGTGGCATATAAAATTACCCTGCTTACTTCTAGGGTCTGGCGTCCCTTCTCCCTGATTCTTCCCTTGGGTGGGCTGTGTGCACAATGGCCTGCTAGCTTTTGGGAGGGGAGCATGAGCAGTGTGCTTACTGGAGTTGTAGGCATGCTCACCTGAGGCGGTCTTCCTATTACTGGTGGAATGTCCCTGGAAGGTCATATACCAGTTCAATGCCGCCATTTTGTCTTTAAATGTGCATGCTTGAGACCACTCACCCACCTCCTGAGATCTTATCAGGAAGCTGCTGATCACCAGCTTCAGGTGTTTCTCTCTCTATAGGGAGACTGCCTTTCTCTGGTGCTGGCTGCAACCTATTATTATTTTAGAGAGGCAGAAAATTGCCTGAGTATCACCTGATGGGTGCCTGACTTTCCTGGTGGGGTGCAGGGCCCTCTCCTGCCCTCTTTGTGTCTGACTAGCTACCCACTGTAACAAAATGTTCACACCAAGTGGGATAAAGATTATAAAGAATTTCACGTCAATTCAGTTCAGCTGTTGCTACAAAATTAGCTATGCCGAGCTTTGGACCTTTGAAGCTTTTTTCCCCCCCCAACTTTATTTAGAAGAACAAATCTAGGTCCCAGTGCCCCCCATGTCCTCCCCAAACCCCCACCATAATTTAAGTAATTTAGAGTTGAAGGGAGGAGAAAGAAAGGGGAGGGATGAGGAAGAAGAGCCCACTGCAGCCCTGGCGATGGGATTCTCGGCCACCCCAGGGCCCCCGGGGACCAGAGGTTCGGTGGAGGAGGCTGCAGCTCCTGGGCCCACCATGCCCCCCAGATCTCCACACATGGTTCTCCAAGAGCAGGTAGCCTGACCCCTGGTTAAGTGCAGACTCCAGGTGGCTCAGCCGGCACCTGATGGTCAGCAGCACACATCAGACACGCAGCTCAACCGTCCAGTTCCTCCGGATCTTACTGCTGGCACCCATATTGAGGTGGAAGGAAGCCTTTGGGTGGAGCGATGTGGAAGTCCTTCCTCATCAGGAGTTTCACATGGTACAGGCCCCAGGGTCCTCAAAGGTGACCTGCAGGTCTGCGAGCACCTCCTTGTTGGGAAAGATCTTTAAGTCATCCAGCAGGTTTTGCAGTCAATGTCGTTACCTCCTTGTGCACCAGGCCATCATGGGGAGAGCAGGTTCTTCACATTCAAGTCCATGACTGTGGCTGGACAAGGGTGAGTCTCTGCCACCCACCCCCGTCCCCGCATCCCTGCCCTCCCTCCTCTAAACCACACACCCCAGAAACAGGTTCTGGGATTTGGGAATCCCTCTAAGGAATCATGGACACATAGGTTGTATTGAATCATCCTTCTGCTTGTGTCAATCCTCTCCAGGTAAATCAATCCTGGATCAGGCAGCAGGTGCAGGCTGTGGAAGGCTTCTCACTCTGGAATGCTCACAGCTGGGCCAGAGGAGGAAGCCCCACTCTCTGGGCATTTCCAGGACGTAGGACAGAGAATTAGAGGTGCTGAGCTCCCTGGCTGGCTGCCTCACAGAGCTGTGTGCCCCTAGGGAAAGTGTTGCACCCACCTCCCTGGTCTACTAACTGTGGAGGCAGAGAAGGAAACCCCTGATGCTCCCAGTGGTTCTGTGCAGCTGAAGGCCGCTGTGAGGCTATGGGGACTTCCAGACCAGGGCAGAGCCCCCACATTCTCTGCACTCTTGGGCAGGGATTTTAACCACCAGCCCCTGCTTCCTCCCCTGTCACTGTCTGGGAATGTGGGTTCTGGAGTCCTACTGCCTGGGTCAGAGTCCACCCCACCAGGCAGCTCTGCTTGGACTTAGTTATCTAAGCCTCGGTTTCTTTACCTGGATAATGAGCGTGATAATAATGACACCCACCTCTTAAAGTGAGAGACTTGACAAAGCTAGCGTGGGTCCAGCTCAGTGCCTGGGCGTACAGAAGGCACACAACACAAGAGAAGGCTCTGAGTCCTACTGTGGAGATTAGGCCTGTGGCAGTGTCCTGTGGTTGCCGAAAGAAATTACCACAACCTTGGTGGCTTAAAATGACAGAAATTGGTACTCTCACAGTTCTGGAGGCTAGAAGTCTGAAATCAAGGAATCAGCCAGGTTGGCTCCTTCTGCAGGCTCTGAGGCAGAATCTATCCCAGCCTCTCTTTGGCTCCTGTTGGATCCTGGTGGTCCTTGGGTCCTCAGCTTTGAGATGCATCACTCCAGTCTCTACCTCTGTCTTTGCAAGGCCTTCTTCTTATGTCTTTGTGTATCATTTCTCTCTCTCCTTTCTTTTATTAGGATACCAGTCATTGGATTTAGGGTGGACCCTAAATCCAGAATGATCTCATCTCAAGACCTTTAGCTTAATTCAATATGCAAAGACCTTATTTCCACATCAGGTCATAGTCACAGGTACAAGGGGTTAGGACTTGAACATATCTTTTTGGGGGGCACCATTCAGCCCCACTACAGCACTAGGGTTGGGGCACAAAGCTCCTAGGGTTGGAAGAGTGGCACAGCAGCCACCCACATGTGATGGCAAATTGTTCTTAGACCCCTAGAGGGGTCGCTGATGGGGTCACTCGGTACGGCGGTCACATAGTTAAAGGCTAGAGGTTTTTTAATGGGGCAGACCTAGTGGCAAGCCCTAAGGCAGCGAGCAAGTTTATTTTACCAAAGTAAAACTCCATTTCCTCATCTCTAAAATGAACATGAGACGCCCCACTTCAGGAATTCTCTTGAAGACTAAAGACAACAGGTTTACAGTGTCTAGTCCATAATAATAAAAATGAAACAAAACAACAACAACAAAAATAAGTCTAATCCATAAAACTCTCAGTCAGTGAAATGCCCTCCCCTGCCCCCACTTTCGGTCCTCTCTGAAATCAGGAACCTGATCGGGCCCTCCCATTGTTAGAACACTTCAGTGCCAGTCACGGCAGGAGGCTGGTTATCTGAAGGGCCTTCCCCAGTGCCAATCGGTTGGCAAGGTCCAGATCTGCATTGCAGATAAGCGCTTGATTACTGGGGACAGATTCTATGGAACTGCTCCCTTCATGAGAAACACCATTAACAACCCAAACTCACAAGCCCCAACCTTTCTGACACCCAGAGAGAACAGCCAGGCTTTGCTCTTCAAGCCAAAACCTGGTATCTGATGCAAAACGAGTCTGGGATGGGTTTCAAAGCAGGAGTCTAGATTCCCCCAAAGCCCTGTGAGGGGCCACAGACACAGCTCACACAATGAAGCTTGGGCCATTCAGACCTGGGAAAGGTCAAGGCCAGGCAGGTTCTCATGTCCTTCTGCAATTAGAAACCTGCACCCCAGCAAAGCCCCCTGGTCTGGTTTGGGTGTGTCCCCCAGTGTTCATGTGTTGGAAACTTAATTCCCAATGCATCAGTGTTAAGAGGTGGGACCTTCAACAGGTGCTCAGGTCATGAGGGATGAGTAGATCAATGTGGTTATCAAGGAGTGGGTTTGTCATCATGAGTGAGCTGTTATAAAGGTGAGTTTGGGTCTCTCTTGCTCTCTCTCACCCTTTCTTTGCCCTTCCTCAATGGGATGATGTAGCAAGAAGGCCCCCACTAGATGTGGGTCCCCCAACTTTGGACTTCCCAGCCTCCAGAACTGTAAGAATACATTTCTTTTCTTTATAAATTACTCAGTCTGTGGCATTTTGTTACAGCAGCACAAAACAGACTAAGACATCCCCATCCCAGGGTTGGTTGGAAAGCCCCAGCCCTGTCCCACCAGGTCACAGTTCTCTTTGGTCACTAAGAATGCTCCTGATGCCTGCTTTGTTTCCTGGGACACGGGGAGACTTTCTTTTCCTGGTCCATTCTTACAACACAGGGCAGGGTTTCTATTTTTGTTGTAGAATAGCCTGTGCACAGGGCACAGCATTTTAATTCCTCAGCTAATAATTTGATTCCTCACCAATAATACTGCCAAGCAGTAAGTTTCTTTTTTAATGTTGTCATTTGCTGGTTTTTTGTCATGAGACCTCAAGGAACACAGAGGGACACTCTTTTTAGCCATCTGAGGGCTGGATGAATGGCTTTAGCTGCCAGCGCCTGCCCAGCTTTGTTTCCACTCTGCCCCTGGAAGGGAATCGCCCAGCAGGCTTCATCTCTGCCTCTGACCCTCCCACTCTTGTTCTGGAGCCTGCTCTTTTTGGGATCCTCCCGAAACCACAGGATTTTTCCAACGCAAAGGGAACCTCCACCTGGGAAGCACCAGAAGCCCTTTCCCTTCACCCATCCTCCTGGCTCCTCCTTCTTCCAGTTCCTGAATCCAACTCTTCATGAAGCCAGGAAGGTCGCTGCCCACCTTTCCTGTCCTTCCCCTTGGCCTGCCCCAAGTGGGTGGAGTGGTGAGATAATAACTGCAGCAGCCCAGCTTCCAGGCATGGCTTTTTAATGTTTCCGAGGCACTGAGCAAAGTGCCCTCAATGCATTATCCCAGTCAACACTTAGCCCATTTTACAGAAGAGGAAAATGCAGCCCAGAGAGGTCATAGATGGGTTCCCTGGGCTCCAAGGCATTGAAACTCCAGCGGGGTCGATGAAAGGGCAGGGGGCACTGGAGATTGGTGCTTTGCTTTTTAGACTTTGATGAGGGTTCAACAGGAAATGGAAAAGAGTGGGGCAGAAAAGCATGACCCTGCAGGGGCTTCACACTGCTATGGCGGTGGGGCCTCAGTTACCTATCTGTCCGGACTTCTGGGAAAACACCTACACGGGCATGGGCAGGGGGTTCGAGAGTTGTCTGAGGCACTCCAAGGCTGGAGGCCCTCATTGGTGCACAGGAATCAGGTCAGGGCATGGCGAAACATATGGCACCGACACTGTTCACCAGACACACATTCTCCTCTTCCAGGTTGACCAAATTTTCCCTGCTTGCAGCAACAAGGAGCTATAACAAGAAAGAAACACCCAGACCCTAGAGCCAACCCATCAACTATACTGTGTGAGCCTAAATCCACCCCTCTCCCGCCCCGCCAGAGTAGATGACAAACCCCCATACTCCTATCCCTCTGGTGTCCCTGTACTGCCCCCGATGGCCAGCTGCTTCTCCTGACTGAAGATGCTTATCTTTTTAGTGGTTTGGTAGGACTGGGGCTTCTGGCCATCCATTATTCTGCAGAATTACTAAATCCATTTTCTAATTCCCAGAGAGCTTGGCAATGATATCTTATTGATTTGATTATTTCCCTCCCTGCTGCTGACTCCCTCTTTTTACAACTTATTTTTTTTTAAGATGGGGTGGGGGGGGTCTCACTTTGTCGCCCAGGCTGGAGGGCAGTGGTGCGATCATGGCTCACTGCAGCCTCGACCTCCTGGGCTCAGGTGATCTTCCTACCTCATCCTCTAGAGTAGCTGGAACTACAGGCACTAGCCACCACACCTGGCTATTTCTTTATTTTTTGTAGAGACAAGATCTCACTATGTTGCCCAGGCTGGTCTCCAACTCCTGAGCTCAAGCAATCCTCCTGCCTCAGCCTTCTAAAATGCTGGGATTACAGACATGAGCCATCATGCTGGGGCTGGCTCCCTCTTTATCTGTGAGAACAGAAAGCGTACGGATGGATTGGTGGTTGGTGCCACCCAAACCCCTGATCTCTCCACCAGCTCCACCTTCTCAGTTTTCTTCAGTGCAGGATTCCTGGGGTGGAAACCAGCCAGCGTGTCTGGATGGGCCTGCACGCCCCCTCCAAGTCCATTCATTGAACTAACTTCTGGTCTGGGCTGGTCAGTGCGATTCTGAGAGTCCTGCTCTCAAAGACACAGAAGAAGGAGCAGAGCCAGTCCTCACCCTTTTCCCAGGGAATTTTGGGGCAACTTAATGGCAGTGGATATTTTTAGGGAGGGAATGTCAATAAATATTAGTAATTATGATTGATATTAATTAGGATTGAGTTGTGGGACTATCAAAATGACTTGGTGGTGATTTCCCTCGTGGCAATAGAAATGCCTTTAGTGGAAGTGCATTTCTCTTCCACTCTGGAAACCTCAGAGTCAAAATCCCAGCAAGGGAAAGGAATTTCACAGTGGCATGCCTGGGCAAACTGATGGGCGAAAATACCATCAGCGCCATGTGCTTAGAATGAAAGCCCTCACCCACAGTCGTCTGGGGGTTAGGATCCAGCCCTGGCTTAACAATGTGTAACTTCTCGGTGATTGTGGAACTCGGAGAAATTACACCCGTCATTTGATATCAATTACTATTCCAGCCTTCTCAGTTGAACTAAACTCCTCAGAACAGAAGATCTCCAGGTCTGTGGTAGTTTCTGCTACTTTAGGCTACTTTTTTGGGTGGGGCAGGGGGGCAAGATGAGGACATTCACAGCAGCCACTGTTCTTCTTTGTTCCAGTGATAGCGACACTGCAGCCATCTCCAGGGAACCAGTGGCCTGTTTGCTGTGTGTGCTTCCACACTGGCCTCCCACGTGCCAGCTGGTGTTACCTGCGTCGCTCACTCCTGCTGCTGGAGTGGCTGCGTCAGCAGGGGGAGCTGAGAGCAGTAAGTGGCTGGAACAGCCCAGGGAAGGAGGAGATCCCTGGGAAGCAAGATCGGAGTTCACGTGGAGGACGCTGGAACCACAGAAGCATGTGTGTTTGTGGCAACCTCACGGCTCCACTGCTGGAGTTAATGATCCATGAGCAAAACACTGAGCCCATCCACACTGGCCGCTGGCGGATGGACACCGCCATGCTAGATCTGTGCGGTCGCCCGGGGAGCACCGGGCCATTCCTAACAAGCGTGCAGTCGAGATGCAGACAGGAAGGCCAAGGGAGGGAGAAGGGGGCTTCAGCACACGGCAGCGCGTGGCCCCTGGGCCCGACCCCTTCTCCGGCAGCGCAGCAGTCCTCCACCTTGTCTTGCTAATTCCCAGCCACTGCCCCGCCTCAGGTCATCCTCCTGGCGGTCAGAGTGACCTACTCGACTGGCACTTCTGGTGTGTAGGAATCTCTGGTAGATCAAGTTAAAAGGCAGATTTTGAATCCCTGGATCTGGGGTGGGGCCTGAAATTCTGCATTTCTGAGGGGCTCCCAGGTAAGGCCAAGGCTGCTGGCCGGCTGAGGAGTTAACAGTGTGTGCTCTGGAGTCACGTGGATTCCTGCTTGCCAGTAGCGCGCCTTGGAAAGTCACCCCGCCTGGCTCTGCCATTTCCTTCTCTGTACATACAGTGTTGTCTGCGGTGAGGGTGACACAGCTGAATAGGCACAATGGGCCGGACCAGTGCCGGGCACGCGGTGCATGCGAAGTCAGTAGTTATAACTGCTCGTCTGTGCTGCAACCCTGCAGTGCACCCTTCGCCTGCACAATAAAATCTACCATCAGCCACCACCGTGCCCTGCCCTCCCGTGCACCAGTCACCCTGAGCATTGTACGGGAGTTCTGGAAAGGAGCAGAGTTTTCTCAAATGCAGAGTTGCCCTTGATTTTGAATGCCGTTCTCTCCCTGATCCCCCCAGCAAAGTCCTCCTCCTTCTTTTGGGCTCTGAGACCTCCAGAGCCACCTCCAGGAAGCTGAGAAGACAGGAAGTGTTTTTACTCTTTTCCATTCCCAGTTTTGTACATCACCTGACGTATACTAGGTTTTAATAAATGGTGAAAGAATGAATGAAACAACAAATACTTTAGGTCTTTCTTCTACAACTTCTTTGGCTGTGTTCTACCTAGAGAGGCTGAATCTTGACTGCTCATCAGTGCTTTTTAAGAAATCAAGGCCAGGCGCAGTGGCTCACACCAGTAATCACAGTACTTCGGGAGGCCAAGTGGGGAGGATTGCTTGATTGAGCTCAAGAGTTCAAGACAAGCCTGGGCAACATGGTGAGACCCTGTGTCTACAAAAAAAAAATTTAAAAATTAGCCAGACACAGTAGTGTAGTCCCAGCTACTCAGGAGGCTGAGGCAGGAGGATTTCTTGAGCCTGGGAGGTCAAGGCTGCAGTGAGCCATGATTGTGCCACTGCACTCCTGCCTGGGTGATAGAATGACACATTGCCTCAAAAAAAAAAAAAAAAAAAAAAAGGAAAGAAAGAAGAAAAGAAAAATAGAAACATTCACTTCCTAAAATACTGCCTCAACATATCTCATTCCAGACCTATTTTAAGAGGTGAGTCTCCAATGTGGACTTTTATTTAGCAAGAACATTTGCTTGTTTATTTACTTGTTTATGTAGTTATGTCAGTATGACTTTATACATTCTTATTTTATTCAATGCTTTATAATCCATTACTATCACTATTCATTTTCATGCTCAAGTCATCCCAGACTTAGCTTTCAAGCTGGTTCTTGTGTCCTTTTGACATATCCCCATTGGTCTTTGACTAATTCCTTGCTTTTCTGTGCAATTAGACAACCCAGATTCATTTCATGGGATGTGTATTTTTGACAAAGCACAATAGATGATTCCAGTGCACACCTGGGTTTGGAAGGCATTATGCCAACAAGTAGCCTCAAATCACTAATAGGGCTAGCTCTGATTTCAGAGCCAGAACCAGTAGCAAAAGGAAGAGGGAGGTTCTTAGACAGGAGCTGGCTAAAGAGAGCTCAGTGTTCCCTAAGCCTCCTGGAAGCATCCCTAAAGATGGCTGGCTCACAGGCCTGGGGCACAGGTGACTCAGGTTCCCAGGTGTCACCTGCTTGGCCAGTTACAAGTGGCAATTGCCTGGCAGTGCCCAAGGCAACAACTGAGGAAAGTGGGGATGAAGTGACACAGAGAAGGACTTTCTGGAGTAGAATGTGTTTCCCAATAGGTGGAGAGAAGTAACTTCACCTGCCTGCATGGGGCAGTGATGGTCATGAGGCTTAGGAGTGCCTCCTAAGGAATCAACTCCAGGATGTTTCCTGGGAAAGAAGAGGCTGGTGGCTTTTAGCGACAAACTGCATGGTTTTCCTCTGAAGGAGGTCAGTGGTATCACGAACAACTTGCACTAAACAGCACCTTTCTTCCAAAGAACTCAAGGTACTTTCACAAATGGTTTTCAAATAATTTTTAATGTGAAAGCATTTGTAAAGCTGGAATCAGAGATGAAAAAAATGTTTTTAAAAGACTTACAAATCTCTGGACTCTGTAAATCTAAAATTATTCCAAAATTAGGTCTTTAAAAAAAGACAATCATTTACAATGCCGTGGTAGCAAAAATTATGCCCTCCTTCATCCAGATGTTCCTAGAATTTGTAAATATGTTGCCTTAAATGGCAAAAGGAATTTTGCAGATATAATTAAGGATTCTTTTTTTTTTTTTTTTTTTTTGATACAGGGTCTTACTCTGTCATCCAGGCTGGAGTGCAGTGGAGCCATCATGGCTAGTGAGCCATGATGATTAGCTCTCTCTACCTCCCAGACTCAAGCAATTCCCCTGCCCCAGCCACCTGAGTAGCTGGGACTGCAGGTGTGAGCCACCACACCCAGCTAATTTTATTTTATTTTATTTTATTTTTATTTTTTTGTAGAGACAAAGTCTCACAATGTTGCCTAGGCTGGTCTTGAGGTCTTGAACTCCTGGGCTCAAGTACTTCTGCAGCCTTAGCCTCCCAAAGTGTTGGGATTATAGGCGTGAGCTACCACATCTGGCCTTTTTTTAATTATTAATTTTTTGTTATTGTTGACTGGGTCTCACTATGTTGCCCAGGCTGGTCTTGAACTCCTGGGCTCAAGCAATCCTCCTGCCTCAGACTCCCAAAGTGCTGGGATTACAAGTGTGAGCCACTGCACCCAGCAAAACTAAGGATCTTGAGATGAAGTGACGATTATCCTGAATTATCTAAATGTGTCTGATGTAATCACAAGAGTCCTTGTAAGAGGGAGGCAGAGGAAGTAGGAGATTTGATGATGGAAGGAGCGAGAGATAATTATTGGGAGATGCTACCCTGCTGGCTTTGAAGATGGAGGAAGGGGCCATAAGCCAAGTAATGTGAGCAGCCTCTGAAACCTGGAAAAGGAAGGAAAAGGATTCTCCCCTAGAGCCTCCAGAACCATGCAGCCTGATATGGTTTGGATATTTGTCCCCATCCAAATCTCATGTTGAAGTGTATTCCTCCATGTCAAAGGTGGGGCCTGGTGGGAGGCGTTTGGGTCATGGGGCCGATCCCTCACAGCTCAGTGCTTTCCTCACAATAGTGAGTGAGTTCTCTCGAGATCTGGTTGTTGTAAAGTGTGGCACCTTCTCTCTCCCCACTGTCTCTCTCACTTCCACTCCTGCCTGTTCCCCCTTTGCCTTCTGCCATGATTGGAAGCTCCCTGAGGCCTCCCCAGAAGCAGATGCTGGTGCAATGCTTCCTGTACTTCCTGTAGAACCATGAGCCAATTAAATCTCTTTTCTTTATAAATTACCCAGTCTTAGGTGTTTCTTTATAGCAATACAAGAACAGATTAATACAGAAAATTGCTACTGAGGAGTGGGGCATTGCTATAAAGATACCTGAAAACGTGGAAGTGGCTTTGGAATTGGGTAACAGGCAGAGGTTGTTGGAGTTTGGAGGGCTCAGAAGACAGGAAGATGAGGGAAAGTTTGAAGCTTCTTAAGAGACTGGTTAAATGGTTGTGACCAAAATGCTGATAGCGATATGGACAGTGAAGGACAGGCTGGTGAGGTCTTACATGGAAATGAGGAACTTATCAGAAACTTAAGCAAAGGTCATGTGTGTTATGCCTTGGCAAAGAGCTTGGCTGCAAAGTGTTCATGCCTTGGGTATCTGTGACAGTTTGAACTTGAAAGTGATGATTTAGGGTATCTGGTGGAAGAAATTTCTCAGTAGCAAAGCATTCAGGGTGTGGCCTGTCTGCTTTTAACAGATGCCCAGATTCAGGCGCAAAGAAATGACTTGAATTTGGAATTCATAATTAAAAAGAGAGTGTAATTAAAAAGCAGAGTGTAAAAGTTTGAAAAATTTGCAACCTGGACATGTGGCAGAGAAAGAAAAAGCATGATCAGAATAGGAATTCAAGCAGGCTGTTGAGCAACCACTTGCTAGCAAGATTTGGATATCTAAAAAAGAGCCAGGTGCTGATAAGACAACATGAAAAAGGCCTCAAAGGCATTCCAGAGATCGCTGAGGCAGCCCTTCCCTTCACAGGCTCTGAGGCTTAGGAGGGAATAATGGTTTCTGGGTCAGGCCCAGAGCCCCGCTGCCCTGCCCAGCCTTGGTGCACTGTTTCCCACATCCCAGCTGCTCCCCTTCCAGCCATGGCTCAATGCGGCCCAGGTACAGCTCAGGCTACCATTTCAGAGGGTGCAAGCTATAAACCTTGGCTGCTCCCACATGGCATTAAGCCTGTGGGTGTGCAGAGTGCAAGAGTGAAAGAGACTTGGCATCCTCCACCTAGATGGGAGTGTATGAGAAAATCTGGGTGCCCAGGCAGAAGCCTGTTACAGGGGTGGAGCCCTCATAGAGAACTTCTACTAAGGCCCCACATACAGAGTCCCTATTGGGCCACTGACTAGTAGAGCTGTGAGAAGGGGGTCACCATCCTCCAGACCCCAGAATGGTAGATACACCAGAAGATTGCACTCTGTGCCTGGAAAAGCCTCAGGCATGCTCCAACCCATGAGAGAAGCCTGAGGCACTGAACCCTGCAAAACCACAGGAGCTAGCTGCCCAAGGCCTTGGAAGCCCACCCCTTGCACCAGTGTTCCCTGAATGTGGGGCATGGAGTCAAGGATTATTTTGGAGCTTTAAGGTTTAATGACTGCCCCACTGGATTTCAAATGTAAGGTTTAATGACTGCCCTACTGGGTTTCAAACTTTCACGGGGCCTGTAATCCCTTTCTTTTGGCCAGTTTCTCCCTTTTGGAATGGGAATGTTTATCCAACACCTGTACCCCCATTATATATTGGAAGTAAATAACTTGTTTGATTTTACAGGCTCATAGGTGGAAGGGACTCATCTTCAGATGAGATTTGGGACTTGGACTTGGGACTTCTGAGTTAATACTGGAATGATTTAAGACTTTGAGGGACTGTTGGGAAGGCATGATTATATTTTGCAATGTGAGAAGGACATGAGATTTGGCGGAGGCCAGCGGTGGTATGATATAATTTGGACATTTGCCCCCACCAAAATCTCATGTTGAATTGTTATCCCCAGTGTTGGAGGTGGGGCCTGGTGGAAGGTGTTTGGGTCATTGGGGCTGATCCCTCATGGTTTGGTGCTATCCTCAGGATAGTGAGTGAATTTTCTCAAGATCTGGTTGTTGTAAAGTATGGCACCACCCACCCCCCGCCAGCTCCCACTTTCACCATGTGAGATGCCTGCTCCTCCTTTACCTCCTGCCATGATTGTAAGTTTCCTGAGGCCTCCCCAGAAGCAGATGCTGGTGCAATGCTTCCTGTACAGCCTGCAGAACCATGAGCCAATTAAACCTCTTTTCATTAGAAATTATCCAGTCTCGGCTGTTTGTTTATAGCAATGCAAGAACAAACTAATACACAGCCTGACTGACACCTTGATTTTAAGAACCATTTTGAACTTCTGACCTCCAAAAGTGTAAGATAAGTTAACTTACACTTGTTTTAAGCCACTAAGCTTGTAGTAATTTGTTACAGCAGAAAAACTAATACATTAATTTTAAAAGTTCTTTTATAATCTCCCCACTATTTTTCTATTGACCAGCTTGCCTTTTAATCATGTCCTATTCCCTTTTCTGAACCATATTTCATAAACTGTTAAATGAAAATGCAGCTGTAACCAAAAATATTCTATTTCTTCCCCCACCACCCACCTTTTTGTTATTACCAATATTTGTTTAGCTGAGGGTTCCTATTTTACATAAACCTCATCCTCTTCCTAGTATCCCTGGAGCTTTTACCGAGTATCTTCTACTCTTCTTTGCTTGAATGCATATACAAATGGGCATTCCTTTGTGCCAGCGCTGTCAGCATTCCCAAACGCAGACTGTCAGCTGTCTCCAAGACATTCCTCTATGGATGGAGCATGGATCTCCTGCTCCACAAAAAGCTGTCCTGCTCTGCTGTGGGTAAATGGGCCCAGAAATGAAATTACTGGCATCCCAGACTTGATCCTGAAAATGATTCATAGTTTGAAATCCACTTCTCCTGTTCACACATAGCCATGCAGAAGCCACAATGACAGTGACATGTCTGGCATGCCCGACAGCATATTGGCTCTGGAGAAATGCCCAGTTGAAGCCCTGGGTAGGCATTTATTGTTCATGAGGTCTACATTCTTTGTTTTTTTTTTTTTTTTTATAGAGGGTTTCACTATGTTGCCCAGGCTGACCTTGAACTCCTGGGCTCAAGTGATCCTTCTGCCTTAGTCTCCCAAGTAGCTGGGACTACAGGTGTGCATCATTGCGCCTGGCTAATCTACATTCTATGTCATCCACAGATGCCCTAATTTCCCATTTACCCATCAGAGGCTTAGAGACTTCCCTGCCCAGGGGAGGAATGGGCTTCAAACTAAGCAAATCAGTATGCAGAGCAGCCCTAATTAAATTATACTCCTGTGGCCAATCCCACACTACAGAATAAACTATATACCGCTCATCAAATCATCAACTTGCACGTGAATGTACAAAGGACAAATAAACATAATATGCCTCCCATATTCACTTCCAGGCCCCCCACGCTAATGGCTGGTGAAACCTTAGCCAGGTGGGGCTGTGAGGAATGTTTCATCCCTTCCCGTTGACAGTGTCTTCTTTCATTCTATTGATTGTCTGTGGCCACACTTCCTTGTCGTCCTCCAGTCTGTCCTAGATGGCTCACCCCCTCTGCTGGGGCTCCAAATCCAATAGCAGACAAGGCTTCTTTCTGGCTACAATTGCTCAAAGGTCATAACTTCCAGGTCCCGTATTCAGGAGCCTTAGCTCTCCTGGTTGTTATAGGCTACTGCATGAGTCTGTGCAGATGTAGATGCTGAGATGAGAACTCTGTAAAGTTGGCAGCCCAGAGCCCTGAACCAGCCCCATGCTCTGTGATGCTTCCCCACCCCAACCATCCCATCTGTCTCACTTGTGTTGTATCTCTAGGAAGAAATTTCTTGTCCTTAGATTTATGTTGACAAAAATTTCCACGCTGAGTACAACTTGGAAAAGGGCCTGTGGAGAAGAAATAATAGATTCTGTGCTATTTCTTGTGTTTCGACACGAAGCCTGTCCTGGAATCACCTGGAGGACGTACACAAACACACAGTGCCTGGGCTTCAACCGGGACCAAGCAAACCTGAAGCCGTTGGGGTGGAGGCAGACACGGACATTCTCATAAAGCTGCCCAGGCAACTTTAAAGAGAGCCAGTGCTGAGAGGCCAGTGCAGGGGCGAAGTCTGGGGAGGGCAGAGATGTCCAAGAGTGGTGAGGTGCAGGGGCTCCCCAGCCTGGAAAGGCACTCGGATGAAGCTCCCCCCAGTTCAGCTCCCCTGGACTGCACCCTCATCCTCTGCTTTGCTCCCAGCTCCGGGCGGGCAGCCCTGGTTCTCATGACTTTGTCTCCTGCTCCACCCACCCCTTTACATAGGTGACCTTGTTTTCCTTCTGGTTCTGGCTTCAGATATGACTTATCAGCACAGTTGCACATGCAGGTTCCTGCCCGACCAGCCCCCACCCCAACCCAGCCTCCCAGAATCCTGCAAGGCAGCCCAGGGTTACTGCCCGGGGCAGCCTCCCGCTTAACTGGGAGGGAGAACTCATGAGATTGTGGATCATTTCCCTCAGAACCTCAAGGACATCTCGATGAACCTGCAAGGCCTAATAGATAGGAAGAAAGCACGAGGGGTTTGTTGAATGTGAAAACAAACATAAACTCAAAAACCTAATTTAAATCATTGATTTCAACTTGATCCTCTACCCAAGCCCTTACCAAATGTGCTATCAAGTGGCTAATATGATTGCTCTGGACTTCTTTTGAAGATATGTCACCAAGGGGGAAAGAAGACATGGGGTGGGGGCTGGTGTACACAGCAGCTGTGGGTTACTGGGAGAACTGGAGTCTTTTCTGAATTAAATACAAACATTTGAAGGTGCAGGTTAAGTGGGGACGGTGGAGTTAGCTGTAGGTTCTATCAAGGTCCTAGCTCTTGTTCTGGGTGATGGTCTTGCAGTCCTTATTACATTAAAGAATGAAGCAAAAAGCCTAATCAGGTAACAGCAGGCCAGACGGGGACCAATGATTTCAGTGTGCTCTGAAGAAAGGATGGTGATGAATCCATATGCCAGTTTTGTGGACCTGAGGTGCAGAAAATGGAGCATGGGAACACACTGCAGTAGTCCAGGTCCCAAGTGGCCATAACAAAGTCTTTGCTGAGGGGTAGAGAGAGGGGCTTTGATATGGTTTGGATCTGTATCACCACCCAAATCTCATGTGTAATTGTAATCCCAGTGTTGTAGATGGGGCCTGGTGGGAGGGGATTGTATCATGGGGGTGGATCCTTCATGAATGGTTTAGTACAGGGGTTCCCAACCCCTAGGCCATGGATGGGTACTTACTGTGTTAGGAACCTGGCCACACAGCAGGAGATGAGTAGCAAATGAGAGAGCATTACTGCCTGAGTTCCACCTTCTGTTAGATCAGTGGTGGTGTTAGATTCTCACAGGAGCTTGAAGCCTATTGTGAACTGTGCATGTGAGGGATCTAGGTTGAGAATCTAATGCCTGATGATCTGAAGTGGAATTGTTTCATCCGGAAATCATTCCCCGCCCACCCACCAGTCCGTGAAAAAATTGTCTTCCACAAAACTAGTCCCTGGTGCCAAAAACGTCGGGGACTGCTGGTTTAGTACCATCCATTTGATGCTGTTCTTGTGATAGAGTTCTCACAAGATCTGGTTGTTTAAAAATATGTAGCACTTCCCCTCTCTCTCTCTTCCTCCTGCTCTAGCCATGTGAGACATCTGGCTCCTTCACCTTCTGCCACGGTTGTAAGTTTCCTGAGGCCTCTCCAGAAGCAGAGGCTGCCATGCTTCCTGTACAGCCTGCAGAATCATGAGCCTAGTAAACTTTTCTTTATAAATTACCCTGTCTCCGGTATTTCTTTCTTTCTTTCTTTCTTTTTATTTTGTTTTTTAAGACAGTGTCTCGCTTTGTCGCCCAGGGTGGAGTGCAGTGGTGCCATCTCGGCTCACTGCAAGCTCCGCCTCCCAGACTCACACCATTCTCCTGCCTCAGCCTCCCTAGTAGCTGGGACTACAGGCACCCGCCACCACACCTGGTTAATTTTTTGCATTTTTAGTAGAGATGGGGTTTCACCATGTTAACCAGGATGGTCTCGATCTCCTGACCTCATGATCCGCCTGCCTCAGCCTCCCAAAGTGCTGGGATTACAGGCGAGGTATTTCTTTATAGTAATGTGAGAACAGACTAATATGGGGTTCCTCCCATTTGGCACCACCATGTCAGCTGGAGGGGAACTGGCACGAGGTTTGAACGATGTGGCCTCTGTCAAGCTGGCTGTGTCTAGGGAGAGCTTCCAAGCTGCATGCGTCAAGAGGAGGCATGCATCTGTGCCTGCAAGAAGCTGGACGGAGGCTCCAAGGCCTGAGTGACTGTGTCCTGCAGAAGTTCGCCCCAGTTGGCAGGCCCATTTAGGGGGGACATGGAGAAGAAGGTGCCAGCAGGATGGGTTCAGACGTCCTGGTGCTCTCGCTGCAATGGCTTCCATGCCTGGAGCACTCAGAACAGTCTTGGCTGAGCATTTACAGACATCGTCTCATTTCCTCCTCCCAACCCACACAGAAGCCAGGTGTTTTGGGTCCAGAATTGTATACAATTTGGGGAGCCTTTTTTGAAAAGGAACACATATGAGCTAATACAAATAGACTGAAATAAGAGGAAAAAAATAAAATAATTTCTTTAGAAAGGAAAAGGAACACCAACTTACCAACATGAAATTAGATACAAAAGCAGGTCTTTAGAAGTGAGGGCTACCTAAGCTTTAGCTTCATTCACTTTGCAGTACATTTCGCTCTGGGGACAAGTATCATCACCCCCATTTTAAAGGTCAAGAAATTGAGGCACAGATTGGTGAAGCGATTCACCCAATGTCAGACAGTGCGCAACGAATTAGCTAGGATTGTATCCCAGATCTGTTTAGTGTCACCCAAGTTAGTAGTAACACCCAATGACCTCTGATGGCGGTGGTGATGGGTGCCTCTGTTCTAGAAAGAATGTGTATCTAATTTGCATCATAAAGTGATTGATGCCATCAGCTGTGTTTATGCCATCAGTTAGTCTGTATTGATCCAGGGCGTATTTTGTGCAGATGGGGACCCTGGGAAGTTAGCAGCAATGGAGAAAAGCGTGGAATGCTCTCCAGGTATTAACACCACTGCCACCGCCACCCTGGCCATGGAACACTGCACAGGGAGAAGGCAACAGAGCAAAACAAGCATATTGCATTTCTCCAGCTGCTCCGGAAGTCCTTGGGACAGGAACCATGTGTGTTTAGGAG
This sequence comes from Homo sapiens, assembly GCF_000001405.40. Classification (NCBI taxonomy): domain Eukaryota; kingdom Metazoa; phylum Chordata; class Mammalia; order Primates; family Hominidae; genus Homo; species Homo sapiens. Next base: position 36,095,512 of record NC_000007.14, read on the forward strand.
AACACCTCCATAAGCCTTTGGAAGCAGAAAACAAGAGCCTGTGGGCTTGAGCTGGAAGAAGACAACAAAGAAATGCTAGACCACCTTACGTTAGAAAAAAGTGCCCTAATGGGGGCCAGAAAGGCAGAGTGAGGGAAGAGAGAAGGAAGCGGGGAAAGGGATAACAGCGGGCAGGGGAAATGTGGCAGGAAGGACAGCCCAAGTGGACATGTCCAAGACTTCAAAAAACCAGACTGTACTCAGTTTGTACCCCTGTCCTTTATAGCATAAATCTCCATAGCCCCAGAGTTTCAGCACAGCTGGAACACACACAGGGGTCTTGAATGCAAGGGCTGTGTGAGGGAGGGATTGTGTGTGTGAGGGCCTATGTGTGTAGTGAAGTGTTCGTAGACAAATGTTCAAAAGAGGATGCTCAGATCATTACCGATGCCCTGTGTTGTTAAGAGTTTATCATCTGTGAATCGAAGGGTTTATAACAGGATAATGACAGAAACGTGAGTTTAATACAATTTTTAAAAGATGTTTCCTAGAATGCTGTATACACAATGTGCTGAACAATATTATTTCAGTGAACGTAGGTCATGTATATAGTTGTGTATGTGAGAGTATGTACGTGTGTGGGAGTGTGTGTGTTGTGTGTATGTGTGTGAGATTGTGCATGTATGAGTGTGTGTGAGTGGTGTGTATATGTTTATTAGTGGGTGTGTGTGAGCATGTGTGTGTGTGAGCGTGTAAGAGTGTGAGTGTTGAGTCTGTGTGTGTGTCTGAAGCTGAGGTCAACATCTGGGCTAGATCAAAAACCTAATTGAGGAAAGCATAGTGGAGTGGAAGCAAGAAATATTATTCCTGGGGCTTCACCAAAATCTAAAATTGGGCACTGATGGGGTGGGGATTTGAGATCCTCTTCTCTAGATCTTGGAGGGCAGGTGGTCCCCTCTGACATCCGGGTTGGAAAGGGGAAAGTAGCACTATTGAGCATGCCCTGGGCCCCAGTCCCCATGGCTGTGCCACACACATTATCTCATCTGCTTTCCCCACAATCATACGAGATGAGTATTTTTTTGCCCACTTGGTAAAGAAATCAAGGCTCAGTCAAAGAGGTTAAACAACTGGCCAGTAGCGAACAGCTGTTAAGAACAGGATTCCTCTGATGTCACAGCCCCTGCTGATTCCCTGCTTCCCCTACACGCCACCCAGTCCCACCTTGCTGTGATATTTCTCCCACTTTAGTCCATTTCCAGAACATTTGGCATAGGCAAGTCGAAGACAATTGGCTGGCAGTCCTTGTGTCTCCGCAATGCAGTTGCCCAGCTCGGTTTCCTCCCACAATCTCCTCTTCCTTTCCTCTTACCCCTTTCCCTGTCAGGGCTCTCATTGAAGCCAGTGGAAAATTACTGACCTAGTCATTGGCTCCTGCATCTTAAATGGAGACATTACTGCTCCCTGCTGCCCAGATTGTCCCTGAACTCTTGACCAAATATGTGGTAGCTGCTTTTAACTGTGACCTCACACATCAAGTGAAAATGCTAGAGACAAATACATATTACCTTTTTTCCCTGCATCTTCCACAGAAATTGAGAGAAAAACATCTTAATGGAATTGATTAAATAGATGAGATGACATTTTAAACACTTGACCATAGGTAAAGTAGTGGGTTATGCAAACTCATTTTAATGTGTTGGCCATCTGACTGCCACCAAGGCATAGCTACTTGTTTTTTCTTGGTAAAGTGCAAAATAACTGTCAAGCCAGATCTCTAGGTGATAATAAGCATCCAATTATCACTAAAAATGGAGTCTGGTCCAGGACACCTGCCAGTCCTTGGAGATTCAAGTAGAACTCTATGTGCTGGTTCAGCTACACCGAAGAAGGGAAACAAATAAAAATGGTGATTTATGAGTGCCTCCTTTGTGCCAGTCACTGTGCTAAGCATGCTACATTCATAATCTTATCCTATCTACAGAGCAGGGTGGACACCATTGCTATCCCCTTTTTGCAGAAGAGGGGATTAATGCCCAAGGTCACAAGCTTATATGTGTCTGGGCTCATCCAGTTCTTCACCTCCTCAACATAAGTTAGGATGGCACTTTCCTGATCCTTTGATGTTAGTAACCTGTCACTTCCAGGTAAAACTAGTTTCCTCATCTGCAAATGAAAAATAGTATCTATCCTGCAACCTGTTTGGAAGATGTATTAGCCTGTTCTCACATTGCTATAAGGAACGACATAAGATTTATGTATGAAAAGAGTGATTTCTGAAGAAAAGAGTTTAATTGACTCACAGTCCCACAGGCTGTATGGGAACTATGGATGGGAAGGCCTCAGAAAACTTACAATCATGGTGGAAAGTGAAGGGGAAGCAGGCACATCTTCATAAGGTGGCAGGAAGGAGACAGAGAGCAAAGTGTGAAGTGCTACACACTTATAAACAACCAGCTCTCATGAGAACTCACTCACTATCATGAGAATAGCAAGGGGGAAGTTTGCCCCCATGATCCAGTCAATTCCCACCAGGTCCTTCCTCCAACATTGAGGATTAGTTTGATATTAGATTTGGGTGGGGACACAAATCCAAACCATATCAGAAAATTTAATGTAATTATATATATATAATAATGTATATAAAAACATATAAGATAGTGCATGGCTTAATAAATGTTAGTTATTATTTTAATGATAATGATTACATGATGTTGCTACTTGAGAATCTTCAGGAGCTTCCTTTACTTATTAAGTCATGACCAAACTTCTCAGTCAGACATTCCAGGCTCCAATTCCTCACTGATGCTTCTGTCATGGTTCAGGCTACCTTACTTAGCTCCTGGACTCTGTTGGGTGGGAGGAATAGGAAGATGAAGGCAGGAACCAGCACCTGAGAAGACAGGAGCTGCTTCAAGTAGCTTGGCCTCAGGAGTGACCCATCATAGTAGTGCCTGCCTCAGCTAACCCTTAAGGTGGCCCAGGAGTCTCTATCCAGCAGAAAGAACACAGCTATTGGAGGCAATCCTGGCAATTAGCATTGGTCATTATGCCTGTTGCTGAAGGCAAAGTTTTTTAACCATTTATAGTGTTGGATTAAGACATATATATTGGAGTTTTTGTTCTGGGCAAGGTGGAGTAAGCACACCCTACCCTGTTTCTCCCACAAAATGCAAAAATGAACCCTGGACAGACTACATTGAACAGCTATCTAAGGACCATGACAAGTAAACAGGAGCAGGTGAATTGGGGAAAGAGATCAGAATATGAAGTACCACCAAAACCACCATGAATCTCTCATCTTTTATCCCCTCTTGTATCATCTGGCCTGGACTCATTAGTCTGGCCTGGATGTGCACACCAAAAGCAAGCAGGGCTCTAAAAAGAATCCTCACTTTCTGGTCCAAGGTGGTTGTGGGGACACCTAAGAGTTATAAGAAGTGGAGAAAGTCCCTGGTTTTTAAATCTTTTTTCACTCTTGCCCACCCAACCCCCAGGTAATCCCATAGTGGCAGCAGTAACAACAATGGCAACAGCAGCCTGGAGAGCACCGAAATACTTAAAGCTCTGAGGGAAGCGAGTCTTCCCTCCACTAGAGAAGCTGTGGTCCCAAGAGGGTGGGACAAAATACCATTCCCTTTTCTCTCTCTCTGTTCATACACTGCCTGGTGGGACAGACTCAAGTATAGCCATGAGATGTATGCAGCAAGGTAGGAAAACTAAAGACCTAGCTTTCTAACCAGAGGACAAAAAAAATGGGGCTTCAGTGGGCCAAAAATGCCAGAATAATCTCAGAAAGGAGACTGCTCAAGAGAGCAGTTCCATATTAACTCCGAGGCTTACTTCTAAGCTGCACATGGTGTGAGAACTGAACTGTGCATGAGACTATGATCCAGGCCACCAAATGGCCACTGGGCAACATACACACAACAGATTCCCATAGCACTGCAAAGGCTTTGAAAACTGAACTGATATTAGAACCACAGTCCACAGGAGAACTCGAGTCTGGAGCCTAATTAGACTGATTGCTTGCAAAAACAAAACAAAACAAAATTCAAAATTCGCTTTAGGATTTAAACAAGACATGGATCCTCATAATGTAATATTCAAAATGTTCAGGACACAATCCAAAACTACTTGACATATGAAAGACAAGAAAAACTTCAACTTATAGGGAAAAGAACAATCAACAGATGCCACCTGCAAGATGACACAAATGTTGAAATTATTAAAGATGCAAAGGCGACTATTATAAACATATTCCAAGAAGTAAGGGAAAATTCTCTTGAAACAAAAAAGTCTCAATAAAGACTATAGAAGATACAAAGAAGGACAAAAGAGAAACTTTTTGGAACTGAAAATTACAATGACCGAAATAAAATATTCCCTGGATAAGATCAATAGCAAAATAGAGAAAGTCAGTGAATTGAAGATTGAATAGAAATTATCCAATCTGAACAAAAGGAAAAAATTAAAAATTAATGAACAGAGTATTGGAGGCATGTGAGACAATACGAAAAAGTCTAATATTCATAGTGTTAGAGTTCCAGAGGGAGAAGGGGAAGAATAGGATGCAAAGAAACAAACAAAACCCAAAGGAAACCGTGCCCAGATGCATCGTAATTAAACTGCTAAAAACTAGGGCAAAACATCTTGAAAGCAGCCAGAGAAAAATGATACTTTATATAAAGGGAAACATTGACTTAAATAACTGTGGATTCCTCAGGAAAAAAAAGTAGGCCAGAGGAAATGGAATAACATTTTTAAAGTGCTGAAAGAGAAAAAACTGTCAATCCGGAATTCAATATCCAGTGAAAACATCCTTCAGGAACGAAGATGAAATAAAGACATTCTCAATGAATGAAATCTGGAAGAATTCATCACCAACAGACATGTTCCAAAATCAATACTAAAGAAATACTTTTCCTCCTAAGATGCAGAACAAAGCAAAGATGTTCTGGCAAAGGAAGAATGAAAGTAATGGGCAAACAATCAGTGGTTGCCAGGGATTAGGGGTGGGAGATGTGTGACCACAAAGGGAAGAATGAGAGAATTTGTGTATGATGAACTGTCTGTATCCTATTGTGGTGGTGGTTACATGAATCTAAACATATGTTAAACCTTACCAAACTGTTATGCCCCAAAATAAAATTTAAAAATAAAGTTAAAATGATTGTGTATTTTTTTAGTGGCTTAAAACTACACAAGTTTTTATGTTATAGTTAAAAGTCAGAACGTGGGTTAGAAGTTCAACACAGGTCTCTCTGGGCTAAAAGCAAGGTGTTGGCAGGGTTGCATTCCTGTATGGAAGCTCTAGGGGAGAATCCCTTTCCTTGTCTTTCCCAGCTCCTAGAGGCCATTACATTCCTTGGCTTATAACATCTTCCTTCATTTTCAAAGCCAGCAATATCAGGCCAAGTCCTTCCCACATTGCCTCACTTTAACCTCCTCTTTTGTCTCCCTCTTCTGATTCTTCTTTTTTATTGAGGTGAAATTTACACAAAATTAACCTTTTTCATGTCCATTTTAAAGTGAACAATTCAATGGCATTTAGTACATTCACAATGTTGTGCAACCACAACCTCTACCTAGTTTCAAAACATTTTCATCAACCTGAAAGAAAACTTCATACTCATTAAGCAGTCACTCCCCATGTCCCCTACCCCAGTCCCTGGCAACCATCAATCTGCTGTCTGTCTTTATGGATTTGCCTATTCTGGGTATTTTGTGTAAATGGAATCATATGTGACCTTTTGTGACTGGCTTCTTTTGGAGGTTTTGATGGTTCATCCACATTGTAGCACATGTAAGTACTTCATTCCTTTTTATGCCTGAATAATATTCCATTGTATGTACATACCACCATTTGTTCCTCCATTCATCCTGTGTATTCATCTTTAAAATAAAACTTTAAAAAACTTTATATATGATGTCTCACCCAAGACCAATCAAATCAGAATCTCTGAAGGGTTAGAACCCTGGGTGATGGTACTTTTAGATCACCAGAGTTGAGAATCTCTGCTTTTATATAATGTTTTGGTCATCAATTTCTGCATAAGAAGCCATCCCAAAATGCAGTAGATTAAAGTAACAATGATTTTATTTTATCATGATTCTACAATCTGTACCAGGCTCAGCTCTGTTGTTGAGCAAGTAACAGATCCAATCCAGACTCTGCTAGCTTGCTGGTGGTCACTCATGTGAGTATATTGAGCCAATGGGTTGACTTAAGTCTGGATTCAACATGGAATGCGACAGTTGTGCTTCAGTCTCTCACCATGTCTCAGGGCCTCTCCCTCTCCTTGAGGCTACTCTACGTAATCTCTCCAGTAGAGTAGCTGGACTTCCTACACAGTGGCCCAGGACTCCCAAAGCATAGGAGCAGAGGATGCCATGACTCTACATCCTCATCCCAGAACAGACACGGTGTTCACTCCCACCACATTCTACCGTTAAAGCAAGAAACACATCCAGCCCAGACTCAAGGAGGGGCCTACACAAGGGCCTGAATACCTGGAGATGTGGGGAGGGGGATCATGACTCACTGGGGCCGCCAATGTAATGGACAACCGTATGCAACCTCTTGTGCAATGTTAATATATTTTCAGTAAAACCAAATAATTCACACATATAAAAGCAAACAGATGTCCAATGTATAGTAATGTAACTATAGTTAACAATGCTGTATTGCATACTTGAAATCTGCCAAAAGTGTAGATCTCAAGTGTTCTTACGTAGTCAATTCTGCAAGAGGATATAACAATTTTAAATATATATGCACCCAACACTGGAGCATCCAGATATATAAGGCAAATATTAGAGCTTAAGAGAAAGATAGGCCCCAGTACAATAGTAGCTGGAGACGTCAAGAGAGACTCTTACCAAAAAAAGGAAAGAAGGAAGGGGGGAAGGAAGGAAAGAAGGAAGGAAAGAAGGAAGGAGGAAAATGCTGACTATGTGAGGTAAAGCATATATTAATTAGCTTGATTGCAGTAATCATTTTGCAATGTATACATATATCAAAATATCAAGTTGTACACCTTGAATATATGCAATTTTATTTGCCAATTATACCTCAAAAAACCTAGGGGCTGGTGGGTGAGGTAAAGGCAAACATATTTTACATACAAATGATAAAACGAAGTGGATAAGTAAATGCAGCACACACTTACTGTCCTTAGCATCACGGTAAGTGAGATATTAACATTTTGAAAATGTTAGTTATATTAGAACTGATTGCTGGTGACCCTGGATGAATTCTGAACTCCTCCTCAATCAAGCGGACAGCCACATTCCGGAATTTTCTGAACATTGAATGGTGAATAATTTTTAACATTGATTTTATCTACTCACCTGTTTCCAGCTAATCACAGCCCTGGGTGACATCACAGTCCTGGCAGAAGAGCATTTTTATTTCACTTTTTAAAAAACCAACAACAAGCATGTAAATGAGCTCTAAGTCCTCTCTCTGTCCATGTGCAGTGAGAACAGGGCAGTTCTAAGAAGGTAAATGATGGGTGAAATTTTCTACAGGGCTCTGCCCTTGTTATGGGATAGGGTCTCCATCCTGACCTGCACTGGAGGAACCTGGAAAAGAACTGGGCCAGAGGGCAGTGAGAAGACAAGAGAAGAAGGAGCTGAAGCTTCCCCTCAGCGCCTCAAAACTCATTTCAAACTAGCCACTAAAGTTCTGAAAACACCTCAACCTCCTGTGAAAATCCTATCCCAGTATCCCCTGTATCCCTATGAGGCTCTTCATTTTCTATTACACAAGATGGGCCCAGAACCTTAAATGGAAGTGATACCATGCTTCTCATTCACTTATTCAAAAACTAGTTCTGGAGTCTGTATGCATAGTTTGTCAAGTAGCTAGGATTGTAGGGGTGAACCAGACAGATAACTACAACCCTTATGAAACAAACATCCAGCAGGATAGAAAGAAAATAAATACATAAAACAATCAGATGGCCAAACAGATTAAAACAGAAGGAAGCGCTGGCATTCCCTGAACACACCTGCTCCCTCATATACAGGGGCATATGGACAAGGACTTAACCAACCTCAGTTGGCTTATCTGTTAAATGGGCTCCCAATAGTACTGACTTCATGAGGTTGTGAGAATTTGCAAAATAATGTCTATTCAGTGGGATGACTGCAGTCTCAAACATGGTATATGATCAGTAACTGCTAGTTACTCTAATGATTAGTAGCAGTTTCTGAAGAACTGTATTTAAAATTGCTTCAAGATTCAGAGAAGTCCCCTAGCAAATATGAATTCCTCTCCCTCCACCCCACTGACTTCACGCTCTTTTCTAATGTATCCAAGCATTGATGATTTTATTAACTTTTAAGCTCATTTCTTTCTACTGAAACTCCTAAAGACCAGCCTCCTCATTAAAAAAAATATAACCCTTTAAAAGCAACTAAACGTGATCCTCCTAGTGTTTACACTGGGAGTGGAGTGTAGAAAGCCCTTGGGATCAGAAAAACCTAGATTTGAAAGCTGGCTCTGCCAATATTTGCTGTGTGACCATGGGCAAGTAGCTTAACCTCTCTGAGCTTCAGTTTTCCAATCCATAAAATGTGACTAATAACACATGATATTCAGAGATGATATGAGGTCAGCAAAGTACTTTTCATTAAGGTGGCTATTTTTGTTATTAATAGGTCACGTAATTCAGGATGTAAACAAAGGTTTATTCTGGGAACTGAATTAAGCAAGCCATTTAAGCAAGAAGGCTGCACAACACTGAAGTGGAAATAACTGATGGGAAGACAATCATCCTCCCAATCCTCTCATTGTGCAAGACAGGGGGATCCCCAACCATGGGGTTACTGAGGGTTCAGAACAGAGGACCCTTAAATAGCAGTGGTCTGACCACCACATTTTCAGATAGGAAGGTAGAATTGCCCCAGGCCACAGGCCCATGGAAAGCTGTTAGGTCCCCTCAGTTTGGGGTGTCACTGGGCTTCTGTAAAAACACGTGAAGGCCCCACAAACAGTTATGTGAGTAACAAAGGGGCCACCAGCCACCTCAGCAGCAGATGGGCAGGTGGGTGGCAGAAAGGGGTAAGGGAAGCCTGACCATGCTGAGGAAAAAAGTCAGAGCATACCCTGAGCAGGGTCTCTTCTCAGCACTAGGAACATGTGGCATCAGTGGGGTGTACCTGCTAAAACGGACGCACCAATACAGGAACACTTTTATTAACTAAAGTCCATAGTTCACATTAGGATTCGCTCTGTGATATACAGTCCCATGGATCTTGACAAATGCATAATGCCATGTATCCACCATTCCACTCTCAAACAGAATCATTTCACTACCCTAAAAATCCTCTGTGCACCACCTATTCATCCCTCCCTCCCCCATCCAAGCCCCTGTTAACCACTGATTTGTTTTTACCAAATACCCAGACTTCAAAGAGATGATCTTTTTATGATCTCTGTAGTTTTACCTTTCCAGAATGTCCGGAGCTCATTTCTTTTTCCTGCTGTATCATATTCCATTGTCTGGATGTGCCACGTTTTGTTTATCTATTCATCTGTTGAAGGACATCTTGGTTGCTTCCAAGTGTTGGCAAATATGAATCAGTGTGCAGGTTTTTGTGTGGGCAAAAGTTTTCAACTTATTTGGATGGTTATGTTATGCCATCCTTGCTTACTGCAATCAGATTGTAGTAAGGAAAAAAGTTGTTTAGCAGGAAAGTCTCTTTCAGAGGAAGGAAAAGTCTTCGTTGAGCAGAATGCCTTGATGGGCTGTGTGGCTGTGGAAGGACAGCCTGGGAGCATGGCCACTCGGGCTGGAAGCAGATAAAACATATACTTTAGCATCCAAACCAGGACACTTTGGGGGTTAAGAGTAGACACTATTAATATCACTGGAGCAACAGAAATAATCTGGTTTTATTCCTGTAAACTTTGGTATAATGAAGCCAAGAGTTGGCTAAACTTGAGTACATTTTTTTAAAAACTCTAAACACAAAAACATAAAACAATGTAGGTGGCTGACTTTAAAATGACCGGCCATATTGAATGCTGGTGAGGACTCAGAGCAACTGAAACTCTCCTACATAGTTGGAGAGAGTGTAAGATGGCACGACCAACTTGGAAATCAGTTTGACAGCTTCTTAAAAAGTTAAACATACACCTACAATACAACCCAACCATCCCACTATAGGTATCTATCAAAGAGGAAAGAAAGCATGAAACCCAAAGACTTGAATGCAAGTGTTCACAGGAGCTTTATATAGAGCCAAAACCCAAAAACAACCCAAATCCACTAGTATATGAATGACAGACAAACTGTGGGACTTCTATACAATGGAATACCACTCTGCAGTAAAGACACACTATTGATACACACAATAACAGAGAAGAATCTCAAAATCATACTGAGTGAAAGAAGCTAGGCAAAAAAAGAACATACCGTATGATTCCATTTATGTAAAACACTAGAAAATATGAGCTAATCTTTTTTTTTTTTTCTGAGACAGAGTCTTGTTCTGTTGCCCAGGCAGGGGTGCAGTGGTGCAGTCTCAGCTCATTGCAGCCTCAATCTCCCAGGATCAAGAGATCATCCCACTCGGCCTCCTGAGTAGCTGGGACCACAGACATGCACCCCCATGCCCAGCTAATTTTGTTTTTTTTTTTTTTTTTGTAGAGATGAGGTCTCACTATGTTGCTCAGGCTGGTCTCGAACTCCTGGATTCAAACAATCCTTCCACCTTGGCCTCTCAAAGTGCTGGATTGTAAGTGTGAGCCACCGCATCCAACCAATACAAGCTAATCTGTATAGAGAAAGCGTATCACTGGTTGCCTAGGGATGGGATTGAGGGAAGAATGGATTAAAAGGGCACAAGATAACTTTAGGTGATGGTGGAAATATTGTTTAGAAGTGACAGTTTTATGGCTGCGTGTATGTCAACACTGATAGAATTGCACACTTTAAATATATGTGATTTTGTATCCTTCAAATATACCTCAATAAAGATGGAACACTTTAAGAAAAAATAAATAAAAATGCATGCTCTTTAGCCTTAAACAGAAAAACATGATTTTTAGGGAGTAGGGAGTAAGTGAGCCAGCATGGAGACAAGGAGGTTGAAGGCAAGTGAAGAAGTCCCAGAAATTGAGCAGACAGCTACCAGAAGAGAAGGCCAGTGAACATATTCCATTTTGGACTTGGGGCCCAGGCAAGGGGGTCCCAGAGACATTTTAAGACTGATAGTGTCCAATAGTCTATTTTATCAGCTGTGCTATTCTCTAAAGAAACCCTTACATGTGCGCACACACACACACACACGCACACACACAAACACGGACACACTGGTCTTTAATAAGTTATGTAATGGCCTTGGATGAGTGAGGTTTAGGAGAAATACAGTAAAGGAGCTGACTCTCTGGGTAGATTAAGGATAGGGAGAAGGGGGCATTTAAAATATGAAAGATGGGAGGGAGAAAGAGCCAGGATTCAGTGGAAGCGGAAAATCAGAATGTGAGGAGACCCAGGGAAATATCTGACTTACAAGAATCCTCATTGAGATTGGGAAGTTGGCTGGGGTCCCATTTTACAAGAAATGAGGGTTTTATTTGCATTTTATTATTTAGGGCTCTAGCTGACAACCCAGTTACATGACGATGTCAAAGGGCAGAGGTTACATCATTCCAGCCAAATACCACATCCTGTGGCCACTGCCCCTTAGGACATAGTTCTCACCTGGGGCCTGGTCAGAGAGGACCAAGGTCATTGGCCTTTTGCTTCTTAGTTAGCAGTTTTAAAGTAAATGGCGATTTAGGGAAAGGGAGAGGTGGCAGATGACAAGAAGGGAGAGCATTTGTGTTTTCAATTTTACCGCCCATAGTGCTAGGCACTGGAGTTACAGTGAGGAGCACACTCCTGACTCTTCTATTCCCGGAGCTGATGGTGCAGCAGGACTGCAGACATGAAATCAGTAAGACTAGTGCCTGTTGAAATAAGGGAGAGGAAGAGAATATGGATGTGAATTACAAGTAATTTCTGCTAGGGGACTTCCCGGGAAGTGAGGGTCAAGATGAGATTTGAAAGCTGAATAGGGAAATGTTGCCCCAACACACAAGACCTCAGTCCTGGCAAAGCAAGCCCCGATTCCCCAATCAATGAGCTTCAGTCAGGCTATTGACTTGGCACCAACTTGTGTGCAGTGGCCAAGCTGGATGCTGTCCTGAATTATATCAGTGTGACAAGGCAACGTCTCCTTTAGTGTGACCTTAACAGTGGATTTGTCCCTCTTTATCAGAGTAGGCTCCCTGTGTTCCCAAACTCAGGAAACTCCAGGCATTGGCAGCCCACTTGCACATTCTACATCAGATCCTGCCTCACTGGGAGTTGTGGCAGAGGATGGCCAGACAGACACCATGGACAGACACCATGGAGAGGGGCAATGAACAAACCTTCATCTTCTATACATAACATGAATTCTGCTTTCTCTTCTGTGCCTGTGTACAGACACTCAGCCAGGAATCCCACCACCAGGAGCATTTTCATCCACTTCTCTAAAGGAGTCCAGTGCCTTGCTGCATAACAGTGTGTGATAGACTATACACAGTTGCCCAGGGGGTCCAGCCTCCCTGCACTCTCCTCCCTGTGTGATCCCTCCCTACATTCACTCCAGGCTTAGTCATGTGATTTGTGAGAGTGAGGCAAGCAAAGGGTTGATAAGCAGTCGTTCATTTCTCCTGGAATATTACCTCCCGGAACTCAGCTGCCATGCTATAGGGAAGTATTGACTCTCCTTTTGTGAACTGAGAGGCCACAGGAAGAAAAACTGAGGCACCCCAGCCCTCAATCAGCACCAGGGCCTCAGAGTGTGAGAGAATCATCTGGGACCTTGCAACCCAGCCCAGTCCCCAGCCTGATGTACCCTCCTGGAGTGAGCCCAGCAGAGACCACAAGGAGCAGAGCAACCACCTAGCTGAGCCCAGCCACCCACAGGACACGAGAGAGGATACACTGAGATTGTTTTAGGATTATACATAGTGGGGTGGCTGTCTCAGAGCGGTATTCATCACACAGGTGTGGCCCTCAGGCCTTGTTTCCCAGCAGCAAGAGCCATTGTCATAGCTCCAGGGAAGCCTCTTTACAGCCACTGACAGTTGTCCCACTCTCGGGATGCTCTTTCAGGCTTTGGTTTCCATTGAGGATATTGTTTTTCTTATCATTTTTCAGGTGGGTCACAAGAGTGTTTTGAAGGGTTCAGGGCCCACCCTTCGGAAAGTTGTAGATGATTGTCTTGTGACAGCTGCAGTCATAGAGCAGGGTTTTTTTAACTATTGTATTTAAATATAGTAAATTGGCATATATATTTGTGTGTGTGTTGATCGTGTTTGTTTATTTCTATAGAACCATCTCCTCTTCCTAATAAACACAGAAGACAAGACAGAGAGGAGCACAGGAAGGAAGAAGAGCCCCTGGAGAAGCAGTCCAGTCTCTGCAGTTTCCCCAGCTGGGGCAGATGGGCTGCCCTCCTTATTCCCCAGGTGGCCCCTGGCCAACCTTTCAAGTCAGCACTTATCTTAAGGACAATGCTTTTGAAGGCCAGGGAGGTATGGGATTTTCTCCTGATCTGATCCCACTGAGCGAAGCCTGGCAGCTTGCACACCTGCGTCCTCCACTGCATGAGATCCTCTCAGCCAGGCGGGCCATGCACAGCAGTGTGTGTTTTCTGCTCACTCCTACCCACAGCTGTTTGCCTCCAGCATGGCCCATTTCCTGCCCCATCTCCTTGGGCTCCCTGGAGCTCAGGACTTCCTTGCCTCATGGCAAGTGCCAGGAGCTAGCTTGACCTCCCACATTCTTTCCTGTGCTCAACCTTGCCCTGCTGTCCACCACCTGAGGTTTCGCTATCTGCACTCTGCTTTCAGCCTCAGGCTGGTTCTTTCTGGCTAACCTGAAACACAGGTGCCTGCAGAGGAAGTTGAAGAACCTCCCCGTGGTCCCCTGCCAGCACTGGCTGTTTCCATAGGGAAAGGCTGGGTCATACCTTGGGCAAATTCTACTGATCCTGCACCTGTCCAAGGTGCCCAGTGTGCACTTAGTTTTCTCTATAGGAGACGCCCTGGGGGAAGTTGGTTCCACCTGGGGCTCCACCACTGTTGCTGGGGTGTGGGTGAAGGGGGAGGCCACAGGGCCTCACTGGGGGGCTGTGCAGGGGGAGTGGTCCTCTCTCCAGGCCAGGTAGGGGACTAGCAGGCACGTTAGCTGTGCTGCTGGCTTCTGCCCTGACTCCAGGTCCTCCTCAGGCCTCTGATTTCTGTGTTGTTCCTTCGACTATTCTCAGAGTATGAAGTAAAGGTAGGAATGGCAGGCTCACTGCATCTCTGCTGTTTTGGGTTGGCAGGGATGATACACTGTACCTTGTGGATGGGGAAGGAGGGCAGCTTGGTAGCGGGATCAGTTGCAGGCATTAGTTTCAGGGGTATGATCCAAGCCTCCAGCTTGGATCTCTTGTAGCCTGGGAGAAGATAGGTGGCCAACACTTCATTGTCCTGCAACTAGTCCTGGATCCCTTCCCATGTACGACCCATGGACACCATCAGTTCTGCCTGCCCAGGTCTTTGTAGTCAGAGAATGACTCAACGCAAAGCTTTAGTTTCTCCCCATAGGAGGGCCTCTCTTGCTGGATTGAGCATGAGGATTCACTTGAACAGGTTTTCGCACTCCATGGACAGGTAGAAACAAATACCAAATGTTCCTCTCAGCTCTCACTACTCCCGCAGCTCCTTAGGGTTCTGTCCATCAAAGGGCTGGGATGTGATCACTAGATATACAGGAAGCCTCCAGGCTGTACACCTCTACCCTGGGGCCACCTTACTTTGGCCCTGGAAGAGTTCTGGGTGGCATGAGGGGCACTACCACAGAAGGTACCCAGCTTGTTGCCAAAGAAGCCCAAGCCTGCAGTCTCGATGTTCACGTCAGCATCCAAAAGCAACTATTCTGCCTTCAGGTCCCTATGGGCAATACTACACTTCTGGCAGCAATACTATCACATAGCACAGCCCACACTATCTGGTGGAAATTGCTTCAGGTTTTCTTCTTCTTCAGGCTGCCATGAGCCACTAGGTACTCAAATACCTCTCTCTCACTAGCCTGCTCCACGACTAGGTAAAGTGCTTCCTTGGTCTCGATCAACTCAAATAATTTCACAATGTTGGAATGATACAATACCTTCATGATGTCTTCATGAGATAGTCTCTGGAGGCTGGAGTTCCACACTTGTAAATGACCTTTGCAGCCACCTGTGTGCCAGTCGGGATGTACCAGGCCAACTTCACCTTGGCAAAGGTTCCCTTGGCAATGGTCTTGAGGAGCATGTAGCTGCCAATATGAGTCTCCTCCTTGGCAGAGATGCTATAAAGGGCCTACCAGTCTTTTGGACTTACTGCTAACAATACTAATTACCAATATTAACTAATAATACTGATTAAATAAAGAAGAATGTGGAAAGAAATGAAAAAGAAAACAATGAGAAAAACAAAAAGGAATTAAGAAAAAGAAAAAAAAATTAAAAATGAGGCCAGGAATGGTGGCTTATACCTGTAATCCCAGTACTTTGGGAGCCTGAAGCAGAAGGATTACTTGAGTCTAGGAATTCAAGACCAGCCTGGGCAACATAGTGAGATCCTGTCTCTGCAAAAAAAAAAATAGCCAGGTGTGGTGGTGCATGCCTGTAGCCTCAGCTACTTGGGAGGCTGAGGCAGGAGGATCCCTTTGAGCCCAGGAGGTTGAGGCTGTAGTGAGCCATGATGGTGCCACTGCACTCCAGCCTGGGTGACAGAGCAAGATTCTGTCGAGAGAGAGAGAGAGAATAAAGAAAAAGAAAAAAGAAAAGGAAAAGAATAAAGGAAAATGAAAAAAGAAAGAATAAAGAGAAAAATAAAAAAAGAATAGAGGAGGGGAAAAAAGAGAAAATAACAAGAAAAATAGATACAGAGCCAAGAAATTTAAAAAGCTAACTTTGGTGAAAATCCTTCAGGTCACCAAAAGCTACCTTCCTGAGCTAGGAAGGCCAAAAATTTAGGCCCAGCCAGGGACTTACATGGTACAGTACTTGGAAGTCTGTAACTGGTTCCTTACGAGGTCATAGCAAGAAATAGACCTATCACAGCTAAGGATAATTCACAGTGGTTTTCTCACTTTTTGGTCTCAAGAATGCTTTACTCTTAAAAAACAAAAAGAGGGAGAATTCAAAGAGCTTTTTGTTTATGTGGGTTGTAGTGAACAAATATTCACCTTCTTAGAAATTATAACATGTAGGATGCTTCAGTGGCTTTTTAATTTCTAGTTTGCAAAGCTGTAAAAAGCTTTTGGCTCATAAAAAGCTCAAAATATCTACACTTAAAATATTCCATTCCTTAAAACAAACAAACAAACAAAACCAACAGCTTCTGGCTGGTGTCCGGATAATGACAATACCAAGAGCACCAAGGCTGCGGGGTCCCACGGTGAGGAGCATGGATACAGCTAGAGAATGTCAGGGAAGAAAGACTTCTCAAGGAGGTTCCTGAGTCAGACCTGAAGGACTCATGGGGGTGGGCTGCACCTCCCATTTCTTGGACGTATACCCTTGGTCATGCCCTGTGCTGGACACTAAGTATTCAGAGATGCATGAAGGCACCCTGCCTCTGTTGCAGAGCAGAAAGATTGTGGACAAAAATTCTAAATGCTGCCAAGGAGAGGAGACAGACCTCTGCCGGCTCAAGCTTCTCTGGGCCTCTGGGGAAGTCCCACAATCTTGGCTGTGCCTGCCCCTGCCCTCCCACCCCTACCCCAACTCCATCCCTGCTTGGTTACCTTGATCTGTATCACTTGTGGCCCCAACATGCCTGGGGTGAATATCCAGGTGCTCCCCACCCAAGCTGAGTAAGTGGACTAGATACGATTTTTTTTACTGGGCAGAAGGGGCTCATTTATGATTCATTCGCTGGCCCCAGAGATTGAAATCTTGGGTACCTAAACTCTCTTTCATTCCCACTCAGGCACCAGGTCTCTTGCATGGAACAGGCCATCTTAGGTTCCATGTGCCAGGGCTGGTCTCAGTTCCCCATCCCACCAGGGCTCACACACAGCCCTGCAGGTAGGGTCCCCAGATCAGCTTGCATGACGTTGAAATGCAAGGCGAGAGGTCTTGTTGGTGACCTATCACTTTCACTGAGAAATGGACATGGAGAGAACCAGAGTGAGTAAGGGTGTATGATGTGCACTGCAATGGGGGACAAAGCAGACTCCTGCCTTCGTGGAAGTCACAATCTAGTGGAGGAGGGATGTTACTAGAAATAGACAAAGTGCTGGAAGGACAAATAGCAGGGACTTGCTGTAGTCGGGCAAGGAGGTTAGGAAGCCATTACTTGGAAAGTATGGTTTCAAGTCAGAGTTAAGGAAAATTAGGAGTCAGGAATATAAAGGAGGTGAAGTGATGATTGGAGGAAAAATAAATTGTCCTTTATCCAGACGTTACCCCATGCTAAGCAGTGGCTGAGCCTTTCCCAGTATCACCCAAGGTAGGATAGTGGGTGAATAAGACATGTGAACTCTCCAGTAACACTAGTAGATTTTGAATCCTGCCTCTGCCATTTGCTGGCTGTGTGGCCTTGGGCAATTTACATGTCACTCCATTGCTTCTGATAGCAAAGGGGATGATGAGATAGACTGATAAGGTTTAATGTGTTTGGCTGCTGTATGGAGATTGGATTAGAGCAAGAGTGTAAGGGAGAGAAAGATATATCAATGTTTCAGGCGAGAGTCAAGGTGGCTTGAGCCAGGTGTGATACTGGAAGTAGGGAGAAGTGGAAAGTGATGATAATTCACTGGATTTGGTTGGTGAGGGTGTGGTCAAGGGTGACCCCCAGGTTTCTGGCTTTTGTTATTATAAGTAACACAGAAGAAGAATGGATGAATCATTAATTCATTTTCTATTTATTGTGATATCTATGATCCTGCAAAAATATTTCCTATATATTCAATTTAAAGAATAGTAATAAAAATACTTATTTACTCCTTAGATCAGTTGAGAAAAAGAATTTACTAATATAGTTAAAGCCTTCGAGTGTCCCGTCTTCTCCCCAGAGGCACTCTCTATCCTGAAATTTGTTAATCTTGCCTTGGCTATTTGTTGTTTTTACTATATATGTATCTATTCCTAAATAATATAGTGATTGGTTTTGTGTGCTTTTGAACTTTATGTTTATTCTGTTAGGGGTTCATTGAACTTTTTCGATCCAAAAGTTTATAGTCTTAATATAATTTGGAAAAATTAATTTAAAAAATCAACTCTGGCTCACGCCTGTAATCCCAGCACTTTGGGAGCCTGAGGCAGGTGGATCACGAGGTCAGGAGATCGAGACCATCCTGGCCAACATAGTGAAACCCCATGTCTACTAAAATACAAAAAATTAATCGGGCATGGTGGCACGCACCTGTAGTCCCAGCTACTTGGGAGGCTGAGGCAGGAGAATCACTTGAACCTGGGAGGTGGAGGCTGCAGTGAGCTGAGATCATGCCACTGCACTGCAGCCTGGTGACAGAGCAAGACTCCATCTAAAACAAAACAAACAAACAAACAAACAAAAAACACACAACTCTGAATGACTGGTCTCAAAATGATACCAAAACTTAACTGGCACCATGATACTATAGAGAAACATTTATCCATTCACCCATTGAAAGACATCTTGTTTGCTTCCAAGTTTTGGCAATTAGGGATAAAGCTGCAATAAACATCTATGGTATATTTTTGTATGGATATAAGTTTTTAACTCATTTGGGAAAACATCAAGGCGCACGATTGCTGAATCATACGGTAAGAAAGAGTACGTTTAGTTTTGTACAAAACTGTCAAACTGTCTTTCAAAGTAGCTGTACCATTTTGCATTCCCACCAGTAATGAAGGAGAGTTCCTGTTGCTCCTCATCCTTACCAGAACTTGCTATCATCAGTGTTCTGCATTTTGGCCATTCTAATAGGTGTGTAGAGGTACCTCATTGTTCTTTTAATTTGCATTTTCCTGATGACATGTGATGTCGAGCATCTTTACATGTGCTTACTTGCCATCTGTATTAGTCCAGTCTCACATTGTTGTAAAGAAATACCTGAGACTGGGTAATTTATAAAGAAAAGAGGTTAAATTGGCTCATGGTTGTACAGGCTGTACAGGAAGCATGATGTTGGCATCTGCTTGGCTTCTCTCAATAAAATTTGGGAAAATTAAAAAAGCAACAGCTCTGAATGATTGGTCTCAAAATGAAATCATAGCCTAAATGGCATCAAGATACTATATAAAAATGTTTATCCATTCACCTATTGAAGGACATCTTGGTTGCTTCCAATTTTTGGCAATTACGAATAAAGCTGCAATAAACATCTATGTATATGTTTTTGTATGCATATAGTTTTCAACTCATTTGGGTAAATATCAAGGCACATGATTGCTGAATTATATGTTAAGAAACAGTTTGTTCTGGGGAGGCCTCAGGAAACTTAGAATCATGGTGGAAGGCAAAGGGGGCACAGGCACATCCCACGGCTAGAGCAGGAGCAAGAGAGAAAAAGGGGAAGGTGCTACACACTTTTAAACAACCAGAGCTCCTGAGAACTCACTCACTGTGGCGAGGACAGTACCAAGAGGATGCTGCTAAACCATCATGAGAAATTCACCCCCAGGATCCCATCACCTCCCACCAGGCCCTACATCCAACGTTGGGGATTACATTTCAACATGAGATTTGGGTAGAAACACATCCAAAGTGTATCACCACCTGTGTATTTTCTTTGGTGAGGTGTCTATTCAGATCTTTTGCCTATTTTTCAGTTGGGTTGCTTGTTTTTGTATTGTTGAAGTTTAAGAGTTCTCCATTTAGTTTGGATAGCTGTCCTTTATCAGACATGTTTTTTGCAAATAGTTTCTCACAATCTGTGATTTGCCTTCTCATTCGCTTACTGTCTTTTGCAGAGCAGGAGATTCTGATTTTGCTGAGATTTTGACTGAGATTGCACTGAACCTATAGATCAATTTGTGTTGACAGTGGATGACTGAGGAGCAGTCCTCCAGGCATCAGTGGAGCACAGGCTGGGAGATAGTCTGGCATCAGAAGGGAGTTGCAAAGGCTGGCGGCCTGCCAGGCTAGGAGGGATGGCTGATTCATATTGGAATCTGTACTCTCTCCTCTCCCACCCACTCTGTAGGCCTGAGTCATAAAGAAACCTTGCGGTGCCTTCCCCTGTGCACCCTTGGTATAGCTGTGAACACTTCCCTCTGCACAGACACATTGACACATGGGGCTTATCACAAGGGACACCCAGAGAGGCTTCCTTGGAGGTGCCCTTGCATGACTTACAGAGTGGCATCCCAGGGGAAAGTAGCTAGGGCTCCTCCCCTGGTCAATCAGACTATCTGGTCCTTTCTGCTCTGAAGGCAGAGACCTCATTTTAGGGCTATAAACCCAGGCAGGACAAAAATAAAATACACATTCCAAAGACTCATGTCATCCTCCCCAGAGCTGGGGAACCACAGCATGGGTGGTAGTCTAGAGGCTGTCCCTCAGATGCTTGGCCTTCCATAGGCAGTTTTGCAACTGTCAAATCCTCCCCGACATCTGCCCCTCTGCTGTGTGTGCTCTCCAGGGGCCCAGGGTGCCGGTTCCCTCTAGCCTCCTTCTACCAAATGAAGCTTCTGCACATGTTCTTCCAAACTCAAATTTCTTGTGGGTAAAATTAGATCAGAGAGCTGGTGTTGCCGGGAAGCTGCCTCGAAAGTGGGTGGCTGCGGGCCATTAGCGGTAAAGATAAGTTAAAATAACTCTAATAAAAATGATGTTGAATGTG
Source organism: Homo sapiens (assembly GCF_000001405.40). NCBI lineage: Eukaryota > Metazoa > Chordata > Mammalia > Primates > Hominidae > Homo > Homo sapiens. The sequence goes on from NC_000007.14 coordinate 36,116,346, forward strand.
GGAAGCTGAAGCCCTTTTTTTGCCCATTATCCTGAGAACTGGTTGTCTTTCTGTTATTCTAGTTGTTTTGGGCCTCAAAATTACATCTGTATTTAAACCAAAGTTTTTATTTTTCCACCCAGATAAAGCCAGCTCTTCTCCTGCTGCTCCGGATAAGTGATTCCTCATCCTGTGTGCCTCAGCTCCTGCCACCACCTCCAAGAAGCCCTCCCTGATCCCCTCACAGAGTTAGCTCTGCACATCCTCTTGCTCCCTGTCTGCCTCACACCAGCTTCTCTGTCACAGTCGGGTCACAGTTGCTCCCTGGGTCTCCTGCCCCACTGGACTGCGAGCCCCTCCTCAGCAGTCACAGGACATATTGATCTTTGCATTCCACAGAAGGTGCACCTAGGAAGTATGAGTCAGAGGAGTGAGTTGGTGCTTTAAAAACCAAAGGCTAAAATGCAAGTGCTGTTCCATAAAAACCCCAACCGTTGGCAAGGGAAGTGACAGGACAGGACAGGGAAAGCAAGGCTTTGGAAGCAGGAACATTTTACTTCTCCTGACACCAAGAATAACCAAGACATGATTCTCAGCCTGAGTGTCCTCATCTGTGAAATGGGGTCAGTGATAGCAATCTTCCCAGGTCATTTGAGATTCAGGGCACAGACCAGTTCCTCAGAAATGTTAGTTTCTTTTCCTTCCCTAGTTAATAAAAACACTACTATGTTGGCAAGAAAGCCTGGGGCTTAGTCCTGGCTCTGTCACTAACAGTTGTGTGACTTCGGGAAACTACTTTACCCACTGGGTGCCTGCTTTATTTCCTGTCAACAGGAAGTACTGATTGGTCTGTAGATCAGATTTTTTATAATGCTGATGATTAAAATTTTGAAACGAAGTGTTTCCTAAGAGTTTCAGTCTTAGGAATGGAAACAGAGCCTAGAAAGAAGGTTGTCCACTTTTCATGGATGATGTTGGGGGCTGAGGCTTCAGTGTCACTGTCCTGTTGGGAGTGGCCGGAATCGCTCAGCATTTCACAGGCTTCTCCTCTATTGGTGGAAGAGCAGACGGGAGAGGTTGGTAGAGCGCTGGGGTATTCTAATGACAGATTCAGAGGGGACTGAGCCAGGGAGCCCAGAGCAGAAGACTGTTGAAGGGAAATTAGGAGAGAGAATTAGGCAGGTATTCTCCAGTGGTCACGTTATTTTTAGATCTCCAAATGATGGAGCTGGAATGGGCCATTTGAGGCCTGCTGGTTTGATCCTCCCTGGTTACAGAGGAGGAAACAGTGGTTCAGAAGGTCTAAGTGACTTGCCAGGTCTCCCCTTCCTGAGCTCTATGACTCTGCTTCTATTTCAGCTGGTCTTGACTCCAAGGGAATCTCTTGTGTGTATTTTGGCCCTAACAAATACCAGGACTGGTTTTCTTTAAAAAGCTTTCTTCATGGGCACTGTTAGTCTCATGCAGTTTTAATAGAAAACTGTCTTTCTATTTTCCAGCACCATTAGTTGCTATGAGCATAAACTTTCATATTTAATGCAGCATGATTCACAGCGATGCTCCATTTAAAAATGGGAGAACCTCTCCTCTGGCAAAAATTAGAAGAGAAAAACTAAATGGGAATAGGAAACAATCATTTCTAAAAATATGAATAAAAAGAAATATCGATTAGTCTTTCATTTACTTAAAAGCATAGCTGATTGGACCAAATATTGTTGAAATTCAATTTCTGCACTTTATTCTGAATATTTCAGACCTTTTCGCCCTCTACATAACCACTAGCTCTTCCAGAGCAATTCAGGGACTATGTGTATGGGGAAGGAGCTAGAAAAGTTGTGAGAAGAGAAAAGGCAACTGTCCATACAAGCCCGAGGATCTTTTTAGCCCCCTTCTTCTTTGGGGAACACTGAGATAAGAAGCCTGCTCCCCACTCCCAACCCACAGCTAGTGCTTCTCTGTTCACATTTGGTTAACTCATACCCGATTCATTCCTCAGGTGCATCAGGTATAAATACGAGAAGTTATCCCTGATGCCCCCATGCACAGTTAGCTCTGCACATCCTCCCACTCCCTATCTGCCCCACACCAGCTTCTCTGTCACAGTTGGGTCACAATTTGTCCCTGGATCTCCTGCCCCACTAGATGGTGAGCCCCTCCCCAGCAGCCATAGGACATATTCATCTATGCATTCCACAGAATGGACCCTGGACTCACCATTCCCAGGCATCTGACACAGACACAGGTACCAATAGCACTCTCTCCAAGGAGAGCCTAGCCATGGGCAACGGAACAGGCTGAGGGACAGGGGCTTCCCAGGGCCCCCCTAAAGATCACTGTGGAGCCTCCTGGTACCCACCTGGAATAACTGTGAGAGCCAACATCTGTGGAGTGGTAACCATGTGATAGCCACTGTGATAAATGCACCACCACCCTAAGAGGATAGGGCTATTTTTTTTTTTTTGACAGTCTCACTCTGTTGCCCAGGCTGGAGTGCAGTGGTGCCATCTTGGCTCACTGCAACCTTCACCTCCCAGGCTCAAGTGATTCTCCTGCCTCAGCCTCCCAAGTAGCTGGGATTACAGGGATGGGCCACCATGCCCGGCTAATTTTTTTTTTTTTGTATTTTTAATACAGATGAGGTTTCACCATGTTGGCCAGGCTGGTCTTGAACTCCTGACCTCAGGTGATCCACCCACCTCAGCCTCCCGAAGTGCTGGGATTACAGGGGTGAGCCATAGCACCTGGCCGGGGCTATTGTTCTTATTCCCACTTAACAGACTAGAAAACTGAGGTGCAGAGTGGCTAGGGAAGTTGGCCAAGGTCTTAGGGATATTAAAAGGGTGGTGTCAGGATAAGGACCGGGGCTGTCTGGCTTCAGAGTCCACGCTTGTAACCACTACTGAGACTGCATCAAAATGACACATGCAAACTGTCTGGTGCAATTATAGCTAGTGTTAGCAAAGCTATGGGGAAACCAGAACATCAAGTCACTGGAGGTGGGTGTGGAAGTTGGTATATCCATGTTGGAAAACTATCTGGCAGTTTCTTATAAAGTTAAACATACATATTGCCATGCAACCCAGCAATTTCACTTCTAGTTATACACCCAAGAGAAAGGCGTGCATATAGCTGCTGAAAGACACATACAAGTATGACCTCATGTTCATAGCACTATTTCAAAAGCCAAACCCTGGGAACCAATCCAAAATCCACCAACAGAGAATGGAGAAGTAAAGCGTGGTATAGTTATGCAGCAGAATATTGCACAATGGTGACAATGAACAAACTACACAAGCAATAAGGATGAATTTCAGTGTTGAGAGAAAAAGAAGCCAGACACCAAAAGTGCATTTTGCATGTCCATTTATATAAACTTTAAAACACTCGAAGCCAATCCATGTTGTTGGAGGTCAGAGTGGTGGGTGTCCTTGGGATTAGTTCCTAGAAGGGGGCACATGGGAGATTTTTGGGAGTGCTAGTAATATCTTGCTTTTTGATCTAGGTACTGTATACAGGTATGCTGCTTTTATGAAAATTCATCAAGCTATTCCCTTATGAACTGTATGCTTTTATGCATCTATGGTTTGATTGAATAAAAAGTTTACTTTAAAAATAAAATGTCAAGAGTCGCTTCCAAGATGGCCAAATAGGAACAGCTCCGATCTACAGCACCTAACGAGATCGATGCAGAAGACGGGTGATTTCTGCATTTCCAACTGAGGTACCTGGTTCATCTTGTTGGGACTAGTTGGACAGTGGGTGCAGCCCATGGAGGGCGAGCCGAAGCAGGGCAGGGCATTGCCTCACCTGGGAAGTGCAAGGGGTTGGCGGATTTCCCTTTACTAGCCAAGGGAAGCCGTGAGTGACTGTACCTGGAGGAACAGTACACTCCTGCCCAAATACTGTGCCACTGCAACTGGCAGACCAGGAGATTCCTTCCTATGCCTGGCTCAGCAGGTCCCATGCCCACAGAGCGTTGCTTGCTGCTAGCGCAGCAGTCTGAGACCGACCTGGGAGGCAGGAGCTTGGTAGGGGGAGGGGCGTTTGCCACTGTTGAGGCTTAAGTAGGTGGTTCTATGCTCACAGTGTAAACAAAGTGGCAGGGAAGCTCAAACTGGGTGGAGCCCACTGCAGCTCAGCAAGGCCTACTGCCTCTCTAGATTTCACCTCTAGGGGCAGGTCATATCTGAACAAAAGGCAGCAGATAGCTTCTGCAGACTTAAATGTCCCTGCCAGACAGCTCTGAAGAGAGCAGTGGTTCTCCCAGCACATTCGAGCTCCAATAACAGACAGACTGTCTCCTCAAGTAGGTCCCTGACCCCTGTGTAGCGTGACTGGGAGACGCCTCCCAGTAGGGGCTGACAGACACCTCATACAGACGGGTGCCCCTCTGGGATGAAGCTTCCAGAGGAAGGATCAGGCAGTAATATTTGCTGTTCTGCAGCCTCTGCTGGTGATACCCAGGCAAGGAGGATCTGGAGTGGACCACCAGCAAACTCCAACTGAACTGCAGCTAAGGGGCCTGTCTGTTAGAAGGAAAACTCACAAACAGAAAGGAGTAGCATCAACATCAACAAAAAGGACATCCACACCAAAACCCCATCTGTAGGTCACCAACATCAAAGACCAAAGGTAGAAAAAACCACAAAGATGGGGAGAAACAAGAGCAGAAAGGCTGAAAATTCCAAAAACCAGAACACCTCTTCTCCTCCAAAGGAACACAACTCCTTGCCAGCAAGGGAACAAAACTAGAGGAAGAATGAGTTTGACGAATTGACAGAAGTAGGCTTCAGAACGTCTGTAATAACAAACTTCTCTGAGCTAAAGGAGCATGTTCTAACCCATCACAAGGAAGCTAAAAACGTTGAATAAAGGTTAGACGAATGGCTAACTAGAATAACCAGTGTAGAGAAGAGCTTAAAAGACCTGAGGGAGCTGAAAACCACAGTACAAGAACTTCGTGAAGCATACATAAGCTTCAATAGCTGATTTGATCAAGTGGAAGAAAGGATATCAGTGATCAAAGATCAAATTAATGAAAGAAAGCGAGAAGATAAGATTAGAGAAAAAGAGTGAAAAGAAATGAACAAAGCCTCCAGGAAATATGGGACTATGTGAAAACACCAAATCTACATCTGATTGCTTTACCTCAAAGCGATGGGTAGAATGGAACCATGTTAGAAAACACTCTTCAGGATAAGTATCCAGGAGAACTTCCCCAACCTAGGAAGGCAGGCCAACATTCAAATTCAGGAAATATAGAGAACACCACAAAGATACTCCTCAAGAAAAGCAACCCCAAGTCATATAATTGTCAGATTCACCAAGGTTGAAATGAATGAAAAAATGTTAAGGACAGCCAGAGAGAAAGGTCGGGTTACCCACAAAGGGAAGCCCATCAGACTAACAGTGGCTCTCTAGGCAGAAACTCTACAAGCCAGAAGAGAGTGGGGGCCAATATTCAACATTCTTAAAGAAAAGAATTTTCAACCCAGAATTTCATATCCAGCCAAACTAAGCTTCATAAGTGAAGAAGAAATAAAATTCTTGACAGACAAGCAAATGATGAGATTTTGTCACCACCAGGCCTGCCTTATAAGAGCTCTTGAAGAAGCACTAAACATGGAAAGGAACAACCAGTACCAGCCACTGCAAAAACATGCCAAGTTGTAAAGACCATTGATGCTATGAAGAAACTGCATCAATTAACGGGCAAAATAACCAGCTAACATCGTAATGACAGGATCAAATTCACACATAACAATATTAAACTTAAATGTAAATGGGCTAAATGCTCCAGTTAAAAGACACAGACTGGCAAATTGGATAAAGAGTCATGACCCATCAGTGTGCTGTATACAGGAGACCCATCTCACATGCAAAGACAAACATAGGCTCAAAATAATGGATGGAGGAAGATCTACCAAGCAAATGGAAAGCAAAAACAAACAAACAAACAAAAAAAGCAAGGGTTGCAATCCTGGTCCCTGATAAAACAGACTTTAAACCAGCAAAGATCAAAAGAGACAAAGAAGGCCGTTATATAATGGTAAAGGGATCAATTCAACAAGAAGAGCTAACTATCCTAAATATATATGCACCCAATACAAGAGCACCTAGATTCATAAAGCAAGTTCTTAGAGACCACAAAGAGACTTAGACTCCCACACAATAATAATGGGAGATTTTAACACCCCACTGTCGATATTAGACAGATCGACAAGACAGAAAATTAACAAGGATTTCCAGGACTTGAACTCAGCTCTGGACCAAACAGACATAATAGACATCTACAGAACTTTCCACCCGAAATCAACAGAATATACATTATTCTCAGCACCACATCGCACTTATTCTAAAATTGACCACATAATTGGAAGTAAAACACTCCTCAGCAAATGCAAAAAAAAAAAAAGGGAAATCATAACAAACAGTCTCTCAGACCACAGTGCAATCAAATTAGAACTCAGGATTAAGAAACTCACTCAAAACCACACAACTACAAGGAAACTGAACAACCTGCTCCTGAATGACTACTGGGTAAATAACGAAATGAAGGCAGAAATAAAGATGTTCTTTGAAACCAACAAGAACAAAGACTCAACATACCAGAATCTCTGGGACACATTCAAAGCAGTGTGTAGAGGGAAATTCATAGCACTAAATGCTCACAAGAGAAAGCAGGAAAGATCTAAAATCGACACCCTAACATCACAATTAAAAGAACTAGAGAAGCAAGAGCAAACAAATTCAAAAGCTAGCAGAAGACAAGAAATAACTAAGATCAGAGCAGAACTGAAGGAAATAGAGACACAAAAAACCTTCAAAAAATCAATGAATCCAGGAGGTGGTTTTTTGAAAAGATCAACAAAATAGATAGACCACTAGCAAGACTAATAAAGAAGAAAAGAGAGAAGAATCAAATAGACACAATAAAAAATGATGAAGGAGATATCACCACCGATCCCACAGAAATACAAACTACCATCAGGGAGTACTATAAACACCTCCATGCAAATAAACTGGAAAATCTAGAAGAAATGGATAAATTCCTGGACACATACACCCTCCCAAGACTAAACCAGGAAGAAGTTGAATCTCTGAATAGACCAATAACAGGTTCTGAAATTGAGGCAATAATTAATAGCCTACCAACCAAAAAAAGTCCAGGACCAGACAGATTCACAGCCGAATTCTACCAGAGGTACAAAGAGGAGCTGGTACCATTCCTTCTGAAACTATTCCAACCAATAGAAAAAGAGGGAATCCTCCCTAACTCATTTTATGAGGCCAGCTGATACCAAAGCCTGGCAGAGACACAACAAAAAAAGAGCATTTTAGGCCGATATCCCTGACGAACATTGTTGCAAAAATCCTCAATAAAATACTGGCAAACCGAATCCAGCAGCACATCAAAAAGCTTATCCACCACAATCAAGTTGGCTTCATCCCTGGGAGGCAAGGCTGGTTCAACATATGCAAATCAATAAACATAATCCATCACATAAACAGAACCAATGACAAAAACCACATGATTATCTCAATAGATGCAGAAAAGGCCTTCAACAAAATTCAACAGCATTTCATGCTAAAAATCTCAATAAACTAGGTATTGATGGAACATATCTCAAAATAATAAGAGCTATTTATGACAGACTCACAGCCAATATCACACTGAATGGGCAAAAACTGGAAGCATTCCCTTTGAAAACCAGCACAAGACAAGGATGCCCTCTCTCACCACTCCTATTCAACATAGTATTGGAAGTTCTGGCCAGGGCAATCAGGCAAGAGAAAGCAATAAAGGGTATTCAACTAGGAAAAGAGGAAGTCAAATTGTCTCTGTTTGCAGATGACATGATTGTATATTTAGAAAAGCCCATCTTCTCAGCCCCAAATCTCCTTAAGCTGATAAGCAACTTCAGCAAAGTCTCAGGATACAAAATCAATGTGCAAAAATCACAAGCATTCTTATACACCAACAACAGACAAACAGAGAGCCAAATCATGAGTGAACTCCTATTCACAATTACTACAAAGAGAATAAAATACCTAGGAATACAACTTACAAGAGATGTTAAGGACCTCTTCAAGGAGAACTACAAACCACTGCTCAATGAAATAAAAGAGGACACAAACAAATGGAAGAACATTCCATGCTTATGGATAGGAAGAATAAATATTGTGAAAATAGCCATACTGCCCAAGGTAATTTATAGATTCAATGCCATCCCCATCAAGCTACCAATGACTTTCTTCAAAGAATTGTAAAAAACTACTTTAAAGTTCGTATGAACCAAAAAAGAGCCCACATAGCCAAGACAATCCTAAGCAAAAAGAAGAAAGCTGGAGGCATCACGCTACCTGACTTCAAACTATACTACAAGGCTACAGTAATCAAAACAGCATGGTACTGGTACCAAAACAGATATATAGACCAATGGAACAGAACAGAGGCCTCAGAAATAACACCAGACATCTACAGCCATCTGATCTTTGACAAACCTGACAAAAACAAGAAATGGGGAAAGGATTCCCTACTTATAAATAGTGCTGGGAAAACTGGCTAGCCATATGTAGAAAGCTGAAACTGGATCCCTTCCTTATACCTTATACAAAAATTAAGTCAAGATGGATTAAAGACTTAAATGTAAGACCTAAAACCATAAAAACCTTAGAAGAAAACCTAGGCAATACCATTCAGGACATAGGCATGGGCAAAGACTTCATGACTAAAACACCAAAAGCAAAGGCAACAAAAGCCAAAATTGACAAATGGGATCTAATTAAACTAAAGAGCTTCTGCACAGCAAAATAAATTATCAGCAGAGTGAACAGGCAACCTACAGAATGGGAGAAAATTTTTGCAATCTATCAATCTGACAAAGAGCTAATACCCAGAATCTACAAAGAACTTAAACAAATTTACAAGAAAGAAAGAAACAACCCCATCAAAATGTGGGCAAAGGATATGAACAGACACTTCTCAAAAGAAGACATTTATGCAGCCAACAGACATATGAAAAAATGCTCATCATTACTGGCCATCAGAGAAATGCAAATGAAAACCACAATGAGATACCATCTCACACCAGTTAGAATGGCAATCATTAAAAAGTCAGGAAACAACAGATGCAGGAAACAACAGAGGATGTGGAGAAATAGGAACTTTGGAGAAATAGGATGTGGAGAAATAGGAGCTTTTATACTGTTGGTGAGAGTGTAAATTAGTTAAACCATTGTGGAAGACAGTGTGGCGATTCCTCAAGGATCCAGAACTAGAAATACCATTTGACCCAGCAATCCCATTACTGGATACATACCAAAGGATTATAAATCATTCTACTATAAAGGCACATGCACATGTATGTTTATTGTGGCACTATTCACAATAGCAAAGACTTGGAACCAATGCAAATGTCCATTAATAATAGACTGGATAAAGAAAATGTGGCACATATATACCATGGAATACTATGCAGCCATAAAAAAGGATGAGTTCATGTCCTTTGCAGGGACATGGATGAACCTGGAAACCCTCATTCTCAGCAAAATATCACAAGGACAGAAAACCAAACACTGCATGTTCTCACTCATAAGTGGGAGTTGAACAATGAGAACGCATGGACACAGGGAGGGGAACATCACACACCGGGGCCTGTTGTGGGTGGGGGCCTGGGGGAGCAATGGTGTTAGGAGAAATAACTAATGTAAATGACGAGTCGGTGGGTGCAGCAAACCACCATGGCACATGTATACCTATGTAACAAACCTACATGTTGTGTACATGTACCCTAGAACTTAAAGTATAATAAAAAATAATAAAATAAAATAAAATGTCTAGTACAGTGCCTGCCAATATAAAGGATTCAACCATGTGAGTTCGCTGCCTCCTATCCCTCCTCTTTGCCTGCTTGCAGGTATCTGGATGCACCTTGCTATTTCCTCTTATCCAGGCACTGGCTTTCGGATAATGTCACAGGTTCCAGGGCCAGGGGATTACTGGGTCCCTGTGAGGTGCCCAGAGTCTTAGAGCTGGGGGGCATAGGAGATATCTTGCCTGGGCCAGGCCAAGAGAACATTCATTCCTTCGTGTTCACAGGGGGTGGCCTCTTCAGGTGTCAGTGAGCAGGCTGTGGTGTGGTGGAAAGAGTTCTGAACCCAGGAAGCATGGCTCGAATTTAGGCTCTGCTGGACACTTGTTCTGCCACTCCACTGGGCAAGTCACTGGGGACCATTCAGTCCCACTTGCTCATCACAAAATTCTTAATGGCCAATACAGGTAGAAATACCTGTATTGTGTGTGTGTGTGTGTGTGTGTGCTGCAAAGAGTGATGTCAACACAGGGCCTCATGAATAGTCATGAGGAGTTAGAGCACAGAGAAGGAAACCCAGCCCAGCTAGAATGGCCACAGCCATGCAAAGAACCCAGCAGCATTCACTTTCCCTCATCTCAGAGTTCCATGCTCCGTCCACTCACCCGATCTGCTTATTAAAGGCTCAGGCTTAACTTCTGGTGGTGTTCACGCCATGGTTTCTCCAACGCCTTGGCAGACAAGGCAGTAGCCTGCAGATGCTTCAGGGTCTGGATGTAGTGCAAGCCTCTTCATGAATGCCACTCCCTAGAACTCACTGGGTGTAAAAGTATCACTGCCTGATTGGTTTCATCAGCAATAATGTCCCCTGGCTTTGTCAATAGTCAGGGCTTTCACTTAGATGGGATCTCAGAAAATGTGGCTAAGTCTTTTGTTTCCAGAATCTCATCCACAGCACTCCCAACAGGCTCTCACCCTGCTTGTCACAGATTTTCATTGTGAAAATCTCCAGTGACAGTGAACTTACCACTTTCCACACAGCCCCCTCCACGGAGAGCTCTTGAAGAGAGCTGTTGGCCTCATCATATGAGATTTATAAATAGGCAGCTGTGGTACGAAACACAGAGGTTTAAGAACAGAGGGTGGAGCTCAGCCCCTGGTGGAAAATGACATCTGTGACTCACTCAGAAGAGCAGGTCCCTCTCAGCCTTTCTGCCACATGGAGCTGGGATGCCCAGAAGGAGCTCTCCTGAGGATGCCTCACTGAGGTGGGGTGAGGTGAGGCCTGATGGAGGCACCAGCATGGCCCATGAGCTCTAGAAGAAGGCTGGGCTTTGGGTGGGCACCTGAGCCAGCCACACCAGGAAGGGAATACTGCCTAGTGCAGCTGTTCTCAAACCTTATGGTCTCGAGAGCCTGCTATACCACTGAAAACCACTTGAGGACCCTAGAGAACGTTCCTGGATTACATCTACCAACATTACAAATTAAAACTAAACATATTCTTTAATATTTATTTGGTAATTTATTAAAAATAATGAAAATCAACACTTTTTGTTTTCTAAATTTAAAAAATTGACTAAGCATCACTTTTACATTTTTGTAAATCTCCTGAATGTCTGGCTTTCTAGAAGATTGCATTCCATCTGTTACACTATCACACATCACCCAGCCTCTGGAAAACGCCACTGCAGGCTCATGAGAGAATGGGGGAGAAACAGGCTAATCATATCTTAATATTATTGTGAAAATAGTTTTGACTTTGTGGATCCCCTGGAAAGGCCTCGGGAATAGCCAGGCCAAACTTTGAGGACCTCTAGCCTAGTGATTAAGAAAATGTATTTTGGTGTCAGATTGCCTGGATTCAAATTCCATTTCGGCCCCCCAGTAGGTGTTCAATAAATGTTAAATGCTATTATTATCATAACAGGGTACTCAGTGTATTCTCAATGGATTTTATTTTTCAAGCACAAAGTCTGGAATCCCCCAAAGAAGGATTCAAAACAGTGCCTCAATTTCAGTAATGAGCACTATAGGTTAATATTGTCGCTGTATAAATGTGTATCATTGTTGTTTCACATTTGCCTATAGGATTAGTATAGAATGAATCCTAGCAACAGCAGGCAACTTTGCTAAACATATCCACTCCCTGATCGGAGGACAAATGCATCCCCCACCCCCAACACTGTGAGCCCTTCGGCCAAATTTTTAAACCTCACTGAGTCTCATTTTGCCCCTTCTGTAAAATGAAGTTCATAATAATACCTGCCTCATAGGTTTGCCATGAGAATTAACAAAGATAAGGATAAAACATACACTTAGCCCAGCATCTACACATAATCAGCACTTGATAAATATTAACCAAAAGTTTTTTATGGCAGTTCTGAAAGCCACCACTAGGGCTCAGATATCTGGAATTACCACAAGGGTATTTGTTATTGATACAAAAATAACTCCCTGGGTGAGCCAACTGATGGGATTTTGGATGAGAATTACTGAATTATATTTCTGGAATTTTTGTTAGATGCCTGGGTCCTCAGAGGCAACATATACCAATGGTCCGCCTTCACAGACCCCTTTGGGAGTGTGCCTGTTCTTTGGACGCTGGCTGCACCGGCAGGCACACCAGGTTCCCACGGGCTGAGTCACACACTTGGCAGTTTTGCCGGCTCAATAAACATGGCTTTCTCATCTGCCAACTCTGGCGCTGTGATGAGCTCTGGCCACACTTTAAAGTATAGAAGGCTTTGTAGCCTCACCGTGCTCAGAGTACAAAGCCCTTCTAGCTGTGGACAGCCACAGCTTCTGGAACAAGGATGATGGAATTAGCAGCGAAGACATTAAAATGTTATTTTTAGCAGTGTTCCAAATCATTACGACTCCCCACCCCCCGTAATGTCCTCTAAATCCTTCCTGACAGTATATGTTTATTTTTCTTTCCTGAGAATTATTAATTGGTAACCCAACAGTTCAAATATAGTTTTCAGCTGGTTCCAGAAATTCATTTCTTCATCATAGCACTGTGACCTTCCATCATATGACTGGCCACTATCTACTTTGTGGTTGAGTCATTGTTGTTCAACAGCGCTACAAACATGTATTGAACTCCACCCATTTACCAAACACTGCACGTGGATATGAGGGTGGGCCACATCTGGGCCGGGCCCCGGGAGCCAGGTCTTGGGTGACATGGAGACAAATAGACAAATGCACAAATAAACAGCCGCAGTCAGTGGAGCATGTGCAGGGGAGGGTGGGGGACAGGGCGCTCGGCAAGGGCACCTGAGGCTGGCTCATTTTAGCATCAGGTTTCATTTCTAATGTCACCTCTGCCAAGATGTGCTCCCGCCCATCGTATTTGCAATAACCCCCTTGTCCCTGCACTCTGTCACATGGGCACATTTTATTTTTTTCACAGCATTTATCATTATTCAAACGTTTTATTGATTTGTTTACTTGTACATCACGTATCACCCCTACTGAGTAGACACCCAGTGAGCATTTGCTGAATGATCAGTGGAGTCTCTAAATGAATGAATGAACTACACACTCAGTAGATGTCAAATTAAATCATTATTCTAAATCACAAAGGCAATTTGGGGGGAAAGGTTAAAAATGGCTAATGTGATATATGTAATTACTGTCTCCAACGTATCAGAATTTTTCCATGAAAATATTGATCAGGGGTCTTCTATGACTACAGAGGAAAGTGGAGTTAAATTAACAAGAAGAAATTTTGAGGCATGGCCCTACATATTAGAAACATACATCTGAGTAAAGACTTCAGTTCTATAGACTTTGGGAAAAAGTGACCACATTATCCTTTTGGATGGTCGATCCCTTCACCTGCCTGAAGGCAGAAGGCTCAACCAAGTATAGGAGTCTATGAGGCCAGCAGAGAGTAGCCAGCCAGCCAAACCCCAAGGATGCCTCCAAGACCTGCAATCACATAGAGATACAGGTGTGTAGAACATATTTATTTGTAAATGCATATAAATACATGGACATATTTTAATATATTTACATATATGTACATACACCCACAAAAACAGAGAGTATAAATATTGGAGGCAGTTTAGCCAGTCCCACTGGAGCCACTGGGACCCCTGACAGGTAGCTCTCTCCTCTGTCCCAGTGTTCAGGTGCTCCTGCCATGACACACTCTGGAACATTCTTGCTACTAATAAACAGTGAGTTCATTAGCTGGCAAAAGTGCCATGTACATTTGGAGCATTATTGCAGAGTTGGGCCACTGTTCCATGTTTCCGGAGATTTATTCACCCAGGAAACATATACAGAGTCTCTATTGTGTGCCAGGCCTAGGCATGCAGAGAACTTGGACTAATGATGGAGACAGACAAGCAAATAACTGGCTGTGGTGCAGGATTGTACTGCTGAAGTCTGCCCAAGGAGTTAGGGGAGCAATATATATATTGCTTATATATAGAGAGAGGGTTTATATAGATACATATGCCTGGGGGTCTGGGGAGGCTGCTTGAAGCAGGTTCCATCAGCTAGAATTTGAAGGCTAAATCAGAGCTTCCTGGATGCAGAGTAGGAAGGGAGGGTACAGGAAGTGAGGGTGGCGCGCCAGGCAGAAGGAACAGCATGTGCAAAGGCAAGGAGAGGAAAACCAGCCCAGTTCACAAAGCATGGAGGTGATGGGGGGCCCGACACGGGGCTGCAGAAGCATCTTGGGGCTGCATCAGCAGAAACCTTGTGTTTTAAGCCAGGAAGTTTGAACAGGGTCCCGAGAGTTAAGGGGTATCTGAGGAACTGCCGCAGATCTGCCTTTTAGAAAGACCTGCAGACCTTTGGCTGCTGTGACAAGGCACTGAATGGGAGGAGACCTCAGGCTTTTAGCAATAGTTCTGGCCAATGGAGACCAAGTAGAGAAGGTGGAGATGAGAGACAGTAAAAAGGAAGATGCCTCAGGACTTGTGAGACAGAGATGTAACAGAGAGGTAGAGAGGTGGGGAGGAGTTGCTGAGGATAAGACCCACTATACACTAGGCCCCGTTCTAGGATCTGGGGCTCTGCAGCAAACAGAGGAAACCAATATCCCTGCCCTCATGGCATTGGCATCCAGTGGGAAGGGCCAGACAGAAATAAACAAGCAAGTCAGCATGGAGTGTAACCAGTGTTGCATCCTTACGAGAAAAATAAAGATGCGATGTTGGCAGAGGGGGTAGGAGGTTTGAAATTTTATTCAGGGTGGCTCTGAAGACCTACAGGACATGAGGAAGCCAGCCCGGTGGCTCTCTATGGGAAGAGAATTCCAGGAGGAGAGAACAACAGTACAAAGTCTCTGAGGCCTTGTGTGTTCCAGGTCCTTTAAAGGGGCCCGTGTGGCTGGAAGGACCCGGGAGGAGAGCTACAGGGGTGGAGCAGGGGATACCGCAGATTGTGAGGGATGTTATAGGCCATCGTGAAGACTTGGGCTTTTACTCTGAGTGAATGGGAGCCATTGGAAGGTGGTGAGCAGAGAAGGACACGATCTGACTGCACTGTGGGTTAGAGATGAGAACAGATTGGAAGAGACAAAACAGAAGTCGAGAGACCTGGTGTAGCCAAGGCAGTGGAAGCAGGGAAGAGGTCAGATTCTGGATGTATTTTAAAGCTGGAGCCACCAGGGATTGCTGATAGATTAGATTTGCCTGAGAGAGAGGGGAATCCAATTTGACTTTAAGAGTTTAGCCAAAAAAAAAATTAGCCAGGCGCAGTGGCAGGTGCCTGTAGTCCCAGTTACTCGGGAGGCTGAGGCAGGAGACTGGCGTGAACCCGGGAGGCAGAGCTTGCAGTGAGCTGAGATCACGCCACCGCACTCCAGCCTGGGCGACAGAGCAAGACTCTGTCTCAAAAAATAAATAAATAAATAAAAATAAATAAAAAGAGTTTAGCCAACTGGAAGATTAGAATCGCCACCTTCCAAAGACAGGAAGCTCAGAGGTGGAGCGGTTTTCTGGATGGAGATGGGGACATTTATGGGTTTAGCTCGAAAGAGGTGAAATTTGAGATGACAGGTTATGTCCAATTAGCAGTGAATTATAGAGCTCTGGGTGTCATTTGGCCTTCAGATGGAGCTGTGGGACAGGGCATATAGGAAGGCCAAGTAGGCAGCCCCCGTGTCATAATGGGGTTGTCTTTCCAACTCTTAATGTCATGGTTCCTATCGCAGCTACTCATTATAATCACCAAGGAAGCTTTTAAAAGGTATCCTGAGGCCGGGCGCCATGGCTTACGCCTGTAATCCCAGCACTTTGGGAGGCCAAGGCAGGTGGATCACCTGAGGTTAGGAGTTCTGGACCAGCCTGGTCAACATGGCAAAACCCCATCTCTACTGAAAAATACAAAAATTAGCCAGGTGTGGTGGCGGGCGCCTGTAATCCCAGCTACTTGGGAGGCTGAGGCACGAGAATCGCTTGAACCCAGGAGATGGAGGTTGCAGTGCGCCGAGATTGTGGTACTGCACTCCAGCCTGGGTGATAGAGTGAGACTCTATCTCAAAAACAAAAACAAAATAAATAAATAAAAGGTATCCTGGATCTCATTTCAAATGTATTGAACAGGAATCTCACAGGTGGAACTCAAATGTAAAATTTTCAAAACTCTCATCAAGTAATTGTGGTGGACACCACTGGATAAAATTCTCCACATTATAGGGAGCCTTCTGTTGATTTTATTGCTGCACTAAAATGAAAAGTGTCAAGAGAGTGAGAAGACCAGCCACAGACTGGAGAAACTATTTGCAAAAGACATCATATAAAGGACTTATTCAAAATACACAAATAACTCTTAAAACTCAACATTGCAAAATCAAAAACCCAATTTAAAAATGGGCAAAAGAGCTGAACAGACACCTCACCAAAGAAGATGTACAAATGGCAAATAAGCACATGTAAAGGTGCTCAACATTACATATAATCCAGGAAATGCAAATTAAAACAAGATATCACTGTACACCTATTAGAATGACCAAAATCTGTAACATTGACGACACCAAATGCTGGTGAGGATATGGAGCAACAGGAACCATCGCTTACCGCTGGTGGGAATGCAAAGTGGTACAGCCACTTTGGAAGACAGTTTTGTAGTTTTGCACAAAACTAAACACAGTCTTACCAAATGATTCAGCAATCATGCTCCTTGATATTTACCCAGATGAGTTAAAAACTTTTATCCATACAAAAACATGCACATAGACGTTTATTCCAGCTTTATCCATAATTATCAAAACTTGGAAGCAACCCAAATGTCCTTCAGTAGGTGAACAGATAAATAAACTGATAAATCCAAACAATGGTATATTATTCAGTGCTAAAAAGAAATGAGCTATCAAGCCCTGAAATGATATGGAGGAACCTTAAATGCATATTACCAAGAGAAAGATGCCAATATGAAAAGGATGATACTCTATGATTTCAGGTATATGACGCTTTGGAAAAGGCAAAACTGTGGAGAGAGTAAAAAGATCAGGGGTTGCCAGGAGTTAGCAGGGAGGAATAGGGGAATGAATAGTCAGAACTTTCAGCGCAGTGAACCTGTTCTACATGATACCACAATGGTGGACATGTCACTATACACATATACATTCGTCCAAACCCACAGAACGCACAACACCAAAAATCAATCCTAATGTAAACTATGGACTTCGGTTGATTAAAAAAAAAAACAACTAAACTACGGAGATGGACATTTATGGAGGAAGAGGGAAAAAAAGAACACAGTGATTTTTACTCACTTTAATGTGTTAATGACGTATCAAAAGTGTTTGATTAAAACTGTGCCTTTTGTGCCAGGCATCCAGCAGGTGCTAGCAGTGAGTTAGTAAACAGAATGGGACACCCCCTGTCCCCATGGGGCTTACATTCTGAAAAGCCTGTTTGGGAAGTGTGGAGAGTGGAAGAGGAAGCCTGAGTGCCTGGGAATCCTGACCTACCTCTGCCTGTAGAGGCTCCCTGTGGCATAAGCCGGAGATGGCAGTGCACCCAAAGCTGAGAGCCAGGATAAAACCCCAAAGAAGGGCTACTCGGACACCTCATCTTCTCAGACCTCAGTTAGTGCTCACATTTTCACCACTCAGCAGCCCCTGCTTTTTCCAGTACTCTGTTAGAGGGCAGATGGGGAAGGGAGGAGGTGTGTTAGGGACCCTCAAGCCTTGCAGAGTCACGGCCCTGGGAAGGGGCACTCTGGGATGGAGACATCAGACCCCAGGCAGCAAGGGGGAAGGATGTGGTCTGAGGGAATCATATGTTTTCCTGTATCTGCTACTCCATGCCAGTACAGGGGCAGGGGGCTGCACAGGGGCCACTCCCCGCACCTCCCGCCACCATCAAGGTCTGAGCTCTGCCTATCCTGAGAAACACACAGAGTCTGATCTTTCAAGTGGTGCCTCAGAGTCAAGGGCAACTTTCTGAGGGCAGAAGGAAGAGAGCAGAACTTCTGTCCTGACTTGACGCCCACTCGGCATGAAGAAAAACTGAGAAAAAGAACAACGGTGACCACATGGAAGACAGAGCCTCTACTAAAAGAGAGACTCTTGCTACTATCAAAAAACAAAAACAGAAAATAACAAGAGTTGGTGAGGATGTGGAGAAATTGTGCACTGTTGATGTGAAGATACAATAGTGTGGCCACTGTGGAAAACACCAAGGAAGTTTCTCACAAAATTAAGCATAGAAATTACCATTTGCTCCAGCAAATCGACTTCTGGGTATATGTCCAAAAGAACCGAAAGCAGGGTCTCAGAGTGATATGTGTATACCCATGTTCATGGCAGCATTATTCAAATCGCCAAAAAGTGGAAGCAACCAAGTGTCCATTGATGGATAAATGGATAAACCAAATGTGGTCTCTGCATACAATGGGATATTTTTCAGCCTTACAAAGAGGGTTCTGACACATGCTACAACATGCATGCATCTTGAGGACTTTATGCTAAAGGAAATAGCCCAGACACCAAAAGACAAATACTGTTTGATTCCACTTCAGTCAAGTACCTAGTATAGTCCAATTCATAGAGACAGAAAGTAAAATGATGGCTGCCAGGGGTTGGGGGAGGGAGAATGGGGTGTTACTGTTTAATAGGTGCAGAGTTTCTATTTGGGAAAACGTAAAAAGTTCTGGAGATGGATGGTAGTTGTGATTACACAATATAAATGTTCTTAATGCCACTGAACTCTACACTTAAACATGGTTACAATGGTAGTTTATGTTATGTATATGTGTAACATAATGTATATGTATATAATGTATATATACACATATTTTACCTCAACTTAAAAAACAGAGTTAGCTTCTTTTAGTAACCAAGAAAAGAGCCCCTCTCAGGCTTGCTCAAGTAGGGAGAGTGGGGGTGGGGGTGGCTACTTTGGGGGAGATGGGCCTCTCAGAAATGTACCATCAGGAGCTATGATGAAGCCAGCTCCCCCCAGAAACCAGAAAAGGGGGTGGTTGTGCTGTTGCCTGACTTCTTCCTTCCACACCACCTGCTGGTCTCCTTCCTTGCTGTTCTCTAGCTCACTCATACTGCCCCCTTTCTTCCCTGGCTTGCCCAGGACCCTTCAAAATACCCCCACACCTCCTTAGACATTCTTTCATCTTCAGCCACCTGCTAACTGCCTCCCCTCTGTGGCCTCCAGTTCAAATTTTGAAGGAACCAGACTGATCACTCTATTTTGGGGGAATAGGCACATTACAAGGGCCTGGCGAACTTGTGGGCTGGCCGCCCTGACCAGACAGCTTTTTGAGGTTGGTGGCAGCCTCCCGGGGTAGCCCGGTCAGCAGGCCTCTGGCCACCAGCTCTCCTCAGGAGAGGCAGTGGGTGGCAGGGATGGTGGGTTCCTGTGATGGGACTCAGCAGAACATCAGTAACCTAACCTGACTCCTCAAGACTGACTGCTTCCATATTTGTCCCAAAGGCAGTGATTCTCTCCATCTTAGTCCATTTTTTGTTGCTTATAACAGAATTCCAAAAGTGGGTAACTTATTTTAAAAAAAGGAATTTATTTCTTACAGTTCTGGAGGCTGAGGAGGTTGAGGAGCTGTATCTGTCAAGAACCTTCTTGCTGGTGGAGACTCTGCTGGGTCCCAAGGCAGCTCAGGGCATCTCATCACAGGGGAATGAGCATGCAAGCTCAGATTTCTCTTTCTCCTCTGATAAAGCTACTAATGTCACTCCTGTGACAATCCATTAGCCCATTAACCCATTCATTCATTAATGGATTAATCTAAGCATGAGGACAGAGCCTTCATGACACAATCACTTCTTTTTTTTTTTTTTTTTGAGCCGGAGTCTCACTCTGTCGCCCAGGCTGGAGTGCAGTGGTGCCATCTCGGCTCACTGCAAGCTCCACCTCCCAGGTTCAGGCCATTCTCCTGCCTCAGCCTCCCAAGTAGCTGGGACTACAGCCTCCCACCACACACCAGGCTAATTTTTTGATTTTTAGTACAGACAGGGTTTCACTGATGCCACAATCACCTCTTAAAGGCCTCACCTCCTAATACTGCCACATTGAGAATCAAATTTCAATGTGAGTTTTGGAGGACACAAACATTCAAACCACAGCACTTTTCCTTCCCTATCCCCATACCCTTTCCATTATTTGTTATTCTGTTGTTCATTTACTCCAGAGATAGTCAATGATACGTGGGGCAAAAGCCAACCTTTTTCATTTTTATATTCCTATGTCGCCACATGGTAACACTCAAATGTTTATTAACAAACTAAAAGGAAAAATAAAAAATAGAAAAGCACTGGATTTGGAATGTGAAGACGCAAGTTGAATCCGTCTGTGTGAGCTTTGAAAAAACATCTAATTGCCCGGAGCCTCCCCCTCAAATTCTGCACAGTGAAATGGGCCCAAATGTATCAGTGATCTAAGGCATGTTCCACCACACCCTAAAAAGAGGTGAAGGGGTGTCTTTACTGCCAAATGTCTCAATGTCTTTAATATGCTAATGGGCCTTTTCAATGTCCCAGAGAGATATTAAAGCACAGAACACTTCTCAAGTTCACCTGTCCACAGAATCCTTTAAATAACCCAGAACATCCTTTGGCTGGGAAAGATGAAGAACCTGTTTGAGATGCCACAACTTCTAAGGGTTGCTTTAGCTTTAAAGAGTCTCAAACTACCTATGAGTCTGTTTGATGCTTCCTGTTCACTTGCCCAGAATAAACTGCTCTGGAGTTTAGATTTGAGATGACCTTGGCTACTTTTGGTTGCTTCCTGTCAGTATCACACTTGTGGTTGTCTAGGGTTTGTTTCCTTCTGTTTATCCATGAACTGCAGGTAGCCAAGTCCACTGAGTCAGGTTCTATGAAATTGCTTCTGCTTATCTCAGGGAATGATATGGTACCTCCTGTTACCAAGAAAGATAAGGCACAGTTGCCCTACCACTGATACATGCATGAGTGAGGACATCTGAGGGGACAGGTGCTACCCAGGAAGGTGCCTATGTTGTTTGACTGCCAGATCATCATTGCACTAATGTAATTAATGGGAGGTGCAATCTAATGTGTAGGTTGGTCGTGGCAAAGTGAAATATCTTTCATGACTTTGATTAATGGCCAGATATTATAACTGACTGGAGAACAGGGATCAAAGGGAACACTGTCAAATGCAGAAATACAGACGTGGCCAGGGCTGCCAGGGGACCTGAGGTGTGCTCTCCTGTCCTGTTACCCTAAAGCTCCAATAATGAAGTGCCACAGACTGTATAACAGAAATGGATTCCCTTAGTTCTGGACACTCAAAGTTTGAAATCAAGGTGTTGGCAGGGCTGTGGTCCCACTGAAGCCTCTAGGAGAGGATGTTTTCTTATCTCTTTTGGCTCTGGTAGTTCTGGCTGTTCCCTGGCTTGTGGCAATGTCACTACAATCTCTGCCTCCATGTTCACATGGTTGCCTTCTTTCTGTGTGTGTTTACACATTTTCTTCTTATAAGGACACCAGTCATATTGGATCGGGGCCCACCTTAATGATCTCACCTTAATTTGATTATGTCTGCAAAGACCGTATTTCCAAATAAGGTCACATTCATAGGTCCGGAGCATTAGAACTTCAACATATCCTTTGAGGAACACAATTCAGCCCATTACGCCCCTTATGTCAAGGAAAAGCACATATGGGGGCCAGCTGCCTGCAATATGTTGTGTGTGGCCTTCTGAGCGCTGTCTGTGAACAGTGGCTATCTAATCTCTCCCTTTGGGACCTATTCGTGGTTTTCAGACAGGACACTCCAGAGTCTAGACACCTTTGGCACGAAGACAGAGTTTAAAGCCAGGGATGTCAAAGGTATCAGAGGCTTTATTTGCAGATGAAAGAGGATATATTCTGGAGTTACCGTAACACATGGCTTAGGAGCTAGTTGGACTCTGGTTTGAATCCTGCCTCCATCACTCAGTAACTGTGTGATGCTGAGAAAAGCTCTTGACCATTCTGAACCTTGGCTTTCTCACAGGTAATGGGAATGACACCAACCCTATCCCAGTGGTTCTCATCTGAGGGAGATTTTGCCCCCTAGGACATACATGGCAATGCCTTCACACATTTTTGATTGTCATAGCTGAAGAGGTGCTACTGGAGTCTAGAGGGTAAAAGCCAGGGATGCTGCTAAACATCCCGTAATGCACAGGCCAACCCCCTACAACCAAGAATGATCCGGCCCCAGATGTCTCAATAGTGCCGAGATTGAGAAACACTGCCCCATCCTCATGGGGTTGGTAATGAGATTTGGAAATGAGGCATAAAAGGAGCTCAGCACATGTCTGCCATCAAGTCAGTCCAATAAATGGTAGTTCTGCACATCGAAAAGCAGGGAGTGTGTGACAATCCTATACAAATATTTGAGCTCACTAGAATCTTCAGAGTATGAAGAAGAACAAAGGCTGTCATATGTAATGCAATCCCTGCTACTTTATGAATGCCAGGGAAACATAAAGAATGTAAAAATATAATTAAGTAAAACAAACAATGAGGTATACAGGAGCGACATAAATATTAATGGTGTGTTTGTTATGTCACACGCTTGCTACTTTTACTGAGATCACCTCATTTAATCCTTTAACCAACATGATAAAGTAAGAATTTTTATTCCAATGGGAATAAAAATGTTGCAAAATGTTGCAGGTATAGAAACTGAGGTTCATGAGAGCTTAGTATCTTGCCCCTGGGGTATGTACCTATAAGTGGTAGAACTGTTCTATTTGACCTAGAGTCAAATAGACTCTCTGTTGCCCTACCCTGATTCAGATGTAATCACTGGAACTAATGAATTTATTAATCATGAATCCAATGGTGTGGATGCCAAGAGACATAGGAAAGGGGATTCTCGGGAGATTAGGAACCTAGTGAAGATTCCTCAGGGATTTCTAAGGGATCTTTAGCATTCTAAGGCCTCCCCTCTCTTCCTTCCATTTGAGCCTAGAATCTGCTTGATGTTCTCTCTGGTGATCCTGACAGCTTGAGCAGTCTTGCCCTCCAGAAGCAATGAAAAATCCAACAAGATTATCTCACTTACTTTTCCTTCTCTAGCTGCCCATGACAGGTACCTCATGATAACAGAGCACTAGTACACAACACAGAGGAAAGCATCTAATTTAACCAGAGGTATAACAGCAATAGCACAAAAGCTGAGAATGGAGAACTGGAATATACCCTTGTAAGGTACCTGAATCCACATGAAGTGGTAGTATCACTTGAAGATAGACAAAATGAAGTCAAAGATGCATGCTATAAACCTAAAATAACCTCTAAAATAATAATACAAAAAGTTACAGCTAATAAGCCACAAAGGAGATAAAATGGAATCATAAAAATAATCAGTTCATCCAAGAAGATACACCAATGGCCAGTAAGTGCATGAAAAGATACTTAACATCACTAGTCATCAGGAAAACGCAACTCCAATCCCCCAGTGAGATACCACTTCACACCAATCAGGATGGCTATAGGCAAAAAGACAAAAGCCAACAAATGTTGGTTACAATGTGGAGAAATAGGAAGGCTCATTCACTGCTGGTGGGAATGTAAAATGGGGCAGCCACTTTGGAAGAATCTGGCAGTTCCTCAAACAGTTAAACATGGAGTTGCCACATGACCCAGCAATTCCACACTTAGGTATGTGCCCACGAAAGATGAAACATGTATCTACACAAAAAAGTATACATGAATGTTCATAGCAGCTTTATTCGTAACAACCAAAATGTTAGAAAGACCCAAATGTCCATCAACTGATGAATGGACAAACAAATGCTGTATATCCATATTGTGGAATTAATTCACAAAAAGGAATAAAGCACTAATATATACTATAACATGGATAAAAATAGAAAAATATTATGCCAAGTAAAAGAAACTCATATTATATAACTCGATTTATGTGAAATGTCCTGAATAGGCAAATTTATAGAGACAAAAAATAGATTAATGTTTTAGGGCTAAGGCAGCAGTAGGAAAGGGAGCATTTGGGGGTAGTAGCTAAAGGGTATGGAGTTTCTTTTAAGGGTGATTAAAATGTTTTATAATTGATTATGATTCCACAATTTATGTATATTCCAACAATCACCGAATTACACACTTTAAATGGGAAAAGTATACAGTATATAAATTATATCTCAAAAAAGGCTGTTTTCTTTTTGGATAGAAAAAGAAGAAAATGGGACAAATAGAAAACAAACAGCAAGATGAAATGGAATCATAAAAATAATCAGTTCATCCAAGAAGATACACCAATGGTCAATAAGCACATGAAAAGATGCTTAATATCACTAGTCATCCAGGAAGGATGAAACATATATCTACACAAAAACTTACACATGAATGTCCATAGCAGCATTATTCATAACAGCCAAAATGAATGAATTCAAACCTAATAATATCAATAATCACATTAAATTTAAATGATTTCAATTCAAAGGCAGAGACTGAGCAGTGGGATTTCCTTTAAAAAGCAAGAACCAAGTATGTGCTGCCTACAAGGAACCCACTTGAACTAAAAAGACACAAATAGGTTAAAAGTAAAATGATAGAAAAGAATATACCATGCTAACACCATTTTTTTAACAGCTGGAGTGGATATATTAGCATAAGAAAATATAGATTTCAGAGCAGAGAATATTACCAAGGACAAAGAAGTGCACTGAATAATGATAAAAGGGTCTATTCATCAAGAGGATATAACAATCTTAAATATATATGGACCTGATAACAGAGCTTTAAACTACATGAAACAAAATCTGATAGAAATCCAAGGAGAAATAGAAAAATCCCCGATTATATCAGATATTTTAATTTAACTGCTTGTTATACAATACCTGAGAAGGACCTTTGGAGGTTGTCTAATCCAGTCCACTCATTTTGCTAGATAAGGAAATGGAGCCCAGGAAAGTCAAGTGACTTGCCCAAGGTTGTGGAGTTAATTAGTGCCAGAGCCTGGATATTAGCCCAAGGTATGACCAGGTTTCCCCAGCAAGCAGACTCCAAAATTCAGCCTAAAGTTGTGGTGAGAGACTTGCAATCAGAAGAAGCAGGAGGAGTCCCACTAGGCATCTAGTCATGGTTACCTGTGTTTTAAGAGACTACCCATTTAGCCCTTTTTGCAAATATTTTTTAAAGGCTAGGCACTTTTGGAGGTGCTAGGGATATGGCAAAGAAGCCAAAGTTTCTCTCCTCAAGGAACTTATATTTTAGTGACAATGACACAGGCAATAACCAAGTATATAAGTGACCAATGCAATTAAGAAAAGTAAAACAGAGTAGGAGACACAGTGGGCCAGACCTTTTAGAAATTGTGTCCCCCAATATTTCCCCAAGAAAGGCTAGTCCTGTGAAATGTTTCACAGAAATGGGCAAATAAGCTATCTGTCTGTCCTCTTCTTGAAGATTCCCTTGCACATTAGTAAATTAAAGGCCCTGAGAAGTCCTGCAGTGATGAAACTCATTTCAATGTGTTTAATCCAGTGCCTTCCAACCATGGAACAGATTTTGAGGAATGTCCATAGTGCCTCCTGGGCTCCCTACAACTTCTTTCATACCTGCTTTGTGGATTAAAGAGCCAATCCTCTAACTTTTTAGGTCTTTAGCATATTCCTCAAAAAGATTGTAGCTTCCTTCAGAAGGAATTCACAATTGAGGCAATTACACCCATCAAAGAAGCAGCATGATTTTGGGGAAGGAGCCCTTCCTTGGGCCCCTAGGGAGTGATTCTCAGTACGGAATCACTTGGCCTTTCTATGCTCAGTTTTCTGGTGAATAAAATGAGGATGCAGACTCATTTAAAATGAGCTCTCAGACTTTCTGCAGCTCTACAGTTCTGTAATTCTTTGCACTTAAATTTTAAGACGGCAGTTGACCTTGGTCCTTAGAATATCTATGTTCCAGATGCTAATCCTGCTGCCGTGGTGTGGAGAACATGCTTTGTCTCATTCATGCTCAGACTTCAGATCAGTTTAAAACATTGGTTCTCCAGTGTGGCTATGCACTGGAGTCATCTAGAGCTTTAATAAGCACTCACACTTAGATCCCATCCCAAGTTTTTGATGGAATTGGTCTGGGGAAGGGCCTTGGCATTGGAATTTTGACAAGTGCCCTGGGGCGTTCTTATGAGATGCTAAGGTTAAGAACCGTTGCTTGTAAGACACAGTCTTCACATTGCAGTCTTTCTTGTTCACCTTCATGGTGTATTGCCCTCTGAGCACCATCTGTACATGAGAATGTGTGACTGTATATGGAACAACACTATCCTTTGCCAGTAATAGAAGGTAGCTTTAAAAAAAACCAACAAAAGGAAAACAATATAATTACATTCTAGCTAAATAATGGTGCTTGCCAAAATTCTGAGCCTGAGGTCAGCATTTTCTCTAGACAGATTAACACATATGTGAATGTGTTGTGGTCACAGTGGCCTTGAACTGAGAGCTTCCCTTCATGCTTTTAGAGTAACAGAGACACAAATAAGGAGAAATTCATCACAGAGTGGTTCAACAGTATTTAATGCTGTGTCTGGGGCCTCCTAAGATCCTTTTTCTCACTACCATTAGATCACACTCTCGGGATGCCATACAAGGTCTTCATGACTATTTCTTAAGGGAGCCATTCCTGGAAGTGGGGCTGGGGTCAGGGACCAGCCTTACCAGGCCTTCAGTCTTCCAATATTTAGAAGAAATAAGGCTAAAAAAGAACGCCAATGGCAACATTGAAAAGGAATAGATGCGGAAACCAGAAAAGGCATTGTGAGATTGAGTAGGGCAGGTGTCAACAGCAAAGTCCAGACTGTAGCTGCTGTCAGGTGAGTGTGAAGGGGAAGCAGAGCAATTGAGGTTTACCTGCTGTTCCTAGGTATGTGAAAGCCTTTCCCTCCACTCCCAAGCTCCAACAACAGTGCTCAATTCTTCTGGCCTGTGGTGGGGCTGAAGGAGCCTCCTCACCCCACCACCAGAAGTGTAGGTCCAAGGACATTCCCCTGACTTGTCATAAGGTAAGAATAGTTGCCTCACTTCCTCTCCTGCTTCTGTATTATTTTGTGCTTGGAGAAGGCTTCTGCTTAGGCACCCAGAAACCAAAGTAATGGACTTCACTGAGAAGAATATTTCATAAACCCTCAAATCCAGTAAACAAAAAAGAATAAATTGTTATGTGAAAAAGTGAAAGTCTGAAACTAATTGGAAATGTCACTTTTTAGAGGAAATGAATAAAGTGAATGGGAGCTTAATTTCCTAAGTGTGATGGTGATAATCATATCATCTTTAAAGATTAATGAATACTATTTTCTGTAATAATAAAAGTTTTGGAGGTGGAGGGACAACACAGTGCCTCTGATGGTAAATGTTCTCCATTTTGTTACTGTAAATGAAGCTACCTCGTTTTGTTGGGGCTTTGCCACAATGATCTCTGGCCAAATGCACCATAAGAAATAAAGTGTTAATTGGAAAGGCATTTAAGGTGTTTGGGAAATGACAAAGGTCTTCATTTGTCAGTCATGAGATGAAACCCTATATTAGTCAGTAGACTAGGAGCTCTAAAGGAGGTTCCTGGGTCTCCTGGGAAGTTGTGAATGCAGGTGCCTGTTTCTAACTGGTATCAAGCTCTATTTCAGGAGCTTATGCTAAGCCATTTTATAAAACCAAAACAGATTTAGGTTTGCATGTAAGAATAAGTGGAAACTGTTTTTCCTCAATATCCATGTATCTGACCAGAAGAAATAGGTTCCTCCATTTCTGTTAGCAGAAATGCTTGCACAACCCCTCAGCAAATATGCTGAAACACCTTAAAATAGGCAAATGGAACCTAAATGGGGACATTTTGTTCACAACTCTTTTTAGTTATTTCATTATCATGGAAATGTATTGATTAATTCTGTTTTAAAACTTCATTTTGAAAAAAAGAAAACCCTGAAAAATATATACAATACACAATCTTAGTAGGCCTGTATCTATTTAAGAAATTGAATCAACAATTAATAATTTTCCAAAACAGAAAGCACCAGGTCCAGGCAGATTCACTGGTGAACGCTACCAAACATCTAAGGAAAAATTTATACCAATCCTCTAGAATTTCTTCCAGAATATGGAAGCAGAGTTAATACTTCGTTTACTTATTGAATGAGACCAGAACTACCTTAAAACACAACCAGTCAAAAACATTACAAAAAAGGAAACTATCAATGAATATCTCTCAATTATATAGAAGCAAAAATCCTCAACTAAATATTAACAAATTGAATCCAACAATATATAGAAAGAATTACATAACATGACCAAACAGGCTTTACCCTAGGCATGCAAGGCTGATTCAACATTTAAAAAAATCAATGGATGTAGTCTATTATATCAACAAGCTAAAAAAAAGAAAAAAGAAAAAAGAAAAATCACATGATCATACCAATAGATACAAAAAAGGCATTGGACAAAATCCGACATCCATTCATGAAAAAAACAGCAAACTAGGAATAGAGGAGGATTTCTTCAACTTGATATCGAACATCTACAGAAACTCCACAGATAATGTTATATTTAATGTTGAGAAACTAGAAGCTTTCCTGCTAAGATTAGGAACAAAGCAAAGATGTCCTCTCTCACCCTTCCTTTTAAACATGGTACTGGATGTCTTAGTGAATACAAAAAAAACAAGAAACAATAAAAGGAAATAAAGGGTATACAGATTTGGAAGGAAGAAATAAAAACTTTGTTCACAGATGACATAATTCCTATATAGAAAATCCAAAACAATTGACCAAAAAAAAGTCCTTGAACTTCTAAGCAACTAAAGCAAAATTATAAGCCATGAGGTTAATATACAAAACTGAATCCCTTTCCTACATGCCAGCAAAGAACAAGTGGAATGTGAAATTTAAAACACAATACCAGTTACATTAGCACTCCTCAAAATGAAATACTTAGGTATAAATCTAACAATATACATACAAGATCTATATGAGGAAAAAACAAAGCTCTGATAAAAGAAATAAAAAAAGAACTAAATAAATGGAGAGACATTCCATGTTCATGAATAGAAAGACTCAGTATTGTTCAGTTCTTCTCAACTTTATCTATAGATTCAACACAATCCCAATTAAAAATCCAGCAAGTTATTTTGTAGATATCAATGAACTGCTTCTAATGTTTATATGGAAAGGCAAAAGACAGAGTAGCCAACTTAATATTGAAGAAAAAGAAAAGTTAGAGGACTGTACTGTCTGACTTCATGACCTACTATAAAGCTACAGTAATCAAGGGAGTGTGGTAGTGCCATAAGAATAGACAAATAGGTCAGTAGAACTGAATAGAGAGCCCAGAAATAGATCCACATAAATATAGTCAACTGATCCTTGACAAAAGATCAAGGACGATACAATGGAGAAAAGACAGTCTTTTAGCAAATCATGCTGGAACAACAGGACATCCAAAAGAAAAAAGAAAAAAAGAATCTCCACACAAAACTGACACCTTTCATAAAAAACTCAAAATAGACCATAGACCAAAACATAAAACTATACAACTCTTAAAAGATAGCACAGGAGAAAATCTAGGTTGGATTTGGCAATGACTTTTCAGATATGACACAAAAGGCATGATCTATAAAAGAAAGCATTGAGAAGCTGGACTTTATTAAAACTAAAAACTGCTGGTTGGCAAATGACACTGACCAGAGAATGAGAGATAAGACACAGGGAGAAAGGATGTACAAAAGAGATATCTGATGAAGGACTATTATTCCAAACATACAAACAACTCTTAAAACTTAACAAAAAGAAAATGCACAACGTATTGAAAATGGGCAAACGACCTTAACAGACACCTCAATGAAAAAAGATATACAAAAGGCAACTAAGCATATGAAAAGATGCTCCACATCACATGTCACCTGGGAATTGCAAATTAAAACAACAATAACATGGCACTTTACACTTATTAGAATGGCCAAAATTGCAAACACTGACAACACCAAATATGGAGTAACAGGAATTCTCATTCATTGCTGGTGGAAATGCAAAATGGTGTAGCCACTTTGGAAGACAGTTGGCAGTTTCTCACAAAACTCTTATAAAACATGCTTTTACCATATGATCCAGCAATCACATTCCATTGTATTTACCCATGGTAACACTCTTATATGTCTATTGAGTGTGAAAACTTTCTCACAAGAAATTCTTCATCCTCCTGCACTCCAGTCTGGGTGAAATCCTGTGTTTAAAAAATGAAAGAAGGAAATTCCTCATCCTCAACACAAGCAAGAGAGGCTCCTAGAGTAAATCATGAAGAATCCAAAAATGAATGTAGAGCACGAGGAGGAAAACAACTGTCCAGCCACTCTCTGGCTATAAGGACCCTGAGCAGACTGAATTGATGGTGTCCATAGGTCATACCTGAAAAGGGATTCAGGATCCTTGCAGCACCGGAAGTACAATGAAGTACTGGCCACCCATCTGCTCCCAGCCTACAAGAGATCCAAGCTGGAGACTATACCACAGTCCCAAATCCTCCCTCCCCACCTTCAGCTGATCCCACCACCAGCTGCACTCCTTCCCCATCCACAAAGTGCAGCATGGCATCTCAGCCAACTCAAAGCAGCAGAAGTATAGCGAGCCTGCTATTCCCATTTTAAATTTCTGTGCTGTAAATAGTCAAAGGAGCAACAAAGAAATCAGAGGCCTGAGGAGGATCGGGAGGCAGGGCGGAAGCCATCAACACAGCCAGCCTGCCTGCCAGTCCCCTCCCTAGCCTGCACCCCCGCTGCACAACCCCCTAGCGAGGCCCTGAGGCCTTCCCCTCCACCCATACCCCAGCAGCAGTAGTGGAGCCCCAAATGGAACCAACTTCCTCCAGGGCATCTCCTACAGAGGAAACTAACTGCACACTGGGCAGCTTGGACAGCTGCAGGACCAGTAGAATTTGCCCTGAGGTATGACCCAGCCTTTCCCTATGGAAACAGCCAGGGCTAGCAGGGGACCACGGGGAAGTTCTTCACCTTCCTCTGCAGGCACTTGTGTTTCAGGTCAGCCAGAAAGAACCAGCATGAGGCTGAAAGCAGAGTGCAGACAGCAAAACCTCAGGTGGTGGGCAGCAGGGCAAGACTGAACACTATACCTACAGGAAAGCGTGTGGGAAGGTCAAGCTGGCTCCCGGCACTTTCCATGCAACAGGGAGGTCCTGAGCTCCAGGGAGCCCAAGGAGATGGGGCAGGAGATGGACCATGCTGGAGGCAAAGAGCTGCAGGTGGGAGGGAGCAGAAAACATGCACTGCTGTGCATGGCCCACCTGGCTGAGAGGACCTCATGCAGTGGAGGACGCAGGTGTGCAAGCTGCTCAGCGGGATCAAATCAGGAGGAAATCCCATACCTCCCTGGCTTTCAAAAGCATTGTCCCCAAGATAAGTGCTGACCTGAAAAGTCGGCCAGGAGCCTCCTGGGGAACAAGAAAGGAGGGTGGCCCCTCTGCCCCAGTGAGGGAAACTGCAGAGACTGGACTGCTTCCCCAGGGGCTCTTCTTCCTTCCTGTGCTCCTCTCTGTCTTGTCTTCTGTATTTACTGGGAAGAGGAGATGGTTCTATGGAAATAAACAAACACAATCAACAGATAAAAAAATATATATGCCAATTCATTATATTTAAATGCAATAGTTAAAAAAAAACCCTGCTCTATGACTACAGCTGTCGCAAGACAATTGTCTACAACTGTCCAAGGGGAGGGTCCTGAACCCTTGAAAACACTCTTATGATCCACCTGAAAAACGATAACAAAAACACTATCCTCAATGGAAACCAAGGCCTGCAAGAGCATCCCGAGAGTGGGACAACTGTCAATGGCTATAAAGGGGTCTTCCCCGGAGCTGTGGCATGGCTCTTCTTGCTGAGAAACAAGGCCTGAGGGCCACATCTGTATGATAAATACTGCTCTGAGACAATCTCCCCACTGTGTATAATCTTAAAACAACCCCAGTGTATTCTCTCTCATGTCCTGTGGGTGGCTGGGCTCAGCTGGGTGGTTGCTCAGCTCCTTGTGGTCTCTGCTGGGCTCACTCCTGTGGGCACATCCAGCTGGGGGACAGGCTGGGTTGCAAGGTCCTAGAGGATTCTCTCACACTCAGAGGCCCTGGTGCTGCTTGAGGGCTGGGGTGTCTCAGTTCTTCTTCCTGTGGCCTCTCAGTCACAACAGGAGAGTTAATACTTCCCTATAGCATGGCAGCTGCGTTCCAGGAGGGAACATTCCACAAGGAATGGACTAGTACTTGTCTCTGCTTGCCTTACTCTCACAAATCACATGGCTAAGCCTGGAGTGAATGTAGAAAGAGGTCACACAGGGAGGAGAATGAGGGGAGGCTGGACCCACTGGGCACCCATGTACAGTCTATCACACACTGTTATGCAGCAGAGCACTGGAATCCTTTAGAGTAATATACGAAAATGCTCCTGGTGGTGGGATTACCGGCTGAGTGTCTATATACAGGCACAGAAGAGAAAGCAGAATTACATACCTGTGTGTAGAAGATGAAGCTTTGTTCATTGCCCCTCTCCATGGTGTCTGTCCATGGTGTCTGTCTGGCCATCCTCTGCCACAACTCCCAGTGAGGCAGGATCTGATGTAGAATGCGCAAGTGGGCTGCCAATGCCTGGAGTTTCCTGAGTTTGGGAACACAGGGAGCCTACTCTGATAAAGAGGGACAAATCCACTGTTAAGGTCACACTAAAGGAGACGTTGCCTTGTCACACTGATATAATTCAGGACAGCATCCAGCTTGGCCACTGCACACAAGTTGGTGCCAAGTCAATAGCCTGACTGAAGCTCATTGATTGGGGCATTGGGGCTTGCTTTGCCAGGACTGAGGTCTTGTGTGTTGGGGCAACATTTCCCTATTCAGCTTTCAAATCTCATCTTGACCCTCACTTCCCGGGAAGTCCCCTAGCAGAAATTACTTGTAATTCACATCCATATTCTCTTCCTCTCCCTTATTTCAACAGGCACTAGTCTTACTGATTTCATGTCTGCAGTCCTGCTGCACCATCAGCTCCGGGAATAGAAGTCAGGAGTGTGCTCCTCACTGTACTTCCAGTGCCTAGCACTATGGGTGGTAAAACTGAAAACACAAATGCTCTCCCTTCTTGTCATCTGCCACCTCTCCCTTTCCCTAAATCGCCATTTACTTTAAAACTGCTAACTAAGAAGCAAAAGGCCAATGACCTTGGTCCTCTCTGACCAGGCCCCAGGTGAGAACTATGTCGTAAGGGGCAGTGGCCACAGGATGTGGTATTTGGCTGGAATGATATAATTTCTGCCCTTTGACATCGTCATGTAACTGGGTTGTCAGCTAGAGCCCTAAATAATAAAATGCAAATAAAACCCTCATTCCTTGTAAAATGGGACCCGAGCCAACTTCCCAATCTCAATGAGGATTCTTGAAAGTCAGGTATTTCCCTGGGTCTCCTCGTATTCTGATTTTCTGCTTCCACTGAATCCTGGCTCTTTCTCCCACCCATCTTTCATATTTTAGCTGCCCTTTTTCTCTCTGTCTTTAATTTACCCAGAAAGATTCAGCTCCCTTACTTTATCTCTCCTAAACATAACTTATTGATGGCCATTACATACATATCTTACAAAATTTAGTGTCTGTGCATGGGGTAGGGGTGGGAGGATTGCATCATGAAATAGCACAGCAGATAAAATAGACTGTTAGCCGTAAGTTTAAAGGCCTCTGTCGCCCACTTTCCTGAGCCCCCAAGCCAAGCTGGGGAATGTTCTCTTCTATTAGCTGTCTGTTCAACTTCTTGGACCCCTTCATCCCCCTCCTAAACCTTTTCATCTCCACCCAGGCTCACGTACCCCACTCTCCCCAAAAACAAGGCCTATGTTTTTTTAGATTCAGAGAAAATTTTTTTTCATTTTTTGAAGATTTTTCCAAAGCTGTTGTCACTGAAGTACACCCAAATGCACATATTTAAAGTATACGATTCTGTCAGTTTTGACATTCATATGCCCATGAAACTATCACCTCTCAAACTACATTGCCATCAGCCCCCAAAGTTTCTTTGTGCCCTTTAAAATCCATTCCTCCCTCCCCATCATCCCCAGGTAACCACTGATCTGCTTTCTCTATATGTATGTCAGTTTGTATTTTCTGGTGTTTTATATAAATAGAATCATACAGTATGTTCTTTTTTGCCTTGCTTCTTTCACTCAGTATAACGATTTTGAGACTTTTCAATGTCATGTAATAGTTTGTCTTTATTGCTCAGTAGCATTCCATTGTATGGATATACTACAATTTATTCATTCATCCACTGATGGATTTGAGTTTCTTGTTGTTTTGCTTTGTGTGTGTGTGTGTGTGTGTGTGTGTGTGTGGGTGTGTGTGTGTGTGTGTGTTTGGCTATAACAAACAAAGCTCCTATGAACATCCACATTCAAGTCTCTGGGTTTCATGTTTTCCTTTTTCTTTGGTAAATACCTATAAGTAGATTGGTTGAGTCATATGGTAAGTATACGTTTAACTTCTTAGGAAACTTCCAAACTGATTTCCAAAGTAGTGGTGCCATCTTACACCTCCACCAGCAATGTATGACCATTTCAATTGCTCTGCGTCCTCACCAACATTGGATACAATCAGTCGTTTTAAAGTTAACCATCTCATTGCATGTTTTTGTGGGGTGTATGTATGTGTGTTTTTAAATGCACTTTGGTTTGGCCAACGCTTGGTTTCATTTATACCAAGGGGAGCATTTGCTAGGTTTATGGGGAATAAAACCAGATTATTTCTGTTGTTCTAGGATATTATTAATAGAGTCCTCTCTTCACCTCCAGAGTGTCCTGGTTTGTATGATAAAATATGTTTTCTCTGCTTCCAGCCCAAGTAGCCACGCTCCACGGCTGTGCTTCCACAGCCACGTTGCGCATCAAGGCATTCTGCTCAACGAAGAGTTTTCTCTGTTTTCCTGCTTGTCTTAAACTGTTTTTTCCTTACCGCACCAGGATTTCAGTGCGTGGCATAATGTAGCCCAGTGTTTGGGTGGGAGATGATGGTAGGTAGCAAGGCATTTTTGCGATCAAGTGCAAATAGCTTGCCTAAAAATAAAGCCAATAAAGAGAACCGTGGAGCCAGAGATGGAGGCAGTCCTGCCATGTCCTAATGACCCCATCATCACTTGGGTCGGATGCAACCAGACTTGAGGTAAGATTCCTTACCTTAACTTTTCAACAAGGAACCAAAAATTTCCCCCCGACCTTTTTTTTTTTTTTTTTGGTCTAAGCTAGTTTGACTTGGTTTTCTGACCAATATACATAGCAGGGGAATGTGCCTCAGAAAGGCAGTAGCATTTTCCAAACTTGGGCTGCCGCTAATTTTACAACCAAAGTACCTTCCGCCTGTGAGAGGTACTATTTTTGCTGACCCAGTCCTTGGAATTGAAACCAGATGCACTGGTCACATTGGTTGGGGATGAAACTTCAGAGAACACTAAACGTCCAGGGTCAAAGTATTCAACGATATCACCGCATGATTTGCTTAATCGAATACTCTAGCTCTAGGTATCCACTATAATGCAGAGGGCTCTTTAATCTTTAACCAAATTGTCATTTAGCAGTGTGATGCAAAAACTCTTCTGGGTTTTGGGAAGCAGCCCCCATTTCCCTCCTTCGTAATGATTAGACTTAATATTACAAAAACTTATCCTTGTTTACTCACAGCGCTAAATGTGCAAAGGAGCAAACCTGTATTTGACCTATGCGAACACACAGGAGGGTGGTGCGTGCCCTCTGCTAGGAGCACAATGCGTCGCTGGCGTTATTAGAGGACATCTCTCTGAGCGGAGCAAAGGTAATACACTGGTGGAAGAAAAGAAAAGGCCGAAAGTGGGGACAGAAATTAAGACGATCCCATTCAGTCTCCTCTGGAACGTTCTGCAAAATTCCGTGAGACCCTGGACCTACAGCGATGCACTCTCAGGGACTGCCCCGGCCTTCATCCCCACACCTCAAAGACAGACGAAAAGCAGCTGAGCAGATCTCGCCTCGGGCAATCCTAAACAGCCTCTACCAGGCACAACCAGTCCTAGGCCCCGGGCGGCAACCATGGTCCGGGGGCAGCTGACTTAGGACAGCCTCCCTGTGACCCGCCCTCGCCGGCACGGCGCCGGCTCCGCCCCTTAAGCCCCCTAAGTCCCGCCTCTGCGCTCCCGGGGCCTACCCCCGCGCTCATGGCCCCGCCCCCGCTTTTCCTACCCCATCGCGCCCTGGCCCCGCTCCCACACTCTATGACCCCGCCTCTCGCACTCCAGGCCCGCCCCACGCGCTCCAGGGTTCTGCTCTCCACCCATTTGTGCCAGGCCACGCCCCCACACCCATGGCTCCTCCTCTCGCACGCCAGGGCCTCCCCTCGCGCTCTCTGGTTCGTTCTCCACCCTCTTGAGCCTTGATGCCGCCCCCTCTTCCATGGCCCCGCCTCTCCCACTCCAGGCCCGCCCTTGCGCTCTCGGGTTCCTCTCTCCACCCACTGGTGCCAGGCCTCGCCCCGCGCCAGGGCCCCTCCCCCACGTGCCCTCGGGAGTCCCGGGGAGGAGTTGCCGCGCGGAGGAGGCGTGGCCGCGGTGCCTGCGGAGGCGCGAGCGGCGCGGCGCGGCGCGGCCGGGACTTTGGCTTTGACACCGACTGCGAGCGGGAGCCGTGCGGCTGGTGCTGGGTCTGGACTGGCTCTGGCGGATCCCCGCCCGAGTTGGGCGCAGGACTTTTTGCCGGGGTAAACGCAACTGCGGCGGCGCCGCCGCAAGCCCCGGTGCAGCCTCGGCGGCGGGTTTCGCCGCCGCTGCCGCCGCCTCCGAGCAGCCCTGCGGCTTCTATTCACTCTGGGAGAGCGATGCTAAGTTTCTCCCATAGAAAGAGCCGGGACACGCAGACCGAAGCGGCGTAGTCGGCTTCCAGGGCCTGACCAGTGACCCACACCCGCGCGGACGCCTAGGCTGGAGGCAGGGGGCCCGTGCTGTCCCGGGCTGGGCTCAGGCTTCCGAGCCGCAGGTGGAAGAGGAACCGGCGCCCCGCAGAGCGGCCGAGAGGTGGGGCGCGGGGACCCGCGGCAGGTCGGGTGGGGGGTCGATAAGCCCCTTCTCAGTGCCCGCTCCGGGGAGCACGGACTTCCCAGGTTGCAGGTAGCGCTGTGTCAGATGCGGAGCGTGGGGGAGGTGGAGTGGCCACCCCGTCTGCGCGAGCCCAAGTGTGGGTGACCCAAGTGTCAGAGTTGAGAGAGGCCTGGAGGAGAGGCATGAGGCTGATGGGGATAGGTCTCTTCCCAAGAGAAGCGGCTCGTAGCCTTTTTGGACTCCAGTGTGATAAAACCCGGACGTCCCTAGAGGAGAATCCACATGGGCCTAGCCTCATTGTGCCTGCGTTTTTAGGGGTTCACGGGCAGCCACCAGTCCCCGACTCCTGGTTACTAACTCTAGCACTAGGTAGGGGGTGCTAATGCAAATTTCTTAATTCAATGGGTTTCTATGTTTATTGATTTATTTTCTAGGCGGCCAAGTGAAAGGTAATTTTGGACACGCCAGGCATGGAAGATTCGGTGTTTGTCTATAGTAACCTCTTCAGTCCCTGAATCCTGCACCTTCCGTTTTTCTGTGCTTGTACGGCCTACTGGGCTTCCTCCCTAGCCAGAGAGCTCTTCTGCAGTGGTGCGGCCTTCCCGGGAGCCTGATCCTGGCGGACCATGGGGAGCACCCTGGGCTGCCACCGCTCCATCCCCAGGGACCCCTCGGACCTGTCCCATAGCCGCAAGTTCAGCGCAGCCTGTAACTTCAGCAACATTCTAGTGAATCAGGAGCGGCTCAACATCAACACTGCCACGGAGGAGGAGCTGATGACCCTGCCTGGGGTGACGCGTGCCGTGGCACGCAGCATCGTGGAGTACCGAGAGTATATCGGTGGCTTCAAGAAGGTGGAGGACCTGGCATTGGTCAGTGGTGTAGGCGCCACCAAGCTGGAGCAGGTCAAGTTTGAGATCTGTGTGAGCAGCAAGGGCAGCTCAGCGCAGCACTCTCCCAGTTCCCTGCGGCGGGACCTGCTAGCGGAGCAGCAGCCTCACCACCTGGCCACAGCTGTGCCCCTCACCCCACGTGTTAACATCAACACAGCCACCCCGGCCCAGCTCATGAGCGTGCGAGGCCTCTCGGAGAAAATGGCCCTCAGCATCGTGGACTTCCGCCGTGAGCATGGGCCCTTTCGCAGCGTTGAGGACCTAGTGAGGATGGATGGTATCAATGCCGCCTTCCTGGACAGGATCCGGCACCAGGTGTTTGCTGAGAGGTCCAGGCCCCCATCCACCCACACGAACGGGGGACTGACCTTCACCGCCAAGCCTCACCCGAGCCCCACTTCCCTGAGCCTGCAGAGTGAGGACCTGGACCTGCCGCCAGGGGGGCCCACCCAGATTATCTCCACTCGGCCGTCCGTGGAGGCCTTTGGAGGCACAAGGGATGGGAGGCCTGTGCTGAGGCTGGCCACCTGGAACTTGCAGGGCTGTTCCGTGGAGAAGGCCAACAACCCCGGGGTGCGAGAGGTGGTGTGCATGACACTCCTGGAAAACAGGTGAGGACAGGAACCACCATGGGTGTTGGGTGTGAAGGCAACTTGTGCGTGACCTCATCTATGGATGCAAATGAATGGATTCTTTTGCGGGTAGGGAGGGTGCAAGAGTTTTTAATCAATGTTCTTGAAGCCTCAGCCAATACCGTCACCTGAGAATGGGCTGTCCTTCTG
The DNA here is from genome assembly GCF_000001405.40 of Homo sapiens. NCBI lineage: Eukaryota > Metazoa > Chordata > Mammalia > Primates > Hominidae > Homo > Homo sapiens. The sequence goes on from NC_000007.14 coordinate 36,155,374, forward strand.
CTCCAGAATTTTCTGAATACAGCTGGGCTTGTGACCCATGTCTTGAGTGTGAGATATCTGAGACTGATTCATAATTTTGGGGTAAGCAGAGGTTGTGTTTTTGTTACTGCTTTGGAGGATGCTGGGTCTACACCAAGTCAGGCACTCAGAGCATGGGAACTGGTGCAGTTTCGCATGTGAGAAAGAGCTCATTGGATTTTGTTTATTAATGGGAGGGAAAATCATATTTGTTCCATCAAATATGCCTATTTGTGCACACAAAATCATCTTAAAGGCCAAGTATTTGCAAACACATACAAGTGTCTATATTTACCAAAATGCTATGAATGAATCACTCTCCATTCTTTTTCCTTATTTAACCTGGAGTTGGTTTTCAGCCCTAAAATTGTAGCCCAAAATGTGTGTAACCTTTTCTGTGCCATAGCCAGAAAAAAGCAAGCTGACGTGTGTGTGTGAAAATTGGCCGGATTTTCCCCATTTAAACCAAAGAAAAGAGTCCAGTAGGATAGGCCGTTACCACAGAGCGTTTATGTTATTCACAATACTGCTCTCTGTAGGAATTTCTGTTAGCCTCGTCATAAACAAAAACAATATTATTTTGGCAGTAACTCCTGCTGTTAGTAAAATAGCAAACTGTATAATGTAATCAGGTGTGGGAAAGAAAGAAATATTTGTGATGGTCCCTTCCAGGTCATAAGAGCTGTGATCCTGGACTTGAGGCGTTTTGCCCTGCCACCCACCAGGGGTGCAGTGTTTGTGGCTACTCGTTGATTTCCTTTGCACTGAGTTGTTGGTGAGGCTGGCGGCGGGGGGGCAGCAGTTTGGTGACACGAAGTGAACTCTCAGCGGGAAATCACAGTGCATGATGGCAGATCACCAGGAAAATTAGTGAGGAGAAAAGCAGGTCACAACGTTTCCTTGGCACTGACCCAGTGGCATGCTCTCATCACTGAGAGAGGGACTCCACACTGGGTCAGGGAACTGGACTGGGGAGCCCTTGAATGCTCTCCCTGCACTGCTGTGTCCTCTCTTTTGCAGCCTAACTCACTCCTTCTGCAAAGTCTTCTTGTGCACAGGTGAGAGCTGTACTCGGCACCGGGAGATATTTATAAAGAATGGCTTGATAATTGTTCTCTTTATCCATAGCAGCATGGGCGTGTGAATGGGAAATGAGGAGGGGAGAGGCAGGAAAGACAAAGCTGCTTAATTCCTATTATGCTTTCTAGTGGCTCAATTTGGGAGGGGGGTGATGGATTAGGATCAAAAGTTGGTCCAGTGGGACTGACCAACCAGGCAGCCCCTGCCTATTTATTATGTCAGTGGTTTCTAAAGTGTGGTCCCCCCTGGGGACCAGCAACATCAGCTACTGACTCAGAAACTTTGTTTCTGTGTTTTAACACACCCTCCAGGTGGTTCTGATGCACACTAAAGTTTGAGAACCATTGTACTAGGTGTTAGGCAATCAGCTGTCCCTCTGTCTCTTGGAAGCCCCTTCCTCTGGCAGGGTTAGTGAATTCATGCAGAACTTTCCAGGTCTAGTCGGCCCTCCATACCTGTGGGTTCCACATCCATGGATTCAACCAACTGTAGATGGAAAATATTCAGGAAAAAAAAAAGTTGTGTCTATACTGAACATGTCGAGTTTTTTCTTGTCATTCCCTAAACAATCCAGTATGGTAACTATTTACATAACATTTACATTGTATTAGGCATTCTAAGTAATCTAAAGATGAATTAAAATATACTGGAGGATGTGCATAGGTTATATGTAAATAATATGCCATTTTATATCAGGGACTTGAGCATCATGGATTTTGGTATCACAGGGGCTCCTGGAATCAATCTCTGCAGATACCAAGGTACAACTGTCATTTTTATTTTCCCCTTTGATTGTTTTGATCATCCTTATAATTATTCAACCTTGTGATATTCTTTCTGACCAAGCGTTGAGGAGCTTATTCATCTTCTAGGACCTATGAATGTGAAGGGTAGAGAATAGGAGAGTGAGCAAAGACGGCTGGCCTCAGCGCTGGCTCCACCCTGCAGCCCACTGAGCAGGAGACCTCACGACTCTTGTCCAGTGTGAAGGTTGTCCTGTTTTTTTCTTCTTTGGGTTTCCTAGAGAGATGATGATTTGCTGAAGACATTGAACTACTGTCGTCAGGCAAGAGTACAGGAAAAGTTTACCCAAACCCACCAGGGTGTAGAAGGGATCACCTGTAAGTGACTGGGAAGGTGACCCGCACCGTCACATTCTCACTCTTGGCCAAATGTGTTGGAGGTTGATGGTTCTCTTTGCCTGGTCACAATGGATTCAGTATTCCAGACACTCCTAGCACATTGTTAATGTTTAGTAAACATGAACTAATGGACTCAGGGCCTGATCCCCTTCAGAGTAGGGTGAGTGCTTTGTCTGTATGACTGTCCTAGGGTATCAAAAGCTGTCACAGAGTAGATCTCGTGTCCTCAATGATAGCAGCACCCATTCTCCAAGAGCTGTGTGTTCGTCCTGATTCACAGAAATCTCTCCCCTTCCAATTGTTCCCGTATTAGTAAGAGGAAATACATTTAGTATGAGCAAGAATGGGTGCAGGTGATTTCTGGGTGGCTCTTATTTACATCCATGTGTACCTGTAATAAAAGAGTTTCCTAACTTTTGGGTATGCCTTCGTGCTTTCTAACAGCTTTCCCATTTACTTGATTTTCCTAGTAAGTCTGGGATGTAGGTAACACTGACTTTTATTAATGATTCTTCATCTCTGGGTAAGGAAACTAAAATCAAGTAAGTTAGATGACATGACTCTATCAGGCAGCTCCTTAGTGACTCAGCTGGGACTGCGACCCAGACCTTCTCACTTTAGACCTATGCCCTTTGCAAGCATGCTGTGTTTTGTAAGCACGACACCTTTAACCTGCCTCTTGGTTAGACACCCATCCTCTCCCTCATCAGGCGCACTTGCTAAATTGTGAGCCAGTCACAGTGTCTTAAATTAAATCCATTGTAAAGGGATTTTAAAGATACCCTTAGGCAGTTCCTTTGCAAAGGGAATAGCTGGCTGTGAATTTGCTTTAGTAGGTGTGTTTTCTTAGGCTGAAGGGTAGCTGTATGGGATGGGAGTTAGAGTCTTCTCTTTAACCTTCTTACAGCATGTGTGAGCTATAAGAAACTGTTTTGCAAGTGAGGCGTGAGGTAGGACAGCATTATTTGATAATCATACAGTCACCAGGAGCCTTCAGGGATGCCATGCTGGTAGCACAGAACTGACAGGTTTCATTAGATTATTTTGCCAAATCTCAGTCTTAGGCAATACTCTTCCTTGTTCGGTATTTATGGAACAAGATTAAAGGGGAATGTTCCTGCTAAATATGCTTGCAAAATTTGGAGGTAGTCCACATCTGGAATGAAAATTGGTTAATATTTCATTTTTACTTATTTATTTTTTGCTGGGAAGTCATTCTGTTTTGAGAGTCTCTTTGGTTATTGAAAGTATAAACCCTAAGGGAGCTGAAAGATAATCTCCAAAAGAAATAAGAAGATTTAACATCCCACTTGCTCATTTTCCCTGTGGCCTACATAAGAAGAGAACTTGAGTGTCAAAGTCTTTAGCCCTGTAATGGCTTAAATCAATTTTTTTGCCACATGTCTGTGATATCAAAGCACAAGGTGGATTAATGCCTAGCAACAAGCACTGATAGTGAAAAAAGATTTTACTTTATTAGACTTGATTAGTAGGATCAATATAAACATATCCCATCTTGTCATTTGATTCATTCATTGAAAAATATGTATTGAATGTCTGCTGTGTGCATATATAAGCTAATTTCAGGGATCAGCTTCGCCCTGTTACTTACCAAACTTAAGTCAATGTAGATTAGTTTGTGTGGCCCAGCCTCAAAACAGTCTAGTAAACCTAGAGTTTTGGGGCAGGTCAAAAGGAGTGATTGATACATGGTTGTATTTTTCTCATATGAACAATAGGCTCACCCTGGGAGGTTGAAGGGTGGGTGGATGCAGCCAGACGTAACATCTGGGGACAGAATGCCCATCAATCCTCTTAAAGTAGAAATTGTGAAATCCATTTTGACACTTTTGGAAACTGAGGCTCTGAGAGGTTAAATAGCATCTGTGTGGCCTTCAGAAATGTAGATATTGGAGTCAGGATTTGAAGTTTGTCTACTTTCAAAGCGGAGGGATTAGGCCAGATTAGGCGTGTCTTTTCCCAAACTCCATGCCCTTCTGCTGCCTCTGACTCCCAGCCCACCCACATTTCCTCCCTGCCTTTGGCTGGCCAGGTATCAGGGTCTTGGGGAAAAGGAGGGCTTCCCTACAACCCTGAGATTGTGTCAGGCCTCTGGGGGCCTCTGTTTTTTCCCGTTTTTGTTCCTCTAAAGGATGGGGCTTGAGGCCAGAGGTAGAGCCAATCCAAAAGGCGTCAGGGCTCCTCCACCCAGCCCCTCAAGTGTGAGTCTGTGACCTTGGGCCTGACTCCAAGATCAAGTTCCAGTTTTCTGAGCCAAGGAACTCTAAGGTGTTTCTAAATAGAAAGATGGTCGGTAGTAAGAGTGTTGTGGATTTGTAAGAGAAGACAGTGTGAATGCAGGGAACTTCCAATGTAGGCAGAACTTAGGGTTTATCTCACTAAAGGGAAAGGTGTGACTTTTGTTTTACAAGGAAGCTGGGCCCATTTTGGGTCTGATTCCAAGGTTCTTTGGGAGTTTGATGGTGTTGATTTTCCCAGGGGCTATCCATTCCTTTCTTACTCACTCATTCACCCATCCATCCATTCATTCATTCAGTTAGCAGATCTGTTTGGAGCTCTCACTAGGTACCAGGTTCTGTATCAGGCTCTGGTAATAAAGTGGAGAACAAGACAAAGTCCCTGCACTCATGGAACTTCTGTTCTAGGAGGAAAGACAAACAGGTCAACACACACATCAATCATTACAGATAGTGGTGCATGCTGAGGGTGATGGAGGTGAGGTGAAGAGAAGCCTATTTAGATGGGGGTCAAAGAATGCCTCAGCTGAAAGCTGATGGATGAGAAGAAGCCAGGCACGGAAGAAGCCAGGGAAAAGAATGCTCCATGGAGGAATTGGCAAGTGCAGAGGCCCTGAGAGTGCTGGCTCCAGACAGAAGGCCAGAGTTCTAGAGTGGCGGGTGGGTGGGGCCGCAGAGCAAGGCCAGGCCAGATCAGGTGGGGCCTTCAAGACTTCTTGTAACAGCAGGAGGAGGCCACAGAAGGTTAGAAGCAGAGGCTGAAGAAATGACCTCTTACCAGATAGTCTGACTGCTGGGAGGTGGTGGGGGGCGGGGCGTGCATGGAGAGGGTCCTGGGAGTTGAGTGAAGAAGCTGTTGCAGGATTCAAGCTAAAGGCAATGATCTCTGGGGAGATGGGGAAGTGGGCAGAGATGAGAAGCCTTTTAGAGGTAAAAACTGGCAAGACTTGCCTATATTGTGGATAGTGTGAGATTCAGCAGGTAGCTTGTTTGAAATGCTCTGAGGTTTCTATGAGATAGGTGCAGAGGCATATATAATAAGAAATCCTGGGGCTGACACACATGCCTCTGTATTATTTTAACATGATGCAAGGTGTTCACCTTACCCTTCCCCTCAGCCACAGCTGTGTCCTGGGTGTGGGGTCTTACTTAGGTCCATAGCAGATGGAGTATGAGGCCATGGTCTGCCCTCAGCAGATGGGGCATCTGACAAGGCCACATATTCTCTTCAGCATCAATGACAAATGGACCCAGGGCTTGCTCTGGGGACTTTAGGTGACTATTTCTATCAGGAGAGGTTCGCATACATTCAGTTCAACATTGAGCAGCTACTTTGTGCTTACTACCTGATGAGGTCAGAGGCATGGGCGCAGGAAGACCCCACTTTGTGGTCGGGGGCTCACCGTCTCAAGGACATACACATTCAGCAGGTATTTCCAGGATGATGTGTGGGATGAGGGAGGATGTGAAGCTTGCTAAGAGACCTGAGAGCACAGGGACTTGGTCGCTGTCTGCTTGGCTCTGCAGGTATGTGAGACCTCAGCATTCGGTCAGGGATGAAGGGAAAGGACCAAGTCAGGTGGATGGGTGGTTGGAGTCTGAGAGGAAGGAGTGTAGTGGCATAGTGACAATTGAGGCTGAAAGTCAGCATCCACCCTCCCCCATGCACACACACGGCTGAGGAGGGGGAGGTCCGGGCCCTCCACTGAGGCTTATGATCCAAAATACTCAGACAGGAACATGGCAGCCTCCCACACAAGGCTCCTCACAGTGAGAGAATCCGGTATACAAATGCCAAGCTTATAAGCAGGAAGGTGTGTGTCATTTTAATTTCAAAATGACCTTCCCCAGCCTGGGAAACATAGCAAGACCCTATTGCTACAGAAACTTTAAAAATTAGCTGAGTGGGGTAGTGCGTGCCTGTAGTCCCAGCTACTCAGAAGGCCCAGAAATTCAAGGTTGTGGTGAACTGTGATCATGCCATTGTTCTCCAGCCTCAGTGACAGAGTGAGACCCTGTCTCTCTCAAAAAAAAAAAAAAAAAAATTACTCTACCTTACAAAGGATTTTATCCCAGAATTCCCTAATAACAATCAGTGTCAGTAACAAATAAAATGATAGATTTTACTGAAATTCTATTTGCTCATCATGGACATCCTGGTTTGTGTGTGGTAATTTATACCTGGGTAGAATTTCACACTGATGACTTCTCATATCATAACATCCAGGAAATGCCACAAAAATGTCCTGCTCTACCTGACAGGCTGTTAGTCCTCATCAAATATTTAGGAATCTTAGCAGCTTCCTCACCCTCCTTCTCATGAGTGTTGTACACATGCCAAAGTTCTTATGTAATGTCTTGATTGACAGCAGCCAAATTGCTGAACTCAAGTGGCTGGGAACCCTGGAGAGGTGTGCTCAGAGTAAACATTTCATTATAAAGGGAAGTGTGGAATCCTTCTTGCAGACTCTTGAATAAAGAAAGCCTGGGTTGGCTGGGCACGGTGGCTCACACCTGTAATCCCAACTTTGGGAGGCCAAGGTGGGTGGATCACTTGAGCCCAGGAGTTCGAGACTAGCCTGGGCAACATGGTGAAATCCCATCTCTACAAAAAATACAAAAATTACCCAAGGTTGGTGGTGCACACCCATAGTCCCAGCTACTCAGGAGGCTGATGTGGGAGGTTAGCTTGAGCCTGGGAAGTGGAGGTTGCAGTGAGCTGAGATTGTGCCACTGCACTCCAGCCTGAGCACAGAGCGAGACCCTGTCTTAAAAAAAAAGAAAAGAAAGAAAAAAAGAAAAACCTGGATTTTCTTTACTGACTACAATTCCCCAACTAATATTGATTTGTTGTTTGTTTCCAACGAGCCCTTGTTTCCTGTGAATTCTATTTTGGTTCAGCCGTTACCTGATTAAGCTGTTAAGCTGGGCCTTAAATTGTTTTACCTAGAGGCTGCTGTATACTCCTGAAATGCAGTGCTTAAGCGACAGTACGTTGTTCCCATTGCCACATTTAAGGTTGCACATGCTTTGGATGTTCTACGGATCTGAAGTCTTGTTTGCTCACCCCAAAACTGGAGAATAAAACTAGTACTTTGTCTTTTTCAGCTTATGCTAAAAGTGGGAGGTCTCAGGTGGGTTGTTGTTTTTTAAAAAATATCTATCCAATATCCTGTTTAAAAAAAACACTTCTCTAGAGTATATTTTCTGTTAAGCAAATTCAGTCTAATTTTTTTTTTAGCAGTTTATGTTTCTTGAATGGGAAAAAGCCAATATTTGGGTGACATTAGGCCTTGGTCTTAACTGCCAGTGGTCTCAGGGCTCCTTCCTTCCTTTCTTGGTGGGCAGCCTCTGTGGCTTCAGATTATTGTGTTGTTTTATGGGTAGGTTTTTTTTTTTCCTTTTCAAAGTGATTCCCAATCTTTTAAAGTTTTAATTTGAGGACTCATTTCAGATAGCAAAATACTTCATGTCCCTCTACTCTCCCTTACTCGATGGTGTACTTTTAGTGTCCACTTGGTGGTAGAGGTTGTGCTAGAACAAAAACAATGATAATTAACACTGACAGTTGCTGTGGCTGAGGGCCATAGCTAAGTTACAGATACAGAAGAGATGGCTCAGCGAAGCTGAGAAATTTTACTGCTTTCAGAGGGTGGAACTTGGTTTATAATCCAAAGTCTTTGCAGTTAGACTCCAAAGTTTGATGATAAAAAGCTCTTCTGTTCAGGCTGGGCGCGGTGGCTCATGCCTGTAATCCCAGCACTTTGGGAGGCCGAGGCGGGCGGATCATGAGGTCAGGAGATCGAGACCATCTTGGCTAACACAGTGAAACCCTGTCTCTACTAAAAATAAAAAAATTAGCCAGGCGTGGTGGCGGGCACCTGTAGTCCCAGCTACTCGGAAGGCTGAGGCAGGAGAATGGTGTGGACCTGGGAGGTGGAGCTTGCAGTGAGCCGAGATCATGCCACTGCACCCCAGCCTGGGGGACAGAGCAAGACTCCATCTCAGGAAGAAAAAAAAAAAAAAAAAAGCTATTCTGTTCAGTAATGCTTCTCAGAGTAGTTGTATTTCATTCATCACCCAGACTGCATTCTAGGCTAGATGCTTTCTTAACCAGCTTGGCTTGGGTTCCCTAGGTTATGATTTTTCGTAAGTATACTGATATATAATGATATCATCATGTGTCTACGAACATATGTATTTGTCTTAGTGTTTGTCTTTTCAAAGTGGAGCAAGGATATTTGCAAAGCAAACTGATTGCAGGATACTATATTTTTTATGACTTTTCTGTCTTTTATAATTGTCTTAACCACACTTATTTTGACAGCAATTTCTTAAACAACTTGCTTTTTAAGAAGCTTTTCAAGTATCCATCTTCGTTTTCTTAGAAACAACTTATCTTTCTGCTCATGCTTCTATTTCACCAGTTGACAACCACATTTTAGGAGATCATGGTAATATGTGCAACTGACATAAACAGTTTAAGGACAGGCACAGTTGACTCTCTGGTAAGCACATGATGCCCTACTCACAGCTGATCAAGCCAAGTGTACTCATTGCACCATGGGCATCCATCAACTTGTTTTACAAAGGGAATGGGGACACTTTGGTAGGTCCCTTGAGTGGAGGTTGGTTAGGATAACATCTATTATGTTTTTTAAAAAGGTTACTGTTGTACCCATGTTGTTTATTTAAGCTAAATTCAGTGTTTGTTCTACATGTTTATTGTAGACCCCAACAGGTAACTGCAGGTGGTTACTGACCTACCATTCTTTCCTCTAGGAGATTGACTGAAAAAGTCAATCTCTGGAGAAGACAGTCAAGCACTGAGTAATATTTTGGTCAATGATAGATGGTGTATATGTTCCCAGAAGATTATAATGGAACTGGAAAATTCCTGTTGCCTGGTGACATCTTCATGATCCTGATCCCATGTAAGCCTAGGATAATGTGTGTGTGTCTTAGTTTTTAACAAAAAAGTTTAAGAAGTAAGAAAGAAATATATTTAACAGTAGCAAAAACTTATAAAGGATATAAAGAAAGAAAATGTTTTTATACAGTTGTACTATGAGTTTTAAGCTATGTTATTACAAAAGTCAAAAGATTAAAAAATTTAAAAGTTTATAAAGTCAAAATGTTACAGTAAGCTAAGGGTAATTTATTAGTGAAGAAAGAAAAAACTTTTAATTTAGTGTAGCCTAAGTGCACAGTGTTTATTAAATCTACAGTAGTGTACAGTCATGTCCTGGACCTTCACATTCTTTCACCACTCACCCACTCACTCAGAGCAACGTCCAGTCCTGCAAGATCCATTCATGGCAAGTGCCCTACACAGTTGTACCATATTTTAGATTGTATACTGTATTTGTACTGTACTTCTTCTATGTTTAAATACCATAGTGTTGCAATTGTCTACAGTCTTCAGTACAATAACATACCATGTAGGTTTATAGCCTAGGAGTAGGCTCTAGCATCTAGGTCTGTGAAAGTCCACTCTGTGAAGTTTGCACAATGATGAAATCGCCTAATGATCCATTTCCTTTTTTTTTTTTTTTTTTTTTTTTTTTTGACAGAGCCTTGCTCTGTCACCCAGGCTGGAGTGCAATGGAGCAATCTCAGCTCACTGCAACCTCTGCCTCCCGGGTTCAAGCGATTCTCCTTCCTCAGCCTCCTGAGTAGCTGGGATTACAGGCACCTGCCACCACGCCCCAGCTAATTTATTTATTTATTTATTTATTTATTTATTTTTAGTAGAGACAGGGTTTCCATGTTGACCAGGATGGTCTCGATCTCTTGACCTCGTGATCTGCCTGCCTCGGCTTCCCAAAGTGCTGGGATTACAGGCGTGAGCCACCATGCCCGGCCCTAATGATCCATTTCTTAGAACATACTCCCATTGTTAAACGGTACATGATTGTATTTATGAAGTCAAGAATTTGACTCATAAATTGATAGTTTGACTCAAATTGATACATTGTCCAATTTCCCCTAAAAAAGTCTCCTGCAACTTTTAGAAATAAAAACAATGAAGTCCTAGTGAGCTTTTATTTTGATTTAATACCTGTGCTAGTCAGCATTTTCTTCAGCAATGCAGATGAACTGCTCGGAGAACCGATGAATACTGTAAACGGAGAGGGATTCAGGCAGGGGGATGGGACTAGATGGCTTATAAATACCTTTCCAAGTTCATGACTCCACACTGTCTTTTAAAAATGGGCTGAATTGAATTTTAAAGTCTGATTCTTAAAATATTAAATACATGTCCACACAAGTGAAACTGCACAAGAAACTGTGGTATTACAGTATACCTTTGCTGAACTCAGTTTAACGCCAGGCAAGACTGTTTGGAGTTGATTTGTAATTGTTTGTGTTATGTTAGTTTGGATGTCTCCTGAATTTGTAACAAAAAATGCAAGTAGTTGTTAGATATTGTTAGAATTTCAGCTTAGAAAAGGAGTTGCTTCTATCTTTTAAACTTTGAGATAAATTTTATTAAAAGCATTTGAAATTACAAAATGGATGTTTAAGATATTACCATTTGCAACCACTTAATTGTGAAAATCAGGAGGCCAGGAGAAGTGGCTCATGCCTGTAATCCCAGCACTTTGGGAGGTCTAGGTGGAAGGATCACTTGAGCTTGGGAGTTTGAGACTAGCCCTGGCGACATAGCGAGACCCCTTCTCTACAAACAAACAAACAAACAAAAAAACAGGCTTTCTTGTCATTGGTCAACCTAGGCAAGATAAACTGGATGAAGTATGAGAAATGAGACTGTGAGATCACCCATAACCCCTAATTTCAAATACAATATTTGCATTCATTCAAACTGCTGTGGTATTTTGATTGATTAATTCTGTTAGTTAAGATTATATATTTAAATATATAAATTTCTTTCAAATCACAAAAGTCCCTTCCAATCCTGAGGCTTTTTCCGCAGAGAGGGAAAATGATCACTGTTACTACCAAATACCCTTGAATACTGAGAAGGAAGAGTGGCTGTTCCTATAGATAAGATGTGTTTGGTTTTTAGGGCTGCCATAATGAAGTCCCACAGACTGGGGGGCTTCAACCACAGAAATGATTGTCTCACAGTTCTGGAGGCTGGGAGTTTGAGATCAAGACATTGGCCAGCTTGGTTTTTTCTCAGTCCCCTTTCCCTGGTTTGCAGATGACTGTCCTTTCCCTGCGTCTTCACATGGTCTTTCCTCTGTACCCAAAATCTCTTCTTATGAGGTCACCAGTCATATCAGATTAGAGCTTACCCTGATGGCCTTCTTTTACCTTAATCAACTCTTTAAAGGCCCTATCTCCAAATACAGTCACATTCTGAAGTACTGGGGATTAGGGCTTCAACACAGGAATTTGGGGGGACACAATTTAGCCCCTGACAAGATCATTTAAGAAAAATTACCCAGGGGTTTCCTTCTGGGCAGTTTGTGAGCAACTTGCTCCTCTGAGTTTTTTCTGGAGGGATGACGATTTCAAAGTACTTGTTTCACAGTTTAAATGCTAGAGAAAGCTGCATTTGAGTTCCTGGAGTGACACACTGCTCTGCCAAGGGGAATGGCTTTCTTGTCGGGCCATAGTAGATAGGGTCCAGCTCTTAGGGCCTGGACCCTTGCACTTCTCTCCTTCAGATTTGCTAGTCTGAGTTTTCCTCTGAAATGAGAGCAGTGACCTGGAGCCTTCTACACTGCCACCCCCACGCAGCAGCCTCCAGTTTGCCAAGTTCTTTGCTTGCCCTTGGCTACAGGTAATGTTGATGCATAAGTTTGCCAAACCCTGGGCACTGGGCACCAATTTCAGGTAGAGATTTAGTGCCATTTAGAACATAGTGCCCTTTATTATTATTATTATTATTAGAGACAGAGTCTCTCTCTGTGGCCCAGGCTGAAGTGCAGTGGCGCCATCTCAGCTCAGTGCAACCTGTGCCTCCCTGGTTCAAGCGATTCTCCTGCCTCAGCCTGCCGAGTAGCTGGGATACAGGCACGCGCCACCACGCCTGGCTGATTTTTGTATTTTTAGTAGAGATGGGGTTTCGCCACATTGGCCAGGCTGGTCCCATAGTGCCCTTTAGAATTGCTGTGGAAGGGCGAGATTCAGAGTGACCCCTGTGAAGCCAACCCAAGTGGGGCTTTCCCTGACTTCTATGGTTAAGCACGCCAGCTACGGGCTCCCCTATCAGCATGTATTTCCCCTGCCACGACCATCCCTCTGTTGTAATTGTGTGTTGGTGCTGTCTGCCCTGTGGACTGAGGGTTTCATAAGGGCAGGAGCCATGCACATATGGTGGAGTTTTGGCACAGTAGCACTCAGGAATTTGTGGAAAGAATAAATGACCACTAACATTTATTGAGTATTTATTTTACCCCACATGCTGTTGCCTTGATATTCATTAAGTGAATGCTCACACTACTTCAGTGAGGTGAGTAAACTATGTCCACTTTACACATAAGGAAACTTAAAGAATATAAGCTGACTTGAATGAAGTGACGTACTTGGTGAAACTGGAATTACCCAGCGCCCAAACTCTTTTAGATGCAGAGGTAGCAAATCCATAAACTTGGAAATGGGGCCAAAAGATTAAGAAAGGGGACAGTTGGCCGGGCACGGTGGCTCACGCCTGTAATCCCAGCACTTTGGGAGGCTGAGGCGGGTGGATCACGAGGTCAGGAGATCGAGACCATCCTGGCTAACATGGTGAAACCCCATCTCTACTAAAAATACAAAAACAAAATTAGCTGGGCATAGTGGCAGGCACCTGCAGTCCCAGCTACTCAAGAGGCTAAGGTGGGAGAAAGGCATGAACCCAGGAGGCGGAGCTTGCAGTGAGCGAAGATTGTGCCACTGCACTCCAGCCTGGGCGACAGAGCAAGACTCTGTCTCAAAAAAAAAAAAAGGTTGGGGGAGGGGGGACAGTTGTTTCCTAGCCTTTCTAGATCTAGAAGTATGAAGAGACAGATTTAACTGGGGGTAAAGGACCCTGTCCTCTTGGGGGTACTGCCCTGCAAGCGCTTTAGGAAGTCATCTGATTCAATTTGAAGATTTCCTTCTCCTCATCCCAGGATTCTGGATATTGCTTATAAATTGTATAGTATGTGACCTTTTGTGCCTGACTTTTTTACTTAGCATGATGTTTTCGAGGTTTATCCGTGGTGAAGTGTGTATCAGTATTTCTTTTTCTTCTTAATAGTTGAATAATTTTCCACTATATAGATGTACCACATTTTCTTTATCCATTCATCAGGTGATGGACGTTTGGGTTGTTTCCACTTTTTGGCTATTATGTGAATAATGCTGCTAAGAACATTCATGTACAAGTTTTTATGTAGACATATATTTTCATTTCTTTGGGGTATATACCTAGGAGTGGAGTTGCTGGAGTAATTTTTTGTTTATTTTATGTTAATTTAAGTTTAACTTTTTGAGGGACTGCCAGATTGTTTTCCAGGGTGGCTGCACCATTTTACATTTCCACCAGCAATGTATGAGGGGCTATTTCTCTACATCCTCATCAACAGTTGTTATTGTCTGTCTTTTTGATGAAAGCCATGCTAGTGGGTGTGAAGTGGTATCTTGTTGGGGATTTAAATTGCATGTCCCTAATAACTAATGACGTTTAGCATCTTGTCATATGTTTATTGGTTATTTGTATATCTTCTTTGGAAAAATGTCTATTCAGATCTGTGTGGGTCATTTTCAAACTTGTTTCTAAGCTGAAAAAATACAAGGTATCTTTGTGTTGATTTCCTTTCACTCCCTCTTCCCCTCTTCCTCGCCCCTTAGTCATGGAGTCATTGTACCAGGACATAACCTGGAATAACTGTTTTGTAATAGGAAAAAGTACCCAACATCCTACAGAAACAAACCCCGCATCTGGGAAGGAGCCTGGAGAACTTCATTTGGGATGCTTCATGAGTCTGGCTGGAATGTTCTGTCTGAACTGGGCTTAAACAATGTCCTGGAGAAGTATTTGGTGTCCTCTGGTTTTCACACTGAAGTTATGCATTTTTGATGGAAGTTTAGCACTTTTTTTATCAAAAGCCAAAATATAATGGATAGTATGCCAGGTGAGCTTTAGAAATTTCATCAAAATAACTCCAATGAGAGGTGAGCTCTGGCAGTTTCATCACAATATCTGCAAATCACAGGCCCTTGGGCCAGGAAATAACCTTGAAGGAACACCTTCCATAGATTGCTGCCGGCATCCACAAATGACATTTTCTATGTACGTTCAAAATTATGTATTTTGGCCGGGTGCGGTGGCTCGCGCCTGTAATCCCAGCACTTTGCGAGGCCGAGGCAGACCTGAAGATCACCTGAGGTCAGGAGTTCGAGACCAGCCTGGCCAACATGATGAAACTCTGTCTCTACTAAAAATACAAAAATTAGCTGGGCATGGTGGCGCATGTCTGTAATCCCAGCTACTCAGGAGGCTGAGGCAGGAGAATCGCTTGAACCCGGGAGGCAGAGGTTGCAGTGAGCTGAGGTCGTGCCACTGCACTCCAGCCTGGGTGACAGAGTAAGACTCTGTCTCAAAAAAAAAAAGTATATATTTTGTATATATAAAATGTTTATTTCCTGTTCTTTTAACTCCTGCTGTGGAGAGTTAAGTCATTATGCTCTTCTCTTCATGGAACCCTGTATCAGTCATTGCAGGGACCTGCTTCTCTTTGGTTTCATGTTAAAAGTGTCTTTTTTTTTTTTTTTTCAGAGCTCCCCTCAAGAAAGATTAAATTATCTTTTTTTCTTCTTCCCCCTCCCATAGATTCCAAGTGCAAAGTATTACATATATGCCCTTAGACATCGCCTTTAAAAATATGTCTAATCTATAAAAATGCTGTGTTCTTAAGATTTCCAGCTAGTTTTGGCTTCTGAATGTTGCTTGGTCATTCACCATAGATTACCTGTTCATCCCCCCGACCACAATGGAGATCCAGTCCAATGTTTAAGTGTCCTTATTACCATATCATTTCTGTCTCCTTCCATCTTATCTTCTCACTCGGAGTAGAATAGTTTTAGTTCATTTTACTTTTTTCCATGCTTCTTTTGTTTTGTTTTGTTTTGAGGCAAGATCTCACTCTGTCACCCAGGCTGTGGAGTACAGTGGCCTGATCACAGCTCACAGCAGCCTCAAACTCCGAGGCTCAAGCAATCCTCCTGCCTCAGCCTCCCAAGTAGCTGAAACTACAGGTGTGCACCACCACACCTGGCTAATTATTATTTTTTTATGTAGAGAGGGAGCCTCATTATGCGGCCAAGGCCGGTCTTGAACTCCTGGGCTCAGATAATCCTCCCACCTTGGCCTCCCAAAGTGCTGAGATTACAGGCATGAGCCACCATGCCCAGCCCCATGCTTCATGTTTTTCAGGTATAAATCAATTTTGGCTGTACGCTAAACCTCAGATTTTCAAGGTATACTCTGTGTGAATAGATACACAAAAGAGTGGACCCAGCAGAAAAGCCAAAACTCATGTTGCTGGCTTAAAACAAACCAAAAAACATATATGGTGACTCTAAATTGTAAGTGTTTAAAATTAATTTCACTTGTACAAAACAACTCCAGCAGTAAGTCAGACTTTATCAGGCTTTGAGATCAAAGCCCTTGGAATTATCTTTCATAGTTCAGACATCATTGATTGAATCTTGTTTTACTAAATCTTTCTCGCTTCTCACATCTCCATGGATTTGTATGTGTCTGACCACAGACATATGTCTGTACGTGTCTCCACCCACAGAGTGTCTGAGTGTGTGTGAATTATAAATATACCCATCTTTCAAAATAGATCTTTATCTTTGGTGTTAATTGTGTCTTTGCTTCTTCCACTTTCACAGTGAGTAAGTATAGTTGGGAAGTGTACCTATATATACAGTTGGCCATATACTGCCTCTCACTCATTAATTGTAAGCTCTTCTCTGTAGTTAGTTTCAGCCAAGCTTGTTGGTAGCTGGCATCTGATTCAGTTTCAAAGCAACCTGCCTGATGGCTGCTAACATCAGAGTCAGGTGCCATGACCTTGGTGTTTTACATAGTTCAAGACCAAACTGTGAAGTTCATTTTTGATGTCCAGGAGGGGACTTCACTTTTTATATGAAATATTTAAAACATAAAAAAATGCTTATAGATGTTTATGTTAAATATTTATACATACAATATAAATAATACTTGGGCCCTTTTTCTCTGTCTTGTCAGTGTATTTCACTTTCTTGGGGACTCAGGGCTCTTCTGTCTTACTGTGGTGTTATGATATACACTGGTTTTTGTCCACGATTCCTAGCTCATAACTGCCATATCCCTAGTTACAGTCTTTTGTTATAATGTTGGGCGTGTTAAGCCTCAGGAAAGTAGAATCTCTCTTCTGCCTTTCTTTCACCTGCCTCAAGGTAGGACTCTAATCTTCCCCTCCTTTTTGATTGTGGGTCTTTTCCTAAGACCCTCCCCTGAGAGGGGCCTGTCTCATACCCTGAGAGAAGGAATGCTTTCATAGAAACCCAAGAGGACTGGGTTCGAGAACTTCCAGATGGCTGAACATGTGGAGGTTCCTAGAGGGCAGAGACCCAGGGAGGGCATGGAAGCTCTGTGCCCCTTCTGCCGTACCTTGCCCTATGCATCCCTTCATCTGTATCCTTTCCAGTATCCTTTATAACAAGCTTGTCCAACCCATGGCCTGCAGGCTGCATGCAGCCCAGGATGGCTTTGAACACATCCCAACACAAATTTATAAACTTTCTTAAAATATTATGAGTTTTTTTTTTTTTTTTTTTTTTTTAGCTCATCAGCTATCATTAGTGTTAGTGTATTTTATGTGAGGCCAAGACAATTCTTCTTCCATTGTGGCCCAGGGAAGCCAAAAGATTGTACACCTCTGCTTTATAATAAGCCAATAAACCTTAAGTCAGTGTTTCTGTGAGTTGCTTCAGCAAATTAACCAAACCCAAAAAAAAGGATCATGGAAACCTCAACTTGAAGCCAGTTGGTCAGAAGTTCTGGAGGCTCAGACTTACGACTAGTGTCTGAAGGCTGGGGGGTGGGGAGGGCAGGGGGATTGGGGGCAGTCTTGGAGACTGAGCCCCAAGTGGGTGGGGTCTGGTACTACCTCCAGGTAGATAGTATAGAAACAGAATTGGAGGACACCCAGCTAGTGTCTGATGCTTGGTTTGTGTGGAAAAAACACTACACATTCAGTTACTGACATGGTTTAGCTCTGTGTCCCCACCCAAATCTCTTCTTGAACTGTAATCTCCACATGTCAAGGGAGGGACCTGGTGGGAGGGGTTTGAATCATAGGGACGGTTTCCCCCATGCTGTTCTCATGATAGTGAGTGAGTTCTGATGAGATCTGATGGTTTAAAAGTGTTTGGCTCCCAGCACTTTGGGAGGCCAAGGGGGGCGGATCACGAGGTCAGGAGATTGAGACCATCGTGGCCAACATGGTGAAAGCCCGTTTATACTTAAAAAAAAAAAAAAAAAAAAAAACTTAGCTGGGTGTGGTAATGTGCACCTATAATCCCAGCTACTCGGGAGGCTGAGGCAGGAGAATCACTTGAACCCAGGAGGTGGAGGTTGCAGTGAGCTGAGATTGCACCACTGTACTTCAGCCTGGCGACAGAGTGAGACTCCGTCTTAAAAAAAAAAAAAAGTGTTTGGCAGTTCCCCACCCCCAGCTTCTCTTCTGCTGCCATGTAAGACCTGCCTTCCTCCCCTTCCACCATGATTGTAAGTTTCCTGAGGCCTCCCCAGCCATGCAGAACTGTGAGTCAATTAAACCTCTTTTGTTTATAAATTACCCAGTCTCAGGTATATCTTTATAGCAGTGTGAAAATCAACCAATACAGTCACAGAACTCTTCTGTGTTGATTGTTGTGGTATGAGGGTAGAGGAAGAACATGGCTTGAGAGAGTTTTTTCTGTGTGTACCCACTGTCATCCTTTTAGATCCCTTTCTGTGCTTGGAAAATGTCCTTCCTTATGACACATGGTGGGCAGCAGAGTCCACCACCCAGTGGGAAAAATACAAATGCAGAGATTCACTTTCCAGCATCCTTTGCAGCTAGGGTCTGGGCCCTACAGGTCCGTGTAATCATCCTGATCTCTGATGGAGAGCCAGTGGCACCAAAAGCTGAGGGACTATGAAGAGCTCAGTCTGGCTGTGGGAATAGTTTATACAGGGCTGAGTCCTTGGGATGGCAGAGACTGTGTGGCTGGTGGCAGTAAGTGGTGGCCAGGGCTGGTGCTGTTGGCTGCACAGGCTGTGGCACTGGGGGCTTGGGATTGCTGCAGTCGGGTCCTTACCCGACCAGTTCTGGGGCATGTTTGCGTCTTGTTCCCGATTACCCACGCTTACCTCCTTAATATCCTTTTAGCAAAGTACTTCTCTGCTTAAATCAAGCATTGTTGATTTCTGTTTCTTGCAATTAAGAATCTTAATTGATACACCCTGATACACAGATTCTGGATCAGTGGTTTTAAAATTCTTTTCAGGCAAGGAAGCCTTTCATTAAATGAAATCTTATGAGGAAGCGTAACACATGATGCTGGTAAAAGAGGTGCTGCTCTGCATTAGGGCCCTGGAGGGAATGCTAGTGCATAAAGCATAGCTGTAATCCATTGCCCTGGACATTCTGTGATCCTGGATCAATTACTGCCTCCCTACCCATGTTACACAGGCCCTGGTCTCCGCCAGGCAGCTGCTGGATGAGGAGGGGTTGATGTTTGCTGCTAGTTCTAAATCAGTGTGTATTTCCAGAGCCCTTCATATGCTGTTTGTCTCCTCCAAGACACCGGCCTTCTCTGCCTTCTGATCGCTTTCACTGGGTGAATGGTGACATACCCTCCTGTGTGCAGGCCCTGTACAAGTGTGGATACCTGGATCAAAGAGATTACATGCCTCTTAGAATCCTCTTCAAAATACCAGTCCATTTCTAAGATTAAAAAACTTAGCAGTCAACTAATCAGTAAGGGCTGAT
Organism: Homo sapiens; assembly: GCF_000001405.40. NCBI lineage: Eukaryota > Metazoa > Chordata > Mammalia > Primates > Hominidae > Homo > Homo sapiens. Next base: position 36,174,838 of record NC_000007.14, read on the forward strand.
ATTTGCCCTGTTAAAAGAAAGACCTTAGCCAAATTAAATTTAATAGAGTTTAATTGAGTGAGGAACGATGCCCAAATTGGGCAGCCTCCCAAGCCAGAGTAGGCTCAGAGAGACTCCAGCACAGTCATGCAGTGGAAGACGATTTATGGACAGAAGGAGGAAAGTGACGTACAGAAAACATTAGTGAGGTACAGAAAGAGCTGGATTGGTTACAAGGTTTGCCTTATTTGACCATGGTTTAAACCGTTGATCCCCTTTGACTGGCAAAAACTCAGTGATTGGCACAAGACTAGGTTACAGTCTATTGACACCTCCACATAGGTTATAGTTCACTGTGCACAGAGAAACCTTTAGGCTGAACTTAAAATATGTAAGGAGGCAGCTTTACACTAAACTTGATTTAACAGCCCTCACAGATAAAGTAGGATGTGCTTTGCAGCAGGTCTGCCATGGCGTGATCATAGCTCACTGCGGCCTCGAACTCCTGGGCTTAAGTGATCCTCCCACCTCAGCCTCCCGAGCAGCTGGGACCACAGGTGCGTGCCACCACGCCTGACTAATTTTTAAATTTTTTTGTAGAGATGAGGTCTCACCATGTTGCCCTGGCTGGTCTCAAACTCCTGGGTTCAAGCGATCCTCCCACCTTGGCCCCCAAAAGTGTTGGGATTACAGGGGTGAACCATTGTGCCTGACCCTGACTTTTTTTTTTTTAATTTGAGATTATTAGAGTCACATTTAGTTGACATTTTGGGCCAGATGACTGTTGTAGGGGCTGGCCTGTGTTTTGTAGGACGTTTAGTGAATCTCTGGTTCTATTCCCTAGATGACATGAGAACCCCACCTCCCTTCCTGGGTGTGACAGCTCAGTGTCTTCAGACACTGCCAGATGAACATGCTCTTAGGAGCAGAATCATTCCCAGTTGAGAGCCGCTGCTCCAGAGCCATTTTAAAGGTACAAGGAGCGGTGCCACCACTGTGGGGACCGCAGCTGGACCTGACAAATTTTCCTTGGCTATAGTAGAAGCCTCAGACCCTGCAGCCTTGGCTGAACGGGGAGGAGGTGAAGCCAGAGGGGCTGAGCAGGTCACTGCCGGGTCCCTGTGAGGTGATGACTCTGTGTGGCCTCTCTGGGAGAGCTGAGAGGCTGCAGGCTGTGGCGTGGGCCCTTTCAGCCCTGAGTGAGCCGTGTGAGTAGAAGGCAGGTCTGAGGAGGGGAGGCCCAGGGAACCCTCGCCCTCCCCTGCCTCTCGCTGGGACTTCCTGAGTAAAGGAGGAACTTGGGAGCCACAAGCAGATCCACTGCCCTGGTGATGCAGTGGGGGAAAGGGTGGGGCCTGGCCTCTCAGGGCAGAACCTCTGAGAAAGGCCCCTGGGAAGGAAGATTCCTGAAGAGGATAAAGCCAGGCCTGCTGGTGGTGGCTGGGGCGAGGATGCTCAGTGCGTTTGGAAGACAGCAAATCACTCCAGGAGTGGCCTGAAGACAACCCTCTCCCTCACAGTCTGCCGAAGAGCAGAAGTTTGGAAGAAGCAAAGAAGAGGCAGGGTTTCCTACCCCTGAGCCTCATTTTAGGGTAGGAAAATCAGGTCTCATGGGAGCCTCGTGAATTCCGCAAGTTCTCCCATGTAACGGATGTCGGAATAAAGTTATTTCGGTTCAGATGCTATGTCGTAGCGCTATGATAGCTGTGAACATGCAGGTAAAGTATTCTCAGGGTTGGTGATACTCAAGCACTGCTGTTTGTACTTCTGTAGAGGAGTTTATAATTTTTTCTTAGTAATGACTCCATAAAACAAAAATGAAAGTTTCACTGGAATAAAGTGTTCTTTTTGTGTACAGAGAAACATCTATAATTAAAAAGATAGTATATTGACTTCAGATCATGCTAACTTGATATGCTTTTGACTCTATTATAAATACGATCCTAGATAAACCACCAATGCCAAAAGCAGAATAAATCCTTTACGGTGAGGAAAAAGAAGTGGGAGGGAAATAACATATGGCATAAAGTTATACAAACTAAAAATAAAGCTGCCTGGTTCTCCTCAAGTAGCTCTTAGGTACTTTGAATGTCCTCAGTGGAAGGAAAAATAATAAATCCAAACATGATTAAATGTATGTGGACTTAAACTGTTATCACACACATTTTTAGAGACAGAAAGCGGATCTGTGGTTGGGGCCGGGGCTGGGAATAGGGATTGACTGCACTCTGGCACAAGGAAAATGTTTTGGGATGATTGAAATGTTCTAAAATTGGATTGTGGTGATGGTTGCATAACTATAACTTTACTAAAAATCATTGAATTTTACACTTCCAGTGGATAAATTCTATATGTAAATTTTATGTTGCTGAAGCAATAACAGAGTTATTGCTGTGTGCTTTAAATGACATCTTACTTGAGGTTTTTTTTTTTTCATTTTTAAATGTTTTGCAATTTCAACTTTTGTTTTAGATTCAGGGGGTGCATGTGCTGGTTTGTTACATGGGTATATTGCATGATGCTGAGGTTTGGGGTATGAATGACCCCATCATCCAGGTAGTGAGCATAGTACCCAGTAGGGAGTTTTTTCAACCCTTTCCCCACTCCCTCCCTTCTAGTAGTCCCCAGTGTCTCTTGTTCTCATCTTTATGTCCATGTGTACCTAGTGCTTAGCTCCCACTTATAAGTGAAAACATGGAGTATTTGGTTTCTGTTCCTGCGTTAATTCACTTAGGATAATGGCTTCCAGCTGCATTCATGTTGCTGCAAAGGACATGATTTCATTTTTTTTATGGCTGTGTAGTATTCCATGGTGTGTAGGAACCACTTTTTCCAATTCGCTGTTCATGGGCATCTAGGCTGATTCCATGGCATCTTATTTGCCTTAGCTGTTTTGTTGTTTGTTTGTTTGTTTTGAAACAGAATCTCACTCTGTCACCCAGGCTGGAGTGCAGTGGTATGATCTCAGCTCACTGCAACCTCCACCTCCCAGGTTCAAGCAATTCTCCTGCCTCAACCTCCCGAGTAGCTAGGATTACGGGTGCGCACCTCCATGCCCGGCTATGTTTTGCATTTTTAGTAGAGACGGAGTTTCACCATGTTGGTCAGGCTGGTCTTGAACTCCTGACCTCAGGTGATCCACCTGCCTCAGCCTCCCAAAGTGCTGGGATTACAGGCATGAGCCACCGCGCCTGGCACCTTCACAGTTTTTATGTCTCAGTGTTTCATTATTGCTTCAAGTGTCTGACTTAAGGTAAGTCATTTAAGCCCTCAGGGCCTCATCTTCTTCCCTGGAAAATGGAGGTGACAGTGTTCCTACCTCAGGAAACTGTTGTGTCAGTTAATAGAATAAATAAGTGTAAAGCACTTGCACCACACCTGGCTCCTAGTGTCATCACCACAACTGCCATCCCCGCGGTTACTGTTCACTGTCACTTTCTTCTCCAGCCTGGCCAAGGCCAGGTCTCTAGTCCAGGCTCACTGCCCAGCCTCTCCTAGCCACACGCTGCAGTAAAGGTGGAATTCTGAATGAGAGCTGAATCTTTCTGAAAGCATTGGGGCTCCCCTATGCTTTAGGTGAGTTCAGACTCCTCTCGGCCACGGGGGCCCTCCCCCTACACCTGGGCCCCTTCTTGGTCTCCTCATCTCATGATTCCTCCAGCTGTCTCTAAGCCCTTGATTCTCCTGCCATTTGGAAATTCTTCCAGATTTCATATGGGCTTTAACTGGGACAGTCTTCCCTCTCTTCTGCCAACCCTTGCTCTTCCTTTAGGTACCAGCATCGTGTGGCTCTTGGAAAAGCCAGCCAGGAGTGCATGATAGGCCCTGTCTACTTTGTGCCCCCTCAGGAGCCCTCCAGAATTGTAATTACCATGAACACCTGTGCACCATCATGAGTCCCATGAGGCAGGGTGTGCTCTCCTGCCCTGCACTGGTGTGGCTTCCAACTGTGCCTGGCACAAGGTCAGGAGCCCTCGAAGGTAAACTGTGTCTCTAAGGTGATGAGTTGCCTTCCTGTCTTAATTGCTCCAGGGAGATAACTTAATCCAAGGCCATGTTCAGTTAATTTAGAAAAGCCTAAAGTCTAGAACCCTTTCTCTGAGTCTCTGTTCAGGAGAATGTTCCTTTATGAATTCTGGGGATTTGATTTAAACTTGAAAAGAGATTATGGCCTTGGCATTTGGCGGGATGGTACTTTTCCAAGGGGAAGAAAATAATAAAAGAAATTACTGTGAACCATGTATTAATTTGCAAACCAACTTTTTCTTACAGAGTTCCTCTTTATTTTTCCAAACATGTATTTAAAAGATACATTTGAGTGAAGCAATGTCCTGGCTTTAATCTGCGGGATTTAGTGGTTTACTACCCCCAGTGGTAACCAGCCTTTCCTTTCCCTGACCACTAATGGGCTGGTGGGAGCTGGTGGTTCCCACAACTTCTATTTGTGTGTATGTTATCCCATCTTTAAAGATTTCTAGTTTAGCTGCATTTTATAAGGTGTATAATATTATGTCAGTACTTCTACATGATTTATCAATAAGTAATATATATATTGGGGTTACATGCTCAAATGCTATAAAGATGGTTGAAGTTGTGATGCATTATTTTAAAATTAGGAATAGGGCTGGGCACAGTGGCACACACCTGTAATCCCAGCACTTTGGGAGGCAAGGCGGGAGGATTGCTTGAAGCCCAGGAGTTCGAGACCAGCCTGGCCAAGATGGCAAGAAAGGACCACACTGTCTTAAAAATAAAAAAAAGAGGCCAGGTGTGGTGGCTCATGCCTGTAATCCCAGCACTTTAGGAGGCCAAGGTGGGCAGATCATTTAGGCCAGGAGTTCGAGACCAGCCTGGCCAACATGGTAAAACCCTGTCTCTACTAAAAAAAAAAAAAAAAAAAAAAAAAGTTTTCTGGGCGTGGTGGCGCATGCCTGTGAGGATAATGATTACGTAGAACTGTATCTGTACAGTGGTTTGCAGACTGTAGAAATCAGCATGAGCTCTTTGGGATGAAGGGTTGAGCCCTTCGGCTCGGCCTCCTCAGCAGTGTTGCTGGATGCTGTTTGTGAAGCACAGTTACCTGAGTCACCCGAGGAGCCTTAAGTGTGTCCCCCACCCCTGGCTTGCACTCTCAGGATGCCCTTCACTGCCCTGAGTGGGGCCGGGGTGGGTGTTGAGCCTCCCAGCTGATTCCAAGCGTGGCTCCTCCCCAGCAAACTGAGCCGTGGCTCCCAGACACCCACCTGAGGGACTTGGATACAGCATGCAGGAGCTAGAGAGCAGTAAGAAAGACTCTAAGAAGACTCTTTCCACCAAATTAAGTTCATTAATAAAGGAATTAGGTAATTGGCATGGGATGTTTAGAATAACTAGCTGATACCGGGAGAAAGCGATGCGGGGGAAAGGTAACACCTCCTGTGCGTGGGCATGAAAGTCACTTATCTGATCCCCATTTGTCCTCATTGGTACCAGATGTCCCATCCCATTGTGTCATTTCTGTGTGGCTTACTGGGGAGGCAGAGGGGATGAGGCAACAGCTGTTTTCTTCCTGTCTCCTTCATGCCCTGCCCACACTTTCATTCTCCATTCTGGGGGTAGTGGAAGGAAAGGCTGCTGCTCCCTTCCCAGAAACCAGGGCCATCGTGCCCCTCCTTGGCCTTACTGTTGGAATACTGGGAATCCTGTGACTGTACCCACAGCTGCAGTCCTAAAGCAGGGAGGTAGGCAGGAGAAATTTTATTAAACATGCTTGGAACACATTCGTGATTGGGGGTGGGGATTGTGGCTCTTAGGGCAGCCCTGGGAAGTTTAGGTGACTGAGTATTTTAGGAGTCTGCACATGTCTGCCTGGATACCTCATGAATGCCAGCTCATCCTCAGATCCCAACTTAAAATCCCTTCCTCTGGGAAGCTGGTTCCAATTCTGGACTGGTCGGGCTCCTTCCCTGCTCTGTGCCCGCTGGGACAGTAGTCTTCAGTCATACATCCACTCAGCTCCACCCCAAATCTGTCCCTTGCTCTGCAGGCTCAGGCCCCCCACCCCCTCATCATGCACCTGGACTTCTGCATCAGGGTCCCCCTCAGTCGGCTCCTGGCCTCTCACCTCTTCCCTGCTGCCGGCTCCAGGGTGACCTGGACCACCACCCCACACTTTCACTGCCCCCAGCAGCGTTTCTTAAAGCTGGGTTGGATCTGTAGAAGGATTCCCCAGGGTGCTTTTTTGAGCTTCCCCAAGACCTGCTAGGGCTGACCATTGTAGGTAGCCTGGAGAATGTGCATTTGACAAGCTCCCTGGTAATGCTGGCAAAGGCAGAAGTTTAGGGACCACTGAGCAGGGTCCACCAGGCGGTTCACAGTCTCCTATCCACGCGCTGTCTACATCTCATGACTCTGTCCCATGCCCTGCACACCCCACCCGCCACACCCCACTGCCTTGATTTCCCCTCACGTGCCTCTGTTCCCTTTCACACTCGGAGGGCTGTGGCTGTGCTGTCAGTGTGCACAGATGCTGTTGGGTAGCCCTCCTGGCTGTGACTCCCTTCTGGTGTCCTGTGCTCACCTCTGTGTTTGGTAGCTGTGGAACTCAATGCCCATCCCAGAGTCAATCATTTTGACTTAAGACAAGCGATTATATCTTTGCACTCCTAACATCTGTCTAGCACAGCCTGACACCTAGGAGGCAGAAAAAACAGTTTTGAATGTGCGAGTTGAGTGTGGCCAAAGTGAGAAGCACCTGGAGTTGGCCTGTATTCTGTGGCTCCCTCATGTGCCTAGCCCCCAAACACTGCCCTCATGTTACAGGGAAATGTGGCAAGTGAGGATATAAAGGTGTAGGAGATAAAGAAATATGGCAACATTATTGAAGTTAGGAACCGTCTGGATTTTGTCTTGGTGCTTCCAAGACCTCAGCATCACGGAGCAGTGGGTTGTATGAAGTTCAAGGCTCCCTTTTTCATGGAAAATTACAAGCACATTTATTTTTAGGTCCCATGTCCCTATTTGTTCTTTCTTCAACTCTTTGTGTGGCAATGTTAACAAAGAGGAGGAGGAGAGAGGGCAGCATGACAGGACAGACTTGCCCCATCTGTTACTCCTTCTCCAATATCACCAGTGAAAACCAGGATTCCCCAGACTTTTGCCATCCCGGTTCCCATCTGTTGCGTTTCTTACCATTGATGAAAGCCATTGACAAGAATAAAAGTGACTGATAAAATAATAGCATGGGGGAAAGTAAAATCTACAATATGCTTCTGGGAATTTGTCTTACCAGCGTGGATAAGGTTGTGCATCGCAGCGTTGGTTGTGGAAACAGTCTGTGTGTCCACTTAGACTGTAGTCCAGCCACAAAGGGGGACATTCTGCAGCTGGAACAGAAGGAAGAGAAGGCCCACATGGAAAAATTTCTGTTCTATAGTGTTCAGAGCAAAAAGTAAGGTACAGAACAATATATATCTTCTTTGCATTTTTGTGTAAGAGAAAAGTAAGAATATATATTTGTGTTTATTTGTAAATAATTGAGAGATCCTGCGTAGACACCAAAGAGCCAACACAATGGCAGTCCATGGTGGGGGCACGGGGAGGGCTGGGACAGTGTGGGAACCGGATTTCTCAGAGTGCCTCTCTTTATAGTATCTTGATTTTTTTGAACCATGTGAATATCTTACCTTTCAAAAACTTATACAGAGGTTAAAAACAATATATAAAATATGATTTTTAAGTTTAAAGTTACATAAATAGCCTGATCATTCTTTTGTCATTAACACCAAACCACTCGCCAGCGTTTGCCCCGCCTGGGGCCCCGCATGGCTTTCATCACAAGCTTCTCATTTCACCTCTACAAGGAGGGTGTGGACTTGCCCAGTAATGCACAGCTGGAAAGCAGGCAAGTCAGGATTGGAACTCCTGATCTCCATCTTGGGGATTATAAAACGGAAGCAGAGCAGAGGGTACTTCCTTTCAGTGATGGACACGGGACCAATTCACAGATGCAGGCACTAAAAACTGCACCTGTGAAGTTAAATCCAGTATCTTGGGTCTTTTCATGCTTTGTAAAGTTGTGCTTCATGTCTTCAGGCTCTTTAGGGTATCTGCATCCAGTTAGGACCCGGTGGTCATCTCATGTGACCTTTGACCCCTTCCCTTTGTGGAAAGCAGTAGCCATGCACACCCTGTAGCTCTGGGGTCAGGTGAGCAGGGCCAGCCTGGGTGTCAGGGCAGCTCAGGCGGACAGGGCTCAGGCAGGCTTCAGAGTGGAGAGCCAGGAGGGCGGCCTCATCCCTAAGCCCGGCTCCTGAGGCAGCTCAAAGACCAACTGTTCTAACTGTTCACCCACCAACTTTGAGCAGCTGACTGTGTAGTGTTCCTGAGTGTCTTTGCTGTGTAGACGGCACGCATGTATCATCATGTTCTCCACGAGAACCAAAACCCAGCTCTCTTGGCACAGGTTGTGTACTTGGCTAATACAATTTAGTTGTGCTCCTAGTAGAACATAATAAGGACCCGGTCAGTCTGAGCATGATCTCTTTCTGCTGAAACGTGGTCACGTCTCCCTGTGAGATCAGCCTGACGAGAGGGCTCCCTGAGCTGCCTTTTCCCAGCATATTGGAGAGCTGCACGCCCGGCTTCTGTCACAGGAAACCCCAAAGCTGCTGCTACTTGTGCTGTAGGGATGTTGTCAAAACTGCCAATCTGTTTGTGAGCTTCACACCTGATGGGAGAACTGCTTTGTTCTGAATAACTATTATGTTTTTGTTTGTTTTCCTCAGACTCAAAAGTTTTCCACAATTGTGTACCTTTCTGCTTTGGCTGTCTTAAAACACAGATTTGTATTCCAGTGTTGATACTTGTAGAGGCTTTGTATTCTTTTTTATTTTTATTTTTGGAGATGGTGTCTTACTTTGTTGTCCAGGCTGGTCTCAAACAATCTTCCCACCTCAGCCTCCCAAAGTGCTGGGATTACAGGCATGAGCCACTGTGTCCCGCCAGACTCTGTATTCTTGACAGTGTTTCTCCCTGGGCCCACAGCCTTTCTGTTTTATCCGGATTATTCCTAGCCCTCGTTTTTTTTTTTTTATTTTTAAAAAAATGTGTGTTGTTGTTTATTATGTTTTCTCACAAACAGCCGCAAATTCTTTGTGGAATGAATCTCAATATAAGCAAAGGAGCAAACTTTGTATCTTAGGTTCTTCTGGACTTGATTTTTTTAGCTTTTCTCTTGTGCAGGGATCAGCAAACATTTTCTGCAAAGGCTCAGATAGTAAATATTTCAGGTTTTTCCACCTAATATCTTACAGTTACTCAATTTGCTATTGTCAAGTGAAAGTAGCTACAGCTGATAAATAGATGAAGGTGATTGTGTTCTAACAAAATTGTATGGCCACTAACATTTGAATGTCATAATTATAATTTTCTCATGTTATGAAGTATTATTCTTTTTTGTATTTTTCTACCACTAAAAAAAATGCCAAAGCCATTCTTACTTTCCAGGCTATAGAAAATCAGGTGGCCAGCTGGCTGTGTCCTGTGGGCTGCAGTTTGCTGATGCCTGCTCCAGAGTACTGTTGTGTTTTGACCACTTCCAAGAAAGAGGAGGCATTCCAATTAGCAGCCACAGCCAGTGCTCAACCCAGCATTGGTCTTATTTGAGTGACAGTCAGAGTCAAGATTCACATGCACCTGGGAATACCAGCCCTGGGACTGTGTGAGGGCAGGAGTAAGGTCTGGAGCAACCAATCTCCATTTCTTGCCTCTCCTGAAGAGTGGCAGTCCCTTCAGTTTGAGGCATGAATGTCTCCTTACAGTTCTTTCGTAACTAGGCAGTAGACTGTTGATCCCCTTTTAAGAAAGCATCTTTATTAAATCAGTTAATCTAACACTGTCATAAAATATGTGTAAAATATAAGGATTTTTTTTTAATTAAAAAAAATTTTTTTGAGACAGGGTCTCGCTCTGTCACCCAGGCTGGAGTGCAGTGGTGCGATCTCAGCTCACTGCAACCTCTGCCTCCTGGGTTCAAGCAATTCTCCTGCCTCAGCCTCTCGAGTAGCTGGGACTACAGGCACGTGCCACCATACCTGGCTAATTTTTGGATTTTTAGTAGAGATAAGGTTTCACTGTGTTGGCCAGGGTGGTCTTGAACTCCTGACCTCAAGCGATCTGCCTGCCTGGGCCTTCCAAAGTGCTGGGATTCCAGGCGTGAGACACTGCTCCTAGGCTAAAATATAAAGAATTAATGATCCAATGAACAACCCATATGCCTGCCTCCCAACACCATTACTTTGAAGCTCCCTTTGTGCTCTCCCCACACAGGGATAGCTACTTGCTGGAAATTTGTGTTCCCCATTCCATTGCTTTTCTGGAAAGTTTCACCACAGGTGTCTGTATCCTTGAACAGAGGCATCGTTGCACTTCTCATAAATGGAATAGCATGCCATGTGTTCATCTGCAGCTTGCTTTCTGTTTCATTCAACCTCTGGTTCCTGAGGCCCCTGCCTGCTGTTGCATGTAACTGTAATTTACTCAGTTTCACCATGGTACTCTATTCCATTGTGTGGGTATCCCACAGTTTACTTATTCATTCTGTGGTGGAGGGACGCTTAGATTTTGTCCAGTTTTTTGTTATTACAAGCAGTGCTGCTTTTAACATTCTTGTATCTGTCTGTTGGTGTATGGGGGCAAAAATTTCTCTTGGGAATATATTAGAAATAGAGTGGCCAGCTTCTGAATTTTTACTTTATTGATCACACTGGTATGAGGCATCCATGTGGCAGACGTGTACCAGTGATTGCTGAGCATGTGGATTCCAGGTCCTGGCCCTAATGCCCATCATGTTGCTACTCTAGGAAGATGCTGCCCTTTCCAAATCATGCATCCTAAGTTAGAGATGCCTCCTATAAGGTGAGGAAAATCATGCCTCTACATCTTCTCATGCTTCCTAAGCAGGCTTAAGGTTTCGTTTTGTGCCCTTTGTGTTGGTGACAGTGTGTTCATTTGGCGTGTCGGTAAGCTTTGCAGACATTGTGTGTTCTATATAAAGTTTCTTTTATGCTCAATAGAAGGCCCTTACCTTGTCATAAAAGTGTACAGCATAAATCAGAATATCTCTTTGCCAACTGTTGAAAGGGCCCATTTAACACTGGAACAAGTATAACTGGCTGTGATTCATCTACTATGTCGACATATTTGAAGTGCATTTACCCTCACTTTTTCCTTTCTGGAACTTATATTTCTTTCACGTGGTATATTTCTTTTGCAGGTTTGGCTTCTTCGTGGCATTTGTAGAAAACTAGCAAAATATGAGCTTTGCATTCCCCCGGATCCAGAAGCCAAATGGGCAGACTAGACTTTGTTGGCACTCTGGCCCTCCCAGCACACCTCTCTGGGCCCACTCTCTGCTGGGTAGTGGCACAATGCTTTCTCCTGCCTCTCCCTTCCTTCTGCCTTTCTCGGTTCTCTTCCTCAAAATCTACCTCTGCAGTCACTTCCCCAGGGTTTACAATAAACGATGGGAATGGCCAGTGGGGAAAGGGCTTTGAGTCAGGGCCGCTCTTCTGACCCCTGGAAGTCTTTCATAAGTGGGGTCAACCTGAAGTTCTAAGTGTGATTCCCAGAGGGAAAAGCAGGGTTCATTTCTCTGGCCCCAACTTCACACCTTCCATGGAAGTCTTAGAGGATTCTGTCAGGCTCATTCAAGGACAGCAAAAATGCATCGCCACATTCTCCTATATAGTCATCTTGTGAAAATACAGCAGCAGCCCACTGGAAGGACCCAATAGTTGTTTATTTTTTCCTTCATGACTAAATCAAAAGTTTCTACACTGATCTAAGTAGAAATAGAATAATTCAAGGGAAGCAATGAAAAGTAATTCAAAATAAATATGTAGCTAAGGCTGCATGAATGTGTACTCACGTGGGTGGAGGAGTACACAGGGTCGTTGCTGCCACTAGGGTATATGCAAAATTGGGACTGATTAAAATTTAGTAAGCTAAGCATTCTTTCAGCAGTCTTACAAACTATTATTGGAAATGTTAAATAACAAACCATTTTTGCCACAACATGTGTTTCTGTAACACAGGTTAGCTCATCTACTGTTACGATTGTAAATATGGGAATTATGTCAGAATAATGTGGAAACCAGTGTTTCCCCAGCATGTTTATATTTTGCAGTGGTGCACAAAGCCAGCAGAATTCTGTAAGCTGTGGAGGAACACAGGACCCATTCACCTTGTCCTTCTTGGTTTGCATTGGCCGTGGCTCTGTTCCAGAAGTGATTTTGCCTGGCTGTCTCTGAGCTCTGTGCATTTTGCCCTTGTTACAACTCAGCTGCCTCAACTCCTCTTTACCTCCTTTTCAATTAAGCTTGTATTACCTTTTAAAAATATTAAGCGACATCACTTTCCTTTTTTTATTTAAAATATTTTTAAATGGTGGTAAAATATACCTCACATAAAATTTTCCATTTTAATCATTTTTCAGTATACAGTGGCATAAAGTACATTCACATTGTTCTCATCACCACCATCCGTCTCCAGAACTCTTTTCATCTTTTCAAACTGAAACTGTGCCCCCATTAAACACTAACTTCCCATTCCCCATCTTCCAGCCCCTGGCAACCACCATCCTACTTTCTGTCTCTATGAATTTGACCACTCTACATGTCTCCTACCACCGGGTTTTTATGGTATTTGTCTTTTTGAGTGTGGCTTATCTCACTTCGCATAATGTTGTCTGAGTTTACCCATGTTGTAGCATGTGTCAGGATTTCCTTCCTTTTTAAGGCCTGATAATATTTCATTGTATGTATACCCCATTTTCTTTATTGATTAAGTGCTGTTGGATACTTAAGTTGCTTCCACTTTTTGGTTATTGTGAATAATGCTGCTGTGAACATGGGTGTGCAGACAATCTGTCTGAGTCCCCTGCAAGTCCCGTTTCTTTACTTATTAGTAATTTAACCAGTTTTTAATTGTGCTGGTATTTTTTTATTATTTATTTTTTTGAGACAGATTCTCGCTCTGTCACCCAGGCTGGAGTGCAGTGGCATGATCTCAGCTCACTGCAACCTCTGCCTCCTGAGTTCAAGCGATTCTCCTGCCTCAGCCTCCTGAGTAGCTGAGGATTACAGGCACGTGCCACCACGCCCGGCTAATTTTTCTATTTTTAGTAGAGACAGGGTTTCACCATGTTGGTCAGGCTGGTCTTGAACACTTGTCCTCGTGATCCGCCTGCCTCGGCCTCCCAAAGTGCTGGGATTACAGGTGTGAGCCACTGTGCCTGGCCTGTGCTGGTATTTTTTAAAAATTGTAGTTGTTACTCTCTTATTAATTCTCTGGGTACAAATTTACACCAATATTCAATGGTTGGTCTATGAGTCTCTTTCTCTATCTTACTCTCTCTTTCTCTCTCTCTCTTTCCATAAGCCTTATTAGTTGTACTACAGCATTTTTGAAGATGTATCCTTTTTAGTAATCAGTATAGCAATAATGATTGTATTTGATGATGAAGCCAGAAATGGGTAGAAAGAGGCACCTCCTCTTCTCACTGACATCAGTAAGATATAATGATGTATTGTCATGGGTCATTGTGTGTGTCTGGCACCTTCTGGCTCTGTGCTGGGGTCAGTCTGGGTGCTGTGGTCATGACCTTTGATGCATGTGTGAAACATTCTGTCAGGAGGCAGCTGGCTGGAGCCAGCGGCGCTGTGACCAACGGAGATACACAGGCTGGGTGGGTCCTGCAGGGATTACTGTGTGTTGGAAGCGGGCGCAGGGTGGGGGTGTCCTGTGATCCCAAAGGTTATGAATCAACAATCAAATTCCATAACAATAAAATTTAATCAGGGCCTTTGCTTCATCAAGTAAATAGATGGTGAAAATTAATTCTTCATCCTTTTTCTCTTGTTCTGATTCCTAGTCATCTGCTGAAATGGGTGGTTTGCATTAAAAAAAAATTGAGCTCTGAACTATGTGAATGGCTAATTACAGATATTTATTTTTAAATATGCTCAGAAAATGAGTAAATGAATGCTTATGAGGCCCATGGCTTACTTCTGGTGTTTCATTATGGAAGTGTTTAAGTATTGCTGTGGGTTGATATAATTTCATATTTGGGAATGCTTTATTATAAGTTATTAGTGAATATTGATTTCTACATTTAAAAAATACCTGTTTACTGGATAACCAGTTGAGTCATTCGTGGGTTCAATTTGACAGACACAGTGGAAATTTTGAATAGTCTGATGCTGTAACCAGCACCATTGAGACATTCCTGCCCTTTGTCAGGGCTCCCACAGTTGGTGTCTGTAGGTGTCAGACCCTGCTCATTGTACTGGCCCCCACGGGACACAAAACACAAGCAGAGCCCACACAAGGGCTGGGAGGGTACTATCCAGCGCCTGACACAGGGTGGTCCCCAAAAACTATTTGCTGACTGGTTAATCCAATTTGCAGAAGTTTCGAGAGGAGTGTTGATCTGAATTCTGAAGGACAGAACATTTGTCTGGTTGAAAAATGGGGATTTTAAAAATATTCCAAATGCTAAGAAAAACAAATCAGTGAATAATTTTACTTGGTCTTGAAATGTTAAAACTAACATTATTATTAAATGAGCAAAAATTGTGGTATAACATGTTAAGCTTCTTTATGTTATCCATAGATACTAGTTTTCCTAAATCTTTTGTGAAGTTCTTTGACCATATTATCTTTTCTAGGTAGAATTTTGTTGAATACCAGAATCTTGAAATCTGATCAGTAAGGGGTTTTTGTTGGGCACCTGCCTTGGGTACAGAGCTCCACTTGGTGTAGGTGCTATGGGGATAGAAGAAAGTACATGGCCCTGTCCCTGCCCAGAGATGCCTGAGAAGGAAAGCTTCCAATAAATGAGCTACCCCCATTTTCTTGCTGAGGGTATTTAACACCGTGGTAAAGAGGAGAGGCCTGCAAATGGATTTGGTTCAGTTCCTTTGTCTGACACTGGATCTGACATTTTAAGCAAATTATTTTGCCTTGCATTGCCTTGCCTCAGTTTCCTCATCTATAAAATAAAAATACATAACATGACCAGGCAGAGTGGCATGTGCCTATAGTCTCAGCTACTTAGGAGGCTGAGGCAGGAGGATCGCTTGAGCCCAGGAGTTTGAGGACAGCCTGGGCAATGTAGTGAGAGCCTGTATCTTAAAATAATAATAACAACAATTACATGATTTTGATGGCATGTGGAAAAGCGTGGAAGTTTCCTTTTGCATGGTGCTTGGCATGTACAAAACACATAGTGAAGGCTGGGTGTGGTGGCTCACACCTATAATCCCAACACTTTGGGAAGCCAAGATGAGAGGATCACTTGAGCCCAGGAATTTGAGACCTGCCTGAGCAACATAGTAAGATCCTGTCTCAACAACAAATTTTAAAGTTAGCTGGGCATGGTGGTTCATGCCTGTATTCCCAGCTACTTGGGAGGCTGAGACAGGAGAATCACTTGAATGCAGGAGTCAGAGGCTACAGTGAGCTATGATTGCACCACTGCACTCCAGCCTGGGCAACAGAGCGAGACCCTGTCTCAAACAAACAAATATAACACATGGTGAGATACTAACTATGGATTCCAGTTTGGGCTGACTCTTGATTTGACTCCTGCGTCTTATCCCCCACTCTCATTCCTGTGACATAATCAGACAAAAATCAACATAATCCTGACCAAGAAACAGTCCTTGCCTGACTTTTCAAAGCTGCAAGTCCATTTTTAGACATGGGCCACCATGCAGGTGAATCTGTGGGAGTGATAACCAGCACTTGGGGCCACCTTGGCAGACTTGCAGAGGGGGAAACATCTGGCAGCTTCCTTTGTTCCAATGGGTTTATTTTAGGCCTCTGAGTCTCTGATACCTAGTGGAAGCCTGGCACACAAAAATAATACTAATCCAGGTACAGCTATAAAACAAATGACTCTTTCAAAGTGGGGGAGGTTGGGGATAAAGCATGTAGCTTGGTTATCCCAGGTTACTGTTAGAAAGGAGAAGCCCACCCTGGGGTAAGGGTCGTTATCCTTCCTGGGATGTGTCTCAGGACAGGCTCAGGCATGACTTGCAGCCAGCACCCCCGGAATGCCCGGCCTTCCTCATTTTGGTCTCTTGCAGGCCACCTTCCCTTAAGTCACTATCGGTCACTGACCTCTTCCCCAGAAAAGGCTTAAGAGGTCTCTAGACTTACAATGATTTCTATGTCCACTCTTAGGAACTTTTATTTGCTCATTTGGGCCAGGTGGCATAAAATCAAATGGTGCTTAGAAGTGACCACACTGGTATCAGGTCATGAAGTGTGCCCCATTTCTGTCAGGGAAGCATTCTCCTGAGAAGTCCTGGTTTGTGCCAAGCATTGTTATCTTGGATGACTTGGGTCCTGGTCCTGAAATTGAGCATGTGCTTAAAATGACAAGAGGGAGTAAATAGGACAAGTAGATAGGTTAGCCTGGTCATTCCTAGGTCAGAGTGGCTTCTGTTGAGAACTGAAAATTAGGCTGAAGCCTTTGCAGAGCAGCTGGACAGATAAGCATGGAGGAGAGTGTATGCACACTGGAGAGGTGGGAAGAGGGAGGGGAGAGGACGAGGCTCAGATAGAACAAGAGAGTGCAGGAGAGGGGCAGAGATGCTGTGGTAGACTCTGGAACCACCAGTGATGCTGCTGTCATCCTGGCAGCTTGGAAGCAGCTATCATCCTGGCTGCCGCATCTGGCCCCTGTGACAGCTGAAACCAAAGGTGGGACTGGCTGGAGCTAACTAGAACTGGTTTTCCGCAGTGAGATTTCACCCCACACAGAAGAAGAGAGAAGAAGGCTCAGACTGGGAATGATTCAGTGACGTGTTCAGCTGCCTGGTGTGTTATAGTTTGAGCCATCCCAGGAGGTGCAAATCTTCAGCACTTTGGACTAAAAACAAACGCAGACTTATGCCCTGACCATTCCAGCGGGCAGCACTTGCTGTCTGATCGGACATGTTTCATTTTAGGAAATTGCTCATTTCTGTTAGTCTCAGGGAGCTATCATGGACCAGGAACTGCAGTCTTTTCTGGTGTGGGAGTCTGGGATCCTAAACTGTTGTGAGACCCCTGCTACATGCCCTTAAGTTTGAAGGGGCAGTTTCAGGAGGTAAAGATTAGGGGCTCTTCTTTAGAAGAGTCTAAGCCTTTACAAGAGTCTTTACGAGACTCTTTCCGCGTTGTCGAAACCCCATAGGTTAAAATGTCTCATCTGTGTGCTCTGCACAGGCACACAGAGGCCTGAGTCGAATTTAAAAGAAGGCACTGGGCACCCAAGCCCTTCACCCTTTTCTAAAAGAGGAGCACATGAGCTTTGCATTGCAGATGCAATTTTTATTTTTAAACACCGTAAGTGATGGCGTGTGAGCAGTGACGCATCCACAGCCAGCTAATCTGTATTGTGTAAAAACACACAAACCACAAATTATTTTTAAAAGGGAAGAAAGCAGAAGAACAGATGCAGCAAACTCCTTGTATCACGTGAATTGAGGAGAAAAACTCCACCAGATGCGTTTCTGAGCAACAGCAGAGGGAACACTAGCATGCCCAGATGGGGCAGGGAGTTCTGTCTGCCTGCTTCTCTGGGGAAGACACCTTTCTTTGTGTCCAATTTCCAGGACAGTGACACTGTCTATTTTTGTGTGCATGTATTTCTTCTTTCTCTTTCTTTAAAAAAAAAAAATTAACAATTACATACATATTGAAAAGTACAGCAGTCAGAGAAGTGTGCAGTATTGTTACAAAGTGAGCCAACCTGTAACTCAAGTCGCAGAAATTTACCCGGCGAAGGCCTGTGTCTTACTCAACACACCTGGGTTATGAAATAGCCTATTATATAACCCAGCTCCCCTTACATTTTTTTTAAAAATGAGATTAACATCTAAGAAGTAACAAAAATGGTACTCCTTGGACCATGACTAGAACTAAATGTTGTTTTCGTGAATGCGGTTAGAGACCTTCTGGATCAAGAAACACAGAGCATCCGAGTGGGAAGCATTCTGTCTTCTGTCCTTGGCTCCAGTAGCCTGGTTGGGCTGCATGTTCTCCATGAGGATGAGTGGTGGCCAGATCTCCGGACCAGGTGGAAGGCTGTGCAGGGCATCCCTTCTCTGTCGGTTTCCTGGGTGGGGCTTGGTCACTGGAGTGGGGATGCGCAGCGAGGGGCAGCTCAGGGCTGGACTCTTCACTGCTGTCTTCTGATGGTCTCAGCTGGAAGCTGCTGGGTGCTAGTCTGCACTGAAGAACCCCCAGCCCAGTGGGGGAGGCAAGCCGGGCACAGAGCAGTGCGTCATGATGGGGGCACAGGATTCCGTGGACATTGGCAGCAGGCATGCTCACCACATCTTGGGGTGAGTGGGATGGCAGGGAAGGGTCCCAGAAGAACTGATGAGGAATGCCAAGGTGGAAGTGCCAACCAGCAGAAGTTAGATGGAGAAGAGGCCCAGAGAGCAGAGTTCCCGAGAGGGAGAGTGTGCAGAAGCCTGGAGCCTGGAGAGGGGAGGAATGAAGGCGGGATGAGGTATGGCCAGAGAGCAGAGGGAATGCCACACAGGAGGACAAAGGAGAGATGCAGCTAGATGAGGAGAGAACAGCCACTTCATGCCAGCCTTGGGAGGTCCCCCGGGGAGTGCGGTCCCCTGAAGGCAGAGGCAGAGGGAGGCCATGGGAAGCACCCAGGGCTGGGCTCTGGGTGTATCTTCTGTGTTTTGATGGAGTGCTGCCCAGAGGTGCTGGGTCCCCTGTCCTAGGAGAGTCCTGTGTCTAGAAAAGCTCCAGGGACCACGGCCTTCAGATGGCCCTGCCTGTGGACACTGCGAGTATTGTTTGGCCTTCAGTGAGGGGCAGTCTTGATCAAGAAAATGTTCCTAGGGCTATGTTTCCAAGAGGAATTCAGAAACCCAGGCCGTCAGGTCCCGTGGTCAGCAGGTGGCCAGCGGCAGAGCGGCCACACCCATCCTGGTGCCCTCTCTTTATGGCTGCCACCTCCCTCTGGGAGGGCCTGGGGGACCCTGACACCATTCTGTGGGAGAGATGACAGTAAAATTAGGCTGTGGACATAATGTGAGCATCTTGAGAGTTCAGGAGCCTCTTATCCCCATTTGCATCCTCAGAGCCCTGCAGGTCCCCACCAGTCCCAGGACTTGCCGGTTCTGGGTTTATTTTGTGTGGTCTTTGAACTCCATATTTTGCGTTCTTTTCATCACAGAAGAACTATGGCTACTTCTATTGTGAGGCCAAAAGAAGACCTAGTCCATCTGAGAGGGACCTGCAGAATTCCAGTTCCATGTGGTGAAGAGGATGTGGGTGTCTGCAGTACTGAATTTGGTAGTATGCTGCTTGCAGTGAATGTCCTCTCATTTGGCACATCCCCCAGGCCCTGAGGGCTTCCGTGGGAACAGCTTTAGCTTCAGATCCAGGTCCAGGCACCATAAGTACATGTTGGAGGAAGAAATCCTTGAATGAATGGATGAATGAGTGAATGATTGAATTCCAGTTTCAACCTGAGGCAGGATATTTGAGTTAGTGATTTTTACCCCAAAGTAATTCTGGCATCCTACTCCATCTCTTCCTTGTGACCCTCTCCAAGATGAGTGTGTTTCCTTTTAAGGTGGGGGCAGCACAGAAGACTTCCCCATCCTGGTTCCTCCTCCTGCCCCCTTCCTTCCCAGGCTTGTTACCTCTGCATTTCCCTTGTATCAGAACCTAAGTCTTCTGAATCAAATCCCCCTAGAACTTGTGAACATTCATCTCAGATCTTACACTCATGGGAAAAAGCCCCCCATATGGCTTTCCATGGATGTGACTCTACAACCTAGGAGGAGTCCCAGGCCAGGCCTGGGCTGGACCCGGAAGAGCGAAGGAATTGATCATGGAGCTCTGCCATGGGAGGTGGTTGGAGAGGCAGCAGGTGGTTCTTCATTGGGCCTCCACATCTTCATTTGCCTAACCTTTAGTTTGGAGGGATCAGTTTCTTTATCAGAAATCCATATGTCCCTGAGTGTGCCAGGAATAATTAGTTGATTCCAATGGTGATTGAATGTGTCCTCACCTAATCTACCAACTACTAGACACAAATACTCACAAACCTGGAAGCTACCAAAATCTTTCTCTTTGCAACTGCGAAATCCTTCCTAATGCCCCAGACAGAGCTCCAATTTCCAGCCCATCCCTCTTGGATCCACATCCTCTTTTGTTCATTCATGTATTCTGGTAGTGATCAGGTGTCATGGGTGCTCACTCTGCAGGGACCTGGTAAGGTCCCAGACAACAGGAGAGGCAGGGCGCCCTTCTGAGTTCCCCAGCAGTTAACTCTTAGTAACGTGGGAGGGGAACAGGCTTCTTGGAGGGATGCTCATTGAGACCAGACACATGCTGAGACCTGAAGTGGGGAAGGGGGAGCATGCGGGATTTACTCATGGGAGACATGAGGCGACTCCTGCCTCCCTGACCCAGTGTGCTGGGGGCAGAGCAGCCCAGTGGATGGATGGCTGGCTCCCTGATGGAATGATGTGGTGGCAATGCCTCACTGCCTGCCTCTCTCCATGGTATAGAGGTGGGTTCCTCTATAAAAGTTTCCCTTCATAAAAGAAGTAGAGAAAGCCATCAGAGAAGGCCCGACACCTTTATAAACTGAGTTTCTAGCAATTTTGCAATTTTATTTAAGAACTGATCTCGCTTATATGTGGAATCTAAAAAAATTAAACTTATAGAAGCAGAGAGTAGAATGGTGGTTAAAAGAGTTGGGGTGGGGGCTAGGGTGGAGTGGATTGGGGAGATGTCAGTCAAAGGATACAAAATTTCAGTTAGATAGGAGGGATAAGTTCAGGAGATCTCTTGTACTTCATGGTGGCTGTAGAGAATAACAATGTATTCTATAATTGAAAATTACTGAGAGTAGATTATAAGTGTTCTTATCACAAAAAAAATGGTAAGGATGTGAGATGTGCATATTAATTCATTTGATTTCACCATAACACAATGTATAGATATTTCAAAACATTATGTTGTATACCATAAATATATGTAGTCATGCCTTAACAACTGGGATACGTCCTGAAAAATGTGTCCTTAGGCGATTTCTTCATTGTGCAAACATCCTAGAGTGTATTTACACAAACCCAGATTGTAGAGTCCACTACACACCTAGACTATATATGGTATGGCCTATTGCTCCTAAGCTGCAAACCTGCACAGCATGTTACTGTACTGAATATTATAACTGTAACACTATGGTAAGGATTTACCTATCTAGCTAAACATAGAAAAGGTACAGTAAAAATATTGTATAAAAGATAAAAATGGTACACCTATATATAGCACCATGAATGGAGCTTGCAGGATTGGAGTTGCTCTGGGTGAGTCAGTGAGTGAGTGGCGAGTGAATGTGAAGGCCTAGAGCATTACTGTACACTCCTGTAGATTTTATAAACACTGTGCACATAGGCTACACTAAATTTTTTTTTTTAAAGTAACTGCTGTGATGTTAGGATGACGACAACATCACTAGGCAATAGAAATCTTTCAGCTCGTCTCCCGTCTCCCTCTCCCATCTCCCTCTCCCTCTCCCTCTCCCATCTCCCTCTCCCTCTCCTTTCCATGGTCTCCCTCTCATGCCGGGCCAAAGCTGGACTGTACTGCTGCCATCTTGGCTCGCTGCAGCCTCCCTGCCTGATTCTCCTGCGTCAGCCTGCCCAGTGCCTGCGATTGCAGGCGCGCGCCGCCACGCCTGACTGGTTTTCCTGTTTCTTTGGTGGGGACGGGGTTTCACTGTGTTGGCCGGACTGGTCTCCAGCTCCTAGCCGCGAGTGATCTGCCAGCCTCGGCCTCCCGAAGTGCCGGGATTGCAGACAGAGTCTCGTTAACTCAGTGCTCAATGGTGCCCAGGCTGGAGTGCAGTGGCGTGATCTCGGCTCGCTACGGCCTCCACCTCCCAGCCGCCTGCCTTGGCCCCCCAAAGTGCGAAGATTGCAGCCTCTGCCCGGCCGCCACCCCGTCTGGGAAGTGAGGAGCGTCTCTGCCTGGCCGCCCATCGTCTGGGATGTGAGGAGCCCCTCTGCCTGGCTGCCCAGTCTGGAAAGTGAGGAGCGCCTCTTCCGGGCCGCCATCCCATCTAGGAAGTGAGGAGCGTCTCTGCCCGGCCCCCCATCGTCTGAGATGTGGGGAGCGCCTCTGCCCCGCCGCCCCGTCTGGGATGTGAGGAGCGCCTCGGCCCGGCCACGACCCCGTCTGGGAGGTGAGGAGCGTCTCTGCCCGGCCGCCCCATCTGAGAAGTGAGGAGACCCTCCGCCTGGCAACCGCCCCGTCTGAGAAGTGAGGAGCCCCTCCGCCCGGCTGCCACCCCGTCTGGGAAGTGAGGAGCGTCTCCGCCCGGCAGCCACCCCGTCCGGGAGGGAGGTGGGGGGGTCAGGCCCCCGCCCGGGCAGCCGCCCCGTCCGGGAGGGAGGTGGGGGGGTCAGCCCCCCGCCCGGCCAGCCGCCCAGTCCAGGAGGTGAGGGGCGCCTCTGCCCGGCCGCCCCTACTGGGAAGTGAGGAGCCCCTCTGCCCGGCCACCACCCCGTCTGGGAGGTGTACCCAACAGCTCATTGAGAACGGGCCATGATGACGATAGCAGTTTTGTGGAATAGAAAAGGGGGCAAGGTGGGGAAAAGATTGAGAAATTGGATGGTTGCCGTGTCTGTGTAGAAAGAGGTAGACATGGGAGACTTTTCATTTTGTTCTGTACTAAGAAAAATTCTTCTGCCTTGGGATCCTATTGATCTATGACTTTACCCCCAACCCTGTGCTCTCTGAAACATGTGCTGTGTCCACTCAGGGTTAAATGGATTAAGGGCGGTGCAAGATGTGCTTTGTTAAACAGATGCTTGAAGGCAGCATGCTCGTTAAGAGTCATCACCACTCCCTAATCTCAAGTACCCAGGGACACAAACACTCTGCCTAGGAAAACCAGAGACCTTTGTTCACTTGTTTGTCTGCTGACCTTCCCTCCACTATTGTCTTATGACCCTGCCAAATCCCCCTCTGCGAGAAACACCCAAGAATGATCAATAAAAAAAAAAATAAAAAAATAAAAAAAAATATGGAAAATTCAACAATACTAGAATAGCATTCTTCCATGGAGCTGAGTAGTTGCTACACACTTTGAACAGGACAGGTAGTCACCAGTTTGTTCCAATACTACCTTTTTCCATTTGTCCTTGATACTATAGGTCAAGTGAAAATGCAGAAATTATTTTTCTTGCATTATATCTTTCAGATGTAAGAGTAAAGTGAAAGAGAAAAGTGAAAAATTGATCAGATTTATGTCTTCATAAACATCTGATAATGAGAATTTTGAAGAAAAGTTTGTGTGTTTTGAGAAAAATGGGCAACAGTGTGGGAGATTGAAATAGTTAAAAATCTAGGACTTGACAAAGCCAGGACGTTTTACTAAGTTATGTGATCAGCCTATTGTATTTCCTGTAGGCCCAACCTGGTCTTAAGAAAAAAAAAAAAGAAAAGAAAAAAAAAAAAAAAAGAAAGATATTTTCCTGAAAAACTAAATCAAAACTGGTTAATAAAACTTTAATAAACCAAAAAAAAAAAAAAAAAAAGAAATCTTTTAGCTCCATTATAATCTCATAGGACCACCATTGTATATATGGCCCATTATTGACAGAGATGTCATTATGTGGTACGTGACTGTAGAATTTTTATTTGTCAATTAATAAATAAATAAGCTCACAAGATGTGTTAGGTGAGCAGGGCGCTCTTTGGGGCATCACGCATGACTCAAAGCACTTCAGTGCTGGAATGTCAAGTCCTTCTTCCCTGAAAATCGAAAGTTTTAAATGATTAGACATTCTATATTCCTTGGTATGTAGGGATGAAATGAACCCCATCTGTCAATACACAATTTCTGATTGATCACTGCTTTGGCCTTGTCTCCTTCCCAGGAGGCCTCAGCAAGAGCCATCTCTGTGGGTGTGCCAGCCACGGTCACTCTGGTGAAGCCCGCCTTCTCCTGCTACCACCTGTCTTGGGGGGCCCGATTGACTGCTGTGCTGTGGCCTGAGCAGTGCAGCTGGTGGGAGGAGGTGCTCTTCTAGATATGCAGACAGCCCTCTACAGGGAGGGGTGGACCACCGAGGAGAACCAGAAAGAGCCTCTTCTTCTCCTTCTCTAAGGCAGAGCACCCTAAACATTGCCCACAGGCCCTCAATTTCACACTTACCCAGCCAGTCCAAGCAGGAGGCACACATTTTGCATGCACACATTCTTCCACTGGAATCTGGGAGCTCTTTTGCTTTCCGGGAAATCCAAAGGAAGTTCTCAGAAATTGTGGTGTCTTGCCACCGCAGAATACCCAGCACAGAGTGACTCAGACCCATCTATTTATCAAGGTGGCCCTCACAAGCAGTTTCTCCTTTGGGTATCAGGAAACTGAGTTGACACAGTTTTCCAGGGTAGGGACTGTCTTGGTGATAAGAATTTTTTGGGAAGAGAGATTTTAAATTTTCATTATGGAAAGCTCATTACCTGCCCCCCCTTTAGAATTTTAACTTGCCTGATTATTGGCATGGCCTGAGAAGTGGGGAGGATGAGGACTTGCTGAGAGAGGGCAGGTGTGGGTGGCAGGAGCATGGCATTTTTTGGGAATGAGGCCTCATGTCCTGGGTTAGCAGTCATGACATCTGAAACTCCCAGGACTTTTTTCTTGGGCTCCCTGGGCAGCCTGGGCCAGCTCTGCAGAGCCTTGAGGTCAACAGTGGGTGGGGAGCACAGACTGCCTGACTTCAGGAACCCTTTTCCCTCTTCTGACTGAGTGACAGCATCCTCTCTGAGTCTCAGCTGCTTCGACCCTAAAATGGGGGTAAGACCTCTTGCTTTACCCCTTGCTGAGACACTGGGCAGACTACCTTCAAAAGCTATGGTGGTTCCCAACAGTGAGGGAGGTGGGGAGTGCTTCCCTGGGGGTCGTGCACCGTGAGTACCAGAACAGAAGGCCTGTGGGTGCAGGTTGGGAAAAGCACCTATGGACTGTCGTGAGCTCCCCCTCCAACCTGTTGAATGGGATTGTCCCGAAGACCAACCCTAATGCACGCTCCGTGGGACACCTGGCCCTATGTAGGCATTTATAAAGAATAGCTATTTTTTTAACTTTTATTTTAGGTTCAGGGGTACATGTGCAGGTTTGTTATATAGGTAAACTCATGTCATGGGGGTTTGTTGTACAGATTATTTCGTCACCCAGGTACTAAGCCTGGTAGTACCCAATAGTTTTTTTTTTTTCTGATCTTCTCCCTCCTCCCACTCTCCATCCTCAAGTAAACCCCTAGTGTGTGTTGTTCCCCTCTTTGTGTCTGTGTTCTCATCATTTATCTTCCACTTATAAGTGAGAACATGTGGTATTTGGTTTTCTGTTCCTGTGTTAGTTTACTAAGGATGATGGCCGCCAGTTCCGTCTGTGTTTCTGCCAAGGACATGATCTTATTTTCTTATGGCTGCATAGTATTCCGTGGTGTATATGTACCACATTTTTCTTTATTCAATCTGCCATTGATGGACATTTAAGTTGATTACATGACTTTAAGGATAGCTGTTATTTATTACCCTATAAATCTTGAATTCTTCCTGTTCTTTTCTAAGATTTATGGGTATTTTCTCCTGCATCACATTGCTTTAAGCATGCATAATTTTGCTTAAGCTAAGAGGCCAATTCTAAAAAGAAGAACTTACTTTCAGGGAATCATTAGCTTCACATTCCAGTTTTCTCTCAAGGACATTGTGGGATGTTAGATTTGTCCTTCAGAACATTCCTTTTGGGAGGTTAACATGGAGGGTTTGTTTGGTTTCTGCTTTTTTATTCTGGTCATCACTGAGATTACATTTCTCAGACTGGATTCTTGCTAGAGGTTGTGGTTGCCGGCTCCACGTTAAAAAACCCGTCACCAAGTATCTCATCTCCTGTCCCTGCTCATTGCTCCACGAGCCCAGCAGTAGCTCTCAAACATGAGCATGCACCAGAACCACTTGCTTGGATAATCTCAAAGTTTCTTTCTGCAAGATGCTTATTCATCACAAAGGGGCAAACAGCAACTTTCCATTGGAGATATCTAATAGATACCACCTAAACCAGATGACCTGAGTTAACATCACCTGTAATGGGACATACCTGTCATCCTGTATCTCTTGATAGGATGCCCAAGAAGAGTAAAATCTTATGTCTGTGGTATTTTTGCCAAAAATGCATAATCAGAATTTAATCACAAAGAAACAACCAACACGCCAAATCTGAGAGGCAGTCTACAAATAACTGACCAGTACTCTTAAAATATTCTGAAGTTATGGAAGACAGACTGAGAAACAGCCCCAGATTGGAGGAGACAAGGAGAGATGGCAACTAAATACGCTGTTGGGACCCTGGACCCAAAAAAGAACATTTGTGGACAAATGGCAAAATGTGAATATAAGTTATAGAGTAGTTCATAGTATTGCATCACCATTAGGTTCCTGATTTTGATAATGTACTATGTTTTGTAGGAGGTTAACTTTGGGAGAAGCTGGGTGAAGATTCCCAGCAACTTCTCTGCACCAGGGCATGGAGAAAAGCACTCAGGTGTGGGAGCAGGAAAGGTCTGGACTAGGTTCGAAACTTGTTTCTGATGACTATCAGCTGAGTGACTCGGGGCAGGTCCCATTACCTGGCTGAGCTTCTGTTTCCTGATCTGCAACCGGGGATGAACTGCCCGCCTCCTGGTGTTACTGCAAGGATAAATGAGGTGCTGTGTTTGGTTCACAGTAGGTGATACTCCCTTCCTACTGCCTTGCCTCCCCAGCTGTAAACCATCAACTCCTCTTCTTTCCTTCTTTCCAGCCTTTCCCCTGACCTGTCCCTTATCTCTGCCAACCCTCACCATGCACCCTCTTGGATGGTGTTTTCAAACAAAGCCTGCAGGTGCATTTACTCCCAAGGTCTAGAAATCTGAGATGAGAAACTTTCTCTGTTTCTTGCTGGATGGAGCCTGAGGTAAAATTGAGCCCTGCATCCTGCCTCAGCTGTCTTTTTGTGAGTTCTGGCTTCCCATAGAATTATCATTCAAAGGGTTCTACCTGACCTGCCTGCAGTTCGCAGTGTGGTCCCTGGACCAGCAGCATCAGCATCATCTGAGAGCTTGTTGGAAATGCAGAATCTCGGGCCCCACCCACAGACTCAAGACTGCACGTGTGCAAGATTCCTGGGTGGTTCATGATTCAAGCTTGAGACTTTCTCCACTCGAGGACTTGTCATAGAGGTTGATTCCCAGGTGAAAGAACAGCTTGCCTTCTCATCGTGTGCCTCCACAGTGGAGGCTGAATAGGAGTCAGTGTGAGAACTGAGAAATGTGAAGATGGGTTAGAAAAATCTGCAGGACATGCATCATTCCCTGTCAGGCCCTTGTGTGGAGTTCTCTCCCCAGACATTTCAGGGGCCTGAGATCCTGCTGACAGCCTAGAATTTCAGCCAGGACCTCTGTATGGGGTTTCCTGGCCAGGATCTTGCCTGGGGGTGCTGCTTATTTTCTGCAGGGACTTGGGTTTCTCATCCTGTTCGCTAGCCGGGGTGAAGCATGCCTGGGGCCTCCACACGGTAAACTTTTGCTGCCAGAGCAACTCACAACCAGGACTGTAGCCTGGTTCTGAGGGTGTTGGAGCTGGCATCCAGGCTCTGCGAGGGTGTCCACAGGAAATGAACTGTACAGATTGCTTTTAAATGATAAGAGGCTTGTGGCAAGACTGAATAATTCTCAGCTTGATTCAGGTACTGAATAGGCTGTATTTTAATCTAAGCTAACGTTTCTTGAATGACTCGGTGTCCGTGAGAACCAAGCCATGTGCTTTATGTTTCTCGTTGTTTAATCTTCACCATGACCCTGCAAGGTGAAACCGCCACTAGCCCCATTTTATGGCCCTGAACACTGGACCTTACAAAGGCTAATGTGGCCCAAGGTCATGTAGCTTATACGTGGAGCTGGGATTTGAACCCAGAATTCTCTTGAGTTTGGAGCCCAGCTTTTGAACCGTGTGCTGTACTGATCCCAGCTCCTGCCTGGCATCTGAAGCAGGACAGTCAAACCAACGGCTTCTTACAGGCAGGGCGGAGGTCATGGCCCTGCAGGCTCCTTCCAGCATCTGTGTCCTTGCCCTGGATTAATCAGGTGAGGCGGGATGTGCTGGTGGCCACTCTTGACATGTCAGGGATAAGTGTTGGGTTCTGGGTTTGGGTCTCTGGCTCCCAAAGAGGGAAGAATTTTGTGCCTGGAGATGCAGGGTCAGAATGCCCCCTTTTTGCATGGTAAGTGGTGCTCATGACAGTGCTGCTCCTCGTGGCAGGGCCATGCCAGTGTGCAGGAGGCACACAGTAACTTTGAAGTGTGGGATTTCGCCTGGGTTCAGGGCATTCTGGGAGTGGGCTGCACACAGAAGGGAAGTAGCTCAGAAAGGCACCGCAGGTCACACCCACACCATGCAGTCGCCATTCCTGTTTTGTGTTCATTTTCTTTCCTTTCCCCCTCCCTTTCTAACAGATAAGCAAGGGAAAGCGGAAAACCACCAGAAACTCTAAATTAACACCTGCCCGGTTTAGTTTATCCTTTCTTCCTCAGGATTCCAGTGCAGGAGAGGCTGGTGTTTTTAAAACCCAGTTCTCTCTTAGACTCAGCTGAAAGGCTCAAAGGTAATTAGCTGTTATGGAAAGACTGCATTGTCATTTTTAAAGGCTGCCTTGTGGGAGTGATCATTATCTGCAGCAGGATAGGAACACGGCAATAAAAATAGACCCCAGACCCTTGTCTGCAGGAGCTAAAAGAAACCAACCAATTGGTATAATGAAAATTAGGCAGTGGGCCGAAAGTTGCCATTCTCTCACTTTTTAGTTAGAAAAAGTGTCATAAAGAGAATACAGTTTATTTACTGTTAAAATTTAGTGGATTCAGAAAAGCAAAAATAATGACAAAGAATCACCCATAAATACTACCACTCAGAATAGCTGCTGTTAGTGCCTCAGCAAATGTACTTCCAGTCTCTAGCTCCGGTGCTCATGAATAAATGTTTATTTGTACAGAATGGAGATCACGCTGATGTATAATTTTATAAACCACTTTTTTTTTTTTTTACCCAATAACATTTCAGTCTTTTCCTATGTCAAATGCCCTTTCTTTCTTTCTTTTTTCTTTTTCTTTTTTTTTTTTTAGACACAGAGCCTTACTCTGTGGCCCAGGCTAGAGTGCAGTGACGCGATCACAGTTCACTGCAGCCTTGACCCCCTGGACTCAAGTTATCCTCCCATCTCAGCCCTCTGAGTAACTGGGACTACAGGCATGCACCACCACACCCAGCCAATTAAAAAAAAATTTTGTGGAGAGAGGGTCTCACTATGTTGCCCAGGCTGGTCTCAAACTCCTGGCCTCAAGCGATCCTCCCACCTCAGCGTCCCAAAGCACTGGGATTATAGTTGGGAGCCACTGTGCCCAGCCATAAATGCCCTTTTAAGTAGCATTTACAATGGCTGCATTGGATGAAGGCATAATAATTTATCTAAGAACAGCAGCAATGATGATGAGGAGGAGGAGGAGAAGGAGGAGGGACTTTTGTGTAGGACTTGCTGTGAGCCGTGCCCTATGCCAAACCCTTTTACAGGAAACTCATTAGGCTGTGTGGGTGTGGGTTGTCTGCCCACCTAAGTGAGACACTGACCTTCCCTTAGGGTGCCCCAATGTGATTTAGGGGCCCTCCAAGTTTTTTGCAGTTGCCCCTGGGACAGATGAGGAGGATCCCAGCAGAGTGAAGCCTGCAGGTACCCTAAGCCTAGCAGACAGACCGGGCTCACCTGGGCTGCAGAGCCTGGAGCTGCCACCTTCCTGGGTGCACCTCTTCCCCCTCTATATTCCGGAAGGCCTCCCGGAGTTTCTGAAGTGGCTAGAAATTACTATGTGACAGTGTTTTTGTTTGTTTGTTTGTTTTTTAAAAAAAGAGCCTTAGGATAGTGTGGCAGATGTCTGTTAATGACTTCCTGGGTATGAGATCCTGGGCTTGATACTGAGATGTAGAAATGAATAAATTATGGCCACTGCCTTCTAGGAACTGGTGGAAAAGACCATCTTGGAATCCTTATAAGACAGGGCTAAAGCTTAGCTGTGCATAAAGCCAGGGACATGGTCCAGGCTCATTTCTGTTCTCACCACTGGCCTGTGTATCCAGTTCATTCCCACTCCCCCACTGTCAACCACGCTGACTTTTAGCAGGGAAGGAGTTGGTGTGTTCAGAGACCTGGCCCTCAGGGAGGTGTGAGATGGACAGGGAGGGGGGTCACCAGGATAGAGACAACACAAACAGGCATCACATTCCATGAGAAACAAAAGCCGGAAGGAGGTTCTGGAGGTGGCAGTGATGTGAGACTTTTTGTCCCTTACTCGCTTCTGTATTATTGGGTTTTTCTTTGCAGTGAGAGTGTAGTCATGTATTATTTGTATAAATAGAATCATTTAATAGACAAACAATGTAAGGAAACAGTTTTGCTCTAGGCTTTTCAAAGATTCATCTCCTTACACATTGTATCATCCCTAAGTCATTGCAACGTGATGATTTTGCAGTGAGAAAGATATGGCCCACATTTTAGGTGGGAGAGAAGGGAGTGGCCTGTAAAGTATTTCTGGCCTCTCTGGAGCTTTGCAAAGGTTTCATGTGTTCTTGCCCATGCAGCCTGCAGGTTTTGGGTCCCAGCGCTGCATCTGGAGGGGTAAAAGCGTGGTGCTAAGTGATGATCTGGAAAACTGAGCAGGTTAAAAGCATAGAATGTGATTTTTCCCCACGTGAAATGGCATTGGATTTTTAATTATGTATTTAACTTTTGAAAATGGTAAGAAATTCCCAAAGTGAGCAGCGAGGTGGGGAGTGAGTAGCAAGCATAAACCAGGTCTCTGGCTATTTTTAAAGTGTGACTGCCTCAGCAAAGTGGAGTTTTCTGCAAAGTGGAGTCAAGGATAGCAGAGAGTGGCACAGACAAAACCCCATAGAAACTCTCTCTCAGACTCTGGGGTAATGGGGGCACTGACCTAAATAAGGACAGGAATCTGCCAAGTACAATGAGCTCAGGCTGCAGGACAGGCGGAATTGAGGGCGCTGTGTCTTCCATTCACACACCGGCCCTGTGTGCATTCAGGCCCCAGATGACATGTAGGCCACTGCCCCATGCCAGCCAGACTGCCCCAGCCCCACCCACAGAAGCTTTCCTGGTTCAAAGGGCTTGATTGAAGATTGAGTGATAACAGGGCTAAATCCCTGACCAGAAACACTAGCCGAGACATAGGATTTTATCGTAATAATCCCAAGAAATGAGCGAATCTCCTTGGGCTCCAGGGCTAGGTCAGAGAGAACAGTTCTCAGTGGACTGTCAGCCATGGGGCTGTGTGCAATGTGAGCCACATATGCAATTTTAAATTTTCTTTTAAAAAGGCAAGAAGAAACAGACAACAGTCATTTTAATATTTTTTATTTAATCTAGTATATCTAAAATATTAACACTTATGCACATAATCAATATGAAAACTATTAAGGAAATGTTTTACATTCTTTTTGTGTACTCTTCAACATCTCAACTCAGATCTGCCGTATTTCAGGTGCCCAGTGGCCACATGTGGCTTATGGCTGCCATATTGGACACCAGCACTAGAAGCCATACACTCAGCACCTTACAGAGTGGGGCTGGAAAGCTGCAAGGATGCTGTCTGGGCCCATGAAATCCTTGCATCTCATGTAGAGTCCTCCTAATATTCATCTGCCATTAAAAACAAAAGCATTACACCTTCATAAGTTATAGGTAATAAGAATTATTTACATTTTCACAGGCCCTTCCAGTTACAGGACACTTTGGTATGTTTTCCTGTGCACCTAAAAACTCTATGAGGAGGCTGAGCACAGTGGCTCATGCCTATAATCCCAGCACTTTGGGAGGCTGAGGCAGTCGAATCAGCTGAGGCCAGCAGTTTGAGACCAGCCAGGCCAACATGGTGAAACACCGTCTCTACCAAAAATATAAACATTAGCCAGGTGTGGTGGCGTGCACCTGTAATCCCAGCTATTCGGGAGGCTGAGGCAGAAGAATTGCTTGAACCTGGGAAGTGGAGGTTGCAGTGAGCTGAGATCGTGCCACTGTACTCCAGCCTGGGCAACAGAGTGAGACTCTGTCTCAAAAACAAAAACAAAAACAACAACAAAAAAAACTCTATGAGGGAGGCAGGCAGATATCATTCTTTTGGCAAAAATTTATTGAGGGTCTGCCAGGTGCTAGGCCCTAATTTGCATACAACTCCTGCATTCCTAGAGTTTGGATTCTAGTGGAAGAGGAAAACAAATCATGATGTCAGCGTGGTTCGAATGGTAGTGGGAATATGAGTGCAGCTCGGCAACACATGAGAAACCTTTAATCTGCCCATGATATCAGGGGATGTTCTTCAAAGGAGGGATATTTGATTAGAAAAATACAGAATGAGGAGCTCTGTGCTGGGCAGATAAGTGAGGGTGGAAGGAGCACTGCACGTTCTGAACATAGTCCATTTGGGGCAGAACTTCTGACCCTGGTATGTCCATTTTAGACCCCAGACAGGTTAGGCCACCTACTTGAAATCCTACCACGTGTTCACAGGAGATGGGGCTGGAACCCAGGAGTTTGAGCTGGTCAGTCCTCAAGCAACAATTCATCTTGAAAAGGTGGTTCTTTATGCAAGGTCTTTAGGACGGGGATAAGCGTGGGAAGGGTTCCAGCCCTAGAACCTGCTCGATCAGGTGACCTCAATTCCAGGGTCCTTTCCTGCGTGCAGCTACCATTTTTGGTTTTGAAATCTGCAGAATATTTTGAATACAATTCTGCTGTGTCATCATGCTAAAGTTCAGTAAGGATGTGTGCTTGAAGTCTGTTTATAAAGTGTTTCTACTTTAGTAATCCTCGAGTCTTAGAAGAAGAGTCACCATTTCCTGGAGATTTTGAACCCCAGGTGAACTGGCTGCTTGTCTGGAATCTCAGTGCAGGAGTTTTTTTTTTTTTTTTTTTTTTTAACCTAGACAGGGAGCCAGTCTCTTGCCTTTGTTCACACAGGCCATTGGCCACCACTAGGGCAGAACAGAGACAGTGCCAGTCTGAAGCCTGCGGCCCTCCAGGAACGGTGCCTCCTCTGTACTCAGCAGTTTTTATTTTTATCTCATCAGCGTGTTCCTCCTTTTGAAGTGTGAATCCTAGTGACCCAAATGAGCTGTCTGCCTGGGCCTGGGCCAACAGGACCAGGTTACTTGAGTTCAGTGGAGACCCTGGGCTGCGGTGGCAGGGATGCTGGTTCCTGTGTGACTGGATGGGGGTGGGGTAGGCAGGCTTACTGGGGCCAGAGGCACAGGCAGCCTGCTCAACTGACAAATTTTCAAACCAGGAGGACTTCATGCTAAAAATAAACTGGATCCTGTATTCCCCCTCCCTCATTTGCTTCACAGCAGCCCTTTACAAAGAGTAAGCAGCATTTGCACAGTTTAGATGTTAACATTTAGAAGTGCAGAATTAAGCATGTGTACCTCACAGTGTTTGGCTGTGGATGCAATTCAGGCCCAGTGGCTTTGACAGTTGTCTCCATGCTGATGCATTGGAACAGTGTGGTGGAGAGTGGTTTAATACTCAGTGGTTGGGCATTGGGGGTGTGCTGTGTCACTGGAATTGAGTGGTCAGCAGTGGTGCCTGATGCTGGAGGCAGGGAGTCTGGTAGAGTTTGAGAAACAGGAAGGCAGATGGGCCCCCTATCCCTCTGTTGGCTGATGCCTGAGACACACTTGGTTTAGAGGGAAGAGAAAGAATACTTGTGGGTCCTCTATGCTGTAACAGGAACTGTACTAAGTACTTTTCCTGTGTATTCCTGTGAGTTCCACACAACTAAGCATATCCTCATTAGAGGCAGTGATGCTTCAAGGGTGGTTCCCAGACAGCAGCATCTGCGTCACCTGGGAACTTGTTAGGAATGCAGATTCTCAGGCCCTGCCCATGGTCTATGAAATGAGGATTCAAACGGGGTCCAGCAGTCTGTGGTTTAACAAGCTCCTGGGTGATCCCCGTGCACGCTAAAGCTTGGGAACCTCTCCTGGAGAGGTAGAGCGCAGACCTGGAGCTAGACTGGTCTCAGGCCTCAGGTGTTTGGCCTTCGACAAGTTGTGCAACCATTTCTGTGCCTCAGTGTTCTCATCTATGAAGTGGGGGTAATAACAATGGGGTTGTGTGGGATTACATTAAGCAATGTATGTTAAAACCAGCCATGGTACTGGGCATGTGGTAAGCATACCATAAGTGCTTGCTGTAACTCACTAGCTTTGATCCCATGTCTGTTTAACTTCAAGGCTGTTTACTCATTATTTTATACTCACTGTCTCTTAGCAACCTAACTCAGTTAGTGATTCAGGTGTCTAATTCTGCAAAAACAAAAACAAAAAAAGTAGGTTATTCTATAGGTCAAGGCTAGCAAGGTGGTTTCCTTTCTCATTGCCGGCTCTGTTTCTGTAGTAGGGGCCACCTGGTGCCCTGTGAGGAGGATTGTAGAGCCAAGCCTGAGCTAGGCATATACACGTGTGCCGTTATTGATGAGAGATGTCTGTCGTGGGTGTGCAGGGGTGTGATGTGCCCTCCTCTGCTGATGCTGGTTTTTGCCAGTCAACTTAGTGTGAATTTCTGATCCTTTCCTGTAGCTGGGTTTTAATGGGAGGCTATTAAGAGCCACTACTGAATACCGCGGGCCAGAGGAGTCATGTGGGCTGCACATGTTTGGCTGCACATGTTTAGGGCCAATTATCAGGAGACTGCATGTGGTTTCTGGGCAGATCTCGCGTGAACTACCAGAGCAAGAACTCACTCATTACTGTGGGAAGAGTACCAAGCCATTCATGAGAGATCCACCTGCATGACCCAAATACAGATATGGAAACTATCCCATTTCTGTATATGGGATATAAGACACATATCCCAATAGACACCACCTCCAACATTAGGGATCACATTTCAGCACGAGATTTGTTGGGGGGCAAACATCCAAACTATATCAGGCACCTCGTGCTGGTTGGCTGTGGAGATGACTGAGTCCAGCCAGTGCAGAGGGAGGAAAAGCTCCCTTAGAGGGTGGAGGAGGTCTCGGGGGAGGATGGAGAGGACGTTGAGGCAGGTTTGGACTTCCTGCAGGCAGCGAGGGTTTCCAAAGCAGACAGGCAGCTGGAGATGAGGTGGTGGGTGGGTAGGGGAAGTGGAGGGAAGGCAGGACCCCAGTTTTAAGAGTTAATTGTTGTAACAGAGCAGGAAAGTGATAATAAGGGCCCAGAAATACAGGTTGAGTGTTTGTAAAGAAAATTTCAAACTTGTTACTGATGGGTTTTTTGAGTGATTTGAATAAAAGGAAAAATAAACCAGATTCCTTGGTGGAGAAGACTACATTTCATAAAGATGACAGTTCTTCTAAACCAATGCAAAGGGTATTTAATATGAGTCCAATGAAATCCCCATGGAATTTTTAGGAACACAACAAAATAGTTCTAAGATTCCTCTGAAAGAATGACAGCTGAAAATAGCGAGAGGATTTTTTTTCATGAAAGAGGATAATGATGTCTCCTTCAGCTTGTTCCCTGCATACCTTCCAGAGCTGTCTTTTTAAAACATGAATCAAATCCTGGCTGCTTCTGTCATCCTGCGGCTATTAGAATAAACCTGAGCCCTTCCCTGGGACCTGTGTGGCCTGCCTGGCTGGCCTTTGACACCTCCTCCCTCACTCTCTTGCTCTCCCAGCTCCAGCTGTCCTGCCTTCCCTCTCCTCCTAGAAAACATCAAGCTTCTTCCCACCTGCGCATTTGCTGCTGCCTCCGCGTAGACCTTTTCCTTTCTCATGACTCACTTGTTCTTGTGATGTTCTTGTGGCCTCTGCTCAAATGGCTTCTCCAGGAAGCCTTCCCTGACCACCCCATCTCCTAACACTTGTTCCTGTCATTTCTTCTCCTCTATTTTCATCTGAATTACACACTTTATTTATAGTGTGGTGGCTCAGAGCATAGGCTCTGACCTGAGCTGCCTGCATTTGCATCTGGCTTCACCCCTTACTGCTGTGTGCCCATCTAGGCATCAGTTTTCCTCATCTATGTAATGGGAATAACAGTGTCTATGTCATAGGGCTGTTGTAATGTGACATGAAAAGAGCCTCACGAGCCTGTCACACAGAGTCAACAGATGTTGTTGCTTGTTCAACCTTCATTCACCCCACACCAGAAAGGGAAGCAAGACAGAAGCGCCTTGCCTGGTTCACTGGCAGTATCTTCGGTGCCCTTCGGTGCCCAGAACTATACCTGGCACATTCTGTGGCATGGTAAATAACTGTTGAATGAATAGCATGATAGTAAAACATGCTATACATGCGCAGTGTTAAAATAGCAATTGGTGTCTGAGTAGAGATACAGATTAAAGGAACAGCATAATAACTCCAGAGCCAACCCTAGCATTTATGAGAATTTAATAGATGGTGAAGCAGCGGCACAAATTAGTAGGGAGACAAGAAGGATAATTTAGTAAATGACCGATGAAAAAAAATTAGATCCTCTCCTCACAACATTTATCAGAATAAATTCCAACTAGACATTTCAAATTCTAAGAAAAACTAAGAAAATATATGAGGGTATCTTCTTTTCTAGGGAAGGGTTGTCTTTTTAAGCACAAAACCCTGAGAAAAAAATCAGAAAGAAGAAAGAGCAGTGGGTTCGACTACTTTTAAAAATTACCTTTTGTGGCTGGGCGTGGTGGCTCACACCCGTAATCCCAGCACTTTGGGAGGCCAAGGCGTGCGGATCAACTGAGGTCAGGAGTTTGAGACCAGCTTGGCGAACATGGCGAAACCCTGTCTCTACTAAAAGTACAAAAATTAGCCAGGCGTGGTGGCAAGCGCCTGTAAACCCAGCTACTCAGGAGGCTGAGGCAGGAAAATAGCTTGAACCCGGGAGGTGGAGGTTGCAGTGAGCCAAGATTGCGCCACTGCATTCCAGCCTGGGCAACAAGAGCGAGACTCCATCTCAAAAAAAAAAAAAAAATTAACTTTTGTGTATCACAAGCATTAGAAACAAAATGTAAAGTTAATGTAGAAAAATTGCCTCAAGTGACAGAAAAAAATGTTTAAAGCCTGTAATATAGAAATTACTTACATAAATCTAAAGGGAAGGTCATTTATATCTCAATAGAAAAATTAGCCAAAGGAAAGATATAGAACCTGCACAGAAGAAATACATGCAGCCAAGTAGCTATAGGGGAAATGTTTAACTTACGGGTAATCAAACAAATGCAAAGTAAAATGAGATGTCAGTTTTCCTCTATGAAGTAACCCAGTGGGGACTGTGTTAAGAAAGATACATTTCTAAATTGCTGGGGGGAGTGTAGCTAGAAATAGCTTTTCTGTCACACAGTTTGAAGAGGCTTAACTATGTACAAATCTTTTGACCCAATAGGTCCACCTCTGGAAATCCAGCTTAAGGAGATCGTCAGAAATGCATCCCATATATATGCAAAGATATTCATTAATCATAAGTCAGAAAAATGTGAAAAAATTAAATACCCAGCAATAGAGGAAACAGTAAATTATAGTACATATACACCAGAATACAATATAACCATTAAAAATATTTTTTAAGGTTATTTAATGTAGTGGTTCTTAACCTCTGTTTGCATCATGCTTGCTAATGTCCCATTGGCCAAAGGAAGTCACATGGCCAAGCCCAGACTCAGTGGGAGCCGACTACACAAGAGGTGAGTACTAGGGGGCCACTGTGTAACCATCTACCGTATGTATTCATGATATGATTGCAGTTTCTAAATATAAGACACAAAGACACATGTACATGTAGGAATATACCAGTATGTAAACAGTGGTTATTTTAAATTTATTATTTGTATTTTCAAAATTTCCTATAACAAGCATATATTTTATCATCATTAACAAAAGTATACCTTAAGAAAGCATGGCTGTGGCCGGGTGAGGTGGCTCACGCCTATAATCCCAGCACTTTGGGAGGCCAAGGCAGGCAGATCGCCTGAGGTTAAGAGTTCAAGACCAGCCTGGCCAACATGATGAAACCCTGTCTCTACTAAAAATACAAAAATTAGCCAGGTATGGTGGCATACGCCTGTAATCCCAGCTACTTGGGAGGCTGAGGCAGGAGAATGGCTTGTACCTGCGAGGCGGAGGTTGCAGTGAGCCCAGATCGTACCACTGCACTCCAGCATGGGCAACACAGCAAGATTCCAACTCCAAAAAATAAAAATAAATAAATAAATAGAAAGCATGGCTCTGGATATGGAGAAGCTAACCTAATATATTATGACACATTCAGGAGGTGGTTGAGTGGATGGAATTAACTGGCACTGGTGGCTTTTTAGATGTGGTGGATGAAGTGGGGAATGGGGGCGTTCAAGAATAGTGTGACTCGGGCTTGGTCTGATGGTGTCTGAGATGGGGAAAAGGGATGTGGTGCAATTTGCTTGGAAAGTCTCATTTACCATGTTGAGTTTGAAGTTCCTGCGAGGCACTGTAGTTAGAGGCCCAACAGATGTTGAAAAGACAGAGTTGGAGTTCAGAAGCAAAGCGAGGATTGGACAGAAATATTGTTCAGATTATTGGTGGTCATTGTGAGGGAGAAAACGTGATTGCCCAGGAGTGGCATAGAGGAGGTCGGAAAGAGCACAGAAGACAGGTCCTTGAGTTCACCAACATTGAAGGCCCTGGCAAAGGAAGCGTCAGGCCAGCTCTAACTCCAGACACTGCTTCAGTGTGACTCCACTCACAAGACCTTTCCTGCCCACAGCCTTAACTACCCCTTACCCCATCACATGTAGGCTCAGCATCCTATGCTTGTCATTTGGAGGGTCTGACATGTTTGTCATGAAATTGATTGGTGGGCGTGTACCCCCCCGGATTGTCGGCTCCACAAGAGCAAGGGCAGGGCAGGGTCTGTCTTGTCCTCTGTTCATCACTGTTGTCTACAGCAGTGCTTGACACAGGTTTTCTGGGAGGCTGAGTGAATGAAAGCATGTGGCAGCCAAACCTGGGAAGTGATGGATAAGGGGGGATCCATAGGATGGATAAGAATTCAGAGAAGATGTTGGTGGTCCAGGAGAGTTTTGAGAGAAGAGTTTCAAGGAGACAGCAGACACCAGTGCCAATGATGAGAGATCAAGAAAGATGGGCTCTGGAAAGATCTAGAAAGAGCAAGCTGTCTTAGAGTAGGGATGGAGGCAGGTCCTGGGGGAAAGGAATGGATCGATTCTGTCCAGAGCACAGGTGGGTTCACTGGTCTTGGGAAAAGCCGTAGAAGCTCTTCAGAGTGGGCAGGACAGCAAAGAGGATGGGACAAATATGGAAGAAGGAAAGAAGTTCACATAGTAAACTGACATCATGGCTCTGGGTCCACTGGGCTGACATTTGGTTTTTCAGACAGCATCCACAGGAAGTAGCTGTCCTATTTGAGAGATAATGTTGGGCTGTCCCATCTTGCACCCCCACAAAGCCACTGGCTATCCCCCAGAGCGTGCTGTGGCTCCTCATCAACAGGTCTGGTCAGGGAGATCATCAGTGATTCTGTGTAAAGTTGGCTGTGGTGTAGTCTTCGTCAAAGTGGCATCTTAATTTGGTCTTATATCCCATTCAGTCTGGTCGCATCTGCCTCTCCTGGGAACTTGTTGGAAATGCAAATTCTCAGGCCCTACCTCAGAGAGACTTAAGTAGGAAAGTCTGGGGCTGGGGCCCAGCCGTGTGTTTTAGGAACATTCCCGGGTGATGTTCACTAAACATGGAGAACCTTTATCTTACTCCAGAAATACAAGCCAGCAGTTGTTGCAACCTAACTAGCGCTGGCTGACATTGACGCAGGAGCTTCCCAGCAGGAATGGATGTTTCTTCCCGCCGCCTTCTTGGAAGTGCTTTTGAAGTTGACTCCACTCAGAACCTCCTTTGGAATTCCCTGAGCGGAGAGAATCAAGCTGGTATAATTAGAGGCCCCTGTCATGCAGCCACTCGGTATTACGGGGTCAGCAGTTTCTGCTGGGATCCCAGGCAGCTTTCCAGGCTTGACTCTGATCTGCACATGAGGTTCTGAGCCAGTGAGGAGCTCCTGGGCCCCCCTGAATTTGGTATTTTAAATTGTAGACTATGAGGGACCAGAGGGGCCTCAATTGCAGGCTGGAGGATAGGGTTTCATGCATAGCAGCTGGAATTCATAGCAGTGGCGTCTGGGACCCATAGCTTTGAAGACACGGGTGAGATGCTGTTGCTTAACGATAACCAGACACGAGCCGAGCCCACCCGCTGCTGCCCTCCCTGTGACTCTGCACCCCGCAGCGCTGCACCAGGGCAGTAGGCGCCTTGGCGCCATGCGGGGTCATCAAGCCCCTAAATGCACCCTCCTGTTCCCCAGGAGATGAAAGCCGATTTGGCGGGGCTGGGGGCTGCTGCTGCTGCTTTTAAGGGGCCCAACCTTTTAACTGCAGCTCTCAGTATGGACATCCAGCAGCAGATGTTAATTGCTGGAGAGGTAGGTGGAACGTTTTCCTCTTTGTAATGCAGATGCACAGATATCTAGAGGCCAACCAGATCCCCACACATCCGGAAGCTGATTCCAGAAACCAGGTTTGAAATTTCACAGCCAGCCAAAGCTCTCAATGCAGAATAAGTGCCCATTTGTCCCTGAAGAGGGATGCCCACTTGCATTCTCAAAGCCTGTAGGCACCATGTGTTGGGGCCATTGCTGCCTGGGATTTTTGTGCCAGTCTGTTCTGCACTGTTGAGTGCAGCGTTGTGGTTAGATCCTTGGGGAGTAAGGGCTGGTCCCCTTCCCCTGATGTTAGGGCTGTTTCTGGGTGGGAGGTGAGAGCAGGCAAGTGCCTGCAGTATCTCTGGGAGACCCTGCTCCCCTTCTGGAAAATCTCTGGGCCTCCCTGCAGACTGCAGGCATGTGTCCAATACAACTAAATTCTTTTACATTTTGTACACTTCTGTGGGTAAGTCTTCCTTTTTAGCCAAAGACAAAGAGAGGATGGGAGCCCTACCTCCTCCTGGGTCTAGTTTACCCATATGATTTTGAGCCAATGGGTAAATCTTTTCAAATACCTTTTTTTCCCTCTCTCTCCAGTGAGTGGGCTTTAATCATGCTTATTACAGCTGGTGGGCCCCCATATAAAACCTTTGGGGCAAAATATTGATAGTAGTTAGATTTGGGAATCTAAAAATCCTATACATAGTATTCTAGTTTATCCAGAGAAGTATATCCAATTATCAAAGGAGAGGAAGGAGAGAAGAGGTTCCAAAGCTCAGCTAAGTTGTTTATTGACTGCCCCGCACAAGGCTGCTGAGCTTAGAGGACCTTTCCATGTGACTCACAGTGGTGGAGACAGTTCCCTGGAACTGTTCCCCTCCTGTCACCATTGCTCACTGGTTCTGAGGAAACAATTGGCAATCGTCAGTAAAATCTTCAGTCTCTTTAGTGCTCAAGTAAATGTAAATTTAAACTGCGTAATAACACCTTTTCCACCTATTGGATTGGTAAGGATTTTCAAAATTACCCAGAGCAAGGGAGTGGATTGTGCAACTGCTAGTGGAATTGTAAATCTGCAAAGCAATTTTGCAAAAGTTATTACACACCTTAAAAATGCACACAGCTCTTGACCTGGCACACCTGGGAAGGTATTGTTTGAAACAATTAAAGTTGTGCAGAGTTCAAAGTTTTTCACCAAAGCGAAAAATGTGAAATGGCCTTGATGTTTAAATGTTCAAAAAGACTTATTAAATTATAGCATGTATCTATATATGTGTATATATCTCCATTAAAATTATGTCAAATAATACTTAATGACATGAGGTCATATGACAATGAATAATAATGACAGTAATTTACAACATTACTTGGTGGCAACTTAAAATAACAGACAACAGCACATACAATATGATTCCCATTTTATTAAATGTATACATTCATATTTTAAAGGTCTAGAAGGATACATATCAAGACCTTAATGGTAATTCCTAGGTAGCAGAATTATAGCTGATGTTTCCTTTACTTTTTTCTGTATTTTAAAACTTTTCTGCCATAACTATATGCTTTATAAATGACTGCTTTTGTTAGTGGAAAGGGGTCCCAATCCAGACCCCAAGAGTGAGTTCTTGGATCTTGCACAAGAAAGAATTTGGGGCAAGTCCATGGAGTAAAGTGAAAACAAGTTTGTTAGGAAAGTAAAGGAATAAAGAATGGCTACTCCATAGGCAGAGCAGCGGCATGGGCCACTGGTTGCCCATATTTATGGTTATTTCTTGATTATGTGCTAAACAAGGGGAGGATTTTTCATGAGTTTTCAGGGAAAGAGGTGGGCAATTCCTGGAACTGAGGGTACCTCCCCTTTTTAGACCATGTAGGGTAACTTCCTATAAACTGTCACTTACAAACTGTCATGGCACTGGCGAGAGTGTCTTTTAGCATGCTAATGCATTATAATTAGTGTGTAACGAGTAGTGAGGATGACCCGCGGTCACTTTCATCACCATCTTGGTTTTGGTAGGGTTGGGCCAGCTTCTTTACTGCAGCCTCTTTTATCAGCAAGGTCTTCATGACCTGTATCTTGGGGCAACCTCCTATCTTATCCTGTGACTTAGAATGCCTAACCTCCTGGGAATACAGCCTAGTAGGTCTCAGCCTTATTTTACCCAG
Source organism: Homo sapiens (assembly GCF_000001405.40). Classification (NCBI taxonomy): domain Eukaryota; kingdom Metazoa; phylum Chordata; class Mammalia; order Primates; family Hominidae; genus Homo; species Homo sapiens. Next base: position 36,217,597 of record NC_000007.14, read on the forward strand.
CCCCTATTCAAGATGGAGTTGTTCTGGTTCAAATGCCTCTGATAACTTTTAAAACAAATAACCAAAAGATTCCTGTGAAATGTGCTCTTATAATTGCTATTGTAAACAACTCCCTGCCCAGAGAACCTAACTGGCTGGTTTGTGTTACAGGGAGAGAGGGGGGATTGCTTTTTACTGATTAGAGAGGCCATGGGCTCTAACAAAACCCAGAGGTGAATTTCACCTGGCCTAAAAGGAAGAGAAACCTTGCTAAGAGGTGAAAGGTCAGCAGTGAATGCCAAAGGAGGAATTTTGGCTGGAGTATTAATTTGCAATCACAGACCCTGTATTGTGTTAGCTAACTTTCTAATTTTCAGTATGCTCTGAAAGCAGAAATTTCTTTTTCTCTTGTGTGTTCAGTTAATCACTCTTACTCTTTCCTAGAGAAATGAAACAAGAAGTTCTTAAGATGGTGGCAATGAGTGGTTGAGAACAGCAGCAGTAAGCCTGGCTGGGCAGAAACGATACTCTGATTGTTATTAAGAACTGCGTAACGGTCCCTAGGGGCCCAGGGCAGAGCCAGTATCATTCTATTTTCAAGTGCACGAGGGGGGCTCATTTATACTGAATACAGTAGTCCCCCTTGTCCTCGGAGGTTATCTTCCAAGACTTCAGATGTGCCAAACCCTATATACTGTTTTTTCCTATCCATACATACCTATGGTAAAGTTTAACTTATAAATTAGGCACAGAAAGAGATTAACAACAATAATAATAAAATAGAAAAATTCTAATAGGAGGGGGAGGAAGAGGAGGAAAAAACTAAAAAAAAAATTATAACAATAGACTGTAATAAAATTTATGTGAATGTGGTCTCTCTCTTTCTCAAAACACCTTATACTGTACAGACTCACCCTTCTTCTTGTGCTGATGTGAGATAATAGGAAGGCTGCTAAGTGTCTAAAGGATGGGAAGCATCTGCAGATGAAGACGCTGAGCAAAGGGAGGGTTCACATCCCTGGTGAGACACAGCGGTGCAGTGTGAGATTGTGAATTGTATATTTCCAGAATTTTCCATTTAATATTTTTGGACTGTGATTGACTGTGGGTCACTGAAACCATAAAAAAGTGAAACTGCAGATATGGGGTGACTGCTGTACTATGTGAAAATATCACCCTCTTTTTGCTAAAAATATGTGATCAAATGTAAAGTTGGGCCTTAGAAATAGGCATGTTATGGTGGCTTGACAAGCTTAGGATGGGAACATTAGAAGGTGGAAGAGAAGTAGGCTGGTGGGAAGGAGAATGGCGATTTTGTCCAGATGAGGAGGGAATTTGGTTAATAAAAGCTTAAGGCTGGAGCCTAGGAGAAAGGCCTGGAGGAGAAGTGTTAATACTGGGTTTAGGTAGAGCAAGAAAGTGGGGTTTCGGGTTGGTATCTGGAAGTCTGTAGGAAGTTCCCTGCAGAAAATAAGAGAAATTATTTTTCCTTTGTGGGAAATATCAAAAACCAAATCATTGGATTGTAACATACTTTGAAATCCATCTTAGAAAATAAGATGGATCGATGTCTGATTGGGTGGGCAGATGTGTGATAATGATAATGCTAATTGTGGAATGTAGGCAGTGTGTCTATGAGTCTTCACCATATAGTGCCCTAAACTTTCTTGTAGATTTAAAAAATTCAAAATTTAAACGTTAGGAACAAAAGAGCAACTAGATGGCAAAGCCTAAACTCGTGGTCATTTTACAGGAAAAAAAAAATCAAGTAACAAGGAATCTCCTATGAATTCCAAAATACAAAAGGTGGGGACCTGGCTGGGTGTGGTGGTGTACACCTGTAATCCCAGCACTTTGGGAGGCCGAGGCAAGAGGATTGCTTGAGTTTGAAACCAGCCTGAGCAACTTAGCAAGACCCTATTTCAAAGAAGGAAGGAAGGAAGGAAAGAAAGGAAAGGAAGGAAAGGAAGGAAGGAGAGGGGAAGGGAGGGGAGAGAGAAGGAAAGAAGAAAAGAAGAAGAAGGAGGAAGAGGAAGGAAGGAAAGAAGGAAAGAAGGAAAGAAAAGAAGAAGGAGGAAGAGGAAGGAAGGAAAGAAGGAAAGAAGGAAAGAAGAAGAAAGAAGTGGGGACCAAAAACAGCCCAATCCCCTAATTACTGGCCTGATAGTTGGCCAGCATGCATTTAAAGAGAGAGAGAGAAAGAGAGAGAGAGAGAGAGAGAGAGAGAGAGAGTGTGTGTGTGTGTGTGTGTGTGTGTGTGTGTGTTCATTCTCACAGGCTTGGATACACATAAAGAGATATATAAAACATGAAAGATTACAGTATTTGAGGGGAAGCTAGTGAATGGAAAGGAAAGGTAGGAAAATCAGACATGATTGGCCCCTGGAAGTCCATCCCACATGGCCTGAGCAGGTTGCGGGAAGAAGAGCACAGGAAAATGGAAGTACAGAAGGGAACAGGCCCAGCTAGAGTCCCCTCTGCTACCAGGTGAGGTCGTGGAGGATGGGGATGCTGTCCCCACAGTAGATGCAGAAAACTAGTTTGATCTTGTTGTTTCTCATGCTTCCTCCAGTGAAAGCCAAGAAATAATCAAAGAACAATTCAGGAAGAACAATTGGGAAGAAGGGCGGTAAAAATGACTTTTTCCTGAAGGAACAAATACCTTCAGATGATGTTTGCAGCATTTTCTGATTTTATTGAGCAGATGGCTCCTTCTTGGGTGAAAGCATGTTGAAAAACTTAAGGGGGAAGGGAAAGGCTCAAGTTCCAAGGAGAAGTCCCCAATTCACTTGGGTTAGGGAGGTGAATGGTACCAGTCAGAGAGCCCTCCTTGCTTTGAAGACATCTGGACTTGTATCATCATAACCACGTGGATTAAGAATAACCAAAAAGAACCTCATGGAAGTTCCATAGCTTCATCTCTTGCCAATTGGATGTGACACTGGGGAGGAAGTTTGGGATGAAAGAAAGAGGTACCTGTAGAAGCCCTGAGCTCCAGTGGCAAATGGCACTTTGCTCTTTCTATTCATTTGGCCCCGTTGTCCTCATCTCTAGAGCAGAGCTAATGGCATCGACTCCATCTCATATCCTGCAGAGAACATGAAAATGTCTCTGATGTCTGTGGTTCAGAGTGTGTCAGATGGTATTGAAAAATGCTTTGTCCTTCTCCTTTCACCCTCTGCCCATAACAAACTTATAACTACACTGAATTCGGTTTTTGTTTTGTTTTGTTTTGTTTTTTTGAGATGGAGTCTCGCTCTGGTGCCCAGGCTAGAATGCAGTGGTGCAATCTCGGCTCACTGCAACCTCCACCTCCTGGGTTCAAGTGATTCTCCAGCCTCAGCCTCCTGAGTAGCTCGGATTATAGGTGCCCACCACCACACACCACCACACCTGGCTAATTTTTGTATTTTATTAGAGACAGGGTTTCACCATGTTGGTCAAGCTGGTCCAGAACTCCTCGCCTGAAATGATCAGCCTGCCTCAGCGTCCCAAAGTGTTTAGATTACAGGCGTGAGCCACTGCGTCCAGCCAACTACACTGAATTTGTAAATTATCAAGGTAGTAATTTTTCTCAGTTTGAGGGAAGAGTTTCATCCTTCAGTTTAAAATAACCTAATATGTAATTTCTTTTCAACATTTTATACAACCTTATCTTTTGGAGCTCTGTTCCGTATCATCTTTTAATAAACTTGCATTTTGAATGAATGTTACAGCTTTGAAAGTATTTAAGAGCCAGCTCTATGGTATGTGTTTTGCTTATTATCTGTGTATCTTTTTACTTTTAGCTTTAGAAGATGGAGAGCAAAACTGTTTTGTATACTCAGCTCCAGAAAAGTTATAATATTCTTTGTACTTCTTTAAGAAGGATGAGCCTGGATTGATCTGGAATTAAAGTGCTAACTGTTAAAGAATGTAATCAGATTATTTAATAATAATAACAGGGACACTGCAGGACTGCATATACCAGCCTGGCACCATAAAATCTGAACTCAGCAATTCCACCGTAACAGGAACATTTTCAGGTTGTGGGTCAATCATTTAGATCCTGTTTTTTTAAGTGGCTAGAATACCAGTGTGATTTTGAGGAATGAAAGCTTTATATTCTGATCAGTTCTAAAAAAGGTAAGAATCATGTATGAGGTCATGTCCATTTCAATTCAGATAAATATAATAACTGTCATTTATGGTGTACCTATTATATACTAGAAGCAATATATTGTAATAAATGCCATTTCAATGATTTTCTAAATAGCTGCAGTCATTATCCTGATTTTACAGATGAGAAAATCCAATCTCTGATCAAATGCCTTTTTATGGGACAGGTCCTCTGTGTCCCCCCCACAGCACACTGGCCACACATGTACCTGTGCTCCCTGTCACTCATACTCCCTTACCTGGCTTTATTTTTAATACATTTATCATCACTAGACACATTATATAGTGGCATTTATTTTATATTGTATTCAGGATCGTTAACCCTTGAACAACATGGGGGTTAGGGGAGCCAACCCGCCCTCCCCTGCAAAATTGAAAATTCACATAGAACTTTTGACTCCCCCAAAACATAAGTACTACCAGCCTACTGTTGACCAGAAGCCTTACTGATAACCTGATAGTCAATTAACAAGTATTTTGTATGTCATATGTACTGTATGTTGTATTCTTACAAATAAAGTAAACTAAGGAAAAGAAAATGGTATTAAGAGAATCATAAGGAAGAGAACATATGTTTACTAGTCATTAAGTGTAGTGGATTATCATAAAGGTCTTCATCTTTATCATCTCCATGTTTTGAGTAGGCTGAGGAGGACAAGGAAGAGGAGGGGTTGGTCTTGTTATCTCAGGGTGGCAGAGGCAGAAGAAAATCCACCTGTAAGTAGACCCGCACAATTCAAACCTGTATTGTTCAAGGGTGAACTGTATATATAACAGAAATATTGCACATTATATAATTATGTGATAATTATATAATGTTTGTTGCAGATCCTTCCTGTCTCAGTGTTTTTGGAGTACAATAACAAAATACTATATACTGGGTGATTTATAAACAAAAGACATTTATTTCTTACAGTCTGGAGGCTGGCGAGTCTAAGATCAAGGCACCGGCTAATTCAGTGTCTGGCAAGGGCCCATTTCCTAGTTCATAGATGGCATCTTCTAGCGGGGTCCCCACTTGGTGGAAGGAGCAAAGCAGCTCTCTTCGTGCCTCTTTTATAAAGTCACTAAACCCTCATGTCCTAATCACCTCCCAAAGGCCTCACCTCCTAATGCCATCACACTGGTCATTAAATTTCAACACAGGTGGCTCACGCCTGTAATCCCAGCACTTTGGGAGGCCAAGGCAGGCAGATCGCTTGAGGTCAGGAGTTCGAGACCAGCCTGGCCAACATGGCAAAACCCCATCTCTACTAAAAATACAAAAATTAGGCAGGCGTGGTGGCGGGTGCCTGTAATCCCAGCTACTTGGGAGGCTGAGACAGGAGAATCGCTTGAACCCGGGAGGCAGAGGTTGCAGTGAGCCAAGATCACGCTACTGCACTCCAACCTGGGCGACAGAGTGAGACTGTGTCTCAAAAAATAAATAAATAAATAAATAAATAAAAGTAATAATAAGAAATAAATTTTAACACAGTAATAATAAGAAATAAATTTTAACACAGACCTCAGCACCTCCTCACTATTGCATGCTGGGTGGAGCTGGTGTGCAAGGGCTCTTGGGAGCTTTTTGTGCGCATCTCTTCCCAGCTCCACACTGAGTCACACCAGACTGGTGACTTGAAATGGGCCTTGGTGGGAGTATGTAAGACACCACAGAAATTGGCAAATGAGGCAACTCCTCTGCATCCCCCACCCCTAGAGCCAGTGGTTAAACATTGACCTGCAGGCCACCACTCCCCACCCCTCATTAGAACGTAAGCTTCGTCAGAGTCAAGATTCTGTTTTGTTCCTTGCCCTATCTCTGGTGTTGAGAACTATGCCAGGCACATAGTAGATGCGTAGTAAATATTTGTTGAATAAATAAAAAGCAGTGCATGCTTTTAAATTATATAAGCTTGGCCTCATCCCTGTGTGGACCCTGAATAAGCCACTTCATTGCTCTGAAGCTGTAAAATAGAAATCGAAATCCCTGCCTCTTCAGTTAAGGCTTAAGGTATCCCAAAGCCAAGGGTCAGGGGGAGAAGGATGAAAAGTTAATATTGTAGTGTACAAATCATACAGTCAGTCCTTGAATACTTAGTTTAGCTTTAGAATCTGCAGTTTGTTACAACTGTGTCTGCAAGGAGAAACTTGCAGATGTAAGTAAAATAATATAATCAAGGCTTAGCAGGGTACCAACATCTGGAAAACACTTTCAACTGAATCCTCTTTCTCCTCTTCATTGGTTCTTTCTACATTTCAGTCTGTTCCCCTGCCTTTTCTTCCAAATTTTCCAGGAATAAAATTGCCTAGTCTACTTTAGTTTTATCTCCTGCAGTTAAGCCAAGTCATTAACTTTCTAATGGACTTTCCTGTGGAGCCTCAGATCTTAAATTAGGTTAAATGTTTCAGCTTTTTAAAAAGTGGCATTAAATAGGCAATTTGCTGTTGGGAAAAAAAGCTTGTATATGGAAGTGTTTCCTAGTCTTTGGTCAGCAGCCAGCCTGACTTTTACTGTTCATCATCACCCCTGTTCAGTGGGATCTCAGTGGAGTGAAAGGTTTCAAGTTGACTGGAAGCAGAGCTCTTTCTCTGTGCCTTCCCAAGGTGGGTATGAGAAGGAGAGATCGATCCTTTACACAGGTGGATAGAAAACGGGCCGACAGTCAGTCCACTCATAATAGCTGGACAAATGTTTCCTTGTTTAAGGATGCATAAAGACTAAAAAAAGGCTGTGGAAAAGTCCTGCAGAACAAGGTAAAAGCAAGAGCTTCTGTAGACTGAGATGGAGTTTCTATTTTGAAAAACCATCTACAGCAGACTCCAGAAGATAGTTTTGGGAAAATATGTGGCATCCTCAGTATACAGCAAAAGGACATGGTCTCCCAGGGCCAGGAACAGTAAAACGTGAAGAAAGGATATTTGACATGGAAAAGCAACAGAAAGGGAAAAGCAAGGAGATGGATTCCATAAGGAAAGGTTTTAAGGATCCAATAGCAGAACTAAAATCCAAATTAGCAAGAGTATAGAAAAGTATTCATGTATAGTAAACTGAATAATGGCCTCCAAAAGTTTTCCATATCCTAATCCTTGGCACTTGTGAATGTTACCTCACATGGAAAAAAAAAAAGTTTTGCAGATTTGATTAAATTAAGGATCTTGAGGGGTATGGGGGTTATACTGGGTCATCTATGTGGGCCCTAATTGCAATCACAAGTGTCCTTGTAAGAGACAGGAAGAAGGAGATGTGATGATAGGAGAGAAAGCGACATGACCATGGCGACAGACTGGAGTGATGAGGCCAAAAACAAGGAATGCAGGCAGCCACCAGAGACAAAAAAAAAATAGGCTCTCCTCTCGAGCCTCCAGAGGGAGTGCGGCCATTCCGATAGCTTGATTTCAGCCCAGTGAGCCTGAGACTTCTGGCCTCCAGAACTGAGGGAATGACTTTCTGTTGTGTTAAGTCACCAAGTTTGTGATAATTTGTTAGAACAGCCACAGAAAACAACACAAATGCCATGGAAAATCAAATCAGTGATATGAGTCAGGGTGAAACAAGTCGAGAAAGATTCTGGAAAATATGAGAAAAGAAGAACAAGAGACAGGGTTATACATGTGGAAGATGGAACTGACCACCCACATTCAGATTTTTGGCGTTGGTGATTATTGAAATCAGTGATCCGTCATCCAAACTGTGATGGAAGGAAACCCCGTGCTCACGAGGGACTGTGCGTGAATATCAAAGGCCTCACTCAACCACATTCTGAACAAACTCAGAAAGAGACGGCCACATCTGAGCATACCCTGGGAATAATAAAGAATAACAACGATAAGAGGGGGACAAGCATTTCATCCAAACAGAGAAAAAAGTAACAAAAATTAAGTCGACTTTAGACTTGTTCTGTATAACAAAGAGACTGTGTTTACAGAACCTGTCAGAAGATTAAAACATCTGGGAATTAAAAAAAAATTTGGCTCTATTCCCAGGCCCCATAACACCAACCTACGTGTGGAGCCTGAGAATCTGAAGCATTAAAAGTTCTTCGATTATCAAGTAAGTTTATGAACCCTCTACAAAATTTGGGGGTTATGTAGCAACCCAAACAATTTTATGCTCAGCTGAGTTGCCTTTTGTCTGTGAAGCCAATCAGAAAGACATTCTCAGATGTGCAGGGGCTTAGGGAAGTATACAAACATGCTCCTTTCTTTAAAATTCATTTTAAAGACATGTCTTAGATGCTCAAGAGTTAAAACAGAGCTCAAGAGTAGCTAACATAAGCACCAGATTCCATAAAACTAGAGAGCAGTTTAAATTATTGTTATAAGTCTGATTAGCAAACAAATGCAAATGTCAAAAATTGTTCTTACAATAAACTATGTAATGGAAAGACAACCAAATGCCTGTATTCTGGATCTAAGCCTTAGAGTATTGCTAATGAAGATCAAAGAGGGAAGGGGAGATAAGGGTTGTAATGCTGCTTGTCCGAAATGGGATGGTATCAAGAAAAAGTTGTTTCAGTCTTTATTCTAATCCTCAAGAAGTGTTAGTGGCTAAAGAAAGGCTCTGAATGATGAGTACTAATAGCCGCCATTCCGAGAGGCTTATGAGGGAAGCAGCGTGCTAAGTACTTTACCTTAGTCACCTCTGCTCCCGGCCACAGAAGCGGGCGTCAGTCTCTTTCTCTTCCCACCTGCTGCTGAGTTCTTCAGGTTCCTTAAGACCCTGCAGCCAGTAGGCAGTGCAGCTTGAACTGACTCTTGTTTCCTACATTAATATGAAAAACTTAAAGTGAACACTGATAGATCCAAAAACATGTTCAGGAACTACTCAAATGCTTGGGAAATGGAAACGTGAACTCAGCACAAAGTAGACCCAAAAGAGTCTCAATACACTTTACTAATCAGGAAATAAATACACAGGGTGCTTCCCCTAAATAGAGTGCACTAGAACTATAGAAAATAAAATTTAAAACCAAACTACTTAGAGATAGAAAAACACAATTCAAATAACCATTGAATCCAACAAGAGGTCAACACTACAACTGTAGACTACATAGATAGTAACAAGAAGACTGCATAATGAAATTTGAAACAAGGATAAATACATACTTAGAGAAAAAAGTATGGCTTTATATATATAATAAATCATTTAAACAAAAGAAGGTGACAGAGAAACCAAAGAAAACAGTGGAAAATTGGAGAAAGGAATTAAGATAAATGTGAACCTTAATTAGAAAAAGAATGGTACAATTGATAAATCCTAGTGCTAATTTTTCAGGAAACCAACAAAGTAGACTGATTTCTCACAGATCTAATTTTCAAAATGAGAAAAAATATCTACCCATCTTAAAGAAGGGAGGGGGGGTGGCCAGAAACAGATGCAGAGGTGATTATTAAGTTTAAAGTGATTACTTGTATAATTTTGTGCTCAAAATTTGAAAATCTGAATGGATTGGATAATTTTCTTAAAAAATAGAATATACTGTAATTGATTCAAGCAGTTGAAAACCTGAATGGAATAAAAAACTTGGGCACTGTCATCAAAGAAGTTTCCTGCCCAGATTGTTTTGCAGACTAATTCTTTCAAACCCGCTAAGAACAGTTACTGCCCAAGCTAAATTCCACAGAGATTGTTCTGTGCTGACATCCTAATCCCGCACTTGGCTTTGGCAAGGAAGGGTGTCTTGGCAGTGACAGGATGCAACGCTGTCAAGGACATATTTAGGAAAAGCAGCTCCTTCTCCAGAGCTCATCCCTCCTCCTGGGCGTGTCCACTGATGTGCAGATGCTGACGGCCCCTGTGTTTCCTCAGCTCTGAGCCAATAGAGGAGGAAAGTAAGCATGGGGGAAAACAGGCCTGCATGTAACACCCATGATGTCTTCTAAAATTTGGTGATAAAAACAAGAGACAAGAAATTTTTGGCCAGGCGCAGTGGCTCACACCTGTAATCCCAGCACTTTGGGTTTTTTTGGTTTTTGTTTTTTGTTTCGAGACGGGAGTTTTGCTCTTGTTGCCCAGGCTGGAGTGCAGATGCAGTCTTGGCTCACTGCAAGCTTCGCCTCCCAGGTTCAAGTGATTCTCCTGCCTCAGGCTCCCAAGTAGCTGCGATTACAGGCACATGCCACCATGCCCAACTAATTTTTGTATTTTTAGTAGAGAAGGGGTTTCACCATGTTGGTCAGGCTGGTCTCAAACTCCTGACCTCAGGTAATCCGCACACCTCAGCCTCCCAAAGTGATGAGATTACAGGCATGAGCCACCACACCCGGCCTAATCCCAGCACTTTGGGAGGCTGAGATGGGAGGATCGCTTGAGCCCAGGAGTTGGAGACCACCCTGGGCAACACAGTGAGACCCCCATCTCTATTAAAGAAGGGTGGGGGGATTCCTTCATTAATTTCCTCAGAAGTTAACCTGGAACTTTGCTTGAAAGGGAAAAGAGGCGTGTTCAGACATCTGGATTGATGCCATTTGTGAATCTGACTTTCATGAAATTCCTTAAGTAACTCCACCCCACATAAAACAAATACAGACTGGGCATGGTGGCTACCCGCCCTAATCCCGCACTTCGGGAGGTTGAGACAGGCAGATCACTTGAGGTCAGGACTTTGAGACCAGTCTGGCCAACATGGTGAAATCCCATCTTTACTAAAAATACAAAATTAGCCAAGCATGGTGGCACACACCTGTAGTCCCAGCTACTCAGGAGGCTGAGGCAAGAGAATTATCTGAACCTGGGAGGCAGAGGTTTCAGTGAGCAGAGATTGTGCCACTGCACTCCAGCCTGGGCAATAGAGTAAGACTCCGTCTCAAAAAAAGAAAAAAAAAAAAACTGCTGTGGAAAATCAAATCAGTGACGTGAATGAAGGAAAAAGTTATTCTGCAGACACAGCTGGGGCCAGGCCTGCCAGGATTTTACACAGTTGTGTTTGATTAAGTCCTCCTCAACCACCTACAATAATGGATAGGATTGTGATAGATAGGAGGATATTCGTGTTTATTGATGGGAGAATTTGAAACATAATCAAGATAGGGGCTAGTTTTTGTCATGTGAGGAGAAGTGTGCCAGGCATTAGGGAGGTTCCTTGGGTTACCTCTGGGACTCAGAAATGAAAGGGGACTATTCCTAGTTTTATTACTAGGGCTGTTATTAAGGATGAAAATTGATTAATAGGTTTGTCACAGAGACATGTGAGTAGAGAGTGGCCATTGCCCCTGGCCTCCGGGCCCTGGCTGTGATTACACCTTTGCTCCATGTTCTCCTCTTGGGCCTCCTCTCTCCCTTAGAGAGAAAGGCTGCCTGGAGAGCCCCTTTCCCCAGGTTTACACTGCTGAACCCCTCTTCTAAAGGCACGTGCGGAAACCCCTTCCCTGTCACTTGCTGTACAGTCTGGGAGACAGTGTGGGCTGATACATCAGGTACAGGGCCTGTGTCGCCAGCATTGCTGGAGGTGCTGGGGTTTGGTGTGGGCTCTTCAATTTAGGGTCTTCACATTCTTCTCTTTTTCTTGCAGAGGAGGGTGTGGAAGTATTATATTATAAAACAAAACTAGTCCAGGCATCATTAACAACTTTCATGATCTTTAGTTTTCTTCCAAATCCTGCAAATGGTGATTATACTCTGAGAGAAAAACTGGGTCCCGTGACTATATCATTTGGGGAGGGAGGGAAGGCATGGAGGAAAGAGAGAGAAAGAGAATGTGAATGCACAGCTTTGAGAGGGACTGTTTGTGCTTTAATAATTGCCTTCACTTGGATAAGGCTAAATACCTGCTGGCTTTGCGTTTTCTCCTTGGAAAATCATGCTGTGAGAAGCCACCCAACATGTTGTACCTAGATTTTAATGTCGTCATTTCTCCTCCTTCACTTCTATCCACTTCTCACCCACTGAAACCTGGCATCATCTCCACCACCCCCTGCAGCCGCTCTCTCCAATGCCACCAGCCTTTGCTTACCTGGCATTCTGTAAATTCTGAACAACTGGCTACCTGCCCTCTTGCAGCACTCTCCCCCTATGGCTGCCGGCCGTGTTCTCCGGGTTTCCCTTCTACCTTCCTGGCAGTCCCTTTGCCGCTTCCATAACAGCCTCCCATTCCTGTTTCCAGCTGCTAATTGTTGATGGCCCTTGGGCACCTACCCTGGACTGTCTTCTCTGTCCTCACAGCCTCCTGGATGGTCTCTCCCCTTCGTCACCATCCTCCCGCTCCTGATGTCCAAATCTATAGCCCAGGACTTGCTGAGGTACAGCCAGTTACCTCCTCAAACTCCACTCAAAGGTCCCAAAGCCCTGAACCCCAGTGTATCCAAGACCAGACTCGCATCTTCAGCACTGCTTGGCTCCCTAAGTAGATGATCCCTTCAGCCCCCAGTTTCACAAGGTGGAAACTGGAGTAATGTTTCTTTCTTGTTCCCCTCATCTGTTCATTCATCAGGCCCTACCAGCTGCTCACCTGTGTAGAATTAGCCCAGTGCCATTTGCCTGCACAGGCCACCTTCATCTCTTACCTGGACCCGTCCTGGGTCTCTCTACCTCCAGCATTGCCACCCCCACCCCATCCCCATCCATTCTCAACACCATGGCCATATTTTTATTAGTTACTTTCTGTGCCCCCGGGCCTCTGCCACATCACTGCCCTAAATTATTTGTGACTACTCCTTGCCAGACTCCTTGATGTGGCTTGACAGACCCTCTGAGCAGGGCCAGCCCCACCTGTTTCTGCAGAATAATCCTTGAGTTCCTACCTCCTACCTTCAGTCCTGCCTCCCCATGTCCATGGTCAGCATGCAGTCCCTGAGCAGGCCATGCTCACTCTGTCCCCTTGTTCCTTTGCTCTTGCCGTTCCTGCCACCCTACCTGGAATGCTCCTGTCCTCCCCTCTGCTGTGTAGGCCTGAAGGTGTGAGCTGATGGGCTACTCCTCAGGAAGCCTCCCAGCTTTGTGCAGTGCCCTTCCAGCAGGCACATGGCGCCATGTGTTTGCCTCCTGAGAGTGCCCATCACGCGGCTGATGCACTTACCTGGTTCCTCCATTAGACTCAGATGTCTAGGGGCAGAGGCTGCTTTTGCTCATCAGTGTGTCCCTAGCACCCAGGAGTGCCTCGTGCATACTGCATAACCTTAGATATTTTATCCATACAGTGAATGAATGGATCCATCATATAGCATTCATTGTCTGTTACATATTGCTGTGTCTCATGGACTATACTATGTCATTTAATAAACGCAGTGGGAACTCAAAGTGCCAGAATCCTCAGAGAAAGGGAGCCAGGGTGAATCCTGACTCTAGCATCCTTTAGGTTATAATCTATTCTGGAAGCATAAGTGTCTCTATAGTTGAGGGTTTATCCTTTAAGTGCTTTTGAAGCATCCATAGAGTTATCCCATATCTGTCTTTTTGGGGGCCATCGAGGCTTATGTGGTCCGTGTCCCATGCCGTCCTGGACTGCAGGGGTGCCCTCTGGCTTCTGTCACCTCAGTGCTGCTGCTTGTCTTCTGTGCTGTCAGTGTCTGCCTGGCACTTTCCCCATCACCCTCTCTAATCCCATTGTAGATCTTAACTGCACGCATTCTAGGTCTTTCTAAGTGTTGCTCATCCTGACTTCAGAACTTGCCCTTCAAGCTGTCATTTATCTAAATAAATCATTGCTATCAGCTGCTTTTGTGTGATTTGCCACTCTTCTCAAAGTAGGGTACAGAAAAAGAAATTATAGTTCATTGCAGTTTTCATCTGCTTGGGGCTGTGCTGTTCTCAGAGGATGAGGACCAAGCTCCAGGCCACTAACAGACACAACCTCTTAGGCCCGGATCTACTGGTCCATGTTGGAACCCAGGAGAGTCTCAGGAAGACACCTCTCTCTTCCTCGGGCATACGCTGAAGCAGCTTCCTAACCCCTGCGGGCCCTTGTGGAGGGCAGGAACTGTGTGTTCATCTTGTCCCCCAGACACACGGCAGTTTCTGAAATATAGGAGGTATTCAGTATAAGTTTGCAGAATCAGCAGAAGAAAGGCGGGGAGGAAGAGGCAGAATTGAAAATATGAGATACCAGATTCCCTTCCAGGGCAAAAAGTTAGATGGTGTCAAGTGGAGGATTTAGTACGTGGGCTTATTGCTGCTTCATATGTCTGAAATTTCCTCCCAGGGAGTATCTGATATGCTAGAAGAATCTGATATCATAAATACTGAAATAAATACCATAAACTGGAAGGGTTTCCAATAAGGTTAGAAATAAAATCAGGACAGTTATATAACAGGAAGCACCTCAGAATACCCTTAAGGACTGCAACTCTCAGGAGGACAAAACAGCTTTCTGAAGAAATCCAAAGTTATGAACAGCTCTAGCAGTAGCTTCTTAATATTAATATGCACTGCCCTCATTTTGAAACACTTAACTGTGTAGATCTGAGTGTCTTATCATCTTCTCTCCCTCTGCCCCTAAAGCTATTCCATTTATGTTGCTGGTTTTTTTTTTTTTTTGGTTTTGTTTTGTTTTGTTTTTGTTTTTGTTTTGAGATGGAGTCTCACTCTGTCACCTAGGCTGGAGTTCAGTGGCACAATCTTGGTTCACTGCAACCTCCGCCTCCCAGGTTCAAGCGATTCTCCTGTCTCAGCCTCCCGAGTAGCTGGGACTGCAGGCGCCCACCACCAGGCCCAGCTAATTTTTTGTATTTGTAGAAGAGACGGGGTTTCACTGTGTTAGCCAGGATGGTCTTGATCTCCTGACCTTGTGATCCACCCGCCTCGGCCTCCTGAAGTGCTGGGATTACAGACGTGATACTGCACCAGCCCTTGCTGGGTTTTAGTAGTATAAGAATGTCTCTGGTTTGTTTGTTTTTGCCCCTCCCCCTACTCCTAATGCATAATACTATTTGGTATTGGTTTTAGAGCAGAAAATAAATGGGTTTTTATCTCATATGCCGATTTCAGTAGATTGGTTGTGGCTCACTGGAGTGTTGAGAAGAATTTGGAAGCTGAATCTAAGTTCAGTGGGGGAGAGTTCTGTGGAGGCTGGGGGGTTGGAGGGTAGCACTGTGCATGCCAGGCCTGTGCCAGGTGTGTTCTAGAGGACAGTAACTCATGAGAGCAGGACATGGCATCCTTCAGGTTTTGACTTAAATCAGAGTCAGTTGAAGTTATTTTAATGTCATTTTCATTTTAGAGCCTGAAATTGTTGGTTTTCAAATCTTGTTCTGCTGTGGCTTGAATGTAATATCTTAGTGAATAGTAGGGAGAAAAATAGAGCTGAATATTTTAACAGTGTTGAGATCTTTTCTTTAAGCTGTTGCCATTTGATACCTGATACTAAATTGGACTTCATGACCATAAAAGGGGCAGGAATGGGAGACTATCTGAAAAGTCCCTCCAGTGTAAATATTTATCATGGTTATTTCAGAGGCAGATTAGGCTTCTGAAATTTGAGCTACAACTGGATAGTCCTAACTTAGCATATAAGTTGCTGTCCAGATTGGTAACCTGGAATCTAGATTTGCACAGTGGGAATCAGAATGTGCTGAGGAGTGGCCAATGGCCTTGACCTGCCACCAGGCATATTTCATGAATGACAGTCAGTTACATAATTCACGTAGTACCTTTCAACAAGGGAGGATCCACCCAGTCATCTTGTTTGAGGCATTCTTTTCAGAAGGAGAAACCGAGGCATGGCCTTTGCTATTACCCATTCAGGCTGGAATGTATGAGCTATGATAGCAACTTGGCCTGAAGGCCTCCAGGCCTGGTCAGCAAATAAATTCCTTGAGCGCTTTCCATGTGCCAGTTGTAGACACCACAAATGTAATTATGAGCAAGAATGTCTCAGCCCCCAGCCTCAAGGAGCTTCCACGCTTGTTGGGAGGAGACAGACAAAAGCACCCCGATATACTCATGCTTCAAGGTAGCACAAAGACCACTGAAGAAAATAACATATTGTGATCTGGGATGCTGGTTTAACTCGGGTGTCCAGGGAAGTTTGCTTGGAGGAGATGGCACTCCCAGTTAGACTGGAATGAGGGGATGAGACAGATGGTGTTGGAAAGATCCTGGGGAAGACCCCTCCAAGCCAGAGAAACAACAAACGCAAACCTGCCTAAGAGATGGAACAAAAGCCAACGGGGTTGGAGCAGAGAGAACGCCCACACTCCTGTCCATGAGCCTGGATGTTTGCTAATTTGTTGTTTGTTTTGTTTTTTGGTGGGTTTTTTGTTTTTTGTTTGTTTGTTTGTTTTTTAAGACAGAGTCTCGCTCTGTCACCCAGGCTGGAGTGCCTGGTGTCATCTCAGCTCACTGCAACCTCTGCTTTCCAGGCTTAAGCGATTCTCCCACCTCAGCCTCCTGAGTAGCTGGGATTACAGGCGCCCGCCACCATGCCTGGGCTAATTTTTGTATTTTTAGTAGAGACAGGGTTTCACCATGTTGGCCAGGCTGGTCTCGAAGTCCTGACCTCAAATGATCTACCTGCCTTGTTCTCCCAAAGTGCTGGAATTACAGGTGTGAGCCACTGTGCCCGGCCTGATTTGTTGTTGGTGTTGGTGGTTTCTTATAAGCCTTGAAAACTTTCATTGCACTTCTTGAAGCTGCTTTTAAATTAGCCATTGTATTTGGTGAGACAGTGTTTGCTTAGTTGTACAAAGGGTATGAAGAATTCTATAAATTAAGGTGAACTTAAAAATTGCCTAATTCTGACCAGATGTGGTGGCTCACACCTGTAATTCTAGTACTGTGGGAAGCTGAGGGAGGCGAATCGCTTGAGCTCAGGAGTTTGAGACCAGCCTGGGCACCATGATGAAATCCCATCTCTACTAAAAATACAAAAATTAGCCTGGTGTGGTGGCGTGCGCCTGCAGTCCGAGCTGCTTGGAAGGCTGAGGCAGGAGAATCACTTGAACCCTGGAGGTCAAAGCTGCAGTGAGCCAAGATGGTGCCAGTGTACTCCAGCCTGGGTGACAAAGTGAGACCCTGTCTCAAAAAAAAAAAAAAAGATAAATTGTCTAATCCCTTTGGAGGGAGGCATGTGCTTCAGAGTGGGCCTATTTCTATTCCGTAGAACCTGTGCGGGTTGCTGGAGGTGGAGAGGAAATGACCAGTGAGCATTCTGGGTGGGCAGGGAGTGTCGTCACACCATCCATAGCTGACCCACTCCCTAAACAGCCCCTTGGAGCTCTCATGCTTTTACTGTGTGCTGAGTCCAGCCCAGGCCTCCCCCACAGCCTCCAGCCCAGGCCTCCCCCATGGCCTCCAGCCCAGGCCTCCCCCATAGCCTCCAGCCCAGGCCTCCCCCACAGCCTCCAGCTCAGGTTTCCCCCACAGCCTCCAGCCCAGGCCTCCCCTACAGCCTCCAGCACAGGTTTCCCCCACAGCCTCAAGCCCAGGCCTTCCCCATAGCCTCCAGCCCAGGCCTTCCCCACAGCCTCCAGCCCAGGCCTCCCCTACAGCCTCCAGCCCAGGCCTCCCCTACAGCCTCCAGCACAGGTTTCCCCCACAGCCTCCAGCCCAGGCCTTCCCCACAGCCTCCAGCCCAGGCCTCCCCCACAGCATCGACCACCTGCTCATTGTGTCCATGAACACTTCAAAAGCAACATGTCAAAAAGGGGAAAATACCTCCCCTGTCAACCTACATGCAGTTCTCAATTCTGTCACCCTGGTTGCTGGCTGTAGCCTCAGTTCAGGCACCTGCACTGGAAACCAGCTAGTCATCTCTGCCCTTGGAGCCTCTATAGACCTCCTCTGTGATCGCCTTTTTTCCCAGCCTTCCTTCCCTGACAAAGCTAACCTGGTCCCTCCAGGAATCCTCTGGCCTTGGCTGGGCCCGGCTCCCCTCTGCATCTCTGTGTGCCCCTTTGGCATACAGTACATCATATTCTGGACTGGCTGTGAGTGCCTTCCAGGCAGGGAATGCCATAGCAATCATGGATCCTTGGTCACCTGCACACAGTAGGGCGCTGTCAATGTTTGGAAAACAAATGAGTGGCTGAGCAGGGTCCCTTTGCAAGCGATGGCTTTAGCTATTTGGGTGACTGTTTTTCTTTATATTCTTCTGAATGTATTCAAATTCCTCACAGTAAGTAGCTATCAGATACTTTTAGAATTTTTTATGGCAAAATGTTTATAAATAAAATTTAGCATTTTAACTCTTTTTAAGTGTAGAGTTCAGTGGCATGGCATAAAGTACACTTACGTTGTTGTATAATCATCACCAACATTGTCTCTAGAACTTTTTCCTTTTTTTTTTTTTTTGAGACAGAGTCTCGCTCTGTCACCCAGGCTGGAGTGCAGTGGCGTGATCTCTGCTCACTGCAGCCTCGACCTCCCGGGCTCAAGAAATTCTCCTACCTCATCCTCCTGAGTAGCTGGGGTCACAGGCATGCACCACCACACCAGGCTAACTTTTTGTATTTTTAGTAGAGATGAGGTCTTGTTGAGAGGTGACAACATGCTAGCAGCCCTCGCTCACTCTCGGCTCCGCCTCGGCGTCCGCTCTGGCCGCGCTCAAGGAGCCCTTCAGCCGGCGGCTGCGCTGTGAGGGCCCCTCTCTGGGGCTGGCGAGGCCGGAGCCGGCTCCCTCTGCTCGCAGGGAAGTGTGAAGAGAGAGGCGCGGGCGGAAGCGGCGCTGGCGGGCCACGGGTTCCAGGTGAGCGCGGGCTTGGCAAGCCCCGCACTAGGCGCCGCCGGCCGGCACTTGCTGGGCTTGATCGGAGGCTGAATCCCGTGCGTGGACCGCCGTTCCCTCTTCGCGGGATTGTTGGCCACGACAGCCGGTCTCCGTCTCTTTCTCGTTTCCCCTCTTTTCCTCTTGATTGTCTGGGACGAGCTCCCTCTGGGCTGCCTTAGTGCCCAGGCTAGGTGCCACAAAGTCCCGCTGCCAGTGCCAGTAAGAGGTGAAGCTGGCTGGGCTTCTGAGAGGTGGGGACTTGGAGAACTTTTCTAGCTGTCTCCTGTCTAGCTAAAGGTTTGTAAACGCACCAATCAGCGCTCTGTGTCTAGCTCATTGGATGGGGACTTGGAGAACTTTTCTGTCTAGCTAAAGGATTGTAAACACACCAATCAGCACTCTGTGTCTAGCTAAAGGTTTGTAAATGCACCAATCAGCACTCTGTCAAGACGGATCAATCAGTGCTCTGTAAAATGGACCAGTCAGCTCTTTGTAAAATAGACCAATTAGCAGGATGTGGGTGGGGCCAGATAAGGGAATAAAAGCAGGCCCCCTAGCCAGCAGGGGCAACCCGCTCGCCTACCATACCAGGCTGTGGAAGCTTCGTTCTTTTGCTCTTCGCAATAAATCTTACTGCTGCTCCCTCTTTGGTTCCATGCTGCTGTAACACTCACTGCGAAGGTCTGCAGTATCATTTCTGAAGTCAGGGAGACCACCAACCCACCAGGAGGAACGAACAACTCCACACGCGCCGCCTTTATGAACTGTAACACTCACCGCAAACGTCTGCAGCTTCACTCCTCAAGTCAGCGAAACCACGAACCCACCATAAGGAAGAAACTCCGAACACGTCCAAACATCCGAAGGAACAAACTCCGGACACACCATCTTTAAGAACTGTAACACTCACCGCGAGGTTCCACGGCTTCATTCTTGAAGTCAGCAAGACCAAGAACCCACCAATTCTGGACACATTGTGATGTTGTCTAGGCTGCTCCTGAACTCCTGAGCTCAAGCAGTCCTCCTGCCTTGGCCTCCCAAAGTGCTGGGATTACAGGCATGAGCCACTGCGTTGGCCCTCTAGAACTTTTTCTTTATCCCAAAGTGAAATTCCATACCTTTTAAACAATACCTCTCCATTCTCCTTTTCCCCCAGTCCCTGGTAAGCACCATTCTGTTACCGGAAAGGGGTCCCCATGTAGACCCCAAAAGAGGGTTCTTGGACCTTGTGCAAAAAAGAATTTGGGGCAAGTCTATAAAGTGAAAGCAAGTTTATTGGTAAAGTAAAGGAATAAAGAATGGCTGCCTGAGGTCAAGCACAGTGGACTCACGCCTGTAATCCCAGCACTTTGGGAGGCCAAGGTGGGTGGATCACTTGAAGCCGGGAGTTCAAGACCCGCCTGGCCAACATGGTGAAACCCTGTCTGTACTAAAAATACAAAAATTAGCTAGATGTAGCAGCACACGCCTGTAAAACCAGATACTCGGGAGGCTGAGGCAGGAGAATGGCTTGAACTCGGGAGGTGAAGGTTGCAGTGAGCCAAGATCACTCCACTGCATTTCAGCCTGGGTGACAGAGTGAGACTGTCTCAAAAAAAGAAAAAAGAATGGCTAGGTATTTTTATGGGTTTTTTTATTATATGCTAAATAAGGGGTCGATTATTTATGAGTTTTCTAGGAAAGGGGTGGGCAATTCCCAGAACTGAGGGTTCCTCTCCTTTTTAGACCATATAGGGTAACTTCCTGACGCTGCTATGGCACCTGTAAACTGTCATGGTGCTGGTGGGCATGTCTTTTAGCATGCTAATGCATTATAATTAACATGTAATGAGCAGTGAGAGTGACCAGAGGTCACTTTTGTGGCCATCTTGGTTTTGGTGGGTTTTGGTCAGCCTCTTTACCACACCCTCTTTTATCAGCAAGGTCTTTGTGACCTGAATCTTGTGCCGACCTCCTATCTCACCCTGTGACTTAATGCCTAACCTCCTGGGAATACAGCCCAGTATGTCTTGGCCTTATTTTACCCAGCCCCTATTCAAGATGGAATAGCTGTGGTTCAAATGCCCCTGACAGTTCTACTTCCTGTCTGTGTGAATTTGACTACTCTAAGATATCTCATATAAGTGGGATCGTATAGTATTTGTCTTTTGTGACTGGCTTACCTCATTTAGTGTGTCTCCAAGGTTCATCTGTGGCGTGGCATGTATCAGAATGTTCTTTGTTAAAGCTGAGTAATATAGTCCATTAAAAGTATATACTACGTTTTGCTTATTCGTTCATCTGTGGTAAACATTTAAGTTGTTTCTACCTTTTGGCTATTGTGAATAATGCTGCTATGAACATTGGTGTGCAATTACCTATTCGAGTTCCTGCTTTCAATTCTTTTGGGAATATACTTAAAAGTGAAATTGCTGGATCATATGGTAAAAATTACTTTTAAATTTAGAAGCATTTTAAATACTTTCAAAACGGTCATTTTGATTTAAATAAAAGGTCACCTTAAGATGGCAGGTGACATAGAAATGCAGGATGAAATTTCAGCCTTTTGTTCTTGCGACTTGTTAGATGATCCTTGGTGACATGAAATGATTTGTTTTCAAGTGTGGTTTTGATTTTTTTTCTTACAGCATCAAGCTTCTAGCTGTGCAAGAACTGCTTGACAGAGAGGCCTTGGAAAAGGTAAATATTTTACTCTTCCTTCCACATTCACAAACCAAGAACGGAGGGCCACACATAAGAAAAATTCAACTCCCTGTCACCAGAGACAGCCCCTACTGAAAAGACGGTCAGTTATTTTGTATTCCTGACAGCGAATCATGCAGAATTTTAATCTGAGCCCCCTACCTTGCTGACATTGTGTTCACACCTACAAACTCGGCTGTACCTGGCTCCCTCTGGGTTGTGTGCAGGTTGTGTGAAAGGCAGAGGCCCGTGCTGCAAGGGGCCATACTCTGGAGGAGGCTTTCTGTGCTTTCAGCCATTAGGAGCCAGAGGCCTCACGCATGCCGGAGTCTGTGTTGGCCACCTCACTGCATTTCTGCTTGCTGTGTGTTATTATCTGGGTGTAGGGATGATGGAATTGAGACCCAGTAACTTGCCTAAGGCAAATGAACTAAGTAGAGGAGTGATGATTTGAATCCCAATAGTTCCATTTCCAAAACCAGTACTTCTCTATTCAGTAGTCAAGTTCATGCGTTTTTATCTCTTTTTAGGCTACTACTGAGGATTGAGAAACTGCCTCTCTGCCCCCAAACCAACGTTTCACTGTGCCCTGGAAGAGATCCCCAGTGTGTCTCGGCTTTCTATGTTCAAGTCAAGCCTGGGATTGGGGATTTTTTGCCAGTTGTGGGTTCAAGTTCGGCATGCATGGTGGGGTGGGCTCCACAAAACAGGCTGGGTGGGCACCAAGGAAGCCAGGCCCCCCTACTTGCCCATCAGGGGCCTCCCAGCTGATACCAAGCTCTCAGACCCTGGGGAGTTCAGGACTCTTCCTGCATGTGTAGCCGCAGGTGATAATTAGAATCTGTGTTGCTAACATGAAGCAACAGCACCCAAACGATATTCATTTGTTTTTGGTTAGAGAGACAAGCACTTGAACTATATTCGTTTATTTTTGGAATTTAAAATATTTGAGGGGGCTAGGTGAGGTGGCTCTGCCTGTAGTCCCAGCACTTTGGGAGACTGGAGGGTTGCTTGAGCCCAGGAGTTTGAGACCAGCCTGGGCAACATAGTGAGACCTCATCTCTTCAGAAAATCAAGAAATTAGCCAGGTGTGGTGGTGCACACCTGCGGTCCCAATTCCGCAGGAGGCTGAGGCAGGAGGATCACGTGAGCCCAGGAGGCTGAGGCTACAGTGAGCCAAGATCATGCCACTGCACTCCAGCCTGGAAGTCAGAGCAAGAGACCCTGTCTCACAAAATAAAATATCTGGGTTAGTAGTCAGTCTGCTGGTTGGCACTAAGACAAATAAAGTCTTTAAAATGAACACCAACCAGTGGTGTGAGGGAAGAATGAGGTCTGAGCACTGCTTTGGATTTGATGTCCCCTCAACCTCATTTCTATCTTGGGTAAACCAAGGATAGAGCTGCTGCCTGACCTCAGAGAGGCAAAGTGAGAAGCAAATGAGTTAATGTAGCAAAAGGGCTTTCTAAATGCCAAAGCACTCTACTCATTATTAATTCTTAATTACTTATATTAATTCTTAATATGCATTCAGCCATGAAAACATAGTGGGTCAGGCTATAAAAGACATCATCGGGCCAAATGGCAACATTGGA
Source organism: Homo sapiens (assembly GCF_000001405.40). Classification (NCBI taxonomy): domain Eukaryota; kingdom Metazoa; phylum Chordata; class Mammalia; order Primates; family Hominidae; genus Homo; species Homo sapiens. Next base: position 36,240,635 of record NC_000007.14, read on the forward strand.
TGTGGATAGTAAATGAGATGAAGGTATTGTATTAACATTAACATTTCCTGAAGTTGATAATTGGCTTGTGATCATGTAAGAGAATGGCCTTGTTCTTAGGCAGCAGTTCCCAACCTTTTTGGCACCAGGGACCAGTTTCCTGGAAGAAAATTTTTCCGCAGACCTGGGTTGGGGGGATGGTTTCAGGATGAAACTGTTCCACCTCAGATCATCAGGCATTAGATTCTCATAAGGAGCGCACAATCTGGGGACCCCTGTTCTTAGGAATTAACACAGGAGTATTTAGGAATAAAGGGGCATGGTTATAACTTATTCTCAAATGATTCAAGGAAAAGAAATAGTGATGTATATATGTCAGACAGATCCAGAGAGAGAAAGATGAGAATAACTCATCAAGTAAATGAGGCAAAATACAAACAATTGATCCTTCTGTGTAAAGGGGTATGTGAGTTCCTTGTATGTTCTTGAAACTTTTCTAGTATCCCCCCTCAAAAAATTGTCATCTTAGTATTCATTATGGTTATTCATTTTATTTCTCAATTTAAAAAAACCATCAGATGGCTGGGTGCGGTGGCTCACACCTATAATCCCAGCACTTTGGGAGGCCAAGGCAGGCAGATCATGAGATCAGGAGTTCAAGACCAGCCTGGCCAGCATGGTGAAACCCCATCTCTACTAAAAATACAAAAATTTAGCTGGGCATGGTGGTGCACCTGTAGTCCCAGCTACTCAGGAGGCGGAAGCAGGAGAATTCCTTGAACCTGGCAAGCGGAGGTTGCAGTGAGCTGAGATTGCACCATTGCACTCCAGCCTGGGCAGCAGAGCGAGACTCTGTCTCAAAATAAATAAATAAATAAATAAATAACCATCAGACAAAGCTAGCATATGTGGAGCCTAGTGCTGGGGTGTATCAGTATAATAAAAATGCAGGTGCCAAAAATAACAGTTATGACTGGACACAGTGGCTCACGCCTGTAATCCCAGCGCTTTGGGAGGCTGAGGCGGGTGGATCATTTGAGGTCAGGAGTTCAAGACCAGCCTGGCCAACATGGTGAAACCCGGTCTCTGCTAAAAATACAAAACTTAGCCAGGCGGTAGTGGCATGTGCCTGTAATCCCAGCTACTCAGGAGGCTGAGGCAGGATAATCGCTTGAGTCTGGGAGGCAGAGGTTGTGGTGAGCCGAGATTGCGCCATTGCACTCCAGTCTGGGCGAGAGAGTAGGACCCTGTCCCAGAAAAAAACCCAAAAATAACAGTTATATCTTTTGAGCTGTGTGTACACCTGATTTAGAGAGGTCCCAGAGCTAACCCAATCTGTGAGTATTAACTACTTTCAAAACCTATCAGAGAAATAGGGTCAGGGCTTATTGTGGCTGGTGGCGGAGCCAGTTGTGCTGCCCTGAGGATGTGATTTTGATGCTGAGGCTGCGGCGGAGCAGACCCTAAGCCCACCTTCCTAACTAGTTTATCTTGGATTACTTACTTTCTCGTGCCTTAGTTTCCCAGTTTATAAAATTGAAACTATTCTAATTCTTAACTCACAGAGGTTGTAAGATGACTAATTAGATAGTTCACATAAAGGACTGCAACACTGTGCCTGGTACTCAGTGATCTCCAAGAGTTAGCTGCTGCCCATGTTCTTTCCTATTCCTCTTCCCCCACCCTGATTCTCTCTCCCCGAGTCTGCTGATGATTTTGTATTGTTCCCCCCATCTCAAAATGTGACCAGTAAGAAGCTTTACAAGATGGTCTGCATGTGTACAGGGGCCAGCAGGGAGCCAAATTCGCTGAGTTTCCTCCTCCTTCCTTCTGTTCATTCATTCATTCATTCCCTTATGCTACAGGAATTTGTTGAGCTTCCAGTGTGCCAGGCAAGTGGCAAACATTTCTTGAAAAGTTCAGAAGCAAACATTCATCATGAGCTTGATAGCCAGTTACATTTTGAGTGACATATGATATATTACCTGGCATAGTGCTATTTTGTGCATCAAGATTGGTCCAGTTGAGGCCAGGCGTAGTGGCTTACACCTGTAATCTCAGCACTTTGGGAGGCCAAGGTGGGTGGATCACCTGAGGTCGGGAGTTCGAGACCAGTCTGACCAACATGGCGAAACTGTGTCTCTAATAAAAATACAAAAAAAAAAAAAAAAAAAGCCAGGTGTGGTGGCAGGTGCCTCCCAGCTAATCAGGAGGCTGAGGCAGGAGAATCTCTTAAACCCGGGAGGTGGAGGTTGCAGTGAGCCGAGATCGCCCCACTGCACTCCAGCCTGGGCAACAGAGTGAAACTCTGTCTCAAAAAATAAAGGATTGGTCCAGTTGATATGCTGGAATAAGATGAGTTCCTAAAGGGCCTCGTGACTTACAGATTCCCTTCCACCTGGACTGATTAAAAAGCCAACAAGAAAAGTTATTTGTCAAATATAGAACTGCGCTACTCGAAGTGTGGCCCACAGACCTGCAGCATTAGAAGCCTGTTAGAAACGTAGAATCTCAGCTCCCTGAATTCAGACCCCCTGAATCAGAGCTACATTCTAAAAAGCCCCCAGGTGATTATGTGCTCGAAAGTTCAAGAACGCTGCTGTAGAGTATCGTTTATTATCACCATCGCTATTATTAACTAGTCAGAAAGAATCTATGAGTTGTCAATTTGACTTTTATGGCCAATTAAGCCTGGTTTTTTTTTTTTTGGCACCAAAAGAGAAGAAGTAAACACCGTCATTCTATTTGTGAGAACCCAGTTTTTATTTTTAGTTCACCTGCGTCTTCCTTTGATTAAGAAAATAGTCTTAATTCAATAGGTAGAGCCAGCAAAAAAGGGCTTAGTTAGACACACATTCTGCAAACCTCAAACCTCTTTTACTGTCATGCAGCTGAGCTTCAAATGACAACCGGCCTTTGAGTTTTGTAATCACTGAACTCCCAACACCCTGCTGTGATAGAACTGGTCGCTTCTAGCCAGACAGTCCCAACAGTGGGGACCTGCACAGGCCTCCTCTTTTAAGATGGAAGCTATTCTAAAGGGGCCATTTCCTTCACAAGTACTGGTGGATTAAATTTGAACAATAAAATATTTAAATTATGTAAAACCTAATGTGAGTTCATGTCCTTTGTAGGGACATGGATGAAATTGGAAATCATCATTCTCAGTAAACTATCGCAAGGACAAAAAACCAAACACCGCATGTTCTCACTCATAGATGGGAATTGAACAATGAGAACACATGGACACAGGAAGGGGAACATCACACTCTGGGGACTGTTGTGGGGTAGGGGGAGGGGGGAGGGATAGCATTAGAAGATATACCTAATGCTAAATGACGAGTTAATGGGTGCAGCACACCAGCATGGCACATGTATACATATGTAACTAACCTGCACATTGTGCACATGTACCCTAAAACTTAAAGTATAATAATAATTAAAAAAAAAGAAAATAGTCTTAATTCAATAGGTAGAGCCAGCAAAAAAGGGCTTAGTTAGACACACATTCTGCAAACCTCAAACCTCTTTTACTGTCATGCAGCTGAGCTTCAAATGACAACCTGCCTTTGAGTTTTGTAATCACTGAACTCCCAACACCCTGCTATGATAGAACTGGTCGCTTCTAGCCAGACAGTCCCAACAGTGGGGACCTGCACAGGCCTCCTCTTTTAAGATGGAAGCTATTCTAAAGGGGCCATTTCCTTCACAAGTACTGGTAGATTAAATTTGAACAATAAAAGATTTAAATTATGTAAAACCTAATATAAAAAGCTAAAAAGAAGTAGTAGTCTTTTAAGGTCTCATAGAAAATAAGTGCTTTTTCTTGCTAATATTAGGCCTTGTTATTAGGATCTTAGTATTTTAACTTAAAATGACCAGCCATTTGCCTAAACATTACTTGGTTTTAGGTAGACAGCCTTCCCATTTTTAGACGTGCCAAGGTTTTCCTGTTTTCTGCAGAGCCCAGAGCCAGCTCTGAGGAGGTTCCCAATTGGCAGAGCCGAGTTCTCCTCCCGGTGTGGCCTCTGCTGAGCTGCTGTGTCTGGCAGAGGATCTTCCCTGAAGGCCCCAGCCCCTTTCCTAGCCTGTGAAACTGCTCTCTGTGATTCCTTCCCACTCTTCGATACCTGGGCTTCATTTTTCAGAGTTGATTTTTTTTTTTTTTTTTTTTTTGGAGACGGAGTCTTGCCCTGTTGCCCAGGCTGGAGTGCAATGGTGTGATCTCGGCTCACTGCAACCTCCGCATCCTGAGTTCGAGCAATTCTCCTGCCTCAGCCTCCTGAGTAGCTGGGATTATAGGTGTCTGCCATTATGCCCGGCTAATGTTTTTTTTTTGTTGTTTTTTTTGAGATGGAGTCTCGCTCTGTTGCCCAAGCTAGAGTGCAGTAGTATGATCTCGGCTCACTGCAACCTTCACCTCCCAGGTGCAAGCAATTCTCCTGCCTCAGCCTCCTGAGTAGCTGGGATTACAGGTGCCTGCCACCATGCCCAGCTAATTTTTTTGTATTTTTATTAGAGATGGGATCTCACCATGTTGGCCAGGCTGGTCTTGATCTCCGGGCCTCAGGTCATCCACCCACCTTGGTCTCCCAAAGTGCTGGGATTACAGACATGAGCTACCGCGCCTGGCCACAGAGTTGATTCTTGATCACATTGTGAAGAGGGGGACATTTTGCCCTTGTGTACTCAGTTTTCTCGTATTTTCTCCACTTCCTTGCTCCAGTGGTCCTTACTGTGTTTGGGGGCTTTCCTGTTTCACCTGCCCTACTTACCATCAAATCACGTGTTCTGGGAAGAGGTGAATGGTGAACACAAGCCCAGTACATAGATACACAGAGACCCCCAAGGCATAAATCAGTAGGGTTCTAGTTTTTGCCTCTTATTCTTTGTCTTCATTTAGGTGCAGTAGATTGGGTAGGAGGTGGGGGCCCCTTGTGGGATCAGGCTTCTGAGTTTCTCTTCTCTCCTAACGCTACACAGAGCCAGTTCCCAGACTAGTAAAAGTGACTTGTCACTTATTTTTAAAATGTTATAAACCATACAATTAACAATCTAAATTCTTCAACCAATTTCTTCTTTTGAAAAATGGTTAGAACCATGAGCAGATGATCTAAGATGTGTGAGTGTCAGTGCATGTGACATTGGTCTGAAAAAGTGTTTTGGATTTAGATGTGCTTTTTTTGTCAAACATCCATTAGGTCCCAAGAGCAAGAACTTGCTGTAAGAAGGATACATGTCATGCAGTTCTCTGTTGTTTTTGCTCTGAGAGTGGGACACTTCTGTTTTTCTGAACTTAAGTCACAGGTACTTGTTTCCCAGGCTTTAAACACAGGCCCATCTAAAGCCTTTAAAAGTGGCATTTCATAAAAGGAAATAAAAATATTGGTACAGCTTGATTTAGAAAGATCATTTTTCAATGACCCTTTCAAATGGCTTCCTGCAAAGCCACAAACAATAGTTTGGCCGGTCATTCCAGCTGGACCGTGGTAGGACCAGAGGGCGGACCACTGGCTGACCCAACCTGAGACCAGTGCCTGCCTGAGAAGCTGCCTGTGTGAGCTGGGCCCTCAGGAGACACAGGCCACCCACCTGGTGGCCTTGCCAGTGCTGCCGCTCCCAGATCATGACTCTGTTATAATTACAAGTCCACTGAGTTCATGCTGTGAGGGCAGTGGTGGGGGTTGAAGCCAGCCCTGCCATTTGCCAGCTGGGGGACATAGGAGGCCAGGTACTGGCTAGCCTCTGTTTCTTTTTAACATGGAGCTTCAGAATAATACCTATCCTATTAGGATATTGTTATGAGAACTAAGTGAGATGTGTGAAATAAAAGCCGTTATGTATATCGTAAGCACCAAAGTGGCAGTAGCTGGTACTATCCCCTCTACTGCTAATTAGCTGCTGCTGTGGTCGTCATCATCATCATCACTGGCATCTCGTCCTTACTTCTCTCTGGAGAAGCCCAACTTGAGATCGATCTGTTGCCATTAAAAGATGTGAAAGAAGTTGCATCCCCACTGCTCCTTTTGCCAAATTGTCTAGGAAAAGATGCCTGTCAGTCCTCCCTGCTGATAGGTGTTTTTTTTTTAGAATTTCAGCTTTGGAGCCCAACTCCTATTCTAGTTTTCCTGAAGATGGAGCAGACCTCTAAGATGTCTTAGAGTGCTTTACATGTGTGACAGAGTATGTGCATTTCATCAGCAAGCTTGGGACTAGAAAAATTGAACTTGGGCTGGGCGCAGTGTCTCACGCCTGTAATCCCAGCACTTTGGGAGGCCAAGGCGGGTGGATCGCCTGAGGTCAGGAGTTCGAGACCAGCCTGGCCGATATGGTGAAACCCCATCTCTACCAAAAATACAAAAATTAGCCAGGCGTGGTGGCACACACCTGTAATTCCAGCTACTCGGGAGGCTGAGGCAGAATTGCTTGATCCTGGGAGGCAGAGGTTGCAGTGAGCTGAGATCGCACCATTGCACTACAGCCTGGGTGACAGAGTGAGACTCCATCTCAAAAAAAAAAAAAAAAAGAAAAGAAAAAAATTGAACTTGACAGATTAGTCAGGGAGTTTCCAGGCAAACCCTAGTGGTGGGCAACGTTAGAATGATAGCTTCCTGGGAATTTTCAGAAGGAAAGAGGATGATAAGCCATTTTCACATAGATGTGTGTGAATAACCTAAGGATGCAAAGTGCTTGTGTCTGTAATTGGTGAGGGTGTTTTCTGAATATACACACATGTACATCCATAAACACTACCTCTCTTATTACGTGCTTTTGGAGTGTTATTCACTATGATTTGGACTTGCAATTAACTTAGTTTCTGCAACAATTGAGTGCTTGCTCAGTGCCAAAATTATACTGTTTACCAACGGGGATAAAGTTATAAAGATACATGTGATTATAAAGATACATTTACATTTGAATGGCATAGAATCCCAGAACTTCAGAATCAAGGGAGACTTTTAAAACCATCTAATCCAACCCTGTCATTTTGCAGACAGGACATTGAGGCCAAGGGAGTTGAAGTGCCCTCTGCCCCAGGTCCACAGCAGGTGTGTTGGTAATCCAGGACCCATCACAGCAGACTGGGCTCCATTTCCCAGCTCCTTTAAGTGCAACCAGCTGCCCATCTTCTGTGATCTCATTTAATCTGAACATCAGCCTTAGCAGGCATACTGGACGATCCTATCTCCGCATTTCCCAGGAGTGGGAGCAGGTCCATAGGATCAGTCCTGGCCCAGGTGATGGGGAACCAATGCCCAGATCTTCTCATAGTGTGACTTGTAGCAAAACAGACTTGCACAGTTGGTGTTAGCCTCCTCCAGCAGGAGAGGCAGAGAATGTGGGATGGGGGATAGAGGACGCAGAAGGAGGTTCTGGGTTCCAGATGTGGACAATGTCAAAGGAGCACCTAAAAGTGAAGGAACACACAGGGTGTGAGGGCTGCCTAGAGACCATCCACCTAGCAGGTTATGGGAGCCATGAGGACACGTGAGAGGTTGGAGGACGTGGACTGGACACACCTTTCATTTGGGCTTGGTGTCCAAATGAATTACTTCAAGAATCTTAACTTATAAAAATATATATACTTTAAGATACTTTTTTTTTTTTTGAGACAGAGTCTCACTCTGTCCCCCAGGCTGGAGTGCAGTGGTGCAATCTCAGCTCATTGCAACCTCCACCTCCTGAGCTCAAGCGATTTTACCCCCCTCAGCCTCCCGACTAGCTGGAATTACAGGCTTGCACCACCACACCCAGCTAATTTTTTCTATTTTTAGTAGAGAGTTGGTTTCACTGCATTTCCCAGGCTGGTCTCAAACTCCTGGCCTCAAGTAATCTGCCCACCTCGGCCTCCCAAAGTGCTGGGATTACAGGCATGAGCCACCACCCTCGGCCAGATACTCTTTTTTTTTTTTTTTTTTTCCAAAAAAACACTGTGTTATTTCAAAAATATCAGAATGAGATTCTTCAGATCCCTTATTTATTTTCCCCCACCCCCGCCACACTTAGCCCTTCATGTAGTCAGAGCTGAATTTGAATACCACCTTGAGTGATCAATATTCATATATTTGTATAAATTTGCATTGGGTTGAGCAAGATCAGTGGCTAATCATGAGTAAACTCATTGTAATCACTTTCCTGGCTAAGTTTCTATCAGCAGGAAGATGGCAACTTCTCCTTGAAAGAGCTGGTGAGCAGATTGGGGGTGGGTACCATTGTGGAGCCCAGACTCCGCTGTATGGAGTCTAACTCAGGCTCACTGCAGCCACCACAGCTGCCACTAGCTCCACTTCACAAACTCAGTGCTCAGGGTCCACCCAGGACCTCGCTGCCGGAAAGTGGGCATTTTAGTTAATTATGGGCTAGGCTCTGTGGTTCATTAAACACACACACACACACACACACACACACACACACACACACATTTTCTCCTTATTCTTTGAAAATCATCACAAGATATCAGGTATATTCAGGGGCTCTCACTACCTTTTTCTTTTTATGAAAAGCTTTTCTTCTAAGTGAGCAAAAAAACAGAGTCCCCAAACAGGACTTTTAAACTGTCTTTCGTTCCCTCAGCTATCAAAGATAAGCAAATTAAACCATGAGGGTTCATTTTAAATTTATTGCATTAGTGAAGTTTTAAAGCATGATGTGTAATGGTGAAGTTGTGTTGAAATCAGTGCCCCCGGCCACTGCTGGGGAGGGCAGGTGACATGGTGCTGGCCTTTTCCAAGTTCTTGGGCAGAGCATTTCATTAGTGTTTGTGATGTCCCCATCCTTTGACCTGTGATCCGGTTCCTGGGACTGTATCTTAAGGAAATGATCGATAAAAATGGAGAAATAATAAACACGCTATGGCATGCTTTATAACTATGAATAAGTGGGAGGCAGTTCAGTGCTATGTAGGAAGGGAGAGGTTAAAAAAATCCGTGGTAGGTCTACCCAAGGGCCTAGTATATATCCATCAAAAATGATAAGATCTTTTAGCCTCATAGAATTGTGGTATAATATTTGCTATGAGGGAGAATAAGCCGCTGTACCTACTGCGGTTACAACTCTGTAAAACATGTATTTATTCTTTGAACCAGTGTGTATTGAGTACCTCCTTTTGTCAGGGCTTATTCAAGGCTGGAACATGCCTACAGCTGTGGACAAGACCTTTCCCTTTCGTATCTCCTGTAGCTCGCATTGTAACTTAAGAGAAAAACCTTAGCAGTGACACAAATGTTTATTTAAATACAGTAGCAATAAGTGCTTTAAAAAAAACAGGTTGTCAAGAGGGAGGTCCTCACCTAATGTTCTTATGATATCAAAAAAATATTTAAGGCCAGGCACAGTGGCTCACACCTGTAATCCCAACACTTTGGGAGGCTGAGGCAGGAGGATCACTTGAGCCCAGGAGTTGGAGACCAGCCTGGGCAACATAGTGAAACCCTGTCTCTACAAAAAAGTTTTTAAAAGTTAGCTGAGCATGGTAGCATACATTTGTAGTCCCCGCTACTCAGGAGGCTGAGGTGGGAGGATCACTTGAGCCTGGGAGGCCAAGGCTGCAGTGAGCCATGATTGCACCACTGCACTCCAGTCTGGGTGACAGAGCAAGACCCTGCCTCAAAAGAAAAAAAAATTAAAAATACTAATTACATAACTTTTTTTCCATTTTCAGTTTTTAAAATCAATTTAATATTCCTGGACTGAACTTTTTAAGATCCACTTGGCAGCTGTGACTGGAGGAGCAGGAGGAAGGGACTAGAGGGATGGAGGTGCACAAGGCTAGAAGGGTGGATGGTGCATGGAGATGGAGCTGCCCTGAGTGGCCCAGAATCCTGCACAGGAGGCCCTTCTAGATCAGAACAACCTATGGCCAGTCTGCAGGTGAAATCTGGCCCATAGCTTGTTTTTATAAAGTTTTATTGGAACACAAATGTACCCATTCAACTTATTGTCTGTGGCTGCTTTTACACTATAACGACAGGTTAAGTTGTTGTGACAGAGACAGTATAGCCCATAAAGTCCAAAATGTATCTTATTTGGCCTTTTATAGAGTTAGAGTTTGCCAGCTCTCGTTCTAGATCAGTGGTGCTTGGCTATTGACCCCTTTAAATATCAGATGAAAGCTTCATGCCCTCATCCCAGAAAGATGCGTATATGTACCTCTCCACATATAGAGGTACTCATTGAGTTTCCACATTCAGGAGGTCCCAGCACTGTTGAAGCTTCTCCATGGAGCCCTCAGGTTCATACTTCTTGACACTAGTGGAGGTAGGATTCATTTCTTTACCCCCAAAATGTTGAAATAGCTTCTCTCATCTACCAAATGAGATGAGCCTAGTGAGGAAATGAATCAACCCTTACCAGTGGGGTTTAGTGCCCAGTCAACAGGGGGGCCATTTATGTGGTTAGAGTCCAGTCAGATTTTAGACAATATCATGTCCCACTGGCACAGAAACAACATCCCATCCATTCTGTTTCTTTGGCTTATGGTTTGACCCCATATGGGTTATTCTAAAGGAATTATCTGGTTTATAGACATCTATGCTCCCATTCTTAATCCTCTTCTTTCTAGAGCCATTTCCTTCCTCTATAACTTCAGACAAATGTAGGTCTTCCTAAACCTCCAATTGTGCTGGCATTTGCCTTCCCGTCATTTTTGCCACTGTCCTATTTCTCTTCTTTCCTCTACTGGTAGGTTTCTTTCTTTCTTTCTTTCTTTCTTTCTGAGATGGAGTCTTGCTTTTGTTCCCAAGTCTGGAGTGCAATGGCACAATCTCGGCTCACCACAACCTCCGCCTCCCGGGTTCAAGCAATTCTCCTGCCTCAGCCTCCCGAGTAGCTGGGATTACAGGCATGCACCATCTTGCCTGCCTAATTTTGTATTTTTAGTAGAGACGGAGTTTCTCCATGTTGGTCAGGCTGGTCTTGAACTCCCAACCTCAGGTGATCCACCCGCCTTGGCCTCCCAGAGTGCTGGGATTACAGGCATGAGCCACTGTGCCTGGCCCCCTACTGGTAGTTTTCTTAAAGGTAAATTCTCATCCTACACAGCCAACCTTCATCCCTCCTCGACTCTCCTTAACTCTTAGGAACCTGGCCCCTGTCCCAGTTCATCTAACAAATCATAGCTCACCTTCCCCAACTTCTAACCTAACCCAAAGCATTTTAGTTTTCAAAAGTTTTTTGCTTTCTAGTATTAAAAAGTATTATGAAATAATTTTATGTAGAATTTAAAATTACATATATGCAATGATTTTTTGGTAATTTCTGTACAGTTATTTGATTTTTATAATGAAAACATTGATTTTATGTTGAAATATATATTTTAATTTTGCAGCCACTTAGACGCAGTGATATGAATTCAGGAGTGAGAAAAGGAAATCAATCCTGCTCGGAGCTTAGCTTATCTAGGTCAGCTGAGCTGCTTGGGGAACCTGCATCCACTGCCATCTTTTACTCACGATGGTTGTTTAATTAATTTTTCTTCATACTCTGAAAGTTTCGTTACTTCTTAGTCTTCTTATTGATTCTGGATTTATAGAAAAAAAGAACAGAAGTCTTATAATATCCATGCGGATTACAGACTCAGGCAGAGGCCAAGGCAGGGCCTACACCAAGGGCAGAAAGGTCATTTCAGTCAGACCTGAAGGTTTTGGGGGCGCAGTTGCCTTTTGCAGTTGTTTGGGTCTAAATGTGGACAGGAGAGCCAGGTTTATTCTGGCGGTGAAGAATCATGCCCCGCCCCCCTCCATGTTTTGCTATGACTTCTGTTAGCATCAACTAGAGAGAGTTTTGCTGGCCTGTCATGGTGGCTTGTAAATGATAGGCTGGTTTTGTGAACTTGTCTAGCCCATGGTTTAAGCATAGTGTGGCCATGCTAAAAACTTTTCCTGTGAGCTTTCTATCTCCTTGAGATGCCCTCTTTTTTCTGGGAAAGCATCTGGAGTTTCCAGTTCTGAATGACAAGAGTAGCTTATATCAGAATAACCTTCCCTCAAATAACAATATAAGCGCCAGGGAAAATGCACACGTGTATTCGAAGGTACCAAAGTGTGGCCAAAACAGGGAGAAATGGAGGAGCTTCAGCCGCTGAGAGGAGGAACTAGCTGTTGGTGAGCTCTGCATCAATCTGGCTTTCCCCCTTATGGTACGCCCCAGACTGTGGGGGCAGGCAGAGCTCAGACAGAAAGTGGAGGTCTCTGGTGTGATAGCATGAGTGTTCTCTCCTTTTTTTTTTTTTTTTTTTTTTTTTTTTTTGATCAGTCTAGGTAAAGGTTTCTCAGTTTTTGCTAAACTTCTCAAAGAACATTTGGTTCCATTGGTTTTTCTGGGTTTTTATTTTCCTATCCTCTATTTCATTAATTTCTGCTCTCATCTTTATGTTTCTCTCCTTCTCCTTCCTTTAGGTTTAGTTTGATCTTCTTTGCCCAGTGTCTTAAGGTGGAAGCTTAGGTTATTGATTTGACATCTTCTTTACATCAGTAAAGAAGATCTACCCCCATACATTTCACTCTAAACACTGCTTTAGCTAGTATGTTGTATCTTAATTTTAATTCATCTCAGAGCATTTTTAGTTTTCCCTTGTGATTTCTCCCTTGACCCGTTGGTTATTTACAAGTGTATTATTTAATTTCCACAAATTTGTGAATTTCTCATGTTATTGATTTCTAATTTCATTCCATATCACTGTGGTCAGAAAACATATTTTGTTTGATTTCAATCCTTGTAAATGAATTGAGGCATGTTAGGGACAGCCTAACATAAGGTCTGTCCCAAAGAATGTTCCATGTGCACTTCAGAAAAATGTGTATTCTGCTTTTGTTGGGTAGAGTCTTCTGTGACTATCTGGAGGTCTAGTTGGTTTATGGTTTATGTTGTAGTTCAAGTCTTTTATTTCCTTGTTGATCTTCTATCTGGTTGTTCTGTTATTGAAAGTGGGTATTGAACTCTCCAATTATTATTGAATTGTTTTTTACTTGAATTCTCTCAGTTTTTGCTTTATGTATCTTGGGGTCCTGTTATTAGCTACACATATATTTATAATGGCTTGGTTTTTTAATTGATTGACTCTTTTATTATGATAGGATGTTCCTCTTCACCTCTAGTAACAGATTTTTTTAAAGTCTATTTTTCTTATGTTGTCAATTCAGCTTTCTTACAGTTGCTATTTGCATGATATATCTTTTTCCATCCTATTACATTCAGTTACGTATATCTTTGCATCTTAAATGTGTCTCCTGTATACAGCATATAGTTGGACCTTGGTTTTAATCCACTTTTAGTCTCTACCTTTTTATTGGATTGTTTAGTCCATTCACATTTAATGCTATTATTGCTGTAGTTGAATTTATGTCTGCCATTTTATCTCTTGTTTTCTGTGTCTTATGTCTTTTTTTGTTCCTCTGTTCCTCATTACTTTCTTTTGCATTAAGTGAATATTTTCTAATATGGCATTTAAATTATTTTAATAATTTTTAACTATACTTTCTTGAGTTATTTTCTTAGTGATTGAGCTAGGATTTACCATATGTATCTTTTTTATTATACTTTAAGTTCTGAGGTACGTGTGCAGAACAAGCAGGTTTGTTACATAGGTATACATGTGCCATGGTGGTTTGTGTACCCATCAACCCATCATCTACATTAGGTATTTCTCTTAATGCTATCCTTCCCCTAGCCCCCGACTCCCTGACAGGCCCCAGTATGTGATGTTCCCCTCCCTGCGTCCATGTGTTCTCATTCTTCAACTCCCACTTACGAGTGAAAACATGCAGTGTTTTGTTTTCTGTTCCTGTGTTAGTTTTCTGAGAATGATGGTTTCCAGCTTCATCCATGTCCCTGCAAAGGACATGAACTCATCCTTTTTATGGCTGCATAGTATTCCATGGTATATATGTGCCACGTTTTCTTTGTCCAGTCTATCATTGATGGGCATTTGGGTTGGTTCCAAGTCTTTGTTATTGTGAATAGTGCTGCAATAAATATACGTGTGCATGTGTCTTTATAGTAGAATGGTTTATAATCCTTTGGGTATATACCCAGTAATGGAATTACTGGGTCAAATGGTATTTCTGGTTCTAGATCCTTGAGGAATCACCACATAATGTCTTCTGTCTTCCACAATGGTTTAACTAGTTTACGCTCCCATCAACAGTGTAAAAGCATTGCTATTTCTCCACATCCTCTCCAGCATCTGTTGTTTCCTGACTTTTTAATGATCGCCATTCTAACTGGCGTGAGATGGTATCTCATTGTGGTTTTGATTTGCATTTCTCTAATGACCAGTGATGATGAGCTTTTTTTCATATGTTTTTTGGCCGCATAAATGTCTTCTTTTGAGAAGTGTCTTTTCATATCCTGTGCCCACTTTTTGATGGGGTTGTTTGTTTATTTCTTTTAAATTTGCTTAAGTTTCTTGTAGATTCTGGATATTAGCCCTTTGTCAGACGGATAGATTGCAAAAATGTTCTCCCATTCTGTAGGTTGCCTGTTCACTCTGATGATAGTTTCTTTTGCTGTGCAGAAGCTCTTTAGTTTAATTAGATCCCGTTTGTCAATTTTGGCTTTTGTTATCATTGCTTTTGGTGTTTTAGACATAAAGTCTTTGCCCATGCCTATGTCCTGAATGGTATTGCCTAGGTTTTCTTCTAGGATTTTTATGGTTTTAGGTCTTACACTTAAGTCTTTAATCCATCTTGAGTTAATTTTTGTATAAAGTGCAAGGAAGGGATCCAGTTTCAGTTTTCTGCATATGGCTAGCCAGTTTTTCCAACACCATTTATTAAATAGGGAACCCTTTCTCCATTGGTTGTTTTTGTCAGGTTTGTCAAAGATCAAATGGTTGTAGATGTGTGGCTCTTTATTACTGCCTCAATTTCAGAACTTGTTATTGGGCTTTTCAGAACTTGTTATTGGGCTATTCAGGGATTCAACTTCTTCCTGGTTTAGTCTTGGGAGAGTGTATGTGTCCAGGAATTTATCCATTTCTTCTACATTTTCTGGTTTATTTGCGTACAAGTGTTTATAGTATTCTCTGATGGTAGTTTGTATTTCTGTGGGATCAGTGGTGATATCCCCTTTATCATTTTCTATTGTTTCTATTTGATTCTTCTCTCTTTTCTTCATTAGTCTGGCTAGTGGTCTATCTATTTTGTTAATCTTTTCAAAAAACCAGCTCCTGGATTCATTGATTCTTTGAAGGGTTTTTTGTGTCTCTATCTCCTTCAATTCTTCTCTTATCTTAATTATTTCTTGTCTTCTGCTAGCTTTTGAATTTGTTTGCTCATGCTTCTCTAGTTCTTTTAAATGTGATGTGAGGGTGTCAATTTTAGATCTTTCCCGCTTTCTCCTTGGGCATTTAGTGCTATAAATTTCCCTCTAAACACTGCTTTAGCTGTGTCCCAGAGATTCTGGTATGTTTTGTCTGTGTTCTCATTGGCTTCAAAGAACTTATTTATTTCTGCCTTAATTTCATTATTTACCCACTAGTTATTCAGGAGCAGGTTGTTCAGTTCCCATGTAGCTGTGTGGTTTTGTGTGAGTTTCTTAATCCTGAGTTCTAATTTGATTGCACTGTGTGCTGAGAGACTGTTATGATTTCCATTGTTTTGCATTTGCTGAGGAGTGTTTTACTTCCAATTATGTGGTCAATTTTAGAATAAGTGCAATGTGGTGCTAAGAAGAATGTATATTCTATTGATTTGGGGTGGAGAGTTTTGTAGATGTCCATTAGGTCCACTTGGTCCAGAGCTGAGTTCAAGTCCTGAATATCCTTGTTAATTTTCTGTCTTGTTGATCTGTCTAATATTGACAGTGGGATGTTAAAGTCTCCCAGTATTATTGTGTGGGATTCTAAGTCTCTTTATAGGTCTCTAAGAACTTGCTTTGTAAATCTGGGTGCTCCCGTATTGGGTGCATATATATTTAGGATAGTTAGCTCTTCTTGTCACATTGATCCCTTTACCATTATGTAATGCCCTTCTTTGTCTTTTTTGATCTTTGTTGGTTTAAAGTCTGTTTTATCAGAGACTAGGATTTCAACCTCTGCTTTTTTTTTGCTTTCCATTTGCTTGGTAAATATTCCTCCATCCCTTTATTTTGAGCCTATGTGTGTCCTTGCACATGAGATGGGTCTCCTGAATACAGCACATTGATGGGTCTTGGCTTTTTATCCAATTTGCCAGTCTGTGTCTTTTAATTGGGACATTTAGCCCATTTACATTTAAGGTTAATAT
Organism: Homo sapiens; assembly: GCF_000001405.40. Lineage (NCBI taxonomy): Eukaryota > Metazoa > Chordata > Mammalia > Primates > Hominidae > Homo > Homo sapiens. The sequence continues at coordinate 36,256,837 of NC_000007.14, forward strand.
TGTTATGTGTGAATTTAATCCTGTGATTATGATGCTGGCTGGTTATTTTGCCTGTTAGTTGATGCAGTTTCTTCATGTTGATGGTCTTTACAATTTGGTATATTTTTGCAGTGGCTGGTAATGGTTTTTCCTTTCCATATTTAGTGCTTTTTTCATGTGCTCTTGTAAGGCAGGCCTGGTGGTGATAAAATCTCTCAGCATTTGCTTGTCTGTAAAGGATTTTATTTCTCCTTCGCTTATGAAGCTCAATTTTGGCTAGATATGAAATTCTGAGTTGAAAATTCTTTTCTTTAAGAATGTTGAATATTGGCCCCCACTTTCTTATGGCTTGTAGGGTTTCTGCAGAGGGATCAGCTGTTAGTCTGATGGGCCTCCCTTTGTGGGTAACCTGATCTTTCCTTCTGGCTGCCCTTAACATTTTTTCCTTCATTTCAGCATTAGTGAATCTGATGATTATGTGTCTCGGGGTCGCTCTTCTCAAGGAGTATCTTTGTGGTATTCTCTGTATTTCCTGAATTTGAATGTTGGCCTGTCTTTCTAGGTTGGGGAAGTTCTCCTGGATAATATCCTGAAGAGTGTTTTCCAAGTTGGTTTCCATTCTCCCCGTTACTTTCAGGTACACCAATCAAATGTAGGTTTGGTCTTTTCACATAGTCCCATATTTCTTGGAGGCTTTGTTCGTTCCTTTTCATTCTTTTTTCTCTAATCTTGTCTTCACGCTTTATTTCATTAAGTTGGTCTTTGATCTCTGATATCCTTTATTCCACTTGATCGATTTGGCTATTGATACTTGTATATGCTTCACGAAGTTCTCATGCTGTGGTTTTCAGCTCCATCAGGTCATTTATGTTCTTCTTTAAACTGGTTATTCTACTTAGCAATTCCTCTAACCTTTTTTCAAGGTTCTTAGCTTCTTTGCATTGGGTTAGAACATGCTCCTTTAGCTCGGAGGAGTTTGTTATTACCCACCTTCTGAAGCCTACTTCTGTCAGTTCGTCAAACTCAATTTCTGTCCAGTTTTGTTCCCTTCCTGGTGAAGAGTTGTGATCCTTTGGAAGAGAAGAGGCATTATGGTTTTTTGAATTTTCAGCCTTTTTGCACTGGTTTTTCCTCATCTTTCTGGATTTATCTACCTTTGGTCTTTGATGGTGGTGACCTTCAGATGGGGTTTTCGTGTGGACATCTTTTTTGTTGATGTTGATGCTATTCCTTTCTGTTTGTTCGTTTTGCTTGTAATGTCAGGCCCCTCTGCTACAGGTCTGCTGGAGTTTGCGGGAGGTCCACTCCGGACCCCGTTTGCCTAGGTATCACGAGTGGAGGCTGCAGAACAGCAAAGATTGCTGCCTGTTCCTTCCTCTGGAAGCTTCTTCCCAGAGGGGCACCCACCAGATGTCAGCCAGAGCTCTCCTGTATGAGGTGTCTGTCAACCCCTGCTGGGAGGTGTCTCCCAGTCAGGAGGCACAGGGTCAGGGACCCACTTGAGGAGGCAGTCTGTCCCTTAGCAGAGCTTGAGCGCTGTGCTGGGAGATCCACTGCTCTCTTAAGAGCTGGCAGGCAGGAACACTTAAGTCTGCTGAAGCTGCACCCACAGCCACCCCTTCCCCCAGGTGCTCTGTCCCAGGGAGATGGGAGTTTTATCTATAAGCCACTGACTGGGGCTGCTGCCTTTCTTCCAGAGATGCCCTGCCCTGAGAGGAGGAATCTAGAGAGGCAGTCTGGCTACAGTGGCTTTGCAGAGCTGCAGTGAGCTCCGCCCAGTTGGAACTTCCAGGCGGCTTTGTTTACATTGTGAGGGGAAAGCCTACTCAAGCCTCAGTAATGACGGACGCCCCTCCCCCCACCAGCTCCAGCATCCCAGGTCGACTTCAGACTGCTGTGCTGGCAGCGAGAATTTCAAGCCAGTGGATCTTAGCCTGCTGGGTTCCGTGGGGTTGGGATCCACTGAGCTAGACCCCTTGGCTGCCTGGCTTCAGCCTTATTTCCACGGGAGTGAACGGTGAACGGTGAACAGTTCGGTTTTGCTGGCATTCCAGGTGCCACTGGGGTATGAAAAAAAAAAAAAAAAAAACTGCAGCTAGCTCAGTGTCTGCCCAAACGGCCACCCAGTTTTGTGCTTGAAACCCAGGGCCCGGTGATGTAGGCACCTAAGGGAATCTCCTGGTCTGTGGGTTGTGAAGACTGTGGGAAAAGCATAGTATCTGGGCTGAAGTGCAGCGTTCCTTACATCACAGTCCCTCATGGCTTCCCTTGGCTACGGGAGGGAGTTCCCGGACCCCTTGTGCTTCCCAGGTGAGGTGATACCCCATCCTGGTTCAGCTCGCCCTCCGTGGGCTGCACCCACTGTCTAACCAGTCTCAATGAGATGAGCCAGGTACCTCAGTTGGAAATGCAGAAATCACTCACTTTCTCCATTGATCTTGCTGGGAGCTGCAGACTGGAGCTGTTCCTATATGGCCATCTTGCCAGCCTCCCCATATATATCTTAACTTACCAGATTTGTACTTAGTTCAAATTTATACTCTATTTCAGACTTGTGCTCACTTAATTTTAGTAAGATATAGAAACGTTACTACTGTATAGCTGTATTCCGTCTTTCCCCCTTTTGTGCTATTGTCTATGCATCTATACATGTTACACCTTGAACTATACATTGTTATAATAATTATTCATATATATAATTTTTTTTCTTTGAGACAGGGTCTCACTCTGGTTGCCCAGGCTGGAGTGCAGTGGCCCAATCTCAGCTCACTGCAGCCTCAATCTCCTGGGCTCAGGTGATTCTCCCACCTCAGCCTCCCAAGTAGCTGGAATTACAGGCACACACCACCATGCCCGGCTATTATAATTTTTTGTACTTTTAGTAGAGACAGGGTTTCTCTATGTTGCCCAGGCTGGTCTCAAACTCCTAGAATCAAGTGATCCTCCTGCCTTAGCCTCCAAGAGTGCTGGGATTACAGGCATGAGCCACCATGCCGGGCCTATTATCTTATATATTTTTATGTCTTCTAAAGTAGATAAGACAGTAGATTAGTGTGTATTTACAGAGTTAGCTATATTAACCATTTTGTGTACCATTTCTAGTTTTCATTTGTTCCTGTGAATTTCATTTACTATTTGGTATACTTCCTCACTCCAATACATCTCTAATCCCATGTAGCTCCTTTGTGCCATTATTTTTACCTATATTAGATTTCTATGTATTATAGGCCCAGCAATACAGTCATATACATATTGTTTTATACAGCTGCTTTTAAAATCAGTTAAGAAAATGAAGGAGAAGAAATATGCACATATGTGTCTTTTATAATTACTGATGCTGTTCATTTTGTCATAGGGATTCCACTTGGTCTGGGGTCATTTGCTTTTAGCCTAAAAATCTGTCTTTTGGGTTTCTTATCAGGCAGGTCTGTTAGCAACAAATTCTCTCAGTTTTTGTATGGGAATGTATTTCATCTTCATTTTTGAAAGATAGTTTTCCTGGATGTAAGATTGGTTGACAGTTTTTCTCTTTCAGCGCTTTGAATATACCACTTCACTGTCTCTGATCTCTTTTGTTTCTGATGAAAATTCAGCAGTTAATCTTTCTGGCAATGAGTGATTTTTGAAAGCTGGGTATATTGCTGGGGGCTGAAGGCCACCATATTTACTGAGTGTGGTATTTCACTTATGGGCTTCTGAAGAGCAACTCATACTTCTTTAGTGTCCCAGAGCTGCACTGGCTTTGGTGACAGTTTCCTTTGTTTGAGGGGATTTCTAAGGCATTATTTGCATAAAGTCCAACAAAAACATTTCAGATGCTTTTGGCAAAGATAAAATGCAAAAAAGAAAGCCTCGTGATAGTCTAGAAAGATCAAGGACCTTGTAGTGAGAAAGACCTGAGTTTGACTCTCAAATAATAGATCATGAAATCATTTTAGTAAATTTCCCCCAGTCTTTGTTTCAGTGTAGTCAGCCCTCCACATCTGTAGATTCAACCAACCATGAATTGAAAATATTCAAAAACGAAAATGTTGCATCTCTACTGAACTTGTACAGACTTTTTTCTTGTCATTATTGCCCAAGCAATACAGTATAACATCTGTTTACATAGCATTGACATTGTATTAGGTATTATAAGTAATCATATATAGGAAGATGTGCATAGATTATAAACAAATACTGTACCATTTTATATCAGGGACTTGAGCATCTGTGGATTTTGGTATTTGAGGGAGGTCCTGGAACCAGTCCTCCATGAATACCAAGGAATGACTGTGTATGTATAGATGTATGTGTGGATGTGTGCATGGACGAATGGGTGGGTGGATGGACAAATGGGTGGGTGGATGGATGACTGTTGGCAGGCAGAAAAATAGAATATACCAGGTTCCCATATAAAGATTTATTTGTTGCTATGAGTCATGGTCCAGAATGTTTGAAAGTTGCTGTTCCAGTCCATTTATTGGGTTGGAAGAGGGCCTGCTCTGGGATTTTTCCAGTACTGGAAGGGCCTCTGCTTGCCCTTGGGTATATCCTAAGCACTTTTCCCTCCTGCCTTGTTAGTCTCTTAACTCTGTTTTACTTTTTAGCAGAAAGAAAATGTGCCCAACTCACTGCTGTTCCTTCAAAATTGTTGCACCTAGCCACCACCTCATACAAACTCTCACAACAGCCATGACGACAGGAGTTACATGCAATTTCCTGTCTTTTTCAGTCCACCCTCAAATACCACTTATCAGAAAATGCTAACAATGACTTGGTGCTGAGAGAACTTTCAATTCACTTTTTTAGAGGATTCTGAGACTTTTCATTAATGATTCATTCATTCATTTCTGGAGAACATGACTTTGTATTCAGCAAAGTTTGGGCTAGTCAGTAATTTTAAGTGCAATAGAAGGGCAGGCAGGTGAAACTGTTTTTGCTACATTGCTAAACACATTTATGCTCGATATTCTCAGCAGATAAAATTATCCTGATTGAACAGGCCATTAAAGCTTGCTTTGCCAGAAAATAATTCAGTGGAGAGTTCTGTCACATTGCTAACAATGCATTTGGAATGAGTAATTCCTACAGCTGATAAAATATTTTTTATTAACCTTCAGGAGGCATTGAAATGATGAGTTTAGGCCTGAACAAGATTTCAAATTTTTGGAAATGCATCCAACCTTGTTTCAGAAATTTTGCTCCATCTTTGTAGAAATTCAAAAGCGTTCACTGACATTCCTTAGAAGCATTATCCAAAGCTCCCTTCTAGATCCTGGACTTGGTTTCCCCCCACCCACAAACTCTGCTGCTGCTCTATTCTTTCCCGTGCCCTAAGGCCTGCCCTACCTAACTCTTGTCCATGAAATGCAGACGCATTTTTACATGCAGAATTAGCCTGGCATAGTGGCTCACATCCATAACTCCAGCATCTTGGGAGGGTGAAGTGCGGAGGATTGCTTGACCCCAGGAGTTCGAGACCAGCCAGGGCAATGTAGTGTTAGTAATGGTGAATCCATAGGATCTACAGCAACCTCAGTTTTTGCTTCTCAGAGGAAAAAAAAATTGTCTGAGGGTCATCAGACAGAATGAGAGACCAAGGCAAGTTTTAGAGCAAGAGTGAAAGTTTATTAAAAACTTTTAGAGCAGGAACAAAAGGAAGTAAAGTACATTTGGAAGAGGGCCAAGTGAGTGACTTGAGAGATTCAAGTGCATGGTTTGACCTTTGTCTTGGGATTTCATATGTTGGCATGCATTCAGGGGGTTGTGTCTCGTCTCCCCTGATTCTTCTCTTGGAGTGGACTGTCCTCATGCCCAGTGGTCTGCCAGCATTTGGGAGGGGAGCATGTACAGTGTGTTTAGTGAAGTTGTACACATGCTCACTTGAGGCATTTCGCCTGTACCAGTCGAGTGTTCCTGGAGGAAGGTCATATACCAGTTAAACTCTGCCATTGTGCCTCTAAGTACACATGCTTGAGCCCACTCACCCAACTCCTGAGATCTTATGGGGAAGCTGCTGATCACCAGCTTCAGGTGTTTATCTGTTGGGAGACTGCCATTCCCTGGGGGCAGCTGTAAACAAATATTATTTTAGAGAGACAGTTTTACAACCGCCTGACCATCACCTGATGGTCGCTTGACAGTCCTGGTGTATGGGGTAGGGGAGGGCTCTCTCCTGTCCTGCTCATGTCTGACTAGCTACATGCTCTAACAATAGGAGACTCTGTCTCTACAAGAAATAAAATGATAAAAAACTTTAGCTGTTCATGGTGGTGCATGCCTGTGGTACCAGCTACTTGGGAGGCTGAGGATTGCTTGAGCTCAGGAGTTTCAAAACCAGCCTGGGCAACATGGTGAAACTCCATTTATACAAAATATACAAAAATTGGCCGGGTGTGGCGATGCACGTCTGTAGTCCCAGCTACTCGGGAGGCTGAGGCGTGAGTATTGCCTGAGCCCAGAAGGTTGAGGCTGCAGTGGGCTGTGATTGCACCACTGCACTCTACCCTTGGTGGCAGAGAACACCCTGTCTCAAGGGAGGGGGGGGAAAAAGCAGAGTTAATTAGGTTTGAAGAAGACAGCCAAAGAAAACAAAGCAGCACCTCACACAGGAATGACTCTGAAATTACCTGCTCTCTTGGTTCACCTGTTAGTGGCTTCCTCCACAAGGAGACAGTCAAGAAATCTATCTAAGAGGCTACATGGAAGCACTGTGGAGTCACAGAGCAGAGCATCTTCCCAATGTGTATAGCTCTGGGGATCTTCAGGGGTCAGAAGTGTCCAGGATTAAAACAAGATCCCTAGCATGTACAATTCGAAGGGGTAAACCTGGAAGAGAAGATGTCACGTTCTGGGTTTTGCCCAAATCCCAACATTTGCATCAGCTCCTGGGAGAGCATCAGGGCCTTTCTCCCATGATTACAATTCATGAGACCACAGTTTTGTATTATAGCTCACCTCTAGCAGGTAAGTTCTGTCTTCCTTCCCTCCATCCACCTGCCTAAATCTCTTAGTGGGAGAATAAATTGCTATGTATCGATTGTTTTGTTTCTCTTGACCCACACATTCTTGTCCGGCACTTGCTTTGCAAGGATACATTTGCGAGTAAGAGGGGAGGAAGTAACAAGTATTTTTATGCTTCATTTCAGGATGTGGCAGGGACATTTTTGATGGTTTCATTGCTTAATTTATTTGGAAACAGCATTAAACCAGCTTTTATTTATGAAAAAATTATATATGTTTGTGGGGGAGAGACTTTTACATGGATAAAGCTCACACCAGTTAATTAGTATTCATACTATGACTAGAAAAGTGAAATTTCTAGAAAATTTTAAAGCAAGAAGAAAAACTAAGGCATACAGAATTGCAGTTTGGTCTCTCTAGTTTCATTTTGTTTCAGTTCCTCATTTATATTGTTACCAGAGTAATCCTTCAGAAACACAAGCTTGATCCTATTACTCCTTCCTTAGAGTTGCTTCAGGGGGAAGCCCGCAGTGGGGTCAGGACGATAGACATGGATTTGGGTCCTCACCCAGCCACTTGCCCTGTGGATAATCTTGAGTCTGTTACTTAACTACTTCAGCCCTGCATTCGTCCTCTGTTGAGCAAGGATGATGACACCTCCCACCCGCACAGAGCCATCACATGGACCACATCGTGGCGTGTGTGTAAAGGGCCTGCAGCATTGGCACAGGGTGAGCATTCTAGGAAATGTAAGCTGCTGTGGTTCCAAGTCATTAATATGAAGTGTCTCTTCCTGGCCTGCAGGACACTGTCATGGCATCCATTATATGGTCCTTGCCTGGTATTTAATTTGATTTTTGTAACCTGTCTCTCCTTCTCTGTGTCCAGTTTGCTTTTGGCCCACAGTGCCCAGTATGTTGGAGGGAGCCAGAAAAGCCTGTGAAACTAGCACCAAACAGTTTTTCTTCTTTTAAGAGCTTGCGGCCAAAAATTTAACAGGAAGGGAGCTCAACTAAAAGATAGCTTGGGTATTTGGCTTTCCATTTCTCCCATTAGCACGAAAGAAAACAGAACCAGTGACTCTGAGGACATTCTCCAAAGTGAGAATGCTATTTCATGAGCTGCCACCTATAGTTCTTGCTGCCCACACTGAAAAAAAAAAAAACAAAAATCTGTGTGATTTGCCTTGAAATAAAATAGGAAACATGCAGCCTTTAAAGACTAGGATTTGACATAATACAGATCAAAATAAAATAAGTCATGAATCAGTAGGACTTTCACCCAGGGCTTTGAAGCCTTTATTTTTATGATTATTGCCACCGCAGAGCAGAGCCGGCTGCATAAACACCATTTAGAATAGCTGAAGGCTGGCATCGCATAAGAAAAATGGCAACCAGAGCGATTTCCCTGAGGGTCCATGAGTCCTAATTCTGTTTAATGTGACAATTCCTGAACAACTCTGGCTTCTTCACAGAAATATGCCTGGGAAGTTCTGGGAGCCTGGCTGCCTAGAGCCCGCCTGAGAGTGAACTAGTCTTCAGTGTTTACAGACAGAGTGACAATTCCTGAACAACTCTGGCTTCTTCACAGAAATGTGCCTGGGAAGTTCTGGGAGCCTGGCTGCCTAGAGCCCGCCTGAGAGTGAACTAGTCTTCAGTGTTTACAGACAGAGAAAATATATCCCTGGGGTTTAAAAAAATAAGTGGGTGTTCATGTAAGAGGGTAGGAATGGGGAGCTATTGTAAACTGCCAGCTTGGTCCTACTCATAACTCATTTTCTTTGGATTTGAGTACCTAAATAATTATTAATCCTTTCCCCCTTTGTGTTGGCTTTCTCTCTCTTCCATCTTCCTTTTCCTCGTCCCTACCCTTTCTGTTGCCATATCTGGCTTTTGATACCTCAGGGGTAAACATGCTCCTACTATTCAGTTTTCTTGTTGGGTGGTTTCTTGGGTTAGGAAACCATCTCTCTCCTGTGTCTGTCTAACACATTCTTTCAGCCTGTAAACTTGAAAACATCAAAGAGGAAGAAAATTCTAGAAAGGGAGAGCAGTGGTTGGGTAAATCAACATGGTTTGTTTGAGGAAACAAGTTATCATCAGCTTGCAAACCTGGGGCAGATCCCTTTTTTGCTTACAAGCTAATGTTGTAACAGGCATGGCTGGCATTTCCTGCCAAAGTTGGGGTTCAGCATTTCAGTAGGAAGTGCCAAGTGCAACTCCGCCTTCTCAGCCTTCCTTACTGGCATGCATCTCAGGCGATGTAAACCTTAGAATCTATGGAAGGGCATGTCTGGTGCAAATCATGGCGTGGCCATCCCTGTGTTTCCGCTCTCACTTGGGGTTTGCCACGCTCCCCTTTCCTAGACTCTCACAAAATAGCCACAAAATCCTCCAGAAATCAGTGCTATTTTCAGAACTGCTTCTACTTAGAATAATTCATTTCAATAATTACTCACAAATTTAGTGCCTAATTTGGAAAGAAGTATTTATCTTATTTGCCCTAAAACTGTCTTTTTTTGCACTTCAAAGAGCCAGTATTCCAAGAATTACTGGGCTGTGCATTCCTCTCCTAGGTGCTCAGTAACCATATGTGAAGAGACGTTTGAATCCTCGCAGTCTAGAGGCAGCCTCCCCAGGGCAGGGCACTGACCTCCTGTTTCTCCCCTGACCAAGAGCTCCACGACAGCGGTAGCCTAGAGCAGCATCCTTTCCTGCAAAATCCTCAGTGTTTGTTGAACGAAGGTGTGGTTCCTCTGTGTTACCCTCAACATCTAGCCCATCACTCAAGTCACTTTTAAAATTATTGATGTATAATTCACATAACATAAAATTAATGATCAACCATCTTAAAGTAAACAATTCAGCGGCATTTAGGAGAGTCATATCGTGTGCAACCATCACCTCTATCTAGTTCCAAGATATTTTTATCATCCAAAAAGGAAACCTCAAACCTACTAAACAGTCACTCCCCCTTCCCCTCTTGCCCAGCCCCTGGCACCTACCAATCTGGATTCTGTCCAAAGTAATATTTACCTACTCTGGATGTCTTGTGCAAATGGAGTCATACAATATGTAGCCTTTTGTGTCTGGCTTTTTTCGCTTAGTGTAATGTGTTCAAGGTTCATCCATGTATCAGTACTTCATTGCTTTTTCACGGCTGAGTAATACTTTCTTGCATGAATATACCACATTGTGTTTCTCCATTCATCTGCTGGTGGACATTTGGGTCATTTCCATCTTCGAGCTACTGGGAGTAGTGCTCCTGTGAACATTCATGTACAAGTATTTGTCTGAATACCATTCTCACTTCTTTGGTGCCAAGCACATTATCTCCTAATTATCTCTGGAGTCTGCCCACTGCCATCCTCCCAGTCAAGCTACTCACCTCTGTTACTGCAGTACTCAGCTGGCATTTTTGTGGCCACCCTGGCCCTTCTGCAACTTGTACTCTATACCATAGCCCCATGGACTTTTCAAAATTCAGATCCCCTCTTCACACCCTGCAGTGATCTTAGGATTGCTCAAGGGATAAGAAACACATTTCTTTCAGGGTATGGGGGCCCCTGCATGGCCAGGCCTCTGCAAGATCATCTCCCCACCCTGCCCCCTCCCTCCACATCTGTGCCACAGCCACACTGGCCTCTCTGTCCTGCAAACTCTCCATGCTCTGTCCCACCACAGGCCCTTTGCACATGCTGTCTGTGCTGCCTAGCATGCTCTCCCCTCCTCTTGGCCTAATTAACTCCTCTTATCCTTGAGTTCTGAGCTCAAGCATCACCTCTTTGGAGAAGCTTTCCCCAACTAAGTGAACACCAACACCAAGACCATCCTGGATGCACACAAGCTCCTGGAACCACTCCTCTGCAGCCCAGGCCCCAGCTGCAGTTTTACATGCAGGTGATTACTTGTAAGACTGTAAGCTCAGGTTGGGCAAAGGACCATGTCTATTTTACTCCCCATTATAGCTCCAGAATTGTCATGGACTAGCTGTTTGTATCCCCTGCCACCCACCAACTTGTTATGTTCAAGTCCTAATCCCCAGTATGATGGTGTTTGGAGGTAGAGTCCTTGGGAGGTAATTGGGTCATGAGGGGTACAGCCCTCATCAATGAGATTAGTACCCTTATGAGAAGAGACATGAGATAGATTATCTATTCTCTGCCATGCGAGGACACAGGAAGAAGGTGACCATCTGCAGACTGGGAAGTGAGCCCCCACCAGGAATGGAATCGCTGGAACCTTGGTCTTGGACCTCCAGCTTCCAGAACTGTGAGAAGTAAATATTTGTTTTTTGAGCCACCCAGTCTGTGGTATTCCTTGAAGCAGCCCTGAACTGACTAAGATAAGAACCTAGCCCAGGATGGCCCCCGTTTGGTGCTTGTTAAGTGTTTTGTTGTTGTTGTTTTTGAGACGGAGCCTTGCTCTGTCGCCCAGGCTGGAGTGCAGTGGTGTGATCTCGGCTCACTGCAACCTCTGCCTCGCAGGTTCAGGTGATTCTCTTGCCTCAGCCTCCCGAGTAGCTGGGATTATAGGCATCCACCACCGTGCCTGTAATCCCAGGCTAATTTTTGTATTTTTAGTGGAGACGGGGTTTCACCATCTTGTCCAGGCTGGTCTCGAACTCCTGACCTCATGATCCACCCACTTCGGCCTCCCAAAGTGCTGGGATTACAGGCATGAGCCACCTTACCCAGCTGCTTGCTAAATTTTTGTCGAATGATCAGATGAGTCCATTCTCCTCACCAGAGAATGTTACCAACCACAGCTTCCCGTCCCTCTATCCATGCCAGCAGTGCTTTATTTTGGGGGACTGTACCTCCCAGCATGCAATGCTGGCTCCTGGCCCCAACCGTGATTCTTGCCTCCTTCCTCCACTGGTGTATTTCAGAAATTGTGCTGCCAGGTGTGGAATGTCGAAGGGGGATCTGTCTCTCTGTAGTCTAGGCCTGAGGGAGCAGCCCAGTGTGTCTAACAACCAGGAGAGCACATACAGAGACTTGCTGGGTGCCAGGCCTGTGCTACCTGCTTTAGAAATAGCAAATACGTGAGGCGGGAATGATTCTTTGCCCCTTGTTACAGATGGTGAAACAGAGGCACAGAATACATGAGTCATTTGCCCAAAGTCAAAACTCTTGGTAAGTGGTAGATCCAAAGTTTGAATCCAGGCAGCCTTTCTCTAGAGTCTGCGTTCTTAACCTTACTATTAAATAATGAGTGAACTTAAGCATTCAGGACATGGAAGAATTCTTCTCATAGAAGAGAAATCTGAGTGATGGCAGTAGTGTTTCCTTCTGGAGTCTGCATGGGTTTGTTTAAAGCACTGGAGTGGGCAGTAGACATTCCCGCCAAGTTCTGGCTTGGCAATCCCATGGCCATTTTAAACACACAGATAACCAAACTACTCAGCTTATTTAGGACTTCACGCGCTCCTCAAGGTCCTAACAAATACAGGTTGATGTCAAGACAAATTCTCTAAAGAACCACTTTATTATAAATAAAGCTAGAGGGAAAAAATTAAGGTGAGGACTATTTGTCTTCAGATGAAAAAAACTAAGCTATTTATGAAGACTCTTGTCTTGTGTCAGTCAGCGATTTAAAAAGGAAAGAGTCAAGCCAGGTGTGGTGGTTCACAACTGGTCCCAGCTACTTAGGAGGCTGAGGCGGGAGGATTGCTTGAGCTGAGGAGTTGGAGTCTAGCCTGGGCAACATAGCAAGACCCTGTCTCTGAAAAACTAAAGAGTCATGTCCTTTCTGATCATATGTTTTGAGGGGTTAATGTCTTTGGTCATTCATACTCCAGGCCCCTGTGCTGCCATCTGTTTATCACAGGCAGGTATATTAAAACAAAGCAGGCTGGGTGCGGTGGCTCACGCCCGGAATCCCAGTACTTCAGGAGGCCCATGCGGAAGGATCGCCTGAACCCAGGAGTTTAAGAGCAGCCTGGGCAACATAGAGAGATCCCATCTCTATTCTAATTTAAAATTTTAAAAAATAAAGCAAAACCCAGCAACAAAACCTTCTGATTTACTTTTGGAAACAAAGATATTGCCATTTGAAATTCTTAGGATTCTTTTCTAAACATATAGATAAAAATCATTTCGAACATGAGAGGGCATAGTGGGTGAAGTTTTATTGCTACCTTGCTAGGTGATTTTAGGATGTTTCATAGTGATTAGAAATGAACCTCAAAAAGGCAGAAAGTTCCTCCAGCCAATGAAAGCTTCGCCACCAAGGAGATGGCACACTGAACAACAGCAGGTTAGATGGCCCAGGAAGGACTTGATTTTAGAAGAGCTTATGATAACATGGCACAGTATAAGTGGGAAAAGCAGAATGTGTGTGTGCATATGTGTGTGTATGTGTGTGTATACAGACATATAAGATATATTGATAAAATGCACAGGAAACAGCCTAGAAGGAATTCCACCAAAAATATTAGCAGTAGTGGTCTTTGCACAGTGGTATTATACTTAATTTTTTTCTGACTCTCTATTTTATAAATTATCCTGCACTTGTATTTATTTATAGCAGGACATAAGCCTTTATTTATTTATTTTTTATTATACTTTAAGTTCTGGGATACATGTGCAGAACGTGCAGGTTTGTTACATAGGTATACACGTGCCATGGTGGTTTGCTGAACCCATCAATCCATCATCTACATTAGGTATATCTCCTAATGCTATCCCTCCCTAGCCCCCAACCCCCAACAGGCCCCAGTGTGTGATGTTCCCTGCCCTGTGTCCATGTGTTCTCATTGTTCAACTCCTACTTATGAGTGAGAACATGTGGCATTTGGTTTTCTGTTCCTGTGTTAGTTTGCTGAGAATGATAGTTTCCAGCTTCATCCATGTCCCTGCAAAGGACATGAACTCATCCTTTTTTATGACTGCATGGTATTCCATGGTGTATATGTGCCACATTTTCTTCATCCAGTATCATTGATGGGCATTTGGGTTGGTTCCAAGTCTTTGTTACTGTGAATAGTGCTGCAGTAAACATACATGTGCATGTGTCTTTATAACAGAATGATTTATAATCCTTTGGGTATATACCCAGTAATAAGATTGCTGGGTCAAATGGTATTTCTAGTTCTAGATCCTTGAGGAATCGCCACACTGTCTTCCACAATGGTTGAACTAATTTACACTCCCACCAAGTGTAAAAGCGTTCCTATTTCTCCACATCCTCTCCAGCAAGCTATTGTTTCCTTTTTATTTATTATTATTATTATTTTTTTTTGAGTTGGAGTCTTGCTCTGTCACCCAGGCTGGAGTGCAGTGGCGCAATCTCAGCTCACTGCAACCTCTGCTTCCCAGGTTCAAGCCATTCCCCTGCCTCAGCCTCCCGAGTAGCTGGGATTACAGGCGCCCGCCACCACGCCCGGCTAATTTTTTGTATTTTTAGTAGAGACAGGGTTTTACCATGTTGGCCAGGCTGGTCTAGAACTCCTAACCTCATGATCTGCCCGCCTTGCTGGGATTACAGGCATGAGCCACCACGCCTGGCCTATTTCCTGACTTTTTAATGATCGCCGTTCTAACTGGCATGAGATGGTATCTCATTGTGGTTTTGATTTGCATTTCTCTAATGACCAGTGATGATGAGCTTTTGTTCATATGTTTGTTGGCCGCATAAATATCTTCTTTTGAGAAGTGTCTGTTCATATCCTGTGCCCACTTTTTGATGGGGTTGTTTGGTTTTTTCTTTTAAATTTGTTTAAGTTCCTTGTAGATTTTGGATATTAGCCCTTTGTCGGACTGATAGATTGCAAAAATATTCTCCCATTCTGTAGGTTGCCTGTTCACTCTGATGATAGTTTCTTTTGCTGTGCAGAAGCTCTTTAGTTTAATTAGATCCCATTTGTCAATTTTGGCTTTTGTTGCCATTGTTTTTGGTGTTTTAGTCATGAAGTCTTTGCCCATGCCTATGTCCTGAATGGTATTGCCTAGGTTTTCATGGTTTTAGGTTTTACATTTAAGTCTTTAATCCATCTGGAGTTAATTTTTGTATAAGCTGTAAGGAACATAAGCCTCCTATTCTATTCTATTCTATTCTATTCTATTCTATTCTATTCTATTCTATTCTATTCTATTCTATTCTATTCTATTCTATTCTATTGTATTCTATTCTATTCGAGACAGAGTCTCACTCTGTCACCCAGGCTGGAGTGCAATGGCACAATCTCGGCCCACTGCAGTCTTCACCTCCCAGATTCAAGTGATTCTCCTGCCTCAGCCTCCCACGTAGCTGGGATTACAGATGCCTGCCACAACGCCCCGCTAATTTTTTGTGTTTTTAGTAGAGACAGGGTTTCACCATGTTGGCCAGGCTGGTTTTGAACTCCTGACCTCAAGTGATCCACCTGCCTCAGCCTCCCGAAGTGCTAGGATTACAGGCATGAACCACCACCCCCTGCCATTAATTTAAAGATAAAAAAAAAAGCCGATGAAATTACTATGGAAGTCTTAATTCCCATCTAGGATTAAGAGTCTTAGCATCCAAAGACCTTTGGAGAAGTAAAGAACCTTTGGAACATTCCTAAAGGGCAGAGATGAGTGATGAAGATGACGCTGATGACAATGGCCACAGTGTGAAAGTGCAGAGTCCCTAAGGAGTGTGTTTGCACCCCACACAGCTCCTCCCTCCTCCTAACTTCACTTCAGTCTCCACAAACTTGCCACTGCATCTTGCTCTCAGTTTCATAATAGCCCTTGCAAGGTTTTTCTGGTTTTTTGTTGTTGTTTTTTTTTTTTTTTTGTGCTCCCTTCGCTTATTTGTAACCATCTTGCTCAGGAACCATGTGGTTGGTATCTTTGGGGCACATGGAGAGGCTAACAGAACCAGCAGTCGCTCGTGGTGGGAGAGCACGTGGGTGTCACTTACCTTGGTTCTGTAAAAGCAGCTAATAATTAGCTGGTGGCGGGGGCTGAGGAAATGTCTCCTTGTTTGCTTTCTACCTTCCTCTGCATGATAAGAATTTTAAACAAGGATGCACCATCATGCAGAATGCCTTCCTGGCCCCCATGGAAGAAGAATGGGGAAGAGCCACCCTTCAAGTGGCACACTGTGACACAGGAGCAGGAAGCCCATGGCTTCTCTTGACAAGGAAGGGTGGGACCTGAGCATTTAGAACAGGGCTTCCTTACAAAGCTCTGAATGCTAGGCATGTGGCACGGAGTGGGCATGGCCCACCAGCCCCGGCCCCTCCTGGGAGGAAAGTTGACCGATGTACTGACCTCTGTGTGAAATCTGGGTCATCAGGGCCTATGTGACCCGAGGCATCAGTGACGAAATTGACCTCAGCAGGGTGGTGACTGTGCAGCTCCAGGGAACTCACAAGTTGGAATGCATTTGGTGCATGCTTACACACACACACACACACACACACACACACACTCACGGGTCGATTGGTTTCTGTTTACTGAGTGTCAGTAAGTGACCCGGCTATGTTACCTTTCTGAGCCCTGGTTTCGTCGTGTGTCGAATGGGACTGTTATTCCCAACCTCCCAGGGTTGTTATGAGGACTGAATATGAGCTGTGATTAGTGCCTGCCATATCCTTGGTACTTAGTAAATGTTGGTTTCCTTTTTCTCCCCATTCCTCCCCCTGGCTTTTTTTAAAAAACAGGACTCAGGAGCCAACCTCATCATAGCTTCTTGGCCACCTGTGTCTTCTTACCATTGTTGGATTTACCCAAATTAACCTCTTGGGATTACTACCTAAGTAAATAAGAGCTTAAAAGTGAGCTCTTATTCCAGGCAGTTTAGGAAGGGGTCTTTAGGTGGAGCTCACATGGCAATTATCACAGAGAAGGAGGGAGAAAGGGGTTTTAATGTTTATGAGACTCATATTTCCTCTCTCAGTTGTATGCTAGCCCCTCCCTCCTGCCTTTTCCTCCCAGAGTTCTAGAATCATGCACTTTTAGAACTAGAGGTGCCCTGGTCTGGAGTCATTTCCCCCCATCCCTTTGCTTAACAGATGGGGAGACTGAGGCGCAAAGATGTTCAGTGATGTGTGCAGGGTCCCAGAGCTCCTCTGTGCTCCTCTCCTTCCACCCATAAATGTGGCCCTCTGAGGAAACTTCCAAAGCCACGAGGAAGCAAGCCCAGCTCATTCTTTCATTACTGGAAAAGGATAATTGCTCACTGAGCCTTTAAGTGACCCGGGGAATGGCCTGCCTCTTCTCCCTCCATGAGCTCCTGGGCCAGTAGGAATGGATCCTAGAGGCAGTGCTGTGGCAGTGTTGTGTGAGGGTTCAAAGTGGCCCTGGAGCCCCCAAGACACACTGCTCCCTGCCCTACCTTGGGCCTGCCCCCTCTGGGATGCATACCTGCGTTTGCGCTGGAGCAAAGGTAGCTACACCTTGTCTTGGCTCTGCAGGAACCCACCTCCTCTCTTTGAAGGGCATGAGCCAATGAGAAATCTCTCTCATACAGACTGAGGGAGAAAGAAGGTTGAAATACTCCTTGCTGTTGCTTTATGACCATGTTACATCCAGTGTGTGAGCTCCTGCCTCAGCCCTAAGGAGAGCCAGGGCATGTACAAGCCACTAAGAACCATGAAGTCCCTTGGCACTCAGTAGACCTCAGCAGAGAGTGTATTTCTGCCCTGTAGGCCATGTGGCCTTTAAAAATATTAATATCTTGATATTTTAAATATCCTAGAAAAACTTTGTAGTAGGCTTCTTTGTTATATTTAGCAGACCAAACATGGTTAATATTTAGTTTATACTTGGACATAATTTGGCTTTTGTGTTCTCACTTTTCTCATAGAGTAAATTGACTTTCATTTTTATTTTAAGTTCTGGGGTACACGTGCAGGATGTGCAGGTTTATTACATAGGTAAATGTGTGCCGTGGTGATTTGCTGCACCTATCAACCCATCACCTAGGTATTAAGCCCAGCATATATTAGCTATTTTTCCTAATGCTGTCCCTCCATTGACATTTTGTAATGACCCCAGGCATTCCTCAGTTGCAGCCCCCGTGTGCTCACCCACAGATATCCTCAGGTTCAGTGCCTTCTAATATCGGTTGTTAACATCCCCATACGCAAGCTCCTGGCACGCGGACACCCTTGCTTACCGTTCACATTTCTAAAAATGTTGCCTCTGTCATTTGCCCTGTGTCCTATTGTATTCTAATGAAAGTTCAGTCTCCTGACCTTGCACGGCCTAAGACAAGGGCTTCTTTCTTTTATGGTAAGGATTTATCTTTTTAAGGAGAACTCACCTGTGCATCTTCATCCACCAAAATAGATTGCGTTTTCAGTGCTACTGCTGAGAACACACAGGAAAGTGTTACCATTTGCAAAACTCATTGTCAAAGGGAAGTCACGTCCAGAGTCAGGAAAGCAAGTGAAACACCCACCTCGGTGTAGCAGCTTCATCTGGAAATTTGACCTAGAGGGTTCAAAATGAAAACATGCCCTCCCCACCCATCCAGGAAGCAGGATGAGGATGGCCATTCAGAGTTTACTTTAAAATGCCTACCAGTACTATTGATATTCTGCCACCAGCTGTGTGGTCACCATTAGCAACACATCTTTATAAATTGCTCACAGAGTCCCAGGTTGCATTTTAATTTCACTGGAAGGGAAAGACTAAAGGATCTCTGAACTTAGTGGTAGCTGGACAGACCACTGAGTGGAGTTGGAACACCTTTATTTTTATTATTATTATTTTTATTTATTTATTTTTGAGACAGAATATCACTCTGTCACCCAGGATGGAGTGTAGTGGCGCGATCTCGGCTCACTGCAACCTCCACCTCCCAGGTTCAAGCGAGTCTCCTGCCTCAGCTTCCTGAGTAGCTGGGATTACAGGCACGCGCCACCACGCCTGGTGTGTATTTTGTATTTTGTATTTTGTATTTTTAGTAGAGACAGAGTTTCACCATGTTGGTCAGGCTGGGCTCAAACTCCTGACCTCGTGATCCACCCGCTTCGCCCTTCCAAAGTATTGGGATTACAGGTGTGAGCCACTGCGCCCGAACCACCTTTATTATTTTTATTTCCGAGTCAGCACCAGATGAATTATGGAATATTCTTTTCAGAAAGAGGGAGGAGCCAAAGTAGGAGAAAAAAAGTCCAAAGGTCCACAAGCAACATATCGGTTGGTTTCAAGCCTTAGAACCCCTTGTCACTGCAGAGTCACCTGATCCACGGCCGACCCAAGATACAACACAGCTCAAGGGTGTAGCCAAAGTAGTCTTTCTTTTAGGACTTGGCATTTCTAAATGCCAGCACCTTGTACATCTCGTAGATTGGAGTTTAAATATCTGACTTTCAGAGGCATTTGAACCAGAGTGACTCCATCTTGAATAGGGGCTGGGTAACCTACTGAGGCTGAGACCTACTGAGCTGCATACCCAGGTGGTTAGACATTCTAAGTCACAGGATGAGGTAGGAGGTCAGCACAAGATACAGGTCATAAAGACCTTGCTGATAAAACAGGTTTCAGTAAAGAAGCCGGCCAAAACCCACCAAAACCAAGATGGCAATGAAAGTGCCATCTCTGGTCGTCTTCACTGCTCTTTTTACACTAATTATAATGCATTAGCATGCTAAAAGACCCAATTTTACCCAATTTGGTCTGATGCTGGAGAAACAAATCGAGCTCATTGGTAGCTCTTATAACTGATTCTGGGAAACTGGGATCCCTAGGAGAGATTCCACTGAGTCATTCATTCAACAAATGCCCATTGCGTACCTACTGTGTGCCATAGTGTGACGGGCTCAGTATATTGCCTCATTCATTACCTCACAAGGTTATCTGTTAACAGCCACAAGTCAGAGGCTTTTGACGTACAGGGTCCCGGGAGAGCCAAAATAGTATTTGTTTGTTTGGAATAATAAAAGCTGTCTTCCCAGGCCACAGGAATTAAAACTAGGAGTGCTAAATCAGCAATTGTCTAGCCTTGCCTGAGCTTCTCAAACTGTACTTTAGAATTGCTTGGGGGAACTTGTTAGAAGTACAAACCTTGGCCAGAACCTCAAAGAACCAGACTCAGGCAATCCAGGATGGGGTCCACCAATCCAAGGTTTTAAAAACAAGAACCAGATGGGGATAGGTGATGAGTTAGCCACTGGGGATTCAGAAACCCGAGAGGGTGGGGTGGCAGTAGTTGGGCTTTGCAGGCCAGACTGGTCTGGGACACTTTGTGATGAACACAAACCTTCCCTCTTCCATTTTGACCTTTCTGCCCTGGTGGGCTGCTTTTACGTAAGAGTATTATTTCTTCCTTTTGTAGGCAAAGCAAAAAGTGTGAGAACCAGCTGCTCTAAATAAAACAATTGAAGGTGGAGTTCAGATTGAGAGCTCTCAGTGGCTGCTTTTGTTTTCCTTTGAAAGTTTTGGGAGAAAGGAGCCAAAGATTCAGTAGAGGGGGCCAGCCCCAACCCTTTTGAATCTGCCCTGCCTCCCCTGTTCCACCTGTCGAGGCCAGGAAGTAGAGCAGCAGGAACCAGCCCTGGGTTCAGACCCTCCCGCTAACTGTGTAACCTTGAATTTGAACTTGAGCTTGGGCTTAACCTTTCTGTGCAGCACTGTACTCATGAATCACTGGTAGCAGTTACCTCCTGTGGGCTGTGCCAGGAATAATAAAGACGGTGCGTGCAATGGCATCTGCCTTGGTACAGGTCAACAGGAAGGCTCTAAACCAGGATTCTCCAGCTTGAGAAGCTCGTAGCTCAACTGGGGTCTTGAGAAAATGATGCCGATTCTCGTGCAGCAGGTCTAGGGTGGGCCTGTGAGTTTGCATTTCTGGCAGGCTCCCAAGTGAGGTTGATGTTGCTGGTCCATGGACCACACTTTGAGTAGCAAGCGTCTGAAAGGTGCTCACCTCCTTAGGTTTTCTGTGAATAGTTAGTGCAGATAGCTAAGTTAACAATTCTTTTTTCAGTCCTAAAAATAGAAGAAAATACTTACTCCTTCCTTAACTCTGGTCATGAAAATTAGGACATAGAATGCTTGTAGCCATAAACACTTATCTCCCTCGTCGCTCAAGTTATTAACTATCCCTAATAACGTAAATACTGAAGAAGAAGGCAGAGCGAGGGGTCGGTGATCTGCTCTGTGGGCTGAGAGAGGTTATTAAAGGACAGGGCTTCAAGCATACAGAATAAAGATGGCCCTTAAGGGTCAGGGATTCTGCTTCCTTAGGGCTCCTAGAGCTTACCTGTGAGTGAAAAGTTTTTAAATATTAATAGAAAGCAAAGAAAAATGAGAATGTCTTTTCTTCATCCATGAAATCAACTTGAACCTATCAGAGTCATCTAGAGGGGCTGTTAAAATGCAGACTTCTAGGCCCCGCCCCTGAGAATCTTTAGTTAAGTAGGTCAGGGGTAGAGCCTGAGAATTTGCATTTTGAACACATTCCCAGGTGACACTGGTGCTCACACTGTGACCAGCTCAAAAGACCACCAGCCACGAGCATGGGAATCAGTGCTGTCAGCCTGGGCCACCTCTTCAGACTTCCGACCCCTCCCATCAAAATGGTGTTGCCAGGGAGGGGTTTTTCTAAGCCAGGGTGGGGTTTGGGTATGAATGGGAGATACAATTGTCCTCAGGTATCTGAAGGTCCTCCTGGGGGTTAGGAGAGATTAGATTTCTGGAAAAGGAGAACAATCCTGGTGGCACCGCTGCAGACAGGGAGTCACAGCACCTTGGTGTGTTCCTTCTCCACCCCCAGGGCTGGGCCTCTCTGATCTACCTGGTTGGCTGATCCCTTGGTGGGGGGGCGGTGGGGGGGGCGCTTCTTAAAAATAGAGCTTTCCAGGGTGCATCCCAGGAGATTCTGATGAGCAACCAGGTTTGGGACCCCCTGCGAGGAAAACAGTGAAGCACCAGCTGGGCACTGGAGAGCTGCTCTGTTTTTAATGATTCTTGGATGCAGCACTAATGATCACTCAGCAAGCGAATGATTCCCTGGCAGGAAATGGGACCCTTTGTGAAGTACATTTCCTTGCAGGATCCCTAAAGTTACAGTCGATAAATTCTGGCTGCATCTTCCAAAGTGTTTTATTTCCCATCTGAGGATGGCTTCCAGCCAGGAGCATCTGGCCAGGGGGACTTATCCAGGGTAAAACCCCACCCTCTCCGCCTTCCCCACTCCCTCGCCCCTGTCAGCAGTGACTCTCTCCACAGCCACTCTGCTCTGGGCTGTGTTGAAAGTAGAACCTATAAAAGTCATGGTTGAGCAAATTCCAGAGAGAATGCTTCCCAGACAAACTCAGCAGCAGAGAACATATCTGTATGCAAAGAGTCAGGTTACAATGGAGGCAACTACTTGGATAATAGCCTAAGGAGAAATTCCCACCACCCCGACTCCCCCGCATCCCCGACCCCCTTCCCTGCCCCTGCTTTGTTTGTCATGCTGTCATGCACAGATTTGAAGACTGCAGTCTTGCCTTGAGTTTTCTGCTTCACCAGCAGATGTTTCAGAGCATCACTGGGTGCTGTGCTCTGTGCCAGGTAGGGGTTTATAAAGGAGGCTCAGGTACAGTCCCTGCCCTGTGGAGTCCACTGCTGGAGAAAGATAGATGCTTACATGACTAACTGTAAAAGCAGCGTCACTCCTAGAATAGCCCATTTCTAAAGTAGACCTCCCAGCACTCTCCCTCCCCTTGCCTGGTTTCATCTTCCCCACAGCGCTTGTCCCTCTAGAAATGACTAGCTCAGTACTCAGTAATGAAGTACTGGTGCTTCATCTTCCCTCTTACAAATAAAGCAATGTGAGGGGAAAGACCAGACCTTTAGACCCTGGCCTCTCCCAACCATTGTATGTGGGCTGCCCAGGGGGCATGAGAGTGGCTTTCTGCAGCAGAGGCGTTGGGAGGCTCTGCTGAGAGGGTGGCTGCTCACACACCGCCAGGATCTGGGGCAGAGGCTGAGGGAGGACCTGGGCGGCCACAGCAGCTCTCAAACCCAAGCGTGCATCAGAATCTTCCAGTGGGTTTGTTCAGGCACAGATTGCTGGGCCCACTTCAGAGCTGCTGATCCAGTAGGTCTAGGATTTCTAGCACGTTCTCAGGTGATTCTGTGGCTACTGGTCCCTAGACCACACTTTGAGGACCGCAGAGAGGTGCATCAGCATGGCCATGACAGTGAACTTAGTGAATAGCTGCAGGGTGGGTCCAGTGACGGACTTCTTAGAAGCTATGCCAGTGACCCCCGTGAGAGAAGACAGGACTCTGAAACAGGCTCCAGCAGTGGGGCTGGAGAACAGAAAGGAAGCACCCAAGACACATGCGACAGTGGAATCAGTGCGCTGGTGGGAGGCGAGGAAGGAGTTCGAGCAGCGGGAAGGATGGAAGTGCTTTGGACCAAGATGGGCACTGGGTGGAGGAAGGAATAATGTGTTCCCTTTGGGACCTGCTGCTGTGAGGGGCTAAGGAGACCTCCAGGTGGAGATGCTAAGGAGGCAGTGGGAAATGCTTTTAAAACTCAGGAGAGCAGCTGGCGACGGGTACAGATGCTGGGGTCTTCTGGATAGGGGTGTAAGCTGCCTCAGTGGGGCTGAATGAGAGTCCTTAAGCGGAGAGAGTGGTGATGTGCTTGGAAGCCAAGAGGCTCTCACTCGTAGGGGTGGTTAGAGAAATAAACAAGTGGAGTGCTCCAAGGCTTGTGAAGGACAAGGGGGCATGACCCCAAGAGAAGGGGTTGTGTTTGAGGCATGAGTTAGAGGAGCTGGTCTCCATATTTTGAAGTGGATAGTTGTTCCACTCCTCATCCTACTGTGTGCAATTTTATTTTGCCTCAGTGACAGTCACTTTACAGCCATATTGGTGCAACATGCATTAGCAAAAGAAGTGCATGCCGCGTGCACGTGTGTGGGTGCAGCAGCAGCTCTCCGCAGCAAGAGGTAAACAAGACAAGCACTACGGTGGTTCAAGTTGAAGCTGGAGGTCATTTTTTGCCCCTGTAAGCTGAGCCCTGAAGAAGAAAGTCACCATGTATCCATCTTGTTACCTTTTTGGATTTGACGCTGATCCAGATCCTCCTGGGACCTTCAATCCGCTGCTTTTACAAGGATGAAAAGGATTCTGATGACTTTTTTTGAACTGTTTGGGCAGGAATGCTACAGAGAGAATCAATTTCTGTGAACTGAGAGTCCCCAGGTGATAATTTGGTGTTTCACACACAGGCAGTTTTCTTTTTAATGTGTGGTGCTTGTTTAGTCATCTGGCTCTTGCAAACCCTAGTGTTTGAAAAACAGGGATGTAGTTCAGCAGTGTCTGAATAAGGCTGATGACTCAGAATCATGCAGTGCCTGGCTTCTCAGGCCGCCGCCAGCCGGGACTGCTTTAGGCGCGAACCCACGCTTCTGACCTGTGCTCTGTCTTTGCAGTTCTGCACGGAGCTAAACCAGCCGACCCTGCCCAACATCCGCAAGTGGAAGGGGCCCCGGGGATGCTGGAAGGCTGTTGTTGCTGAGAAGCCCTCGAGTCAGCTCCAGAAGGTACCCTCGTCTGCAAAGCCTGGCCTTTCCCTTCATTTAATTTATACATACTTTTCCCCTAATCAAGGGCATTTAAAAATTTCCTTTGCCAATATCCCCGGTTCAATTTTGTATTTCTGCCCAATTTTTAAATCCTTGCCATTCATTTCCAAATGCCCTGGTTTTCGGTTCACGTTTAGATTGGGAATGGACTCCTGCCAAGAAGGAAATGAGAGCTTAGGGTGTTGGGAGGAGAGGAGGGGAGAAAGGCAACAAATGGGTATTTCTGTCCTTTGTCCTTCTAATCCCTTCGCCACAGTTCTGTCTTCTGCCAAGTTTGTGCAGAGCTCATTACTCGTTGACTGAAAATTTCAGATTCACCTTAGTTCACACATGAAGTATTTGCTTCTAGTGGTAGAAATTATGCACATAATTTCAACATAGAAATGTTCTATTGAAATGTTCAGCAGATTTTGGTTTTGAATTTTCTTTCATCAGTATCACCCATATGAGCAGGTAAGGGTAAATCTCTGTAAATACACGTTTTCCCTCATATTATTATTCAAGGCCAGATTTATTCACCTTGCAATGCTTAACATCAATGGAGTTTTAGATTTTTAAACAGACTCCTGATAATAACCAGGAGTTGAAAATGTATTATTACATAATTTTCCTATAAATGCAGATTTTTAAATCCCTAGTATACCTAACATGCTTACAAACACATGTGATTTATACTTAATATGATTATGTTTATAATGTAGGCTCTTAAATCATAAATGTATACTGGATTAAAAGTGGCCATTTTTTGACAGTAAGCCCCTACTCTCTTTTTAGCTACTACTTAAAGAGGTACATGTAAATCTTCTGTCTCTGGGTTTTATGTTTGGGGGTGTAAATGGCTCCTGCAGCTGACAGTGAGTCAGCACACATTCAGAGAAGGCTGGAGATAAAGCTGAATTTGAATGCATCTAGTTCAGGGTTCTCCCTTCCAGTCCACGTGGAAATAATAAGAATAATACCACCTTCCTTTTTTGATCGCACTTTACATGTATGTAGGTGTCTGAGCTTCACAAGCCTTTTATAGTCCATTCAGCACTGCATTCATTCAACAAATCATTAATGAAAGGTGGCTATGTACCAGGCATATTGTTTCATGCCAGGTACACACTGGTGAGAAAAACTCCATGCCTGCATGTTTTCACTCTTTGCAAGACACAGTGGGGATCCCGGCTGGAGCCTGACCTGGCCCCTCCCGCAGGGAGTGCACAGCCTGTTGGAGAGCAAGACAGGTAACCCCATTCCAGGTCAGGGTGTCAAGGCCATTGGAAAACAACATGAGGTTGCAGGGAGACCCGAGTTCCATCCACCAAAACCTCTCGGCCTCAATTCCTTCATCTGTAAAATGGGAGCGATAGCCCTTTCTTAGCTCACCTATAGGGTGGCTATAGGATTTTAAAAGATACTATGCATTGGAATGCATCATGAACGTAGCGCAGGCCAGGGCCAGGCGGAACGGGCATGAGGTGGCAGGCTGGCCGCCTGCAGTGGACTGAGAGAGCTCATGCCTGGCTCTGGCTGCTGCTGGGTCCATGTCTACCCAGTTGTTACCCTGCAGTATTGTGGGCCCAATGTGGCCAAACCTCCCAGTTTCATTTTAATGGGAAATTTCCTGAATTTTAAAGATGAACAGATAATCCAAAAAAATTTAAACACTATGTGAATCAAACAGAATATATCTGCAGGTTGAAAATGTTCAATCTCTGTCCCTAGACAAACATAAGAAAGTGGGCCATTTCTCCGATGCCTGAAATTCTGCCCCAGGCATCTTCTCCCCAGCTCCCTAGGGCTTACACGATAGCCAGAGGGGTGGTTTCCAGCTGTGAAGGTGAAGACCTAGTAAGATGAAATGATTTGCCCACAAGCCACCCTTTTGCAATGTGAGGTGCTCGGACCTGAGCCCAGTTCACTCTCTCTGTCTGGAAACCCTGTTCCTCCGGCTGCTGTTCTGGAGGAGAGGGGAGCGCCTAGGTCAGGGGCATTGGGAAAGGCTCCCAGGAGGGGCAAGAAACCAGCGGTGGAAGGAGCAGCACGCAGGGAAGTGGGGGTGGGGAAAACAGTGCTGAGCAGGTGAGGGAGGCAGAGGAAGGAGTAGGCCCCACCGCAGAGGCTTCCCCTCCAGGGCCATCGGGGAGCCCCTGAAGGCTTTTGGGCGGAAGATGACTCGAGTGATGCTTTAGGTAAGTTACTCTGGCACCATGACTTGGGAAATGGCAGATGGAGAGATAATCCTCCAAAGCCAGCAGGGCAGTCATACCTCCCTCCAAACCAGAGGAAGCTGAGGTTTAGAAAAACTGAGTGGGTCGCCCAGGGTCCCGCGGCTAAGTGACTCAGGTGGGACTGAGGCCCAGGTCTTCTCGTTCTCAAACCAGCACACTCTCCAGGGGGTGGGCAAGGAGATAATTTCAAATATAGAAGTGCACAGCATACAATACATTCATTCCCTCCCTCCCTCCTCCTAAAAACACGCATGTTCAGACAAGGCATGTGGCTTAGACCAGAGCTGACCTTGGGGACTTTGTGGTGGCTGCTCAGGAGGGTGGTTGTGCAGAGTCACTTCCCCTCCTTTTGCAATGGGGAAGAGTGGTGATGAGCACTGCTGGCCTCTCAAATGACATGCAGATGGCTCCCAGGCAGCGGGTGCTGAGGAAGCATTCTCATGGACAGCAGAGGCTGTGGTGGGGTAGAAAGGAGAAGTGTGTCTTCTTCCACAAGCCCCCAGTGGCGGCGGCAGCAGCGCAAAGCAGGCATATTCAGAGCAGCAGGGTTTAACACTAGGCACTAGGACTCTGCCCCACCGCCAGCCCTGGCACCTCTGACCTAAGCTTCACACCTCTGCCATGGCCCCATCCACCTGCGGAGGGCCCTCGAGCAGCCCCAAGCCATTAGGTCAACTGCGACCTCCACTCACCCAGAAAACACTGAGTGGGCTCTTACTAGGTGCCAGGCACCATTTTTGTAAGCTGCAGCTAATCAGTAAGCAAAACCCATCCCTTGGAGTTATATGTTTTAGTCTCAGCATTGTGATCAGCTGTGGGATTTCAGGAAAGTCACTTAACCTCTTTGAGCAGCAGTGTCCTCATCTGGGAAATGGAAGCATGAATTGCTACCTCATGGGATGTGATGATTCTGAAGATATCTCTGTGCCTAGCCGGGGCTTCACCCACCTCCCCCCAAAGACAGAAGAGCCCAGGCCACCCTGTCTGTATGGAAAGCTCTGAAATTGGCAATATGTGAAATTATTTGGGCTGGGGAAGGGCAAGGGAGAGTGGCTGTGGCTTTCGTGGTGTGCTTTTGGTTTAGAAACAGCTTGAGCCAGAGTAGGGCCTACTGCCTCTCGGTCTCTCTGGCCTCTCTGCCTCCTTTCCCCAGGTGGCGCTAGGGCTCTGGCACCAAGACTCTGTCTCCCTCTCCGCTGCAGGGAGCTGGGTATGCAGGATTCCTATGGGACGCGGCTGCCGGCATGGAGCTGAGAGACGCGGGTTCACAGGAGAGCTCGCCAAGCAACGGGCACGGGAAGCTGGCGGGCCCCAGCCCATACCTCGGGAGGTTCAAGGTACCCGCTCCACGCCGTCTGTGACGTGGAATCTGCTTCTTTCTAAAAAGGAAAGAAAAGGGCTCATTTTGTAATAGCATGAGTAAGAGAAGTCTCGTCTTTTTGCCTTGATTTCAGCCTCTCATGATTGGAGATTTTTGTCTCTCCTGGGGCTTCCTTGGCAGGTGAACTTGTCCAGGGCAGGAATGAAAGGGATTTTGAGACAGCCCCAGTAACTCTGGCATCTGAGCAGGAGAGGGGGGAAGGAGGGAGATTTGGTATAGCTCCTAAACCTGACCCTCATTAGAGTCTCCTGGGGAGATTTTCCTACAGTCAGGGATTCCTAGACCCCACCTCAGACATACAGAATTTGGGGGATTATCCGGATGGCCTACTTTCCAAAAGCCCCTTCAGTGATCCTTCACCTTCCTGGCACTGGTTCACAAGGCCAGGTGTTAGGGAATGGCTGGATTCAAGGGCAGCAGAACTGGCCTGAGGAGCCCCTTCTTATCGGCTGCATCTCAGGCCCGATTCCTTTATTACCAGGGAGAAAGGCCTCTCAAGGGGTGGTTTGGGTTTGGAGGGGATTCAGGAGGAGCTCTGGGCTGTGGGCCAGGGGCAGTCCTGTCACTGGCATCGCCCATGTGGGAATCTCTGTCCCCCCAGCATCTGGGAGCAGCTCAGCAGATTGATCGAGCGCAGTCTCTCTGGTTCTCCCCGGATGCCCTTGGGAAGTGTTAATGAACCGCAAAATGGTCAGCAGCTGGACAGCAGAAGCCAAAGCAGGTCATGAAGTTGGCAGTCAGTGAGCCTTATCCCCGTGGTCCTTGACCATGAGCTCACAGGCCAGGCAAGCAGGTCCGGTGCCTTGGAGCTCAGCAAGCGTATCCCCTCCTGGGCATGGAGACCCCCTGCTTTCTGTGTGCTCCAGAGCAGTTCTTGAACCTGACAGTCACCTCAAACCCCAGCCCAGGGAGTATCTGCCAGCTGAGGGTTGGGAGCAGCCCCTGTGTTGAGGCTACAAGGCCCTGTGCCACCTTGCACACTGTGAGTTGATGAGGGTGGGTGTGTGCTCACCCTGGGGGTATCTGTCACACCCAGCAGCCCCTCTCATTCCTCTGTCTGTGATATTGATGGGGCTCTGTCTGCACATGTACACCTGGGGGTGTCCATGGGTTGTATCTGTGGTACTGACGTGTAAGTCAGCCAGGTATCACCTTTAAGCCTCCTAACACCACCCTGGGCCCTTTTTTTATGTCAAGTTCCTGTTCCAGTGTTGGCCACCTGGGGTTATGGCCATGTAACCCTATGGGTGATACTGATAATCCAGTATTACCACAACGCAGGCTGTTTTTAAGGGTATAATGAGAAAATGCTGGTTAGCCCAAATCCTCTAAATAAAGCAGCCCCCTAAACAGGCACTTGGCCTCTTGTACTTCATGTCACATTATAGGCCTGGCAGTTGGTGCAGTACAGAGATGGGGCTCATCTCCTCAGGCACTGTGCCCCCCACCCAGCCTTAAGATGCTTTCTCTAGCAGGCAGAGCTGCAGCTGCAGAGCTCTTGGTCCTGGTTGCTGGCAAACTGGGACCACATCCGTAAGATAAGACGGGCACCCTCCACTTCCTGGGGGCTTCCCCTATACCCCTTCCCTTCCTGGCAGTGTTGATGTTGGTTGCCATGACAAATGGAAGGGCAAGATTGCTAAGCCCTGAGCAGCTGAGCAGTGCTGTGATGCCCAGAGACAAACTCTGACCCTGTGTTTCTGCACTTGCCCTTGGGGATGCAGGGCTAGGGCATGTCCTAGGCTGGCCAGGTTCTGTAAGCTTTTGGTTTGGACACGTTTGAAATTAGGTTAAAGTCAGCATCTGGCTATAGTGGGCTCCAGAGAGAAAAGAACACAGAGGAGCGTGTGTGGGAGGTGTAGGGAGGAGGAGGAGGCACATCCCAGCGGTGGGTCCTGGCAGGAGACCTCAGGCTGGCCCTCTGGAGAAAAGCCCCAAGTCTATAATAACAACCAGCTGTCAGAGTCACCTCCTTTGATTGATTGATTGAAATGGGGTCTCACTATGTTGGCCAAGCTGGTCTCAAATTGCCTCAAGTGATCCTCCCACCTCAGCCTTCCAAAGTGCTTGGGGTTGTGGCCGGGTACGTAGCTCATGCCTATAATCCCAGAACTTTGGGAGGCTGAGGCAGGAGGATCACTTGAGGGCAGGAGGATCACTTGAGGTCAGGAGCTTGAGACCAGCCTGGACAACATGGTGAAGTCTCTACTAAAAATAAAAAAATTAGCTGGGCATGGTGGCACACACCTATAATCCCAGCTACTTGGGAGGCTGAGGCAGGAGAATCACTTGAACCCGGGAGGCAGAGGTTACAGTGAGCTGAGATCATGCCACTCCACCCCAGCCTGGGTGACAGAGTGAGACTCCTTCTCAAAAAAAAAAAAAAAAAAAAAAAAAAAGTGCTGGAGTTACAGGCATAAGCCACCATGCCTGGCCTTCCACCTCCTTCTTATATAGGACTGCTTAGAAAGAAAGAAAAAAACTCAAACATTTACAGATATGCAGATATGCCCAATCTTTTAGGCTCTAAGTGAGGAGTAGGCGGTGGGATGTTAGGGGTGGACTGGTAGAACAAAATAGGCCTTGTTCCTGCAGGTGCCTTGGAAAAATCGAAGATGAAAGACCTTACATTATTTCCTGGGGGTGTGAGCCAGCCTTGTTCTTGTTTACCATTGTCAACTCTGTGCACAAAGCTATTTATGAGTCGGTTGTAACGGATACAGGAAATATGAGCTTCTGAGCCTCTCCCTGTTGCTTTGTTTCCTGCTGCCTAGGTGGGAAGTCACGACCTGACCCTTGTTAACCTTCACCTGGCAGCCCTGACCCTCCTGGGGAGCGAGAATCCCAGCAAGAATCACAGTGATGGCCACCGGTTGGCGAGCTTTGCACAGACCCTACAGGAAACCCTGAAAGGTAGGACATTGTCTTTTGCTGTGACTCGGCCACTGTTTTGCAGAGCAGCAGGGCTGCCTCTTCTGAGCCATCTCTGACCACTTGGGCTGGCTGTTTGTCAGCAATGTGAGTCGCGGGTACAGGGGACAGTCAAACCTCTGGCATCTCATGGAGCCCAGCTGACCCTGCACGGCCACATCTGTGCCTCTGTGGACCTAGCATATGCGTTCCAAGCTGTCAGCTCTGTGGCTTTTTAGCCTCATTTAGATAGAAAGGATTAGGGGGGAAGAATATAAGTGATGATGCCCTTCCCCGAAGACAGCTCATCCTGGGACCAGCTGCCTCGGGCATCACTCCGGTGGTGCCGCCTGCAGATTTGCATGTGCTCTTCCTGTGAAAGAGAGACGGGGGTGACAAGGGGAAGTGGTAAATTGCTGATGATTGGTGAATTGAGTTTTTCTCTCTGGCGGGATACAGAGCATGTTGAAGAAGCCCTGAACCTGTCAGAAATGCTGGATTTTAATCTTGTAGGACCTCAGGCAAGCCACCAAACCACTTCAGGCCCCCATCTGATGGGGGACAGTACTCATCTCATAGCAGTACCCAGAGGGCTAAGTAACAGTGTCTGCAGCAATACCAAGCACATAGTAGGGACTTCATGTACACGAGTTGACTCTAAAACATGAGAAGAATTAAGAGAACACTGAAAAGAGCAGAATTCTAGCTAGGCACGGTAGCTCATGCCTGTAATCTCAGCACTTTGGGAGGCCAAGGCGGGAGGATCACTTGAGCCCAGGAGTTCAAGAGCAGCTTGGGCAACATAGTGAGACCCTGTCTCTACAAAGAACGAAAAAAATTAGCCGGGCATGGTGGTACACACCAGTAGTCCCAGATATTCAGGAGGTTGAGGAGGGAGAATCACTTGAGCCCAGGAAGTCGAGGCTGCAGTGAGCTTTGATCGCACCACTGTACTCCAGTCTGGGCAACACAGCAAGACCCCATCTCTTAAAAAAAAAAAAAAAAGGAGCTGAACTCCAGGACAAAGGGGGGCTATGCCCCAACTAATATAGATGGTTTTCTGCACTTGGTTTACCAAAAGAAAAGGTTGACAAGGCTGTGAAGACTGTGATCTTATCCATCTGGCTTGATTTTTCAGAACACTGACCTTGTCTAGGTGAGTTTGTAGTTGGAGGCTTGGAATTCTCTTCTATCTTTTGAGTCTGGACCAATATTCTCTAGCTTTCTAAGACTTCCTCGTTAAACTGGCCCCTCAAATTGGGAGATTCATGAAGATTTTACTACAAAAATATTTCAGTCAAACTGTAGGCTCACATTTCAAAAGATGTATGTATGTATATATGTATATATGTATTTGAATTTGCATTTCTAACAAAAAAGATTTTTTACTGTGGTAAAATATATGTAACATAAAATTTACCATTTTAATCATTTTACATATTCAAGTCAGTGCTACTAATGTATTGACATTGTTGTACAAACATTACCACCATCCGTCTCCAGAACCTTTTCATCTTTCCAAACTGAAGCTCGGTACCCATTCAACGATATCTCCCCATGCGCCCCTCCCTGCAGCCCTTGGCAACCAGCATTCTACCTTCTGTCTCTGTGATTGTGACTACTCTAGGTGCCCCAAATAAGTAGAATGATAATATTTGTCCTTTTGTGTCTGGCTTGTTTCACTTAGTATAATGTCTTCAAGGTTCATCCATGTTGTAGCATGTGTCAGAATTTCCTCACTTTTTTGTGTGTGTGTGTCGCCCAGGCTGGAGTGCAGAGGCACGATCTCGGCTCACTGCAAGCTCCGCCTCCCGGGTTCACGCCATTCTCCTGCCTCAGCCTCCCGAGTAGCTGGGACTATAGGCGCCCGCCACCGCGCCTGGCTAATTTTTTGTATTTTTAGTAGAGACGGGGTTTCACCGTGTTAGCCAGGATGGTCTCAATCTCCTGACCTCGTGATCTGCCCGCCTCGGCCTCCCAAAGTGCTGGGATTACAGGCGTGAGCCACAGCGCCTGGCCAGAATTTCCTCACTTTTTGAGGCTAAGTAATATCCCACTGTGCATCCATCCACCATAGTTTGTTGCTTATCCATTCATCTTCTGATAGACACTTGGGTAGCTTCCACCTTTGTCCTGTTGTGACAACGCTGCTGTGAAGATTGATGTGCAGCAGCTTTTCTTTTGAACCAGGACATGCCGTGACCAACGTTCTACTTTAAGGATGAGTCCTCAGGCTAAAAACAGTCAGAAGATGCTCTATCCAAGAAGCAACTGTGTGGGAAATTGTCCACCTATAGTTAGACTCTGATCTGTAAAATGGACAACTTGATAGCTTGTCACATCTGTGGACATTACTATTGTTCTTGATCTCAAACTTTTTGTGGAAGCAGAAAGGAAAGATGCCAGCTCATAACTTCTTTGACAGCCTTAGGCAGTCACCATCCCCCCACCCCACCCCTGGTATCCAGGGAGTAGTCAGGATTTTGGCAGAAAACCTTGGGCAGGTTATGTTCCAAATTGCCAAGGTACTATTGACCCACAGCCTGGCTTGGCCTTGACTCATCCAAGTAGGGACAATGACTCATGCTGCCTGTGTCCCCTGCTTGTAACTAGTACCCAATTAATTATTAACTGGTGACACTCCAGACCCAGGGGTTCAGGAAGCAATTCAGCCTGCCCAGGTCTAACAAGGGTAGACAAGTCAGCAGAGGGGTTCAGCTAAAGCAAAGACAAAGCCTTCATTCCACAGCTTCTATCAGAGCAAACAGAACCGATGTGGTTAGCAAGCTCCGGGCCTTTCTGCCTTTGTCTGGAACGTGCATGCAGGCTGACGTCAGTGGGGATATGCCAGTCCCCTAGTGGAACCTTCTTCCCTCAGACCTCACCAGGACTTGGGGACAGGGTCTCCCTCTGTGAACTGAGCAAGAGTGAAACAGGGTGTGTAGTAACTCTTGACATCTTGGCAGATGGTCCCTCAGTGGGGACTGGTTCCTGTAGTTGTCATTGGCGTTTTATAAATCTAGAGACTCTCTGAGGAAGTCAGCCCAAAACGTTCTCCCCTCACTGCTGGGAATCAAGGGAGCGACAAAGGAGCCCAGCCCAGGTGGGTGGCTTTTTAGGAAGATAACTCAGGCTCCTGCGCATCTACCTGTGGATTCTCAGAAGCAACAACTGCCTTGATGTCATCACCGACGCGGATTCAATCGGAAGAACATGAGTTGTAAGAAATCCGATGTGCTCATTCAAAAAGGGAACCGTTGTCACTCCTGAAGCTACACAGAGCTGGCTCTATTGACCCTTGACACCAGCGTCTCTCCTGGCTTTAGAATTGTCTTTTTCAGCCCAGACCTTTGCAGGCCTGCATCCCAACGAAAACCTCCCTCATTATATGGGAACTTTGTTTTCTTTGATATTCAATGAATGTAGCATCTTTCTCTTTGTTCCTTTCCAAATCAAACTGCACCCTAATTCTGGGACATTTGTGGTTCCGCTTGTCTGTTGCTCACATATTTATTGAGTGCCTGCTGATGCACTTGGTGTCGCAGTGGACAGCAGCCACTTCCGTGTGGTCTTCCATCCTAGCCCTTTGTGGTGAGCCCTGGATTTGAGGCCTGGCCTGGTGACTTTGGACAAACCTTCCCACCTCTGGGAGCCTGTTTCGTACCTGCAGAAGGGAGATGGTAACAGCACCTGCCCCATGGGTCGTGGCTGTTAAGTGCGGTGCTATCGAGGAAGTGGTCAGCACAGTGCCATGACTATTATTCAAGCTGGCACTGATTTCTCCATGGTGTGGGTGGCCCTGCAGGAGAGGCTTCCTTCCATCCCACCCATTGTCCTCACTCCTCCTAGAGGAGGGCGCCATCTGCAATGCACATGCGCCCTCTGGTGGTGGCCTGAGTGGCTTCCCTTCAGATTCCTTTCCCTGCAGTTGTTATTACGGAAGCACACCCGTGGCCAGGAAAAAAAGATTTGCCAAGTGTCGTGGATACATTTATGACTTCGTTTATGAACTGCTTTCCCTAAAGCCTCCTTCACAAGGTGTGGCAGAAATGCCACCTCCTGCTGTGGGACAACAAGGGTCAAGCAGAGCCCAGGGGAATCCCGCAGAGCCCAGCTGGGGGGCGAGTGTTCTTTCAGGATTTCTACTCGCTTTGCTTGGAAAATACTTCATAACTATCCCACTTCCTCTAGGGTAAATCAGACTGTGGGAGAAATGTCTAAAATGCTTTAGGAGAAAACCTTTCCCCCTTGGCCCTGAAATCACTTTGTAGTTCTTATGCACACATATTTAACTTCCACTGTGTGTCTCTCCCTGACAAACCTGTGAAGCTGTATCAGGAAACTGATCAGGAAGGGGGCCCACGCTACATGTGAGTGCCCCGTGCCAGGCGCTTCTGGCGGCTCCTCTAATCCTGACACCAACCTGGGAGGAAATGGCTTGTTCTTTCCCTTTTATAGACTAAAAGGCTTGCCCAAGGTCACGAAGCTGGGAAGTGACAAACTTCAAATTCCACACTCAGAGTCATCCAGCTGTTTTCTCTTAGAACCGGGGCCGAGAACCACTGTTTTCTTTCTTTCTTTTTTCTTTTCTTTTCTTTTGTTTTGTTTTCTTTTCTTTTCTTTCTTTCTTTTCTTTCTTTTTCTCTCTTTTTCTTTCTCTCTCTCTGTCTCTCCCTCCCTCCCTCCTTGTCTTTCTCTCTCTCTCTCTTTCTCTCTCTTTTTCTCTTTCTCTTTCTCTTCTTTCTTTTCTTCTTTGACAGAGTCTCACTCTAGCCGAGGCTGGAGTGCAGTGGAGCCATGTTGGCTCACTGCAACCTCTGTCTCCCGGGTTCAAGCGATTCTCCTGCCTCAGCCTCCCAAGTAACTGGGATTACAGGCGCCCACCACTATGCCCAGCTGATTTTTGCATCTTTAGTAGAGATGGGGTTTCACTATGTCGGCCAGGCTGGTCTCAAACTCCTGACCTCAGTGGATCCCCTGCCTCAGCCTCCCAAAGTGCTGGGATTACAGGTGTGAGCCACTGTGCCTGGCCTAGAGCCACTGTTTTCTGATATTCTCCTGTGTCAGGTTTTGTTTCATTTTCAGCCCCTCTGTGACCACTCTTCCTCCTAGCTAATTTGGATTCATAAGTCGAAAAGAGGACTTGGAAGAATAGGACACAAAAGTGTCACTGTTTTCAGAGAATATGATTGTTGGTTTGTTACACCTAAAGTTAAAAAAAAAATTATTCCCAGTAAGAGAATTAAGAAAACTGCCTAGTTAAAAAGTTAAAATAAAAAATTAGTCCTTTTGATATATATCATTAGTAACCTGTGGAAATAAAAAAATTTAAAAATAACCATTAGAGAAAATATAATGGGATAAAACAAAGATCCCATTCATAATAAAAATCAAAAATATAAAATACTTAGAAATGTGGTGGTAAAGTGAAGAAAATAATAAGACTTCAGTGAAGAATTTTTTTAATAAATACTTCAATCAATGGAGAAACATGGCAAAGTGTTCTTGGGTGAGACGTGTTAACAGTTCGAGGTACCCGTCCTTTCCATGTTTCCGTGTAGTTGACTGCACCAGGTCTCAGCAGAGCTCTTTAATATTCTAGTTGTGGTTCCCATACCTGGCTGGACATGCAATCCCAGAGAGCTTCAGGAAATGCTGAAGACCAGGCCACCGGAGATGCTAAATCAGAATCTCTACAGGTGGAACTCCAATTTCTGAGAGTGGGACTCAAGCATTAATATTTTTATGAACTCCTGATGCCCCAAGGGCTTTTTGTAGAGCTCCCCGGCTCCAACTTCAGTCAGATAAGCTCCACTTTTACCCACTCTACTTTTGGGGCTTCCTACAGGATCTCATTTGAGAAAAGGAACACCCCCACCCCATACATTTTAAAAAGAAAAAATGTTTAGCCGGGCGCCATGGCTCATGCCCGTAACCCCAGCACTTTGGGAGGCCAAGGCGGACAGATCACCTGAGGTCAGGAGTTCAAGACTAGCCTGGCCAACATGGTGAAACCCCATCTCTACTAAAAATACAAAAATTAGCCAGGCGCAGTGGCACACATCTGTAATCCCAGCTACTTGGGAGGCTGAGGCAGGAGAATCGCTTGAACCCGGGAGGCGGAAGCTGTAGTGAGCCGAGATCGTGCCACTGTACTCCAGCCTGGGCGACAGAGTGAGACTCCATCTCAAAAAAAAAAAAGTTTCAAAACTTCTTATTTGAAGCACATCCATCTCCAGGATGTACTGATAAGAAAAAAAAAAGTAGGAATTGATAGGTAAAGTTGCTAACATTTGAGTGAAAATAACTATGTAAGTATACACGTCTGCTCCTCTGTGTAGAGTGTCTAGAAGGGGACACAAGGAACAAGAGAACAGCCTTCTCCTCCTGCCAACCAAAGATAAGAATGTTAAAGTTAACATGAGTTTAGTTTAAAATAAAATTTGGGAATGAAAATTTCAATATCATGAGAATATATAAACATTTTAAATGAAAGAATATTAAAACATCTAGTACTCACTCAAATATTGATCAATATGATAGAATAAAGCTCAGAAATAGAAATGTTATACAAAAAGATATTTAAGATAACAGGCCAGTATTACAATTTAGTTGAGAAAAAAAGGATTTTTCTAGAAATGATACTGGCAGAGGGGGTTAATTATTTGCATGAAAAAATAAAAGTAAATTCTAGGCAAGCTAAAGAGTGAAATGTATCATCACATAGGAGGAAGTGGGGGAAAAAAGTGAAATGTAAGAAATGAAATGATAAGAAGAACTTAGTGGGTATTCGTTTGATTTTGGAGGCACTCTAGGAAAATTCTGCCAGATTGTACTACATTTAAAAAAAATTTTTTTTTAACTTTTGTGTGCTTCAGTTTGGTCATAGACAAATGAAAAGGCACATCACAAACTAAAAAGAAAATCAGTTCCTATATATGATAAAGGGTTAATATGTTTTTATATGGAGAGTTCATATAAATCAATAAACAAAACACTAATACCCTGTACAAATAATAGACCTATCAGGCATCGTTTCTGATGCCGTTCTCTGATGAAAGGAACCAGGGCTCCTCAGAGAAATGGCTGATGCGAGGACTGAGAAAATACACAGTATGGTAGGTCAGGCACGGTGGCTCACGCCTATAATCCCAGCACTTTGGGAAGCCGAAGTGAGCGGATCACTTGAGGTCAGGAGTTCAAGACCAGCCTGGCCAACATGGTAAAACCCCATCTCTACTAAAAATACAAAGATTAGCCAGGCGTGGTGGTCCATACCTGTAATCCCAGCTACTCAGGAGGCTGAGGCAGGAGGATTGCTTGAACCCGAGAGGCAGAGGTTGCAGTGAGCCGAGATCCACCACTGCACTCCAGCCTGGGTGACACAGCAAGACTCTGTCTCAAAAAGAAAAAAAGAAAAAATATGTATATACAGCATGATCTTGGAGCATCTTGTCGTGTCAGAAGGAAGTGCTCAAACAAGCAAACAAAAAAAACCTGCTGGGTGGATGTCAAAAGGACGCATGAGCCAACTGAAAGAGCTCTCAGTGACCAAAGCTGGAAATATTTCAGGAACAAAGTCAATGACATAGTACTGGATATAACTCAAGGTATACCTGACTTATACCTCATAAGTATCCATGAGTCCGTACTGATCTAAGTAAATGGTTGAAAAAATTAATAAATGGGAAGAAGAGATCCATCCCTTGTGCAGCAGAATTCCAGATAACATGTGTAGATACTCTAGCCTAAAGGAGGGGGAGCACAACTTCATTTTCTACAAATGGAAGACATCATTTTCACATATCAAATGAATGTTTTGATGAGGGATGCAGTGAGAGGAATTTCCTTAGGTTGCTGGGGAGGGTTGAAACCAGAGCAGCCTTGGAAAGCAGGCTGGCAGTATTTATCCAGAGCCTTAACAATGGCCATAGTTTTTCATGAGGACTCTCTATAGTTCTAAGAACAGAAAGCTGCCAGGTGTGGTGGCTCACGCCTATAATCCCAGCACTTTGGGAGGGAGAGGCGGACGGATCACTTGAGGTCAGGAGTTCGAGATCAGCCTGGCCAACATGGTTAAGCCCTGTCTCTACTAAAAATACAAAAGTTAGCAAGGCGTGGTGGTGGGTGCCTGTAGTCCCAGCTACTCAGGAGGCTGAGGCAGGAGAATCGCTTGAACCCAGGAGGCAGAGGTTGTAGTGAGCCGAGATTGTGCCACTGCACTCCAGCCCGGCCAACAGAGTGAGACTGTCTCACAAAAAAAAAAAAAAAAAAAAAAAAATGAGATGCTCACTTCAGCATTATTTATAGCAGTGGCTACTGGGAACAGCCTTAAAAGTGACCAGCAGCAGGAAAATGGTACATTATGTGCATCAACATGATGGATGGATGGATACTGTGGGCTGCCCATTGAATGCCAGGAAGACCCAGGCTTTTCCCTTGGTCTCTTGATCTGAATTTGACCCTCAAGCAGACAGAGTACAGTTCCCAATCGAGGAGTGGCTGCTGCTTATATCTCCAACCTCATCTTTAACATCTGGCTTCTTGATACCTTGTCCTAGAGAAGTAGCCAACTGAACCTCAGGTACCCACCCCACCCCTGGGAAGCCAGGCTGTTTCTTAGCTCCCTGGCCTTGCATAGGTTCCCTCTCATCCATGTTGACCCAAGCACTTCTGTGCATCCTCTGAGACCCAAGTCAGGCATTGTCTCCTCCGGGAAGCCTTCCCTGACCACCTTTCCCTGTGCTGTGTTGGTTTCAGTATGTGTGTTTGTTTTTGCACCTACTCTGTGCTCTTGTCTGTTTTCTAGTCTGTCTCTCAGAGCAGGAGTTGCATTTTATTCATCTCTGGATTTCCTGCATAGTAAGTGCCCAGTAGTATGTTGAGTTTTTGTTAAATATTTGGGTAAGACCCTTAGGTCTTTTTTTTTTTTTTTTTTTTTTTGTGATAAGATTTGGAACCCATAGGCTTCAACAAGGGTGATTTTTGTGTCACGCTGCCCCTGATTTCCAAACGTGTTGCTGACTTACTCTTAATATTGGTGGCAGGGTGATATGCACATGAAATGTGGAAGAGTGAGGAGAGTGAGAACCATGCCACAGTACTAACCCCATGGGAGTCAAGTCAGAGAATCTCAATCCCGTTTCAAAGGGCCACGGTCAGTGTTGGGTTTTACTTCCCAACAACTCTTAAACTCATTTTCTTCCTTCCACTTCCAGGAGAAAAGGATGTCATTATCTTAGGGGATTTTGGCCAAGGGCCAGACAGCAATGACTATGATATCCTGAGGAAAGAAAAGTTCCACCACCTGATCCCCGCGCACACCTTCACCAACATCAGCACCAAGAACCCTCAAGGCTCGAAGTCTCTGGACAACATCTGGATCAGTAAAAGCTTAAAGAAGGTTTTCACAGGTGAGGCAGAACTCACTTGTCCTTTCTCCTGTTCAGGAATGGAGTGAGAGAAACATGTCTGAACTGACAGAAGTCATCTCACCTCCTCTGAGGCATACATAGGATTGTGGTTTACGTGACTGTATAACTGTCATTTAATCAGAGACAGAATCCAGGAATCCAGGCCCCTGTCAGTCCCGCGCTAAGGACCACACAGTGCTTTCCAGCCATTCTCTAATTGTTTTTGTAACTATTCGTTAATTTTATTCAAATATACCTCCTGCTGCTTAGATTTCTAAATCCTCATTTTTCAAAGTGAAAGGGAGTGTGACAAATAATTTTAGAACACCCACTGACCTACAGCAAGCAGATGTGTTCCAGGCAAACCTGGTTATAGATTGGCAGAGTCCTGATTCAGAGATGAGCTGATAACGTTACTTTTAGGACACTTAGTCTTCTAGCAAACATTTGTCAAACATGCAAGTGTTGTGTTGTAGGATGCAGTGTGTAGACATGCTATGAGGTGGACATGCTGTGAGGTGAACAGGTGTCTCATATAGTGTCACAATGGGACAGGAGAAATGCTCAGTGCTCTGCAAGGAGCAGGGTATGGGGGTGATTTCACCCTCTCTGCAGACTGGTAACCTGCTGAGTCAGGACACAGTCAACAATATGGAAGAGACAGTAGGGTCTTTTGATGAAAGACAAGAACAGTATTTCTAAACTCTGACTGGACATTTTGCGAAGCCCCACGGATGCCTATTATACTTCAATGAGAAATTTAAAAATAAAAGTTGCAGGGCCTGGCTTTTATTGCGAGAGAGACTAATGGGCAGCCAAGGCCAAGATCTTCAAGACTAGGACATCTAGGCTTGACTGTCACCTGCTTCTCCCCTCTCTCTTGGGGCACTAGTTTCCTGTTGTACTCTGTCATGGGAGGACCCAAATGATGAAGAAAGTGGGTCTCAGGGAGAATGACAATTGTCAAACTAGCCTCGGTTTGCAGAAATGCGCTATGGGCCAGGAAAAGAGGCCAGCCCACGGCCTTTGCAGGCCCCCAGGAAGGTGTCTATTGAAGGAAGAGAGCTGGGGAAGC
Source organism: Homo sapiens (assembly GCF_000001405.40). NCBI lineage: Eukaryota > Metazoa > Chordata > Mammalia > Primates > Hominidae > Homo > Homo sapiens. The sequence goes on from NC_000007.14 coordinate 36,298,263, forward strand.
TGAGCCAACAGGGCTGGAAGGAAGTTGGAAATCCTTTCAGTGGTTCCCTTCCTGTGAAGTTGCTGAGCTCAGGGAGGAGTTGCCCCCGCTACAGAATGGTCAGCAGTGTGTGCCAAAGCTCCACCCAGAATCTAGGCCCATGTCAATCCTGCACTAAGGACCACACAGTGCTTTCTAGCTATTCTGTAGTTGTTTTTGTAACTATTCATTATTTAATTATATTCAAATATACTTCCTGCTTCATAGATTTCTAAATCCTCGTTTTAAAAATACCATTACTTTCTCATAAGCTTCTGTAATTTTTTCTTTTTTACCCTTTGTGTAGAAAGAATTTCCACCCCTAACCCCCTTAGTGTCTTTTGCTTTGCAAAACTGGACCTTTGCTTTGGACTTGGGATGTCTTTATGAGGCGTCTGTCTCTGTTTTGTGATCAGATTCACAGCAGCGCGTTTATGAGGACAGGTCAGCCCATGTGCCCATGTGTGTCTGGATGGACAGGAGGCCTGGCCTCTGGGTGTTTTCACTGCCTAAATGCAGAAACTCTCCTTTATGTGGAAAATCAAACTGGCCGAGACCTTTAATATGCACAGGCAAATGCACAGGCACCTTCCAGCTACCTGAGGCAGCCTCTCCGGGCACCCCGGCCTGCAGACATGCGGTGTGACCCTCCACCTGCCAATCCAGGACCTCCCGCACCCAACCCCCCATCCTGATTCCCGGTCTCTTTCCTTCCTCTCCCTTCAGGTCACTGGGCTGTGGTGAGAGAAGGCCTCACGAACCCTTGGATTCCGGATAACTGGTCTTGGGGCGGGGTGGCTTCTGAACACTGCCCAGTGCTAGCCGAGTTCTACACTGAAAAGGACTGGAGCAAGAAGGATGCCCCTCGGAACGGCAGCGGGGTGGCCTTGGAGCGAAGTGAAGCCAACATCAAGCACGAGCGATGATGACACCAAATCCATGTGTCCACCCTGGGACCCAGGAGGGCACAGCCAAGGAATGAGCCCTGTGGGGTGACGCTTCAGGGCAGAGCTGCCTTTTAATTTTTATTCTCAGAGCATCAGCACTTGAGGCCTTGCCCCACGCCTTCTCTGTGGACCATTCAGGACCTCCAGTGGGGGTGGCGTGCCAGGCGCGTACCCCACCAGGTGGGCAAAGCAGAAACCTGCGGGGAGCGGAGACGCCTTTTATCTCTGGATGCCACAGACCTGAGCAGCATTGGGCTGGCTGTCCGCTGCTGACTGGATGGCAGCACAAAGACAATATGAGCAGAGGGAGGAGAAGAAGGGGTGCTCAGGCTGCGGGCCACAGTCCAGCAGCGCCAGAAGCACTCATTTCTGACCACCAGGCTATGACGTTCCTGCTGCGCATTACAGAAAGCTTTTAACTGTGATCAGGCACTCTGCTCAGATACATTGAGTGGCGATTTTTAGTTTTGTTTTGAAAAAATAAACAGATTAACCTGCCTCGCTGCAGTGAGAGCATGGGACAAGTCCGCCACAGCCCTCCCCCGCCCCCTTCCCCCGCCCCCCAACGCGCAGTGTGTATTTGCACCACGGCAGGTGCCTCTGTGTGGAGCTAGGGTCAAGCCCTGAGCAGCTTCACTTCCCCTGCGCCTTTTATGTCCCCACCTTGAGGCCTTGCAGAGGCGCCTCTCAAGGCCCCATCAGCTCGCCGGGACCTCTGTGAAGCCTCTCTGTCATCTCCCCTTCCCAGCCCCTCCTTCATCCCCTGCCTCCTTCACCAGCCTGGCTTTTGCCTGGAGCACTATTTGTTTAGTTCTCTTTGCAGGACAAGAATTCTCTCAGGGTGGTATCACCTCCTCCCTCCTCCCCACTCACTCCAGTTTTTAGCCCGGAGCCTCCTGTGGTTGACTATCAGGAATGTGTGCTGTGTCAGGATACATAGGAAGTTGACCTCGGGGTATCATGGAGAGTGTCCCTCCTAGTGGCTGGAGGTAGGGACAGTTGGTTGTGGGGCTGGAGAGAGGTTGTGGGGAGGAAGCGAGGATGCGTGCCTGCCACTAGGCATCTGCATCCCCGAGCCCAAGCCAGGAGGGATTTCCCTTAGGCAACACCATCCCAGGGAGATCTGCCACAATTTGCGTTTCACAGCTGAAGACGCTGAGGCTTAGAGAGCTCGACCTCCTCAAGGTCACACCACTGGGTAAATAGAGGGATGCAGACTCAGGTTTTGCTATGTGCTCACATTTCAACTTTATGCTTAACATGAATGGAAAAATATGAAAGTAAATAGTGAAAAGGTAAGTTATGAGCTTAGATTACCTAGATTATTCCAGTATCCCATGGAAGCTGAGGACTTATTCCGCTTTCCACACCGAACACTAAATGTGGACCAGTATCAAGAACCCTCCTGTCCCCACGCAGTGTAAACCCAGTGGCTTCTCTGACCTGGAGCTGATGGGCCGTGAAGGGGGCCTATTTTTCTCCAAAGGCCATCCTTTTGGGGCCACCTGGCTCCAAGAAGCATCGCTGGTCTTGGGGACGGGAAGGGAACCCTCTTCCAGGAGCTCTAAGGGTACTTGGGAATCAATTGTGTCCATTCTGAGGTCTCTCCAGTGGGAGGGCGGCAGCTCCTGTCCCTGGGTTCAGGCTGTGCTTCTGGAAGCATCGAAATGGGATGTCTGAGCCTTGAGGAAAAGCAGCAGGGTTAGCATTAAAGTCAAGAGGGGCAGCTCAGGATGCTACCAGGGAGCACATCGTTTCTGGTGCCTCATCTAAAGGTGAAACCTCCCCTACATTCACCAGCCGGATGTCCCAAATCCCTTTAGCCAGATTGCTTTTTGCAACCAAAGCTGTGGACAGAAAAGCCTCCTTAAGTGAGCTGAGGGGACAGGAAATCCAATCAGATGACCTTTGTGTTCGTAATCGGGCTTGAGCCAGAGGCTGGGGAGCTGAGTCCCAGCCAAACCTCACTGGCCCTTTTGCTTTTCACGCCCAGGGCTCAGTGGCCCAGGAAGTGTGCTGGGCAGCCTGTTCTTACTCCAGCTCAACCCATTGGGTGTTGGCTGTTTTTGGTTTTAGTTGTTGTTTTGTATTTTGTTGTTTTAATTAATAGGCTTTATTTGTAAGAGCAGTTTTATGTTTACAGAAAAATTAGGCACAAAGGGATTCCCATATCCCTCCTCTTCTTTGCATATTTCCCCCTCTAATTAGCATGTTGCATTAGCATGGCACTTTGTTACAACTGATGAACTTGTATTCATTATTAGCTACAGTGTTCATAGTTTATATTAAAGTTCACTCTTTGTGTTGTGCATCCTATGGGTTTTGACAAATGTAGAATGACATGTATCACCATGCTACAGAATCATTCAGAATAGTTCCTCTGATGTAAAAATGCCCTTGTGGTGGGGCATGGTGGCTCGAGCCCGTAATCCCAGCACTTTGGGAGGTGGAGGCGGGCAGATCATTTGAGGTCAGGAGTTCGAGACCAGCTTGACCAACATGGTGAAACCCCATCTCTACTAAAAGTACAAAATTTAGCCAGATGTGGTGGCGCATGCCTGTATTCGCAGCTACTTGGGAGGCTGAAGCACGAGAATTGCTTGAACCTGGGAGGTAGAGGTTGCAGTGAGCTGAGATCATGCCATTGTACTCCAGCCTGGGCAACAAGAGCGAAACTCTGTCTAAAAAAAAATACCCTTGTTCTCCATCTATTCACCCATGCCTCCCTCCCCCTAACCCGTGACAGTCACTGCTCTTTTCACCATCTCCATAGTTTTGTCTTTTCCAGGGTGTCGTTTGGTTGGAATTATAGAGTATGCAGCCTGTTCACGTGAGCTTCTACCCCTAGCCACATGCATTTAAGGTTGCTCTGTGTCTTTCTATGGTCTGATAGCTCCTTTCTTTTTCCTGCTGAGTCATGTTCCGCTGTGTGGAATTGACCTGCCTCCCTTGGATTGTTTCTGTGCCTTCCCCGGAGCTTCCTCTCACCCCAGCCCCAGCTCCACCCACAAATGCGGCATTTCTGAGTCCACCTCTTCCATTCTCCCTCTCCATTCTTTTCTTGCTTCTCCATCTTCCAAGATTGTCTGAGAAGGGGCCTAACTGCGAAGGACTTTGTTGGAGAAGCCAAGGGAAGTCCCCTGCTGCTGAACCGGGGCTGGGAGGGGAAGAAGGGATTAAGTACAAGAAAAGCTCTTCCAGTCCCACAGGCGCTGACTAGGAGCCCACGGCATTCTCCCTGCTCTCCCTATCATAGGAGAACCGCAGGCAGCCAACTGTCCCTTCCACGCCCCAATGGAACCTCTCTCCTCTCCTGCCCATTGTCTACCACAGATCAGAGATGGCTCTTTCTATGCAGGGGTGGGGACCCAGCCATCTCTATCAGCTCTGCCGGCACTGCAGGGGTGACTGACTAGAGGCGGGAAGCCCTCCTGGGCCTCAAATAACTAGGCCCAAGCTTTGACTCCCTCATGGCTGCTCTAGGGACTGCAAGGGAGGACACGGGCTTGGCCTTTCCTAAAGGGCTGCTTTCTTTCAAAGTCAAGGGGATGCTATTTTCTTCTTTGTGTTTCTTTGGTTCTGACATCAGAATTCTCCTCAGTGCAGATAACATTGCCCTCTGGAATGGGTGAGAATCCTAACACCTGGGTTTTCGGTTCTGCCCAGCGTGGCTTAAGTCTCCACCTTAAGTGAATCTCACCTGAGACAGCTACAGGGTTTGTTTTCTGGGGAGAGGAATTAATGACTTGAACAGCACTCACGGGTCTTAAACTTAGCATACAGTTTCAAATAACCCATGCCCCCACTTATTGACCCCTTACTGTTCTAAGCACTTCATACTTTAAACTGACTTCATCCTCAGAACAGTGCAATCAAGTTGGTCCTATTATCTTTCTTCTGTTCCTTTCACAGAGGAGGAAACTGAGGCATGGAGAAGGTAACCAGGCTAGGGCTGTACAAGGAGAAAGGGCAGAGCCAGAATGCCTGCCCACCAGCGTTGCACTTCTACCAGCACGCCCTGCACCCAGAGGCAAAGTGCCTCTGCCTGGGCTTAGTTGGACATAAACTCTTACACCACAGACAGAGTGGGTGGCACTTCTCCCCTGAGGACCCCGGGTGTGTTGTCACTGCTCCATGGCTACATGCCCAGGATTTGGAGGCAGCAGGCCTGGCTTCTGTCCCAGCTCTCTGTGTCATAGCTGCTGGCCCCTGCACGTTCAAGATGTCTGGCAAAGTCCCAGTTTTCTTGTCTATTAAGTGAGGACAAAACCTCTCTGAGAAGGTTGTGAAAAACAAACATCTGCCCAGCTCTCAGGGCATCTGACTGCAGGGCCAGTGGTGTGACACTGCAGGGAAGCCATTTGTTTCAAATGCTCTGACACATCATAAGGGCTCACTAAGTGGCAGCGTTTCTAAAAATAATCTTTCACTGCTTATTTCTTAGTGTTTACATTGTATCCCCAGGCTCTCTCTGCTCCTTCCAAGCTTTGTGGTTTCCCAATAGCATGGAATTCTATACTTTCCACTGGTCAATTTGGGCCCTCGGAAGTAGGGACCCCTGGGCCAGTGGTACCTGTCACATGCACACTGATTATTAAGAAAAACCCAGAGGCTCTCTCAGGGCCAAAAACCGCTGCTCCCAGGCTCCAGCTGTTCCTGGTAGAGAAACTCAGTGGGAAACTCAATAAAGCTTCTCTGGGGACCACACACACACAGCACCTTGGATTTACCATGAGCACAAGGACAGGAGGCCACTGGGTGAATTCCTGTGGGGAGGGACAGCCAACATTCCCTGGGATGGTCACTGAATTTGGCAGGCCCAGCCTCTCCAAGGAGTGTCCGCAGAGCAGCCTGCATGAGCAGACACATTGTGAGTGGTGTTGTGAGGGGCTTGGGAAGGGTAGGTCATGCAGTCAGGGGGCAGGTCATTGTGCTTCTAGAGGAATCAGCCGGGAGAGGATTGGAGACGACTTAAGAGCTCGTGCCTCGGCATGATCCACCACTGCATCCTGGAGAGAAAACCCCCCTGAGAGGGGCAGTGTTTGCCAAGGGATGCTTTGTTGGTGCAGGAATTGAGGTTTGAGGGTGAATGAGCAAAGGTGTTGGCCATGCAGAGTTGTGAGGATGTGTACACAACGACACGTGCTCATGTGTGCACACCAGATACCCTAGTGTACTGTGCTTCATTAATGGGCTTAAGCAGCCTGAGGCCTGTTGGATTTTCGGGGTGCCGGCTGACAAGTCCTAGGGCTGGGCTGGTGCAAGGCTGCATTAGCAGTTCAGTGCCTGGAGATGTTTTCTTGGGCTTGATTCCTACTTCTCCCCCCTCAGTAAAGGAATACTTGGATGTTTTACTTTGAAATGCTTTAAATAAGGACAATCCAATTCAGTATGGCCTTGAGGTGTGATTTCTAAAGTGGTTTGGATGGAGCCATCACTTGGATCTGAGTGGCTCGTTGGTACAGAACTCTCTCTCTGGGCCAGGCTGGAAGTTGCAGTGAACCCTCATTCAGAGCCTCTGGGACCAGGCTGACACTGGACACTTCCTTCCTAGGAACTTCATGAATAGCACCTTCTCCAGCCTGCCCACTTAGCAGCTGGCTGGTTAGAATAAATTAAGTAAGTGAAATAAGGGAGAGAGGAAGGGGGAGGGGAGAGAATGATCAAAGCCCAAGCATCCATCCATCCAACTCATATTTACTGAAGGCCTAATGTGTGCCTGACACTTCACGGGATAATCCCTTTTGTGTGAAGCTTACAGTTTAGCAGGGAAGACAGAATTCATTATTCATAGCTATTGACATTATTACAAATAACAATTATTAAAAAGCCATCTGAAAAAGTTGCATGGAAATTTAGGGGGAAAAAAGCCCCGATTTAAGATAAATAATCCAGTTCAGTAAACATTTTTAAAATTAGGACCCCCCCCCAAAAATGGTGCTGACTCCTGAAATGGAGGCCACATGTGTTTGAACAAATTAAAGGCCACCTTGGATGAGCGTAGCATGCGAGGCCCGCTCTCCCGTGCTCCCACTCTTTCATGCCCCCACGCTCCCACTCTCCTGCGCTCCCATGCTCCCACTCTCTCACACACTCGTGCTCCCATGCTCCCCCTCTCCCATGCTCCCATGTTCCCACTCTCTCATGCTCCCGTGCTCCCCCTCTTCCATGCTCCCATGCTCCCACTCTCTCACGCTCCCATGCTCCCCATCTCCCGAGCTTCCGTGTTCCCATGCTCCCACTCTCAGGCTCCCATGCTCCCCACTCTCACATGCTCCCATGATCCCATGCTCCCGCTCTCTCACGCTCCCATGCTCCCCGTCTCCCGCGCTTCTGAGCTCCTACACTCCCATGCTTGCCAAGCTCCACCATTGTGCCGTGTGCTGTCGTCCCTGTTCCTACCATGTCTTCTCACAAAACTTTCAGGATTAAGCAATTCCTAGCCAAGAAACAAAAACAAAATTGTCCCATTCCCCAGTGGATTCAGATGGAAACTGGTAATAAAGACAGGTACTGGCCGGGCGTGGTGGCGCACACCTGGAGTCCCAGCTATTCGAGAGGCAGAGGCAGGAGGATTGCTTGAGTCTGTGAGTTCCAGGCTGCAGAGAGCTGTGATGGCAAAAACCATCAGGTACAACTCCCAGGAGAGACACTGGAGCAGAACCAAGCTGGGCCTCTTGGGAACTGGGTCTGAGATACGCACATATTGATGCAAGATCCCTAGTGTCTGACCTCATCAAGCCAAAAACATTACCACTATTGGGACAGTTCAACATATTTTATTAGGGAAAGGATTTTTCTCTTTGTTCCTATGCTCTGAACTTGTAGTTTGGCTTAGTAATAAATATGTAAGACTTTTTTTGAGCTGCTAAAAGAATAAAGTTCTCCACAGGACTCGTAGAGAGCTATGCAGGCAGAGGTGGGCTGGAGTCAGCTCCTACTTGCTCATAGGAGCTGATTGTTCAAGTTTCAGGAATTTTACCAGCCGGCTGTTAGTTATTGGTAGCTAGGCTTTGCCCTTGGTGAGAGTATTTACGCCATGAAGATTGACAAAGGCTACAAATCAGAACACTTTCCACTGAGAGCTCGTTGTTAGACATTTACCAGCACATCACCAAGGCCAGGGCTTGGTTCTTCAGTGCAAAACATGGGTGGAGACCCAGCTCCTCCATAGCTGGGAAGATATCCAGAGGATGGAGATGCTTCAGTCTGGAAAGACACGGCCTGTCGGCTTATATGAAAAAAGTCTCGAAACCACACAAACTGCCAAACTATACTGAGGGAGAAGCCCAGACTCCTCATTGAGCCTTGCAATTTTTAAAGCATGGATTCTGTTATTTTAAAATGAAAACAAGTACCCTCTTCTGCAGTCAATTCAGAGTCTTGACTGCCCTTCTAGCACCCTTCCTCATTGCTGACCCTGAGCCTTAGCGTGTGCTTTTCCTCCTGCCTAAAATCTTCTATCCACTGGAATCCACCCAACCCAGAAACCCTTCCCAATCCCCGCCCCAACATCCACCTCCAGGGTCTTCTGCAACCACTCCATCCCATGCCGGTTCCCTGCCTGCCTCGACTCCGGTGGTCCTAAACGTCCATGGGATTTCCTGGCACTTATTTGCTCACTGTCTTGCCTTGCTACTTAACGTCAGATGGAGGTTCAAGTGGTTTCCAATGGGGAGAGGTGCATTTCACAATGTCTGGAGACATCGTTGGTTGTCACAGCTGGGGTGATGGTGCTACTGGCGTCTAGTGGGTAGAGCCCCGGGATGCTGCTAACATCTTACAACGCAGACAACCCCTGCTTCTCCAGCAAGTCTGACCCCAAATGTCAATAATGCAGAGGTTAGGAAGCCCTGTTGTACACTAGTGACCACATCCTAGTTCAAACTTACTCTCCAAAGAACCAAGCACAGAGCCAGGCATGTCATAGACCTTCAATTGTTCGAGGCAAGTGTGCCTTTACTCACCTCAGGGCTTATTTCCAGAACACATTTCTTCTACCATGATTACCACCCACTCCCACCTCCCTCCTCCCTCTTCCAAACCCTGATTGAAAATATAAACAAGTACGAGTTACATAAATTGATAGATAAAAAGAACGGGTTATCAATAGAAGCCTGCAGTGTCAGAGGTGCACCTGCATCTTCTGGGTACTGTAGGACTTGCATTCCTTTCCAGAAATGTGCCTTTTAAGCCTCTGCAAGCTGAACCCTGTTCTCTCTCTGGCCACCTCCCAGTGGCTTTACTTCTGCCCTTCATCCGCTTAGCTGTTGTCATACAGATTGCAGAGACATTCTTGCTGCACAGAAGCCAAATGTAGTTGTAAGAATAATTTATGGATGGTTCCATCCATCCACATTAAAAAATAGTTCCTTATCAGCCAGGTGCAGTGGTTCATGCCTGTAATCCCAGCACTTTGGGAATCCAAGACGGGTGGGTCACCTGAGGTCAGGAGTTCAAGACCAGCCTGGCCAACATGGTGAAACCGTGTCTCTACTAAAAATACAAAAATTAGCCAGATGTGGTGCTGGGCTTGTAATCCCAGCTACTCGGGAGGCTGAGGCGGGAGAATCACTTGAACCCAGGAGGCAGAGATTGCAATGAGCCGATATCATGCCATCACACTCCAGCCTGGGTGACAGAGCAAGAATCAATCTCAAAAAAAAAAAAAAAGTTCTTTATCATCTGTAGTGGGTCAGGCACTGTACTAAGCAGGGGTGAGCTTGTATCTTTGACAGCCATAGGACACTAACCACTAACCAATCAGATCAGACACTAGAATAGGAGCTGGGCCAGGGAGACAGACAGACACGGACACACCCAGGCAGACGATGATACTAGGAAGGGGCAAGGCAGGACCACAGCAAAGGCCCCAGTGAAAGGCAGCACCACCACGGGCAGGTGCTGTTCTGGCCCCATCCTGGAGAACGGGGCTGGCGGAAGCTCGTGGCCCTCCTGGGAAGGCCTGTTTCCGACTGTCCCCAGAGACTCTGGGGATGAATGAGGTATGGCCTAAGCTTGTGGGAAAATTGCAAATCAACACTGCATCCTGGAAAAGCACTTTGGTTTGGCCTCGAGTCACTGTCCTTTCATTTCTCTTCTGACCACAGTGAGTGCCCCGTGTGAGGATGACTGGGTGGAGGTGGCGTCTTGCTGGCTGATTGCCTTCCAGTGGAGCAGGGACCATCTCTTAGGTGGACAATGAAGGCAAAATTAAATTTTTCAAAGAATTTTTCAGCCACATTAGAATTGGTATTTATCAAGGGCTTATTAGGGCCAGAAGTTATATTAGAAACTTTATGAATATTTCTCATACAGTTCTCCAGACAATCCGGTGAAACATGGCTTAGTACCCAGGGTGCCAGGGCTCAGAGATGAACAATTTTCCAGAAGCCAGAAGTGGAGGTGGGAGCTGAAAACAGCCTAACTCCAAAGCCCGTGTTCTTTTTTTTTTTTTTTTAGACAATCTTGTTCTGTCACCCAGGCTGGAGTGCAGCGGCACAATCTCAACTCACTGCAACCTCTGCCTCCCAGGTTCAAGCGATTCCCTTGCCTCAACCTCCCGAGTACCTGGGACTACAGGTGCGCACCACCATGCCCAGCTAATTTTTGTATTTTTTGTAGAGACGGGATTTCACCGTGTTGGCCAGGCTGGTCTTGAACTCCTGACCTCAGGTGATCAGCCTGCCTTGGCCTCCCAAAGTGCTGGGTTTACAGGCATGAGACACCACGTCCGGCCAAAGCCGGAATTCTTAGCCCATACTTTTACTCTATTCTCTTTCTCTTTCTCTCTCTCTCTCTCTCTCTCTCTCTCTCTCTGTGTGTGTGTGTGTGTGTGTGTGTGTGTGTGTATGTGTAACAGAGCATTTTTGTTTCCATTCTTAAATATATTCTTAATTTTCTGCAATGAATATGAAAGCATCAATTTGGTAATCAGAAAGGAAATAATATAATCACGAGCACAAAGCTGAGTTAAGAAAAAACGGACTGAACTGACTTCCCTTCATCCTGCAGCCTGCAGGCCCCTTCCTCCCCTGGGGGTGCTGCTGCTCCAGCCCCCTCCTATCTCATCTTTCCTTAGGGAGCTGTCTTGAGAGAGAGACTGAGACGCTGGTCTCCCCGCAGCAGGTCCTGACAGCGGTGACTTATCCAAGCAGAGCCTCAGGCACCACTCTCTTCTTCAAAAGTTACCAGAACAACCCTTAGGCAACTTCTTCCGGGTCAGCCCAACGGCCTTTCCCACACACCTGGGCCCAGCCTCAGGTGTCTGGAGTATTTCCTAAGTAGAATTGGGGAAGATGTCTCAAATCACGCCAGGCAGCAGCCATCTGGAAAATTGCTGCTGGCTTAGCACCCTTGGGCCTGGTGGGTGAGGAGGTTCTTCCGGCCCTGGGCTCCTGCCTGGTGTCCCCTCTCAGTCAGCGCCTCTACCCAGGGCAGGAGCAGCCTCCGTGGAAGGGTGAGACAAGCTGGCTGCAGTGCAGGACAGCTCTGCTGGTTGGGTAGAGCGGAGACAGCAGAGGAACTTCAGCCTCCCAGAAGAGTAAGAGCTGAGCGAAGCTGTGAAAGGGGTATCCTTGCTTGGTTCATGGTGGGTACCTTTAGCCCTTGAAAGCCTCAGTTCCAGCCCAGACTGAGGAATGGCGGAGCGCCTCCCCAGCAGAGAATTCTGCTGTGGGAATGAATGGTTGAGCTCCAGGGCTTCCGGCTTCCTCCTCTCGGTTAGCAGCCTCTCCTGCCGAGAGCCCCCTGGGCCCTGCAGCCTGGGCCTGCCCATCATCAGCCCAGAAGGCAGGAGGTTTCATAAAACAGAATTAGAAGTGCAAGTTTTCTAGAAACTTTAGGATTAATTAATAAACAGATGGTCTATCTCTTCCTCCTTCCCCGGCATGGGAAGGGTTGAGTAGAGTTAGAAATCCACTTAAATTTGCAAAACGTAGATAGTTGTTGAACCTGGGTCAAGGGAACATAGGGGTTCATAATATATTTCTTTCTACTTTTGTGTATGTTTGAAATGTTTCACAACACAATGAATACAATGCACAAATAATAAAAAGCCCAAGCCACAAAAAATAATAAAACACACTTTTTAAAGGAATAAAAACATATTTATTTAAAGCATAACTTTTTTTTTTGTTTGAAGCGGAGTTTTGCTCTGTTGCCCAGGCTGGAGTACAATGGCGTGATCTCAGCTCACTGCAACCTCCACTTCCCCGGGTTCAAGCGATTCTCCTGCCTCAGCCTGCCGAGTAGCTGGGATTACAGGCATGCGCCACCATGCCCAGCTAATTTTTTTTTTGTATTTTTAGTAGAGATGGGCTTTCACCATGTTGGCCAGGATGGTCTCGAACTCTTGACCTCAGGTGATCCACCCACCTTGGCCTCCCAAAGTGCTGGGATTACAGGCATGAGCCACTGCGCCTGGCCAAAATGTATACTTTTTAAAAGAATCAGCAAGTACTGCATTTCCCTGTAGACCGAGGTGCCAGCGTTCTCGCAGTTAGGGGTGGGCGTGTGTGGAAGGGATTTGCCTCTGTAATTCCTTCCTTTTATGCCAGTCCCTGGAAAGAATCACCAAAAGGAATTCAGTGTTTAATCCTAAAAGGGGAACATTAAAATGTATGTATTTGAAGGGTAAATTAAAAGTCCCAGAGAGAAAAGAAGAAAGGGCTATTTAAAAGCCCTCGGTTGCTTTTTGTGCGTTAATCACCTGTTGGGCACCCACCAGGATAGGCCCTGGGAGTGGGGTTGGGGGAGAGGGAGCAGGAAGATCCCTGCCTTCCAGGGCCACTCCTCCCTGGTCTGGGTATACGGTCTCCAGTGCAGCGCTCCTGCAGCTGCGCAAGCCTGGATGGGAAGCTGCTAGCCAGGCCGGAGTGGGATCCTCTTGTATTCCATGTTCACCTCTCCGTGAGTCTCCACTAAAGATGTGGCCAGGAGGAGTCTGAGCACCCACCAGGTCAAAGGGAAACTTCTTTCTCTCTCTCCTGGCTCAGAGAAGCCTCACCCAACAGCCAGGCAAAACAATTCATCCCTCCATCTTCTATCATGTGTAAGAAAACCGTGGGTCACCTTAATGAAATTTTTATTTTTTTTTTGAGATGGAATTTCCCTCTTGTTGCCCAGGCTGAAGTGCAGTGGTGCCATCTTGGCTTACTGCAACCTCTGCCTCCTGTGTTCAAGCAATTCTCCTGCATTCAAGCGATTCTCCTGCCTCAGCCTCCCGAGTAGCTGGGATTACAGGCGCACATCACCATGCCTGGCTAATTTTTGTATTTTTAGTAGAGACGGGGTTTCACCGTGTTGACAAGGCTGGTCTTGAACTCCTGACCTCAAGTGATCCACCCGCCTCAGCCTCCCGAAGTACTGGGATTACAGGTGTGAGGCCCCGTGCCCACTGCCCCGGCTACCACCCCCGCCTTAATGAAATTGAACCCTGAGCCTCCAGGCTGGGGATGCCTGGGGCTGGTTCTCCTCAGCTGAGAGGGCCTGAGCAGGCCAGCCCAGCCCTCTGCCCAGAGTTTCCTTCCTGCTGTGGCCACAGGGCTGCCACGGGGCACTCACCTTCCCACCTGCAACACTTCTGTCCGCAGCACAGCTAGGCCTAGCTGGAGCAGGTAACCCAGCCTTTACCCAAGACTTAAGGAGAGCAAAGAAGAAACAACCCCAGGGAATCATGAAAGCAGCTTTATGTGGCCTATAAGGTGGAATGTTCTCATCCTCAGCTTGTGGGAGTAGATGGGTGGTCTCCCTGCCTGACCCCACCTGGCAGACGCCAGCAGCCCCTGCCTCCTGGGAGGACCTTGAGTGGAACTGGACAACAAGGCCTCTCTCTGAGTGAGGCCCAGAAGTGGACAGCGATGAGCCCTCCTGCCTGTCTAGGGCTGTCATCCGAGTGCCACTGTTTTTGAGACAGGGTCTTACTCTGTTTCCCAGGTTGCAGCGAAGTGGTATAAGCATGGCTTACTGCAGCCTCGACCTCCTGGGCTCAACCAATCCTCCCACCTCAGCCTCCCAAGTAGCTGGTGAGACCACAGGCACTCAACCACCCCACAGGTTATTTTTTTCCCCCAGTTTTTGTAGAAATGGGGTCTCCCTATGTTGCCCAGGCTGGTCAGGACCTCCTGGGCTCAAGCAATTCTCCTATCTTGGCCTCCCAAAGTGTTGGGATTACAGGTGGGGGCCACTGTGCCCAGCCTCTGAGTGCCACCTCCTGCCTGACAATCAGTCCCTTCCCCAGTTGCCAGGCCCCAGAGATGTTTGTCTCTGTCAGAGAAGAGCCCAGCACTACCCACAAGGTCTACAAGAACCCATATTTGAGGGCGGGGCGTCCAGCAGATGGAAAAGAGGTGGGGAGGTATTCCTTAGGGGAAGAAGGGAGGGCACCGAAGTGAACAGGTGCTCGCTGCCAGCCTTGTCAGCACCACACACCTGGCAAGGCGCCTTAAACCTCACCTCAGCCCCATGGTGCAGAAAAGAAAACCGAAACTCAGAAGATAAGTAACCAGTACCTGGGCCTCGCCGCCAGGAGGCAACAAAGTCAGGATTCCAGCTCAGCTCCGACACCTGTGGCCTGGCTTTTAACAGTTTAGAGGGAGGCTCACAATTAAGAATAAATGCAGAAAAACGTTTGCAGCGGAGATAAAGAGTGTTGTGTGAACCTGAGGAAGGAGGGAGAACCTGCTCAGCTGGAGGCGAGTCTGAGGAGTCTTCCTGGGAGAGGTCCCCTTGAGCGGGGACCTGACCGGGTGAGTAGCAGATGGCATCCCCGGAAGAGGGGACCAGGAGGGCCGGGGTGTGGAGGGAGGACAGCAGTGATGTGGCTGCTCCTGGCAAGAGCTTAGGACGAGATATGGAGAGGAGACTGACGGGAGCCACAGGCCAGCTCTTCCAAGGCAGGCTAAGGATGTTGAGGTGGTTCTGCGGCGCTGGGGAGCATTGCAGGCTTGTGTGGGAGTAGGAACAGGTAGAGGAGGGGGCCTGCATCCGCAGTGCCGGGAGCGGCGCAGGTATCGGGGCAGGGATGGGGGATGGCTCTCGTTGCCGGCATATTATTGTGCGGTCCTTCGGCTAAGGTGTTAGCAGAGCTGGTGGGGGCCAGGTTGGTCACACTAGTCTCAGAGAAAGGCCTGAGGGGCTGGAAAGCAAGTGCAGAGGTGGGCTATTGGGACACTGTTGAGTGTCACAAGGACATGGGTTCGAGTTCTGCCTCCACCCTGACCAGCTTCAGGTTTCTAAGAAGTTGATCTTTGTTAGGTTTAAAAAAAAAGAAAAAAGAAAAATTCAGGAAAAGAGCCAGGTTTGGGGAGAAGATGCTAATCCCCGTTTTGGACAAGTTGAACTAGGGTGCCTATAGGTCAACTGCCCAGGCAGTTGGGAGCGGGTGGGGAAACCTGCCCTTCCAGAGCCTTCCATGATGGGTCTGCTGTGCTCCCGTCAAGGGTGGGACATTCCTCTATGAGAACACACATCAAACCGTGGAGTGCCTCGGCTGTCAGGCCTGCCTCCCAGCCAGACTGCACATGTAGAGAAGTAGAGGGAAGCTTACCTGAAGATGACAGTCCCGATGATGATGATGATGATGATGACGATGGTGATGATTGATCATGATGATGTTTTAAGAGCAGGGAGGCTGTTACCTTTTCTTATGGGCTGAAATGTGTCCCCTCAAAATTTATATTAAAATCCTAACCCCTAGTACTTTAGACTGTGACTTTATTTGCAAATAGGGTCATTGCAGACACAATTAAGATAAGGTCCTACTGGAGTAGAGTGAGCCCTTCATCCTATATGACTTAGTATTCATATAAGAAGAAGAAAAAACAGAAACAAACAGGGAGAGGGCCAAGTGGCCACGGAGGCAGAGATTACAGTGATGGAGCTGCAAGCCAAGGAACACTGCGGAGCAGCGTCCGAGGCTGGAAGAGGAGAGGCAGGGTCCTCCCTGCAGGCTTCAGAGGGAGTGGCCTCGCTCATACCTTGATTTTGGACTCCCTGACTCCAGTACCATGGGTGAATAAATTTCTCTAGTTGTAAGCCTCTCAATTGATGGTAATTTGTTATGACACCCCTAGGAGACTAATAGATGATCATGTCTGTATCCCCAGAACCTGGCACATCATGGCATTGGAGAAGCAAATGAATGAATGAAGTTCAGAGAGGGAATGCAGGAGAACTACTCAGCCCCACAAAGTCAGGTGGAATGTGGCTCTGCCCGCCTCCCCAAAGAAGGCTCTGTAGCCAAGAGCAGCAACAAATAGGCTGAGGGAGACCTGGGATGGTGCCGGTCTCCACCAGCTCACCTCCCTTGGTCTTGTCACCCAGGGCAGATCCTGATGTGGGGAGGGAGAGAGCAGAGAGCAGAGAAACCCTGGGGTTACCAGTGAAGCTTGTCTCTCACCTCAAGGGTGTCCTCTCCCTTCCTTGCTTTCTTCCACCACCACTACCCCATCCTCTCTGCAGTATCTCTGCGTCTGAGCATCAGAGCTAGGGTGACATTTACCCACCCTTTGGGAGTGGGTCCCTGGAAAGGTGCCAGGTGGAGCTGGAGGTTGAAGCAAGTTTCAGGGCATTGACAGGAAGAGAGTGAGGGAAGCCCTGGGTAGCACTAAGAGCATGGCTATAATGGGTGTTATGAGCCCAAACTCCTGTTCAGATCCTTTCCGGAAATTACTATTGGTGTGACTTTGGGAAAGTCACTCGACCCCTCTGAGCCTCTCAGTTTCTTTACCTGAAAAATGGAGGTATGTCTACTACCTTTAATATTGTCATAAAGATTAAATGAAATATATTTGGCATGAAATCGTCACCACCATCATTATCTTCAGTGGTGGCCAAGTGTCTCTAGGGAAGACAGGAGTGCAATGTGGATGGAAAGGTTTGGGGAGTTCCCAGACCACCCAAATCTGTGAGCAGGATGGCACTGAGAAATGCAGAACATGCCCTGGGGATGGGGGCAATTTTCTACAGTCTGGAGGATGTCTTTCAATCCTGGCTTCTGTGCAGAGCTGAGCAGTGTCCAGGGGTGGACGGTCCCCAGCCAAGCATGAGGAGGCCCCTTTGTGGGAGCCAACACCATACAGGGGGACAAGTTCAGATGTCAGGGCCCCATCAGAAGTGGGGGGCACAGAGTTTAAACCACCACTGAAAATAGGCAAGGGGACCCTTGTTGGAAGGAGTTTGCTGGGCATGAGAGAGGCCACCAGTGAGAGTAGGGGCAACCCTGACCTTCAGGGTCAAACCACATAAGGCAGGATTGCCCTGCAGCTTTTGGTTTTGGTGTCTGGCCAATTGCCAGTAGTCAGTGATGGAAGATGCCATTTCCCAAGTACTCTGCTGACTTCTATTGCGACAAATTATTTAATTAAATTATTATTGTTGGGAGGGCATTAGGGACTCGAGTTTTACTGAGCTAAGGAGTGAGTGCAGTGGGTGGGGGATAATGAAAGAAGTCAGATTGGAAGGAGGGTCACGGAAAACAAACGTCCTTGACAAAGGTGGGCGGGGCTCATGCAAATGAGACAGTCTAGGGAGCATTTCCTGCTACTTCCTGCTTTCTGGAAACTGCTTAGAAGGCTGAGTAGCTGAGGTTGACCTGAGAGCTTGGTTTTGCCCCAGAAACACACAGACAGCAGAAAGGAGACGGCAGAGGTTCAGGGGTAGCCAGGCCACCGGGCCACTGCAGGCCAGGAGTGCAGGCGCAGCCTGCGATAGCAAGGATAAGCTTCAAAGGCAAAGGTGAGGCCCTGTCCTAGGCACCCTGGGGCCTTGCTCTTGCTTCCCAGGGGTGTCTCCTGCTTCTGCCTTTATCCCTCCAGGAAGGTAGGGATGGAGGGAGGCACCCTCTTTTTCTCAAATCTGTGTGCCTGGGTGGCCAGGCTGGGCTTGGTAATGTGGAAAACTTGGGTCTGCAAGGGCAGTGAAGTTCGAAGGCCTGCTAAAGAGAGCAGCAGGAAAAGAGATGGTTCACCGACTCCCTCCTTCCAGGTGGCCTGGGGACGAGGAAGAAGGGAGAGAGATAAAAGGCCATGGAAGGGATTTCTCACCTGCTTCTGTTTTCCTGAGCTCTGGGGTCAAACCACATAAGGCAGGCTTCGCTTGGTGCTTTTGGTTCTGGGAGTGCCTAATATAGTGTCTGCTTAGCCGGCCGAATTCCGATCCACAGTCAGTGATGGAGGACGCAGTGTCTTGCTGACTTTCATCATGATGAATTATTTACTTAAAGGATCAATGCTCAGGGTGAGGCGCACTAAGGAGGACTCCAGTGATGAGGAGTGAGTGCGATTGGCTGGGGTTGTGGCTGCACCAGCATCAGCTACTTTGGACACAGCCAGAGAAGAGTGACAGGCTCCAGCCCCAGGCCTGCTGTGTATTGTGTGGTAGTCTCTTTGCTCTGAGTTCTGAGATACCTGGAAGTGGCATTTTAAAATAGAAATTCCAGAGATGGCTTTACCTCTTGGCAAATGGGCACCATACCTGTTCTATGCATGAAGGGTTCCTATGAATTTTCTGGACTATAAATCTCCCCCATTCTCTGGACTCTAAAAGCCCAAGGACAGAATCAGGAACACAAGGACTAGGCCGTCGATACCACCAGACTTGCTGAGTGATGGGGGGCAATTCCCCAGGCCTCCAGTTTCCTTCATGATATCCAGCAAGGAGAATTTTTCCCGGGGCAGTGGTCCTCACACGTAGATACCTGGAAGAATCACCCGTGGGACTTCCTGACCTGTGGATTCCTAAGCCCTAACCCAGAGTCTGATGAAGAAACATTGACTAGGCCTGGCCTGTGGCCCAGTTGAATTGGTGGCCATGCTCTGAGGCTCATACTTTGAGAAATACTGATGTGGAGGGAGTTGGTTAAAACAGGGTGCTGCCGTGTGTGTGTGTGTGTGTTACATATTTTCTTTACAGAAATGAGGTCTCGCTATCTTGCCTAGGCTGTCCTCAAACTCCTAGGCTCAAGCGATCCTCCCACCTCAGCCTCCCAAGTAGCTGGGAACGTACCGTCATGCCCAGTTTGAGCCTACCATAAATAATACTAAAGACGATATAGACGGGGCTGACTAAAATGTCAAGAACTGTGGTGGTTTATTTACTTGGAATTTTGGTGTGGCTTTCAATGGCTAGGTAAGGGATTCTTTCAGTAGCAAGGATGATAGCTACCTGGCCCTATGTCAGAGATCAGCCAGGCAGCTGAAAAAGTTTAGGATTGAAGCTGACAGACAGATAACAGCAGGGGAACTATTGTTACTGTGGCTATTTTATTAAAAGTCTTAAGTCCTTGGCTTCACTTTCCTAATGGAGCTGGCAGTGAGGATTTTTTCACTAATCTAATTACCAAACAAGACTGATGTTGGGTAAATCCTTACTATTTACAGAACTGGTAAGCAACTGCAGCTCTAGGAATTTCTCTGAAGTTTTCTTCTGAATTTTTCTGAACAGCATTGATCATCATTTACTTATCTAAGAAGACCAAATTGCAGAGAAGTTGGAAATCAGATCTTTTCATTCTTATCTCCTAGAGGGGTCTCATAGGTCTCCTGGCAAGAAGCAGTCAGACTCTGAGTGGTTTTGGCATTGAGGTTCTTGGGTGGAAGATGTGCTGCCAGCTAGGAGCAGTGAAAGCATAAGAGGATGAAAACTTCTAGGAGCCAGCCTCAGCCTCGGTCCCCACCATTGGCAGCTTCCAGATGGCTTCTGCAGGCTGTGGAGGCAAAGGCCTTCATTCTCATCCTCAACATTTAGTATGTTCATGTTCTTGTAGAATTGTCTCAGATAAAGCCACTCACATATCTAACTCCTAAAAACCTCAGAAGTTTGCCTAACAGCCCTCGGAAGGAACCTCAGTTTATAGGAGGTCTGTGTACCTGGAGGAGGGTGGGCTGGGATGAGAGGGAGTCAGACCTCTGCAATTTCCAGTATTTTATTTGAAGACAGTCCAGAGGCTTAAAGGGTCTGAAGGATGCATTATTACTGGGAATCCAGGGTCTGGTGAAAGCTAGAAAGCTGTTATCTAAGCAAAGGGGAGTTTAAGATTAGAAACTGAATTTCCCAGCCTTGCCTGTGCTCTAGAAACAATGGGGCTGGGTGCGGTGGCTCACTCCTGTAATCCGAGAACTTTGGGAGGTCGAGGCGGGCAGATCTCTCGAGGGCAGGAGTTCAATACCAGCCTGGCCAACATGGTAAAACCCAGTCTCTACTAAAAATAGAAGAATTAGCCGGGCGTGGTGGCACATGCTTGTAATCCCAGCTACTTGGGAGGCTGAGGTACAAAAATCGCTTGAACCCAAGAGGCAAAGGTTGCAGTGAGCCGAGATCACACCACTGCACTCCAGCCTGCGCGACAAAGCCAGCCTCCATCTCAAAACAAATAAACAAACCAACAAAAAGAAACAATGGGGACCTCAGTTTGTGGGACATTATTACTTGCTGAGCTGAGAAGCTTCTCTTGGCCAGAGGATCTAGTGACTTTCCCAAATACCTCCTTTCTCCCATTTCTCTAACAGGGAAAAAAGCTGGATTCACTGAGAAGTGTCTAAAGCAGTTGTGCTGTTGAGATAAAGCAGGATCTGAATTTCGAATTGCTCATCTCTCACACAGATATTACTTCAAATGGACACAATGAAATATTACTCAAAATATTTCTCGACTGAAAACTGGAAATATACAGAATATGTATATTGTTTTTAAGGCCAAATCATCTCAAGGAATTTTATGACAGATTTGTCAGTGTGAAATTTACATTGGATGGAGGAGGAAACCTTTTAGAATAGGCCTACAGGAGACTTCGGTAACTCCCTTTCTTGGGTTCTTTAAAATATATACATCTTTCCTACAACACTTACACTTGCTTGAAATCAGAGTTTAGGTTAGGATTTAGCTGCAAGTGTCAACTTGCAAGATTAAACATTTTAGGGGACCTCCAGTCAAAGATAAACTGCTGGAAGGGAGAAGAGCGGGAGAAGGGAAAAATAAAAGAGCCAGTGCTCCCTCTAGTGGGGAATTGTGGAGAAGCATGCAGAGATTCTTGGTGCCCTTGATGCTCAAAAGCTGGAGGATGTTCTCTGCTTGCTAATTTTTGTTTTTTCTTTTATTTTCTTTTTTTTTTTTTTTGAGACAGAGTCTCACTCTGTTGCCCAGGCTGGAGTGCAGTGGTGGGCAATCTCAGCTCACTGCAACCTCAGCCTCTTGGGTTCAAGCGATTCTCCTCCTGCCTTAACCTTCCGAGTAGCTGGGATTATAGGCGCATGCCACCACCCGGCTAATTTTTGTATTTTTAGTAGAGACGGGGTTTCACCATATTGGCCAGGCTGGTCTTGAACTCCTGACCTCAAGTGATCCATCCACCTGCCTCGGCCTCCCAAAGTGCTAAGATTACAGGCGTGAACCACAGTGCCCAGCCTCTGCTTATTAAAGTCTAATTGCTGACTAGAACACTCCAACTGTCTCACCAAAGAGCAAATTAGAGCTCCAACACAAATGAGTGACAAAAAGAATTACTGTCTTCTTCCATTCAGGAGTGTCAGTTGATGTGTAGGACCATATTTTCATGAAGATGTAACAGTAATTAAGTAGGAAAGTACTCCTAATATAATAGAGGTATTTTTAAATGGCAAGAGAACAAAATATCTGGTTTATCTAAATGTGGATATTTACACCTTAGGTCATTACATATTAAGAATTTGAATCTATATGGTGACAGGATTTTTTCAGGTTTATCTCACCCCGATGTTGGGGGAAAAAAATCTCCAGAACTCTATAGTCTCTTGAAATGATTGTCCACTGAAGTTCCACGTATTCATAAAGTGCTCCCACAACTTGCTGACAAGCATAGGTATTTTACATCCTGCCATGAGTTTCAAGACATTAACTCCTTTAGCTATCAAAAATGGATAAAAACCACAGGTGACTGACAAGACTTTCACAAGTGCAGACAAAGGTTTGGATTCAAAGCCTGGTCATATGGTTTGGCTGTGTCCCCACCCAAATCTCATCTTGAATTCCCACATGTTGCAGGAGGGAATCAGTGGGAGGTAATTGAATCATGGGGGCAGGTCTTTCCCATGCTGTTCTCGTGACAGTGAATAAGTCTTATGAGATTTGATGGTTTCATAAGGGGGAGTTTCCCTGCACAAGCTCTCTTCTCTTGTCTGCTGCCATGTGAGACATGCCTTTCACCTTCTGCCATGACTGTGAGGCCTCCCCAGCCATGTAAAACTGTAAGTCCAATAAACCTCTTTCTTCTGTAAATTGCCCAGTCTCGGGTATGTCTTTATCAGCAATGTGAAAACTGACTAATATAGTAAATTGGTCCCAGCAGTGGGGTGCTGCTGAAAAGATACCCAAAAAATTGAAAGCGACTTTGGAAGTGGGTAATAGGCAGGGATTGGAACAGTTTGGAGGCTTCAGAAGAAGACAGGAAAATGTGGGAAAGTTTGGAACTCCCCAGAGACTTGTCGAATGGCTTTGACCAAAATGCTGATAATGATATGGACAATGAAATCCAGGTTGAGGTGGTCTCAGATGGAATTGAGGAACTTGTTGGGAACTGGAGCAAAGGTGACTCTTGTTATGTTTTAGCAAAGAGAGGGACAGGATTTTGCCCCTACCCTAGAGATTTGTGGAGCTTTGAACTTGAGAGAGATGATTTAGGGTATTTGCTGGAAGAAATTTCTAAGCAGCAAAGCATTGGAGAAGTGACTTGGGTTTTTTGGTTTTTTTGTTTTTTTAAGACAGAGTCTCACTCTGTCACCCAGGCTGCAGTGCAGTGGCATGATCTCAGCTCACTGCAACCTCTGCCTCCCAGGTTCAAGCGATTCTCCTGCCTCAGCCTTTGAAGTAGCTGGGATTACAGGCGTGCGCCACCATGCCCAGCTAATTTTTTGTATTTTTAGTAGAGACAGCATTTCACCATGTTGGCCAGGCTAGTGTCAAGCTCCTGACTTCAGGTGATCCACCTGCCTCAGCCTCCCAACATGCTGGAATTACAGGTGTGAGCCACCGCACCCAGACAGCATTCAGTTTTAAATGGGAAGCAGAGCATAAAAGTTTGGGAAGCTTGCAGCCTGACAATGTGATAGAAAAGAAAATCCCATTTTCTGAGGAGAAATTCAGGCTGGCTGCAGAAATTTGCGTAACGAGGAGCTGCATGTTAATCACCAAGACAATAGGGAAAATGTCTCCAGGACATGTCAGAGACCTTTGTGGCAGTCCCTCCCATAACAGGCCCTCAGGTTTAGGAGGAAAAAATGGTTTCATGGGCTGGGCCCAGGGTCCCTGTGCTGTATGCAGTCTAGGGACTTGATGCCCTGCATCTCAGCTGCTCCAGCGATGACTAAAAGGGGCCAAGGCACAGCTTGGGCTATTGCTTCAGATGGTGGAAGCCCCAAGCCTTGGCAGCTTCTATGTTGTGTGGATTCAAAGCCTGGTCATATGGTTTGGCTGTGTCCCCACCCAGATCTCATCTTGAATTCCCACATGTTCAAGAATTGAGGTTAGGGAACCTCTGCGTAGATTTCAGAGGATGTATGAAAATGCCTGGATGCCCAGGCAGAAGTTTGCTGCAGGGGCAGGTCCCTCATGGAGAACCTCTGCTAGGGCAGTGCAGAAGGCAAATGTGGGGTGGGAGCCTCAACAGAGTCCCTACCGGGTCACCACCTAGTGGAGCTGTAAGAAGAGGGCTACCGTCCTCCAGACTCCAGAATGGTAGATCCACCGATAGCTTGCACATGGAGAAGCCACAGACATTCAACGCCAGCTAGTGAAAGCAGCCAGATGGGGGACCGCAAAGCCACAGGGGTGAAACTACCCAAGGCCATGGGAGCCCATCTCGTGCATCAATGTGACCTCGGTGTGAGACATGGAGTCAAGGGAGACAATTTTGGAGATTTAAGATTTGACTGCCCACTAGATTTCAGACTTGCATGGGGCCTGTCACCCCTTTGTTTTGGCCAATTTCTCCCATTTGGAATGGCTGTATTTACCCAATGCCTGTATCTCCATTGCATCTAGGAAGTAACTAACTTGATTTTGATTTTACAGGCTCATAGGAGGAAGGGACTTGCCTTGTCTCGGATGAGACTTTGGACTGTGGACTTTTGAGTTAATGCTGAAATAAGACTTTGGGGGACTACTGGGAAGGCATGATTGGTTTTGAAATGTGAGGACATGCGATTTGGGAGAGGCCAGGGCGGAATGATATTGTTTGGATGGGTCTCCACCCAAATCTCATCTTGAATTCTCACGTGTTGTGGGAGGGACTTGGTGGGAGGTAATTGAATCATGGGGGCAGGTCTTTTCCATGCTGTTCTCGTGGTAGTGAATAAGTCTCACGAGATCTGATGGTTTTATAAGGGGGAGTTTCCCTGCACAAACTCTCTTCTCTTGTCTGCTGCCATGTGAGACGGGCTTTTCACCTTCACCTTTCACCACGGGCTTTTCACCTTCACCTTTCACCATGATTGTGAGGCCTCCCCAGCCACGTGGAACTGTAAGTACAATAAACTTCTTTCTTTTGGAAATTGCCCAGTCTCAGGTATGTCTTTATCAGCAGCATGAAAACTATTATACCTGGTTACTTGCCCCTGATGGGTGAGGGCACCACACTCTTCTCTCCATCCTGGCTTCATGCTCATCTTCTTAAAGATACAGTGTTGGCTCCCATGGGCATCTGCAGGAGGTCTCAGGGGATCTCCCACAGGCCTATGATGACCCAGGCAACTGCATTCCTGGTCTACTACTTCCCCTGGGAAGGTGCTTTTATTCCAAACATAAGCCTTGCAAAAAGCAGTAATAAAATCCTGTGCAAAAAGCAGTAATAAAATCCTGTGAACAATCACCATTTAGCAAATTATCTTCCCCTCTGCTTCAAACACACAGGCAGGCCCACTGACCAGAGTGTACATTTTTTCTGTAGCACTTTTTGGTCAAGGGAATGTGGCTGTGCCATAACCTTCTTCTGTGCTTCTTCTCTTCTCTTCTCTTATTCACCAGAGGATCTCTGGTAATCAGCACAGGTCCTGCTTGATACGTTCTGCATAAAAGTTTATTAAATGAACAGGATAGTACCTTAAGACAAAATTGTCCCTCTGAGGCCAGGCATGGTGGCCCATGCCTGTAATCCCAGCACTTTGGGAGGCAAAGGCAGGTGGATCACCTGAAATCAGGAGTTTGAGAGCAGCCTGGCCAACATGGTGAAACTAAAAATACAAAAAAATTAGCCAGGCACAGTGGCGGATGCCTGTAATCCTAGCTGCTTGGGAGGCTGAGGCAGAAGAATCACCTGAACCCAGGAGGTGGAGGTTGCAGTGAGCCGAGATCGCACCATTGCACTCCAGCTTGGACAACAAGAGTGAAACTCCGTCTCAAAAAAAGAAAAAAAATTGTCCCTCTGATATGGTTTGGCTGTGTCCCCACCCAAATCTCATCTTGAATTGTAGCTCCCAAGATTCCCACGTGTCATGGGAGGGACCTGGTGCGAGGTAATTACGTCATGGGGGCAAGTCTTTCCTATGCTGTTCTTATGACAGTGAATAAGTCTCATGAGATCTGATGGTTTTATAAAGGGGAGTTCCCCTGCACATGCTCTCTTGCCTGCCGCCATGTAAGACATCACTTTGCTCTTCCTTCATCTTCCACCATGATTGTGAGGCCTCTCCTGCCATGTGGAACTATGAGTCCATTAAACCTCTTTCCTTTATAAATTACCCAGTTTCGAGTATGTCTTTATTAGCAGCATGAGAATAGACTAATGCAACCTCTCTCCTTTTCCTTTCTCCATATGTCCCATGAGAGTATAAGCTAAAATAATTAGGGAAAAGGTGAAGTGTGGTAAATATAATATTTTTCTAAGAAGTAACGGCACTAGAAGACAAGCATGATTAATGTCCTTTTGACAATTATCACAAAATAAAAAACAAGAAACACCACAATACAAATATAATTGGGTTTTCAAAGAAACCAAGTTACATGCATACATAGCCACACACTTCATCTGAGAACCTTGGCACCGTTTCTTTTTATTATAGCTAGACACAAGATGCCCAAAGATATACAAAACAAACAATACAAATTTTAAACACTTTTACAAAGGTGACAATATAAAGAAATGAAGACTATGGATTTATGTTTGCAAACATTAATTTCCTTTGAATACTGTCTGGTGTTAAAACCTAACAGTTTACCAGAATTTGTATTTGACACAACTATTTTTAAAATTATAGTGGACAAAACTAATGAAATTCTAATCATCAATAGCCTATGACAAATAACTATTATAATTAAAATTAATACAATCTTCAACTATTCTCCTAAGTACTGTTGCTATAATTTTCTGTTTATTAAAACTTTTTATTTTAGGGAAAAAAACTGACCTTACTGCTATTCCTGGAAAAAGAATTAATAAACTTTCATTAAATATTCAATCTCAACTTTTAAAACTTAAAGCTCTTTATTTCTGCTAATCTGAAACTACTTTTGGTTCACTGCTAACTTTTAAAATATCTTAATCAATGTGATTTAAGGTCATTTTGTCTGCAGAGTGCTCATGTTTTTCATCCTTATACCAAAGCAGTAAGGCAAAAAAGCAGTTCCTTTTCCAAATCAGACAAAGAGAAAATTTCATCCATTTTAAAAGTCAGGAACTAGAACTGCTGCAAATGATCCGACCAACAGGAAATTAAGGCTGCTGTGATTTTCCTTTATATTTAAATCATAAAGTAAGATTAGCAGTGCTATTCCCTGTGAAAGTTGAATTTATAACCTTTGGGCTTGAATCACAGGACATAAATATTGCCATTTCTGTTTATACTTCTAAGACACTGTTTTCACAATCACTTTTGATAAGTTTTTAGATGCAATTAGAAAACACTACACAATGCTGAGAAAGTGCACAACTCTGCTACAACGAGATACATGCTAGAGGTGTAAGAGCAGATTCTAGTGTTCGGTGAGCATTGGCACAGTCTGCCCCAGCCTGGCACACAGATGTACAGGATACACACTACCCAGCATGGCACGTAGTTGGGGAGCAGGGGCTAAGGCCTTTCAATGCTCCAAAGTGTCTGGCCCTTTACTGCTAAAAGCAAGATTCATGGTTTTGCAAGAACCTTTGGGCACCAGCTAGAGTATATCCTGTTTGCTGCAACATTCTTCTTTGAGGCAAGTCCTTCTAGATATGTGAAAGAGAAAAATCATGTAACCTCTCCTATAAAAGATTTCCCAAAATCATTTTCTAGCATGAATGTGAACCAGGCTTCACAGTATATATCTACCAGTATTAGCACCATTATTTAAGCCTGCACTGAGGTAAAGATAAACTCTCAGACAGCTTTGGGTAGAAATTCCAGCAGCAATCTTGAGTGGGGTGTTTACAGCAGCATTCTTTCTGATCATTAAGTTGTATGAAGAACCATTTGAATCCAGGTATATATATACAAGTATATACTGAAGCTGATGATAAAATACAAAGCTAGGCTAGCAGGAGAAATACAGCAAAACAGAACTCTCATTTTAAAATTTAAACTATGTCATTACTGGGTTGATGAAGTCAAAGATTTGATAAAATATACTGAACCAATAGCACAAAGCTGGCTTTATAAACCATCAATACCCAGAAATTTCTTTTTTCAGAGCATGGTCAAGTTTACTGCAGGTGCTACCCATCAACATCCAGAACCTACGTTTAACCAGGTCAGTCTATTTGTCCTCTGCTTGTTACATATTCTGTTTCATAAAAAAGGTGAGTAGCCCTTCCCCAATTATTTTGTATTTGTGTAGGAAAACCTCTCTGGAATTTGTACTTATTTTTATAAAGGATGCAGTGGAAAAGACGTTAAAACTCTGTAAAAAATTTAAAAGGGTACAATATGTTTCAGCAAATGAAAACATAGTTAAGAGATAACCGGACAAAAAGAGGTGATTCTCTAATTTAGTTCCTATAAGCTGATAAGGTGAAACAATAATGTTAAAATAAAACACTTAATGAAAAATTTTCAAATTGCTTTTCCTCTCCCTTTAAAATCCCTCAACATATAAAAGAAATAAGAAAGCTGAGATATATAGCTAGCTTTTTGGAGCAACACAAAACTAATTTTTCAAAGGAGAATAATTACCATTATTTATCAAATAAAATATAACTTTGGAGTCTGAACAGCAATGGAATTCAGCCAGTCTCCAGTTGGAGCTGACCTCCATATTTAGGCAGAAGCACTAGGCCAGTGCTTACTGCTCAGGCAGAAATTTATCATGCAATTTGACCAAGAGTCTTCAAAAATGCTCAGCAGTAGTATTTTCATCTGACTCTGTCGAGATTCAGAAAATAGGAATAACTTCCCCCTGCAACCTATAGAAACATTTTAGGGAAATAGTTTAAGATCTGTACTTAACCTAAAAATTCCGCTGAATACTGAAGACCCTTCTTCAGAAAACACAAGTAGTCTTTCTTCTTTTATAAATCTTCTGGTGCTAACTGCACCTAACTGGTAATATACATGGAGGCATAGCTTAGCTATGTTTGCCAGAACGCTAATTACTATATAAGATCTTTCAGTTCCCTGTCAGTCAGTTCATTCACTTCCATGATCTTCTCTAAGTGTTCCATATATCGGCCATGGTCCTGCAGGAAATGAGGGACCCTCATGTTTTCGGTAACTGCCAATCCTTTTAAGCGATCCACATCTTCATAAGAAACCTGAAAAAAAGGAAGATGAGTTAAATTAAAAATGTAACTACAATGTACATTTTAAGGATGAATTTCTTCCCTGGGCCTTAAATGAAAGTATACAGATCATTTGTCAAATTATTTTAATAGCTGCAAAGTAACAAAAATCAGTGACTTACATTTTCTTCACTGTGTTAAATAATAATGTATTTCTCTGCCCCTTATACCATGACCATATTAAAAGAGTATTATTATTATTTTTTTCCTGAGATGGAGTTTCATTCTTGTTGCCCAGGCTGGAGTGCAGTGGCGTGATCTTGGCTCACTGCAACCTCCACCTCCCGGGTTCAGGTGATTCTCCTGCCTCAGCCTCCTGAGTAGCTGGGATTACAGGCGCCCGCCACCACACCTGGCTAATTTTTTGTATTTTTAGTAGAGATGATGTTTCATTAGCCAGGCTGGTCTCGAACTCCTGACCTCAGGTGATCCACCCACCTTGGCCTCCCAAAGTGCTGGGATTACAGGCGTGAGCCACCGTGCCCAGCCTAAAAGATTATTTTAAAAAGTCAAATTTGATTTAATACTCTACCTTGAACCTACTCAGTTTGTCTAAAAATTAGACAGCCATACTTAATATATTTGTGTGTGAGAGAGACTCTAAAACCAAACAAGTCTTCTGGCTAAATCGAAATAAAAGAATCAAAATAACTAGAATATAAATGACATATTATTAAATTAGAAAAATTAGCACAATTATACAGGGTGAGCATCCCAAATCCAAAAATGCAAAATCTGAAATGCTG
This sequence comes from Homo sapiens, assembly GCF_000001405.40. Taxonomy (NCBI): domain Eukaryota; kingdom Metazoa; phylum Chordata; class Mammalia; order Primates; family Hominidae; genus Homo; species Homo sapiens. Next base: position 36,327,692 of record NC_000007.14, read on the forward strand.
CAAACTTTTGGAGCACCCACGTGATGCTCACAGAAAATACTCATTGGAGCATGTGGAATTTCCAATTTGGGGATTTCGGATGCTCAACTAGTAAAGAATGTAAATACTCCAAAATTCAAAAAAATCCAAAATCCAAAACACTTCTAGTCCCAAGCATTTTAGAGAAGAGATACTCAATCCATATATTAAGTTCCTATTTCTCTTTAATTTAGGATACATAATGATTTGTGATTTGTATTACATCTTCTTGCTTTTATTTTGAATTTTTGTAAAAAAGTTCACATCTTTTTAATTCTCCTATTTAAGAAGCTAGTCTCTCACAGGTACTTATATTAGGTTTAAGGATGAAGCTTTTAAAGTTCTATAAATTATCTTTATTCTTAAATTTTTTTTAAGAGATAGGGTCTTTCTCTGTCACCCTAGCAGGAGTGCAGTGATGCAATCACAGCTCAGTGTAGCCTCGAACTCCTGGGCTCAAGCGATCCTTCCCATTTAGCCTCCCTACAGACATGTGCCACCATGCCCGGCTAATTTGTTTTTGTTTTTGTAGGGGGGGGGGGTCTTGCTATGTTGCCCAGGCTGGTCTCGAACTCCTAGTCTCAAGTGATCCTCTCGCCTCCACCTCCCAAAGTGCTGTGATTACAGGTGTGAGCCACAATGCCCAGCCTTAAATTATCTTCAAATTCTAAAACACAGTTGACTTTAAAAACTATAGTCTTCTGATCAATACTCTTCCAGGCTCAGTAGGAAGGCTTTAGGAAAAGAACTCAGCCCGGTGCCAGTGGCCCACACCTGTAATCCCAGCACTTTGGGAGGCTGAGGTGGGATGATCACTTGAGGTCAGGAGTTCGAGACTAGCCTGGCCAACGTGGTGAAACCCCGTCTCTACTAAAAATACAAAAATTAGCTGGGTGTGGTGGCAGGTGCCTGTAATCTGAGCTACTTGGGAGGCTAAGGCAGGAGAATAATTTGAACCCAGGAGACGGGAGGTTGCAGTGAGCCGAGATCACGCCACTGCACTCCAGCCTGGGCGACAGAGTAAGACTCCATCTCACAAAATAAATAAATAAATAGCCGGGAGCGGTGGCTCACGCCTGTAATCCTAGCACTTTGGGAGGCCGAGGCAGGCGCATCCCGAGGTCAGGAGTTTGAGACCAGCCTGACCAACACGGAGAAACCCTGTCTCTACTAAAAATACAAAATTAGCCGGGTGTGGTGGTGGATGCCTGTAATCTCAGCTACTCAGGAGGCTGAGGCAGGAGAATTGCTTGAACCCAGGAGGCAAAGGTTGCAGTGAGCCAAGATCGCGCCATTGCACCCAGCCTGAGCAACAAGAGCAAAAACTCCGTATCAAAAAAATAAATAAATAAATAAAATTAAAGAACTCATGTTCATATTATATCTATATTTTATGAAGGTTTTTAAAGTTTTACTATTAATATTATTTATTTGGTATTTATACCACTAAATGTAATCAAAATAGGTTTGTTGATATTGGTATGGTTTAATAATTCTTAAACTATTCTTGGTTTATTATAGGAAAGATTAAATATACTGACATTGAGAAACAAGGTTCTCATTTTAAGAGATGGTAAATACAAATATGGAATGGCAGAGGAGGTATGAAAGAATCTTGTAGGGTCTGATGTGAATTGCAGTGCCCTTATGATTTAACAAATAGATATGATTTGCTCACTGAAAAGGTCTAGAAGCAAGAGTACCCCAGTAGCAAGGAACACACCAAGAACTCAGCTCCTGTTTTTAAAATACCAATTAAAAGGAAACAAGACTTCATTAGAGAAATGGCTGATCTGAGATTTGGGTAGGAAAAGTACAAACTGTGCCCAGACATTTTACTGTGTCAGAAAACATGGAGACATGTTTAAGACACAGGCACAGCCATGAAAAAGTTGAATAAAGTAAGTCCAATTAAGTCCATAATAATACTACAAAAACGGGGAGTGACAAAGAAATATAAAAGAATTAGAAGATCTCTATTTTGTTACCACCAGTGTAATTGATTTGGGAAAAGATCATCAAGGGTTATTAGGGAATAGTCCATTCATAAATATCACCCCAAAGACTATTTACTAATACAATGGGGGAAAGGTACTTTTACAATGGGGAGATCTGGTGGTCACTAACTTAACCCAGGTGATCAAACACAGCAGGTTATCAAACACCCAGATGATCAAATGGAGCAAAATGACACGTACTTTCTAATGTGATGCAATGGGAAATACACATCACTTATGTAGTATTCTTGGCAAAAATGTTTAACCTGAATCTCATCAGAAGGAAACAATCTGATAATCCATATTGTAGGAATTCTCAAGAAAACTGTGCCGATCTTTTTTTTTTTATTTTTATTTTATTTTATTTTATTTATTTATTTATTTATTTATTTTTCTGAGACAGGGTCTGGCTCTGTCTCCCAGGCTGGAGTTCAGTGGTACGATCATGGCTCCACTGCAGCCTCGACCTCCTGGGCTCAAGTGACCCTCCCACCTCAGCTTCCCGAGTAGCTGGGACTAAGGTGTGTGCCACCATGCCCGGCTACTTTTTAAAATTTTTTATAAAGACAGGGTTTCCCCATGTTGCCCAGGCTGCTCTCAAACTCCTGGCCTCAAGTGATCCTCCTGCCTCAGCCTCCCACCTTGGCCTCCCAAAGTGTTGGGTTTGCGGGCGTGAGCCACCCTGCCCAGCCCGAGTCTTAACAATGTCATGAAAAAAAACAGAAAGAATGAGGCAAGGGGAGACTATCACAGATTAAAAGAGACGAAGGATTATAACCAAATGCAATGTATAAATCTTGATTGGATCTCAGATCACAAAAAAGGAGCTACAAAGGACATTTTGGAGGCACTTTGGAAAATTTGAAGTGGACTCTATTTTAGATGTTATATTTAATAAATCTCTTTTTATTATTAACAAAATCATGTCGTAATGTCAGAAAATATCCTGTTCTTTGGAGATATTATGGGGGGAAGTGTTTTAGGTGCAGCTTACTTCAAAATGCTTTTTAGAAAAATATGTATACACAAATACAAATAAAACAATATGTATTCCCAAATTTCCTATTCCTTTATCTCTTATTGACCATAAAGAAATTTTACAATTTGGTTATATTACAGAACCAGATTTCTTCCCTCTTGATACGACATAAAGAAAATTTGTTCTGACAATAAACTAAAAATACTGTGAAGCTAAGTCTTATTTAATGCTAAGCTTGAGTGAGGGGAATGCTGATCTGGGGTGTTCGGGGACTATGTGCCATGGCTTCTACTCACCTTCCCGAGAGCAGTCAGCAGATGGAAGTCTATGGTATCTCTGTATCGGAGGATTTGAAGAATTCCATCCAAGTATACCTGGTCTTTACTAAAACACCCTGGAGGAACCAGAATAGTGTTTACTTTCTGATGTTCAGAAAAATTACTAAGTAGATATCAACCCATTCCATTTACTGTAGGAATCAGTCCTGTATTAAAAATATTCTAGTTTGCCAACATTTATTTTTATTTTTATTTAACTATCTTCATTACATAAAATGTCAGGTCTTGGGAAGTGCCAGGATGGTATGCAGACTAGACCCTTAAGAATTCCTTCTCCTCACACATCCTCCCCGTTATTAAAATAACAATTCTTTCCTCACTATAGAGACTGGTAATTTTAAATATATGAGTCTTAGAAATATGATTATCCCACCTTCCCCTACTCCCACCGTTCAGTCATAACTCCCATTGTGCACTGAAGGCATCTGAGTGGGGAGGCCTGAGCAGGATAGTTTTAGAGCAGGTACATCTCAATAAAGGTAGTGGAGAGACGCAGGGTTTTAGAAACTCCTGGTATTTAGAATATTAATAATCCTCACCCTCCATTAAACAAAAACAAACTGTGGTTTTAAAGCATAAATTTGACATTAGTTCCTCTCTATGTAAACAACTAGAACTAGATTTTGGAGAGCATGTAGGTTTAAAAAATAGAAAAAAATGGATAAAGACATGAAAAGTAGAACATTTCATGAATCTGAACGTAGTTAGAAAAGGATGTTCTGTTTACACAGTGAACCTTTTTCCCATCCTGACATAATTTGTGTAATTTTTAAAAAAATTTTGCTCTATTAAATTAATTAAAATTCTACCACATGGAGTCATATATTAAGGAATTATTGTTAATTTGGTTAGGTATGCCAATAGCATGAGGATGATTTAAAAAATTGTCCTAATCAGAGACGCACATTGAAATATTTATGGGTAAAAGGACATGATGTTGGAATTGGCTTTAAAATAGTATAGGAAAACGAATTTGGAAGAATAGACGAACCACAGTTAGAAAATGTTGATAATAGCTATGATCAGGTAATATATTACTGGAGTTCAGCATATTAATCATTCTTTTGTATACATTTGAAATTTTCCATAATAAAACATGAAAAACACAGAAGTATGTGAAAAAAAGAAAAAAGGGACTAGTCTAAAAATGATGAGCCTCCACGGGGTGGGTATCAAAGGCAACATGGAAGCCCTGTGCATCTGGGTACAGAGTACTAAAATCCAGGCAAAGGAATCTAAAAAGAACACTCAAAAATGCCCTTGAAAAAAAGAGTACAAATTAAGAAACATTTGTTTAACAGTCATTTTGAATTTCAGGTTAGTTCAGTATATCAACAAATTTTCTTCTAAGAGTATTGAGAAGAGTATTCTAAGAAATGGCAGACACGTTGCTTATCTGAAATCCCGCCTGGAATTGGCTATGCACACATGAAAGACAGGAGAGAGATGTCCTTCTCTTTCCTGCTTCCTATCTTCCCTGCTCCTGGCTCTAAGGCACTACGCTGTCATACGATTACAACACTAGTATGAAATGTTAATGTGGGCTGTGCTAGCAACATAACCATCACTAATTTGAGTAAGTATTTACCAAGCTCCAAATAAATAGTTTAAAAACCCTCTTAGGCTGGGCATGGTGGCTCACGCCTGTAGTCCCAGCACTTTGGGAGGCCGAGGCGGTTGGATCACCTGAAGTCAGGACTTCAAGACCAGCCTGGCCAATAGGGTGAAATCCCGTCCCTACTAAAAATACAAAATTAGCTGGGCATATTGGTGCATGCCTTCAGTCCCAGCTACTTGGGAGGCTGAGGCAGGAGAATCACCTGAACCCAGAAGGCAGAGGTTGCGGTGAGCTGAGATCGCACCATTGTACTCCAGACTAGGTGATAAGAGTCATACTCTATCTCAAAAAAAAAAGTAGAGACTGCCTCTCTAGATTCTGCCTCTCTGGGCAGGGCATCTCTGAAAGAAAGGCAGCAGCCCCACTAAGGGGCTTATAAATAAAACTCCCATCTCCCTGGGACAGAGCACCTGGGGGAAGGGGTGGCAGTGGGCACAACTTCAGCAGACTTAAACGTTCCTGCCTGCCGGCTCTGAAGACAGCAGCGGATCTCCCAGCACAGTGCTCGAGCTTTGCTAAGGGACAGACTGCCTCACAGCAATAAAATGATCAAAATATTGATACATGCTACAACATGAATGAATTTTGAAAACATGCTAACTGAAAGAAGCCCACCACAAAAAATCACATATTAGATAATTCTATTTCTATAAAATGTTCAAAACAGGTAAATCTAGAGATGAAAAGAACACCAAAAGCAGTTGCTTAGAGCTGGAGAGAGGGGAGGAAATGGGGAATGAATGCTAATGGGTATGGGTTTCTTTTGAGGTAATGAAAACATTCTGGAATTAGACAATGGTGATGGTTGTACAACTCTGAATATTCTAAAAATCACTGAACTCTACATTTTAAATGGGTAAATTGTATGGCATGTGAATTATATCTCAGTATAGCTGTTTTTTAAAAAGTCAAAGACAGAGAAAGCAAAAAAAGCAAAAAAAGAAATGTTAACAATAAGTGAATCCAGATGAAGGGTAGATGGGTGTTCATTCTAAGATTCTTTCCATATTCTATAGGTCTGAGATTTTTCAAAATTGAGCTGGGTAAAAATAATGCTAAGAAAATGTGGTTTGGGAAAACCAGTTCTGACCTCAGGTAACAAAGATTTCATTTTTTTAAGTAAGTGAATTTTGTGATTCAGGGATTAGGATATAAACAAAATCACTAGACAACTAGTCAGTAAGTCAGAAAACCTAGAGTTAAGGGACACCCACCTGGTTGGGAAGTATCAGTCCATCCCCTCTTGGCCCGTACACAATAATCCCATCTTGTATTGGGGTCCTTGACAAACCTGCCAATATCTTTAAAGAGTTCACAAAAAGACATTTGGCTGGCTTGATAAACAGTGTAGTAGAGGAGGGCAGCCCTCCATAAAAAAGGGTCTTTTCTAAACAGAACACTGTGAATGCTTGCTAGTCCTTCCTCTGTGGGATTATTTGGCTTTAGCTCATGTTTTTTACGTCCAGTCCAACTGTTCCATGGCTGCTGGAGGTTGTTAATACCTCGAAAATAATGTGTACCTATGGAGAAGAAAAGTTACATGAAGAAAAAGAAATGCCATTCTTGTTTTAATTCTTCCCCCAAAGTTAGATTCCATCAACAATCCTAAAACCAGCCAGGCGCGGTGGCTCATGCCTGTAATCCCAGCACTTTGGAAGGCCGAGGCATGCGGATCACTTGAGTTCAGGAGTTGGAGACCAGCCTGGGCAACATGGTGAAACATGTCTACCAGAAATACAAAAAATTAGCTGGGTGTGGTGGTGTGCACCTGGGGTCCCAGCTACTCAGGAGGCTGAGGTGAAGAGGATCACTTAAGCCTGGGAGGCAGAGGTTGCAGTGAGCTGAGATCCTGCCACTGTGCCCAAGAATGGGCGACAGACCGAGATCCCATCTCAAAAAAAAAAAAAAAAAAAAAAAAAAAAAATTCTAAAGCCAAATTGATGTGTGCCTACAAATCAAAACAAAGTAGAAAATGACCTGATCCTAACATCTCTTGGGTGTGAAGGAGTACACTGCCTTCAAAAGGATCACATGTCTCAAGAGAGGAGGTATAACCTTTATAACAATTTACTTTTTTAAAGAGAAGAATCACAGACTTAATATTTGAAAAGAACCTCAAAGATACCTTAATTCAACCCCCTCAGTTTAATGTAGGGGAAATCCAGAGCAGCTAAATGACTTTCCAGGTTCAATACACCTAAACACTTCCCTTAAAAAATCTAGTTTGAAATGAGACATAAATACATTAGCTTCAGTCCAAGTGAAGCTCATGACTTCTTGCTAAATTTTCTTCTACTAAGAAAATAAAATAAATACTACTAAGAAAAAACCCCTTCTAAAAGAACATTTCTTTAGAGCTAATTCCTGATATTACAAATAAACAAATGGAAAGGATTGCCCCTACCTATTTCATGCCTCAGCATTCCCTCCAGCCAATGCTCACGTGCAGTGGACACATTGATAGTCAGAGTCGGACATCCATTTACTACTGTCATTGACGCTCGGGAAAGCAGGTCCTCAGTGAGATGAACTACAATCTAAGGGGCAAGAGAAAAAGTACACAGACATAAAACAAAACATAAAGGTAAGGGGAGAAGCTTTCACAGAAAACAATGGGCCTGTAAATTAACACTGTTTTTTGTTTATAACCACCTTAAATCTCCCAGAAACCAAGAAGGAATGTGCAGCCAAACCACCTGTGACCCTTCTAATTTTGACCCTTTGGGAACTCAAGAACCTTCCATGAGTTTAAGGGAAAGTAGATGGCTGTGCTGAGGAAGACACGAAGGACTTAAAACTGTACCTCTGAGGTGTCGTAAATACGCTCCCTGACTAAACTGATGCAGAAGAAGATACAGGTGCCAGAATCCAGCTCATTGGCAGCACCAAGGCTTTGAGACTGACCACTAAGAAGACTAATAAGAGAGGCTTCTCGGGCAAATCTCTTCATTAGCAATTTTCATAAAGTAATTCATCTAATCCCACAAGTTATACAGAAATGGCAGTAAGAAAAACAAAAAGACACTGAACACATCAAAACAATTCAATGCAACAGGAACTTAACAGTATTGAGTAAGAAATCTGGGCGACTAATTTAATGAGTAAAATAGTTGGGAAAACAAAATCTACAGAAAAGAACTACGACTAGGCTGGGTGCAGTGGCTCATGCCTGTAATCCCAGCACTCTGGGAGGCCAAGGCAGGCGGATGACCTGAGGTCAGGAGTTCGAGACCAGCCTGGCCAACACGGCAAAAACACTGTCTCTACTAAAAATACAAAAATTAGCTGGGTGTGGTGGCTGGTGCCTGTAATCCCAGCTACTAGGGAGGCTGAGGCAGGAGAATCACTTGAACCCAGGAGGCGGAGGTTGCAGTGAGCCGAGATTCACCACTGCACTCCAGTCTGGGCAACAGAGCGAGACTCCATTTCAAAAAATAAAATAAATAAAATAAAATAAAATAAACTATGACTGTCAATGACAGTAATTCCTTGTGTTCACTCGCAGTTCATACCTCCCCTAGGCAGCCTTCCTTCATCATGTACTTCCTAACGTGACTCCAGATTCGAGTTTTAGAGAGCAAGCTACCACCAGTGGCTTGTTCAAATTTTTCATAACTTCCATATTTCTGTAAAGTCAGTTCCATAATATTGATAGACTGTAAAAGAAAGAGAGATAATGAAAGTAAACAGCCTCATATTACTTTGAGATGTCATAAGCTAGCTATGTTATTTATTGTGACCTATTCTAGGTTTATTGATTTCCAAATTAAACTGCAACTGAAGTGCCAAACTTTTCTAATCCTAAACAACTTCCACTCATTTTCGCAAATTTGTACAAATGCCTGTACACTTTAGCAATACGAACTCTTCCCCTGTGTTCATTTCTCCTTAACATGCTGACAGAGGGCTCAAGAACTGCGTATCTCAAGTGCTAACATCTGATAGGCTGAGAAGCTGGGGAGAGGGGCTCCTGGCTTCTCTAAGATAATTTGGTGGTTTGGCAGGAGAACTCAGAGTGGAAGGTATGTCTCCACGCAAGTAAATAGATTACCATTGCCCTTTGAATGAGAAAAAAAAAATTTCAGAATTTTAAGAACACACATAAGAATCAATCAGTCTGACCCCAAAAACTATTGAAATAAAAATTTTAAAAAAATTTTTTTAAAGAATTGGCCAGGCATGGTGGCTCATGCCTGTAATCCCAGCACTTTGGGAGGCTGAGGCAGGCGGATCACTTGAGGCCAGGAGCTCAAGACCAGCCTGGTCCACATGGTGAAACCCTGTCTTTACTAAAAATATAAAAAAATAGCCAGACATGGTGGCACATGCTTGTAGTCCCAGCTACTTGGGAGGCTGAAGCAGAAGAATCCTTGCACAACCCAGGAGGCGGAGGTGGTGGTGAGCCGAGATCGCGCCATTGCACTCCAGCCTGGGCAACAGGAGTGAAACTCCATCTCAAAAAAAAAAAAAAAAAAAAAAAAAAAGCAATCAGTCTTCTGCAACAATCTATCTATTTTCCTGGGCTACTCTTTGGCAGAAAACAAATTCTCAACATTAATAAAAATATCTGTATCTTTCAGTCAAGGCAGGATATTATCTACTTTTCATTCTTCATAAATTTTTGCAGCAAAGGAATAAGAAAGTTGAGATATTTTTTCACATATGCACAAATTAACACACATATGCAGAATGGAGAACTAAAAATAACTGGTAAGGAATCACAAATTATCAGTATCTATGGGAAAGTCATAGAAAGGAACACCTGAGGAAAAAGAAAATTGCTTTTCAAAGGCCTTTTGGGAAAAAAAGCTACAAAATTCAACTCTATCTTACATGAATTGTGTAAGAACCTAGGGAATTCATATACATGTCATATAAAGTCTGTAGTTTCTGAGCTGTCAGACTAGTGAAGAGATTACATGTACAAGATCTGGAGTTGATGCCATGGCTCTGTCCTCTTCTGGCTGTGCTATCGTGAGCAAGTCACTAAACTTGTTTATTACTCTTATTATTATTATTATTATTATTAGACTAGTCCAGTGCAGCAGTGAGAAAAGGGAAAAGAGTAGAGCAAGGAGTTTGACCTGTAACTGATGTGAACAATCAATTGAGATAACTCACTACCTTCTGACTGGCCTCAGCCTCCTCATTTGTAAATGAGGATAACAATAATAACATCTACTTCATGGTTTTATTGAGAAAATTTAGTTAACCTTTATAAAGCATGGTGTCTGTGACATAATAAGTAGTCAATACATATTATCTATTATATCATCATTGGTATGTTACCACTGAGGACTAAACTCTGATCTTTGTTTTCCTCTCTTGCCCAAATTCCTATCTAAAGGGCCAGCAGGCTCATGCCCTTTAAACCATAAAATCTCATAAGATGGGTCTTATTTAACCCTATATAGTGTGGCTTACTTTCCAACCTGACTCTGGCATAACATCACAAGACTGATAAAGAAGGAAATAAAAATATTTTACCCCAAAATATGTTTCTTTGCCATATTTTGAAATGGCCCTGCAAAGCTCTTTTGTGGGGGTAAATTCTGCATCTGTTGAATCTCTATAACATAACCTGACCTTTCCCTTTCCAGGCCCTCCCAGTCCTGAAGACATCAACTGAGAGTCTAGCACCTTTTTAATGTATTTATATATTTTTGTTTCTCTGGATACAGTGTCTTGCTCTGTCACCCAGGTCGGAGCACAGTAGCGCGATCATGGCTCACTGTAGACTCAACCTCCTGGCCTCAAGGGATCCTCCCATCTCAGTCTCCTGAGTAGCTGGGACAACAGACATACACCACCATGCTGGCTAATTTTTAAAATTTTTTGTAGAGACAGTCTTGCTGTGTTACCCAGGCTGGTCAATTCCTGGCCTCAAATGATCCTCCCACCTCCACCTCCCAAAGTGCTGGGATTACAGGTATGAGTCACCATGCCCAGTCTCTAGCAACTTTTATTTTTATTTTTAATTAAAAAAAAAATAGAGACAAGGTCTCACTATGTTGACCAGGCTAGTCCTGAACTCAAGGTCAAGTGATCCTCCCATCTCAGCCTCCCAAAATGCTAGGATTATACATTTTAAAGGTTTGAATAAGAAACATTTGTCATCTATTATCTCTAAGGGTGGCCACCTATGAGACTTCATCTATGTAATAAGAACCTTGGCCTCTAGCCTCCCTTAACTTAAACCAAATACTCCTTTCTATTGATTCCAGGTTTTCAGATAACTTAACTCTTTCAATCAACTGCCAATCAGAAAATCTTTGAATCCACCTATATCCTGTAAGCCCCCTCTTTGAGTTGTCCTATCTTTTTAGACCAAACCAATGCATTCCTCACATGTATTGATTGAGACATAAGATGTTTCCCTAAAATGTATAAAACCAAGCTGTAACCCAACCACCGTGGACACATCTTCTCAGGACCTCTTGAGACTATGTCTCAGGCCATGGTCCTTCATATTTGTCTTAGAATAAACCTTTTTTTTAAGTATTTTTACAGTTTGTCAACACCATTCTCTATAAATAACACCACTGTAGGTAACATGCCTGAAACAAAAATTACAAGAAAGCTCACATACTGCAAGTCATAATTCAACATATATATCACTAATTGAAAAATATACATTACTAATAAGCTAGGCATATATCATTAAGTTATCATAATAAGAAATGGCTTCAATAGGCTTTGCCTGGCTTCTGGTCCCAAAACTGTTACTGAAAGCCTTGCTATTCAAAGTATAGTCTGAAGGCCAGCAGCACTGGCGTGGCATGGGAACTGGTGCCAAATGCAGATTTTTGGCCACTTACCACCTTCATGCCTATTGATTCAGAATCTGCATTTTAACAAGATCCCCAGGTGATTCAAGTGCATGTAAAATGTGAGAGGGATTTCAGAGAAGGGCAAATACAAGTGCTCCAGAAGCTGATTAATCCATATGACAACTAAGACAATTAAAAGCACAAATTAGCATATAATTAAAAACCCATTTTAGCAGATTAGCATACTTTGCATACACTAACCTAATAGTCACCAGTTATCCATGTATCAAAGAGTGAGAAGAATGTGACAAATGTGGCCTGAAGAATTGCAGAAGAGAAGTGGTACCTTGTATTAATATATTGAACTGTGAAGACTTAAAAATGGTTAAAAATTATCTCTAAGAAGTATTATGATTTCTGCTTATAGATATTTTTTTTATTTTCTTGAAACGGAGTCTCACTCTGTTGCCAGGCTGAGGTGTAGTGGCACGATCTCGGCTCACTGCAGCCTCCACCTTCCAGGTGTTGCCCAGGCTGTTCTCAAATTCCTGAGTGATTCTCCTGCCTCAGCCTCCTGAGTAGCTGGGATTACAGGCATCTGCCATCATGCCCGGCTAATTTTTGTATTTTTTAGTAGAGATGAGGTTTCACCATGTTGGCCAGGCTGGTCTCGAACTCCTGGCCTCAAGTGATCTGCCTGTCTCGGCCTCCTAAAGTTAGTGCTGGGATTATAGGCATGAGCCACCGCGCTTGGCCTGCTTATAGGTCTTTTAAAGCATGTACTTAATTTCAGATAAAATTATAATAGCTTTTCTAAGGCATATGCTTACTCGGTAGGAAAATGTGGTTATCTGGTTATTTCTTGTAGCAAATATAAAAGTCTAGAGAATTATGAAAAACTTAAATACACGTGTTCCTTGTTATCACAGATCTCAGAATGAATGACTAAATCAAAGAATGAATAAAAGCAGTGGGATTTTTGTTTGTTTCTTTGCTGAGGGAATGCATTTCTTCTATCACAATGGTACATAACAGCATATCACCTCCTTTGTTTCATCTTGACTTGCACGGCACCACCATAGCGTCAACACTTAATGGGAGCTACATCAATGTTCCTAAAAGGCAATCTTAATATTCAGCTTTAAATATTACATTATATTCAATCACTCTTCTCTGAATGTCTAGCCTTTCATTATCTTGATTCTTTTCTTCATCAGTTTTTCAACTGGTCCAACACAGACAGACTTATCAGTGATCTGCAGCATCCTTCACTGATCCTAAGAAGTAACCTCCCCCCATCTGCATTATAATATCCTACAGCATAGAGATAGCGACAGTAGCTGAATTGGTGAAATAAGTTCAAGCTTGAAGAAAGAAATCACGTTGAATGGCAATGAGTCAATCACTTCATCAGTGAATATTTTGTTACAATGATTTCTGCTTCCTTATACAACTTCTTAACTGCAGGCCAGATATTTTGAGTCTAATCCCAATTTTGGAAAAAGGAAACAGTAGCTTTAAAAGGCACAGGGAAGCTTGGAGGAATATACTGAAAGGCTGAAGTTCATGTCTGGGAATCAGATGATTGATGGGTTACACTGATGTTTATTATTTGTATTTTTTCAGAAGTTTTAAAATTCCTCACAATATGTAATATGTTAGTGCTATGATCAGAAGTAAAAAGTTATTTTATTTTAAAAGGGAGAAAAAAGGTAGTTTATCCGCTCCCCCTAGAGTTCAGAGAATCAATGTTTACACCACTTGAAGAATCAGGCATTCACACACCTGCACATGGGTAACACTTTTAGAGGCAATAAATTTCATGTCAAACCTCTCTCTTCTCCATTATATCATCACTTATGTTAATAAGAAAAATACATCTCCCAATATAATATATAACTCCAAAGAAAAAGAATGGGTAAGAAGAAAAAAGAGATGTGATACATTGCATTCCGGGATATGTGGTTCCCTTACTTGAAGTCCTATAGCCAAAGGTAGACTCCTGATTGTAATACATCATGGGAAATGCAGGTTTTAATTTTCTGCATTGCTATAATCTGAATATTTATGCCCCACCCACATTCTTATTTTGAAATCCTAACCCCCAAGGTGAGGGTATTAGGAGGTAGGGCCTTTGGAAAGTGATTAGGTCATTAGGGTAGACCCTTCATGACTGTGATTAGTGCCTTTATAAAAGAGGCCCCAGGGCTCTTTAATACAGTGGCTCATGCCTGTAATCCCAGCACCTTGAGAGACCAAGGTGGGATGATCACCTGAGGCCAGAAGTTCAAGACAAGACCTATGCAACATCTGCCTCTAAATAAAAGTGGCCCCAAAGAGCTAGCTAGCCCCTTCCACCATGTGAGGACACACAGCCTTCTAAGGTGCCTTCCATCAACTAGCAAGAGGGTTCTCATCAGACACCAGATTTGATGGTGCCTTGATTTTGGACTTCCCAGGCACCAGAACCATGAGAAATAAATTCTGTCATTCATAAGCTACTCAGTTTATGGTATTTTGTTATAGCAGGCCAAATGCATTTTTTTGGACTAAGACATGCATTTCCTGGAAAATGGTCTAGAATTTACCTTAGATTCCTTAAAACACTAACTTTCAACTTTTGTTTTTAGCAGAACCTTTTTTCAGACAAAATCTCACAGAACTCCACCTTAAACTTTAATTGTCTGTTAGAAAATATTTCAGTGTTTGTGGAAGCACTAAAACACACAATGTTTTGGTGGAGTATAGTTTGTAAAACACTACATAGGTCTTTTTTTTTTTTTTCTGAGATGGAGTCTCATCCTGTTGTCCAGGCGGGAGTGCAATGGCTTGATCTCAGCTCACTGCAACGTCTGCCTCCTGGGTTCAAGCGATTCTCCTGCCTCAGCCTCCCAAGTAGCTGGGATTACAGGCACCTGCCACCATGCCCAGCTAATTTTTGTATTTTTAATAGAGATGGGGTTTCACCATGTTGGTCAGGCTGGTCTTAACACTCTTTCATCTTTGTTCTCATAGTCATACTAAAATATTGCAGAACACCACCACATGAACGTTTAGCAGGTCCCTAAGCTCAGGAGCCTGGACCAGGAAGCTTGAGAAATCAACTCTCAGGAAGTCAAGACTCTGAAGACTCCAGTAGAGACATGACTCCTTATGCCTGTCTTCAGACCAGTCTTAAGCCTGGATCTGGTGCTTCTTAATCACAGATGAGTAATTTTTTTGTTTGTTTTGGAAACAGAGTCTCCCTCTGTTGCCCAGGCTGGAGTGCAGTGGTGCGATCTTGGCTCACTGCAACTTCCACCTCCCAGGTTCAAGCGATTCTCCTGCCTCAGCCTCCTGAGTAGCTGAGACTGCAGGCGCATGCTGCCACGCCCATCTAATTTTTTTGTATTTTAGTAGAGACAGAGTTTAACTGTGTTGCCCAGGCTGTTCTTGAACTCCTGAGCTCAGGCAATCCGCCTGCCTCCATCTCCCAAAGTGTTAGAATTATAGGCGTGAGCCACTGCGCCCAGCCACAGATGAGTAATTTTTACAAAGATACATGAGCTCTGTGAAGAACTGTGATGTTCCAAGGAAATAGGAAGCATTACCCTGAAAACTTAAATGAAGAACATACCTCTGAAAGAATATTAGGTTAAACCAGATGACACTGCCATCTTTGTAGGTCAAAATGATTAAATATGAATAATTTAAAATGGTCCAACCTAATACATTCTGCAGGAAACCAATAAAAATTTAGAAAGTAAAAGCTTCATCTTACAAATTAATAAAACCAATAATAATCTTCAAAAATTTTCTTAGAAGCCAGGCATGATAGCTCAAGCCTCCCAGCACTCTAGGAAGCCAAGGTAGGAGGACCACTTGAGGCCAGGAGTTTGAGTTCAAGACCAGCCTGGTCAATATAATGAGACCCTGTAGGAGAGGAGAGGAGAGGGGAGCAGAGGGGAAGGGAGGAGAGAGGAGGGGAGGGGAAGGGAGGAGAGAGAAGGGGAGGGGAAGGGTGGGGGGAGAGGAGGGGAGATGGGAGGGGAGAGGAGAGGGGAGGGGAGAGGGGAGGGGAGAGGGGAGGGGAGAGGGGACGGGAGATGGGAGGGGAGGGGAGATGGGAGGGGAGAGGGGAGGGGAGGGGAGAGGAGGGGAGGGAAGGGAAGGGAGAGGGAGAGGGAGAGGGAGAGGGGAGGTGGAAAGGAAGGAAAGAAGGAGAGAAGGAAGGAAAAGAAAAGAAAAAGAAAAAGAAAAGAGAAGGAAGGAAAGAAAGTAAAGGAAGGAAGGAAAGAAGGAAGGAAGGAAGAAAGAAAAGGAAAGAAAATAAAATGTTTAAAGAAGTATAAAAAATTATCTTAGGAAAAGAGAAAAAAGGTCAAAATGAGAGGGAAGGTGAGACATGTGAAATGCATATGGCTAATATGAAGTCTGTTAATTATAAAAACGAATAAAAGAAAACTAAAATAAATGGTTCAGAGAAATACTCAAAATTAAGGCAACTTTTCTTAGCAATAAAAAGACCTGAGTAAAACTGATCAGATGGCCACTTCAGATCACTGGTTGCCTGGAGACACGGTTCAGGGAAAGAGAGTGACAGCAATATATACCTAAAATGAGTAAATTTTATTGTCTGTAAATAAATAAAACTATTTTCTTAAAAAATGCCATTATTTCTAGGTAAGTTAATAAGAAGAGAAGCACTCTGAGACACATCAGGATGTCTAGAATAACCTGCACTGAAAAAGAAACACTCTCCTCTGAACATCTCACTAACTAGCCTCATTCCCACAGGCTGTAGGCAAAAAGCTCCCTAGAGTAAATGACTAACAAAACTGTTTCTCTGAAATAAAAAAGTCCAATAAGGAACAATCTAAATATTCAAGTTAATTACTATACACCTATTATATGAAAAATATGCAGGCACTGAAACTGATGCTGACATAAAAAATGTTGATGGTTTTTAATGATATGAGAAAATGTTTATGATAAGTAAGTGAAAGTACATTGACCACAATTATGATCATTAAGCATGGGAAAAGAAAAATACTCTCAAAGGTCAATAGTGGTTACCTGTGGGTGGTAGAATTATGGGATTCTTATTCTCCACACTTTTCTAAGTTTTTATACTGAATATAAACTACTTTTCTAACTGGAAAAACAAATGGTTAAGTGCCTTCTACTTTGGAATCTCCTGGCCTTTCTATTCACTATCTAATTACCTTTTCCCATTTGCCAGGTAGGCATTGATATCCCTTCTCTGGAGTATTTGCATTTAACAAAGAAATACATGAAATTGTTTTTAAATCTTAAAAATTCAACTAATATTTTTCTATAATAGATTTTTAGGTAGGGATGATTGTTAGCAGGAAAACAGTTGGTATATTTTGCATTCTTGAGGTTAACTCATGGAACAGAGAGCCACTTCCCTAAAAATCCAGCCCAGATTTGCCCACAGATATCAAATATATTCTTTGCTTCCTTCCAACTCTAAGAATAGCGACATAAGTAGAAAGCAATGTAACATTACAAATTTTCATAAATCAGTTTTAAAATTCCTAGAACCAGAACATCTTAATGTACACACACCTATCCCTATTGTCCAGGTCTCAGCCTCCTAGTCCGCATGAATCTGACTTTGGACCTTCCCTTTGTGTACATCTTAAAATGTACTTGGCCAACTCCTCCATTACCTTGTTAGAAAATAGTATAACGGAATCTACTCTTGAGTTCCACAAGACACACTGTCAGGTAGGATAACACTTCTTGCTAAAACTGATGTGAAACAAGCAACCAAATACATTTTTGCCTTTTTAAAAACATTGAACAAAAAAACCCATATTTTTACTAAATTGTTATTATCTCTATTCACAAATCAATCATTTCTGAATCTTTCCCACTTTATAGAATGAGAATATATTTTTAAATTTTTAAAAGATTTTTCTTCACCAGAAGCATACAGTTGAAGAAGAGAATATTTTAAATAAACCTTTGCATATCTTATAGGCATCAAAACAAATTGATTTTCAGAGACCTGGAATCTAGAGCAAAGAGGAAATAAAAGCAAAATGAGTAATTGTTCTCTCCTCACCTGAATGTCACTTACAATGCCACACAAAATAGAATAGCACCATTATTCATATTACAGATCTGTCATCTCAGGATCCTGAAGCACTTTTATTCTCCTCTATTAAAATTAGAACAGTATGTAATCAAATTATTTTCAAACAGTGGGGCTGGGACAATTGGATATCCACATTTAAAAGAATGGAGTTGGACCTCTATCCCATATCATATATAAAAATTAACTCAAAATGGATCCAAGACCTTAACCTCTTAAGAGCTAAAGCAATAAAACTCTTAGAAGCAAGCATAGGCATACATCTTCATGACCCTGGATTAGGCAATGGGATCTTAGATATGACACCAAAAGCACAAACAACAAAAAGATAAGATGGACTTCATCAAAATTGTGCTTCTAAGGATACTATCATAAAAATAAAAAGTGACCCAAAGAATGGGAGAAAGTGTTTGCAAATTTCATATCTGATATCTAAAATATATAAAGAACTCCTGCAACTCAAGAACAAATAACTCAACTGAAAAATTGGCAAAGGATCTGAAATAGGCAATTTTCCAAAGAGGATATACAAAATGGCCATTATTAACCATCAGGGAATTGCAAATCAAAAGCACAATGAGATACCACTTCACTCCCACTGGGATGTCTATAGGAAAAAAAAAGGGCTGATGAGAACGTGGAGAAACTGGAACGCTCACATGCTGCTCATGGGAAACTAAAATGGTATAATCACTTTGAAAAACAGTCTGGCAGTTCCTTAAAAGGTTAAACATAGAGAAATTATATGTACTAACAAGTCCACTACTAGATGTGGACCCAAGATAACTGAAAACATTTGTCCATAAAAAATGTGTACACAAATGTTCATACAGCATTATTAACAGCCAAAAAGTAGAAATAACCCAAATGTCTATCAAATTATAAAAAAAATAGAATGTAGTATATTCATACATGGAATATTATTCAGCAATAAAAAATGCTGATGCATGCTAGAACACAGCATGGATAAACTTTGAAAACATTATAATAAGTGACAGAAGCCAGTCACAAAGGACCACAAGGTATTGTATGATTCCATTCATATCGAAAGTCCAGAACAGGCAAATCCAGAAAGTCAGAAAATAGACTGGTGGTTGCCTAGGGCTGGAAGGTTGGTGAGATGGGGAACGATTGCTAATGGGTACAGTGTTTCTTTTTGAGGTGACGAAATGTTCTAGAATTAGTGGTTATAGTTGCACAACTCTAAATACATTAAAAACCACTGAACTGTACTCTAGTTTTATTTATTTTATTTTACTTTTTTGAGACAGAGTGTCGCTCTGTTGCCCGGGCTGGAGTGCAGTGGCACGATCTTGGCTTACTGCAACCTCCGCCTCCCGGGTTCAAGCGATTCTCCTGCCTCAGCCTCCTGAGTAGCTAGGATTATAGGTGCCCGCCACCACACTAGGCTAATTTTTATATTTTTAGTAGAGACAGGGTTTCACCATGTTGGTCAGGCTGGTCTCAAACTCCTGACCTCATGATCCACCCACCTTGGCCCCCCAAAGTGCTGGCATTACAGGCCTGAGCCACCGTGTCCGGTCTATTTTATTGCTTATGATTTTTTTTAGTTTAGTTTTACATTGCAGGAGAACTGCATACTTTAGTATGACATGTGAATTGTATCTTAATAAAGCTATTTTTTTAAAGGGAAGAGTAATCGAATAGCATAATTTAACATTGAAATCACTAATCTAGAAAAAAAAGTTTTCTATATAAAACTTTCAACACTTAGATAATAAAGTTTCTGAAAAATCTCAGTATTTTGTTTAATGACAAACTTTTGGTTTACTTGCTGATTTTGTTTAATGTTTAGCAATCTGGAAACCTGACCATCAATCATGTGCTAAAAAACTATCTCCCTTCTCAACTGCAGTTTTCAC
This sequence comes from Homo sapiens, assembly GCF_000001405.40. NCBI lineage: Eukaryota > Metazoa > Chordata > Mammalia > Primates > Hominidae > Homo > Homo sapiens. The sequence goes on from NC_000007.14 coordinate 36,347,398, forward strand.
TTAATGAAAAACTACATACAATGAGGACACCAGTATGATAGGGGGTAGGATAATGCTGTGGAAACACTAGAAGTCAGAAGACCTGGTTTTACATTGGGGCCCCACCATTTGCTGACTGTGTGCTCTTAGGTTTGTCGTTGTACCTTTCTCAGGTTTAGGTTCTTCACTGGCAAAAGGGAGATTAAAATCTCTGCCCTATTTACCCCACAGAGTTGTGAAGACAAAATGAAAGCATGGAGGGGCTGTGAATGTGCTTATTTCCCATATGACTGTAGAAAGTACTTAAGTTTTAACAGAAGATCACTGGGTTTTAATTTCAGAATTTAAGGTAATTGGTTTGCCCTCCAACTTTTTACTCAAGGTTATGTTTTTCCTGCCTTACTAGTTAATATACCACTCCAACTCTCCCTTCATTCCTCTCCTTTTCAGAAAATTCTAGAATCTAAAACTTCCCCCCCAAACAGAATAATCCCTAGGATCTCAAGACAGTCCTTTTCTTTAAGCCAGTGTTTTCCAGACTTTCTTGAGGGAAAGCAGTCAACAAGATACTGTTTTTTAAAGGTTTCAAGGCCAAATTATAGTTTGGAAAATATTAAACAAAAGACTCCTCTAAGCTTTTATTATGATACTATGTGTGGTGAATGTTGGAGATGAATATAATATTCTATGTCTTCCAACACGTATGGCTCCTTTGCTTAGGTGGTGCGCCTCAGAACAGTCCGAAAATGGTTACTTCAGATAAGCATGGGATATATATACATACATATACATATTCTGGCTCTTTAAGCTTCTCAGAATGAAAAGCAAGATACTAAATGAGTTTTTCAATGCTGGTCATTGCTTCCTGGTAGCAAATTAGGTACATAAAGATTTGTGATTACTCAATCAGATCATTAGGCCTCCATTTAAGGTATTGTAGCCACAAACTAATGGGACAGTGGTAGTCACACACTAAAATCCCTTCAGCTGTAAGCACCAATCACTGTGTAAAGCTACTGATTATAAGACATCTGGAAGAGGCAAAAGAAGAGCATATTTACATTCCAATGCTTTATAAAACACTGTGCTGGCCAAACAAAACATATATGCAGGCTGAACTTGACCCCTGGGTCACAAATTTGGATCCACTGTTACAAAGTATTTCACTACATTTTTAACATACCAGCAAAAAGGACCATTCATTTATCTAGCTATTCCTCACCTTCTATGTGACAATCACTGTCACTTTTATGCAGTTTTATATTTTAGAATCTAAGTCCCTGTTCTACCATTAGACTGGCAGAGATGACATATAAACAGATCCAATGTAGTAATACTTTGATGGAATTATAAATAAAGTATTGTGAGATCATTGAAAAAAGGGAAATAGAAGTAGGGGATTAGAGGAAATAGAGGACATTCCATGCAAAAGGGGCTAATATCATCATAAGCATATAGAAACTAAAGAAAGTGAAATAGAGCTTGATTTGACAAGACTGCAGGGTTCCTGGGATGGACAGGCACTGGGAAACTTGTTTATTCAGTGCCAGGAACTGCGCTCAATTCTGGGAATAGCTGAAATAAGAAAAACAAAGAAAAACACACTTCTCTCAAGGAGGTTGGTCTGTGGATAAAGACAAACAAGAAACTGAAGGATGGTAACAGTGGATAAATGCTGTGACCGATATTTACGTGGGATGCTGTGGGAGAATACAGTTGACCTTGGTATAAGGCCTTGCAGGCCATGACAAAGATTTTGAACTTTATCCTAAATTATGAGGAGCCCTGAAGTTTTTTTTGAAGAGGTGAGATGATCAAATTTGCATCGTAGGAAGACACTGACAGCAGTGTGGAGAGCAGGGGAGAGACAGAAAGGAGCAAAAGTACTTTTGCCAACAATCCAGTTTTCTGTAACGTGAACTGCAGACTAGGACCAGATTGCAATAAAAAGAAACAGACCAAAATATTTCAAAATATTATAGAATTGTAATAAAAAGAAACAAACCAAAATATTTCAAAATATTATATTCTACCTATGCAGAACCTAGAAAATAAATACATCTCAGACACTGACTGTGCCTTCAATGAATGACACAGCCAGGCAAAGAATTAAGTTGTCACCTGTAACTTATCTGACCCTCCTTGCCTCCACACACCCACCCCACACCTTATACCCCTCTTGTATTCTCGGCTGAATTTCTGTGTTATCAGGGCTGGGAGTATTCTGGATGTATAAAAGGGTGAGTGGGAAAATAAGAGGGTAACTGCTATGAGGATAAGATATTTATAAATGCCTAAATACCGCAGACTATTCTTTCACCACCTACAAGGGGAAAAGCAGATATTCAACCTGTTTTGTTGAAAAGACTTTGTTAAGGTAAGAACCTGAGAATGTACATGTTAATCAAGTTTTCAAAGGCAAATCAACAAAGCCTTTCAATGAGTCATCAAGTTCATATCTTCTTCCAAGGACATATAATCTGATGGGGGAGTTTCCATCTCTGATCTGTGAAAAAATCTTTCTTGCTATTTAGGTTAAGAAATAACCCCAGTTCTCCGATCTAATACACAAGGCTACTATGGAACATACTAAACTCAAAATTCTAAAAACCTTATAACTTCAGTGTATCTGTGAAAGGTTTGTGATTTGCTAAACAGAATATCATGTCACCTAGGAAAAGGTATAATTTAAAGAAGGCTTACTTTTTCCTCCCCTTCATTGTTTTGACAACCTGAGGTCTACAAAGATAAAATAATATTTCAATACTAGTACAATTATAACTTAGCTTTAAAGAAATTTTACGTCAAGACATCCTATTAGTGAAGGCAATTTATTTCCAATTAAATTTTTTTCTATCAAAAGAGAAAAATGAACATTTGACCTGTTTTAAAGCACAATAATGTAATATTATATATGTACCTATTATGTGTTTTAATATAACAATGAATTGCCTATTCCATTCACACTATAAACGCTAAAATCAAAAGACTGTTTTCAGAGGATCACATTTAAGTCTTTGCCATACTAATCATTGATTCTAATAAAATGGAGCCTATGTGAAATAGAGCTGGTGAATCAGAGGTAGCAAAATGGCAATCCAAGGGGAAAATGTGGCCCACAGAGAGGTCTTCATTGGCCTGGACGGACTGTGTTCCTTTTTTTTTTTTTTTTTTTTGAGACAGAGTCTCATTCCGTCACCCAGGCTGTAGTGCAATGGCATGATCTTGGCTCACCGCAACCTCCACTTCCCAGGTTCAAGCAATTCTCTCAATCCTCATCTCAGCCTCCGAAGTAGCTGGGATTACAGGCATGCGCCACCATGCCCAGATAATTTTTGTATTTTTCGTAGAGACAGGGTTTCACTAGGCTGGCCAGGCTGGTCTTATAGACATGAGCCACCATGCCCAGCCTCAGCCTGTGTTTTAACTGACTTGGGTATCAATGTTTACAAACTGGAAGACTTCATATAAAATTCAGGTTTCTACCTTCCCTTGAAAATCTCACAGATACTGGTTCCAAACTGTGGCTCAAACAAAATAACTGCTGATTTCCAATTTACTACTATACTCAGCCAGTTTCATTTATGATTTTTGCCCAGATCCTACAGGCATCTGAGTTTGTGAACCTATATACCATGACTATATAGTTTACTAACCAAGGAAGATGAAAATCAGAATTTACTTCCTAACATAATGAAGTTGGTCCACATAGGTACTTACTTTCAAAATTTGAACTCTGGCTGGGTGTGGTAGCTCACGCCTGTAATCCCAGCATTTGGGAGGCCAAGGTGGGTGGATCACCTGAGGTCAGGAGTTCAAGACCAGCCTGGCAAACATGGTGAAACCCTGTCTTTACTAAAAGTACAAAAATTAGCTGGGCATGGTAGCCCGTGCCTATAGTCCCAGCTACTCGGGAGGCTGAGGCAGGAGAATTGCTTGAACCTGGGAGATGGAGATTGCAGTGAGCCGAGACTGCATAATTGCACTCCAGCCTGGGTGACAGAGCAAGACTCTGGCTCATAAATAAATAAATAAATAAAATATGAAGTCTATAAATGCAAATGCACTGCTATGCCATAGAGTGTTGTGTGCTGTGTTGCTCTGGTGTAGGGAAAAAGGGGCTGTCAGAATCACAGTCCTTTCCTTTTCTCTATTTTGGCAGAATGACCGCCAAATAAGAATGAAACCTCTATTTTAAATATATCTGAGGTTTCCAATAACTCTACTAAGTTACTCTTGACAGCACAGAACTATTAACTTCCATTAAGGTAGTAAAAAAAAAATTTAGGGCCAGGTGTCGTGGCTCATGCCTGTAATCCCATCACTTTGGGAGGCCGAGGCAGGTGGACTGCATGAGCTCAGGAGTTTGGAACCAGCCTGGGCAACATGGCAAAATCCTGTTTGTACAAAAAATACAAAAATTAGCCAGGCATGGTGGCACATGCCTATAGTTCAGCTACTTGCGGGGCTGAGGTGGGAGGATTGCTTGCACCCAGGAGGTCAAGGCTGCAGTGAGCCATGTTTGCACCACTGTACTCCAGCCTGGGTGACAAAGGGAGATTGTTAAAAAAAAAAAAAAAAAAAAAAATTTAAGATACAATAACACAAGGAAAATAAGTTTTTCCACTCAAATAGACATCTATCGATATCAAATGTACCCTAACTCTTAAATTATATGGTTGTGATGAAAATGCCTTTTTTGAGAAACATCAAACCCTTTCTTAAAATTAAACTTTTCACTGGGCGCACTGGCTCATGCCTATAATCCCAGCACTTTGGGAGGCCGAGGTGGGTGGATTACCTGAGGTCAGGAGTTCAACACCAGCCTGGCCAACATGGCGAAACCCTGTCTCTACTAAAAATACAAAAAAATAGCCGGGCATGGCAGCGCACGCCTGTAATCCCAGCTACTTGGGAGGACGAGGCAGGAGAATCGCTTGAACCCAGGCAGCGGAGGTTGCAGTAAGCTGAAATTGCACCACTGTACTCCAGCCTGGGTGACAGAGTGAGACTCCATCTTAAAAAAAAAAAAAAAAAAAAAAAGAACCTTTCTTGCAGCTTTCTTTTTCAACTCTTACTGCAACTATACTGTTTCACTCATGGATATGTCTTTTTATAATAAATCAAGATATATCACTCTTAATGTTTTATTATTAGAAAGACAGTATGGGCCGGGCACGGTGGCTCATGCCTGTAATCCCAGCACTTTGGGAGGTCGAGGTGGGTGGATCACTTGAGGTCAGGAGTTCGAGACCAGCCTGGCCAACAGATGAGGTGAAATGTCGTCTTTACTAAAAATACAAAAATTAGCCAGGCATCATGGCGGGTGCCCATAATCCCAGCTACTCAGGAGGCTGAGGAAGGAGAATTGGTTGAACCTGGGAGGCTGAGGCTGCAGTGAGTGGAGATTGCCACTCTAGCCTGGGCAACAGAGTGAGACTCCCATCTCAAAAAAAAAAAAAAAAGTATTATGTTTGTAGTTAGTAAATTACGACTTTGTTCTCATCAGAACCTCTGCTTGCTCTGAGACATATGGTGTTCTGGCTTTTCCTGATTGCTGTTTTTCTTCCCAGAAGGTGCCTTGTCTATGCTTTCCCCTCAAGATGCTACAGGTCAGGCCCGGCGCAGTGGCCCATACCTGTAATCTTAGCACTTTGGGAGGCCAAAGCCAGAGGATCACTTGAGCTCAGGAGACCAGCCAAGACAGCATAGTGAGACCCCCCCACCTATCCAAAAAGTTTTAAAAAACTAGCCTGGTGTGCTGGTGCACGCCTGTAAGTCCCAGCTACTGGGGCTGGGGGCTAAAGTGGGAGGATCGCTTGTGCCCAGCAGTTCAAGGCTGCAGTGAGCTATGATCACACCCCAGCTCTCCAGCCTGGGCGACAGAGCAAGACCCTGTCTCAAAAAAAGATGCTACAGGTCTTTTGGTGACAGGGCTAATTTTACAGGTGAGCAATTGTTAATATGTAATCTTCTGAGAGTAAGCTGTTCATGAAAACAGCTGTTTTTTGTTGGCAAAGCTTTAGTACTAACTTTCTGTTTTTCACCTTGGGGGAGAATAGAGGGGTTGCCAGAATCATGGGAAGATACTCCCTGTTTATGCTCTTTTTTTTTTTTTTTTTGAGACAGTGTCTCACTCTATGGCCCAGGCTGGAGTGCAGTGGTGCGATCTCAGCTCACTGTAACCTCCACCTCCCAGGTTCAAGCGATTCTCCTGCCTTAGCCTCCCAAGTAGCTGGGACTACAGGCGCCCACCACCACGCCCAGCTAATTTTTGTATTTTTAGTAGAGACGGGGTTTCACCATGTTGGTCAGGCTAGTCTCGAACTTCTGACCTCAAGTGATCCGCCTGCCTCGGACTCCCAAAGTGCTGGGATTACAGGTGTGAGCCACCATACCCAGCCTCCTTGTTTATTCTTAAAGTATCCATTTTACTTGAAGATAGGCAATTTACATTTTTCTTTATTAGAATAAAGATACAATATGAAGTATGATGCAAAACTCACATGAACTTAAGATAATATGCAGATTTTATCTGAAGTATTTACTGCTCAAGAGCACCACTAAGAATCTACTTCTGACCCACTGGTGAGGATGCACCTGACCCCAAGTAGCTTTCTGCAGGCTCTAATTCCAGATCCCTTCCTTAGCACCTATGAAGCACTGTACTCTTTCCTGCAAAGGTCCAAAGCCACAGAAAACAGACATCTTGAGTTTCTGTCAAGTTTAAACGTCTCTAAGAGTCAGGAAGCTGAGGCTACCATGGCTGCCAGCATGCAGCAAGCCAGGGCTCAGCAGGCTACACCTAGAGTTATATTCCAGTCCTGCAGCCTGCTGTATGTCCTGTATCACCTCAGTGGTCTGAGTGCCTCCCTAGGGACATACTGCCTAGACCAAAAAACCTGAGGCCTGGAACTCCTTGACAATGATGGGGAGAACAGAGCATGAGCACTGCCTCGGTTCCACTGTGGCAGACTTATCTGTGCGCGAAAGTCTAGCATCATTCTGCTAATCTGTGCACTTAAGAGGACCACAATCATCCTCCAAAACAATACAGATTGCCTGTTTACCAAGATTCAGATTGTGAAACTCAAGAGACTGTCAGCTGTGGATTGGCAAGGCCTCAAAGGTAGAAGCCAGAGACCATGGGGCTAGTTGGCCATCCTGGCCCCTTTGGGTATCATGTTTCTGAGTCCTGGAGACCAGCCTTGAAGCTGCTGCTTTATCTAAGGAGGAGATGGATGTATGATATCATGTCATTATTCACTCGGTAGCTGAAGAAGAATTTAAGTATATTTTCCCAGAGGTCTTGTACCATGTATTTCTTTGATTAAAGTGGTTTAAACAGTATACTTGGCATTTATTGAGAATATTCTCCCAAATGGTGGCATTTGCAGTACAAGTCAGCTAAGATTGCTAGTGCTACTTAGAAGTCTCAAGCAATTCAAGTGTAGGATTAATCTCCTAAAGCTGGAATTGGATCAAAATTAAAATTGCAAAGCCACAGGCTAAGCAATGTCAACTCTCAAACTGTGGGGCTGCTGAGGCTCCCAAATTGCCTTCCAGAGAAATCAAAGAGCATTCTTTTTCATCTAATGGTTGGAAATCTCTTTCCCAACAGGTAGGGGTGGGGTAGGTCTCCAAATTAAGGAATACTGGTAAATAAATCTCAGCCATCTCTTTCAGCATCAGGGGGAAAATGCAAATAGGATTTTTATCATTGTAAAATTTATATTTGTGAAAGCCTTGTTCAATCGACTACAATTTCCACACACACAAAAAACCACATGTAAGAATGGCTGCCAAATAGAAATAAAAATAACAGCTAACCTCTTTATTAGTGCTTTGTAGGTGCCAAGCACGATGATAACTGCAATATATGCACTAAGCATTCTCTCATTTAATTATCAAAATAATCTCCTAAAGTAGGTATTTTCTTTACTCCATTTTACAATGTGGAAGTAGTACAGCCTAAGAGTGGATTATGTAATCACTATGTTAATGCTGCCTTCTCCCATCCAGAAGTGCCACTTTATATTAGTAAGTTATCAATTTGAATCACAATTTTTAGCACAATCTCAGCACATTTTTTAAAAAGCAAATACCCATTAAAGAATACAGAAGCAGAAGCAAAGAGACCCTAACAAAGGAAAGTAAATACCATGATTAAAATTATTTTAATCTTTACATAATGGCTTTACATAATTAAGTTTTACATAATGGCTTCAAAAGACTGGCCAGATTCCATGTTATCTATAATAAACAGCAAAATATCTGCTGGCCGCAAGACCAAATAACTATTATCAGCAAAAATGCTAAAATAGGACATGCACCACAGGCGAGAGAACCATGCAGTTTTACCTATCCTACAAACAGATTTTCAGTCACTGACAATGCCAAGTTGAAGCTAATATATTATAAAAACCTGAACAAAGTTAATTTGACCAAATATTGTCGGCCTTTATGATCTCAAAACTATGCCCTGCAGATAAACATTAGCTAATTTCTTCTCAAATGCTTAAATGAGGTTCTGAAATGTATTATAGCCCTGTAAAACACAAAACTGCTAAGGGCTTAAAGTGAGCAATTTAAAAGTATTATTCATAACGTTCACATCATAATTTGCTAAACTTGAAGATAATTTTGAAAATCCCATTATTTTTATCTTTGAATAAGTGCTTAAATATTTATTTGATGATGATTAACAATTTCAGTGAAGCATTAACAAGTTCATGGACAAGAATCAAGCTTCGGTTCCCAAACTACTTACCGGAGCCTAAGCAAGCCAGGAATTTAACACAATAGGAAGAACCAGGGATTGCATGCTCCATCTAAGACATTAAAAAATCAATTAGAGGCCAGGCATGGTGGCTCACACCTGCAACCTCAACACTTTGGGAGGCCAAGGCGGGCAAATCACTGGAGATCAGGAGTTCAAGACCAGCCTGGCCAAAATGGTGAAACCCCATCTTCACTAAAATTACAAAAATTAGCTGGGTATGGTGGCGGGTGCCTGTAGTCCCAGCTACTCGGGAGGCTGAGACACAAGAATCACTTGAACCCAGAAGGCAGAGGTTGCAGTGAGCCAAGATCGTGCCACTACACTCCAACCTGGGCAAAGAGCAAGAATCTGTCTCAGAAAAAAACAAAAAACAACAAAGAAATCAATTAGAAAACAAAAACGTAGTGTGGGCTACCCAACACTTGTCTGTAGGCGGCTAAATTGGCCACAAGTTTGTAACTCCCACATGAAAGCTTAGAACCAGAATCTGAAGCTGTCTTCCTAATATAATTGCTTCCTGTCACAAAGAGCCTATATAACAGATTATAAATTTTGATGAATGCAATGGAGTTTATATACAGGTAATACTCGTCTTGTCGCACATTTACATGTCCTGAGTGGGAATTAACCATAACATAGAAATAATTTGAATATTTTTAAATGTCTTTGTTTTTGCTTATAAGATCACAGATAATTGTTTTAGTACATAAAAATGAACTACCACTATTGAAATGGCATTTTACCTGCTTAAGAAATCGGTCAGATGCGTGGCTATGCTTAGCTAATACGCTTGGCAGAGCAGGATTGGCATACTCAAACTGAGGATTGTAGGTATAGTCAGATTTGAAGAATCTCAGTTTTTCTTTCTCTAAGTTGGTGGGTTTTATAGCAGTCAATATACAAAATTTCTTCCCAGAAAAGTCATCTCCCTTTTCAAAGCTTCTAGACAGCTGAGGCTTTGGCTTTGGAAGAGTGGAGAAATGGCACCACTTGACCTTGCTTTTGGGTTTAGGTGGCAGTACTATGCCATTCCCTGTAACAGAGATATCATGTGTAAACTTTACAGGACTTGACACTGAACTAGTGACAAAAACAGCAGGCCGCCTCTCCAGGCAGTACCAAGTACCACTGCTTGTCACAGGCACCAGGGCTTTCATCCTGCGAGGATCTTTGCTACGAGAAGTGTTAGGAGATTTGCTGGGTTTTCTACATCTTTTGGAGTAGGTGGAGGAAGACTGTTTTTGTGAATGATACTTTTTTTCCTCCTTGCTCTGTAGTAGGACATTGTAACTACTGGTTCCAGTTGTGAAAATGTCTTTTAGCACTCCCGAGGACAAATGTGAAATGCTTCTTTTGTTGTCAATGATCAATGAATCTTCTGCATTTAGAATAGACTTCTTAGCAAGTTCTTGCTCAGGCCAGTGAAGCTTTTCTGTGTTAATAAACAAAATCAAAACAAAAGAAATAACAAAGATACCAGATGAAGCAAACTGTTTATTAGGAAAGGTATTCTGAAGATTCTATAAACTTCGTAATTTTGCAGTAATCATTAGAAAAAAACATTTTAAATATTAAAAGGATATATTACTAAACTTTGGTCACGCTAGCTACTGTCATTTCTCTTCTCTATGAGTATATATAAGTTAAATTATCTAAAAAATCCTCAGCTTCAAACCACTTAGATGATCAAAGTCTAATATGTGAGATAATATACATAAATAATCTGAATACTTGATTCTACAAAAGAATGTAGATTTTGGCTGGGCGCAGTGGCTCACACCTGTAATCCCAGCATTTTGGGAGGTCGAGGCAGGCAGATCACTTGAGCAGGAGCTGGAGACCAGCCTGGCCAACATGGTGAAACCCTGTCTCTACCAAAAAATACAAAAATTAGCCAGGTATAGTGGTGCGCCCCTGTAATCCCAGCTACTCAGGAGGCTGAGGCATGAGAATTGCCTGAATCCGGGAGGCAGAGGTTGCTGTGAGCTGAGATCGCACCACTGCACTCCAGCCTGGGTGACAGAGTGAGACCCTATCTTAAAAAAAAAAAAGAATGTGGATTTCATAGAAATGATATATTTTAAAATAGTATTTTCTATAATAAAGTAAAATCCAAGGCACTTTCAAAGACAATACAATCTTGAAATTTGGAAATATATATAAAGGTAGCTATCAGTAAAAGGACAACAAAGCCTTATTTACTCAAAAACCATTGTTAAGATTAAACAGATGGCATCTTCAAGCATGTTTTAGTAATGTCGCTTAGTATGAATAACTGGTTGATTTTCTTCATAATTCTAAGCTGTACGTTAAGGTTAAAGAAAAACAAGGGTTTTTTCTTGGCAAGTTAGAAAAACAAATTTTAATAACTATTACAAAGGTATTAATATATCAAATGGCAAGTGAAGGAGAGGGCAGCTTTGTTTTTAGAACTCACAAGTGCTTTAAACAGATAAGAATCACTGGATATACTGTTGTGCATTCACTACTTTAAAACTGTGTTGATCTGCATTCTTTCATTCAACAAATACGTAGAATGCTACTAATTCAGCACATGGCTCTGATAAACAACTGTATAAACACATTGTTCTTACCTATAACCAGCTTCTAATCTGGCTCTGAAGACAAGGCATTCCTATGAAGATTTCAACAATAATACAATGTAGTATATAATTAAACATGAAAAACAAAAGACACAAACAATAACCTACAGTTCAGATGAGGAAGGAAGCAATATGAAGAGAAACAGATGAGATTTCAAGTAGGCCCTTAAGGGTTTTCAGATTCAATTCTAAACTGATGAAGAGTTTGTCTTAAATACATCTCATCTGAACAAGACTCCAGCTCAACTCCTGTCAATAAGTGTTCACTGAATAAACAAATGAATAAATAAATGACCCTAAACATGCAATTCTGCAACCATTCTGAATAAATATGTACTTGTAGTTCTGGGACCATTCAAATATGAGATAACTGCAGACCTGAAAATATAACAGGAAAGACCCTAAACCAGTAGTTCTTAACAGAAGGCAATTTTACCCTCCAGGGAACATTTGGCAATGTCTAGAGACATTTTGGTTGTCACAACTGGGGAGAGGGTATTGACATCTAGCAGGTAAAGGCCAGGGATGCTGCTAAACATCCTTCACTGCATAGGACAATCTCCCACAACAAAGAAAGATTCATTCCAAAATGTCAACAGTATCAAGGTAGAGAAACTCTTATCTAAATGTTAGTTTTTAAAACCCAGGAGTCACAGAGTCTAGGGTAAAGAGACAGTACTAAAGTAGATAATAATCCAAATATGTAAGGTATTTAAAAGTCCTTTTACTTACATTTTCTAGGCCAGCATGTGAAATCTGAATTTTGGTGTCTAAAAGATAACATAAAGGTATTTCTAAAGCTTGCAGGGGCTAAATGTCTATTATATGTGTAAGTTTAGAGATAGGAGCTAGATCACATAGGGTCATGTTGAAGACAGGTTGTACAAAGAAGCTGTTCAATAAATGTTAAAGACTCAACAAGACAAAATTAACTGGACAAATAAACAAAACGTTCATCATAGGCTGGTAGCTCCCAGTTTCTCAGGAGTTTCATAGACTTACGTGTTGCCAACTAACAGTCAAAACTGAGCAGGCCAAGCAAACAGGCTAAGGAATACCAGGACACAGGCTGTAGCCCAAATGCCCAGGAATAATGTCGGTTTCCCTCAAACGACACCACAAGCTTAGGAGACAAGAGGTGATAATGAAAAGAAAACCGAAATAGATACAAAAAGGGAAAGACTGAAAGAACTCAAATAAGCATAAGCCTAGGAAGTAGGGTAAGGACTAGGTGTAGCCGGAAACGTAAAGGGAGGAAATCAGGTTGTTTTCTCAGTTGATCTTCGTAATAAAAAGGGACAGAGTTACACCAAATTAAAATCAATAAATAAGACTACTCTGAAGAATTTGTTTTGATGATTCATTACATATATGTTGTACTGATTTTTTAAAAATGAATACTCAATGTGAAAATGCTCTGTTTTCTAAGACCTAGTAGCTTTACGACCAAAGAACTGAGCTTGCTGAGTTTTTTGTCGTAAAGCATCAGTGACCTCCAAATTCATAATTTTGTGCCATCTGAAACAGCCTACACATTTCCAGATACTAAAAAAAAACGTCCTAAACCACCTGTCAAAATACTCAAGGAGGAATGAAGTATGGCAGCGGGGTGACAGTATATGCCTGACAGAACCTCTCTCCCCAGGAATTACAGCATTTCAGTTCACTTGCTAATTATCTCCTGAGAAGCTTAGCACGAGTCCTTTTGAAGCTCCATCTGCTGCTGAATAAAGTTTGGGAGTGTTAATGGTCTATTTATTTTACAAATGTCAATCCTGTTAAATGCTGGATAGCCCATGAAGTTCATAAAAGTGGGGCACATGGTCCTTCACGCAACTCATACAAGATGGATATAAATTAATTTCTCAGAGTCACAGTAATTGTATTTCAGTTACATTAAAAAGTATCATAGAACCTAAGAGATTGTTTTTGTAATTTTAAATACTATTGCTTACTTTGTGAAAAAAAGACTTTTGAACATGGTTAAGAACACTAAGAGGCCGATAACATTTGACACAATTTATTAAAGAACATCCTATTCTCTGAATCCTTTTTCCTGAAAAATTAAAACATTTTAAAAGCATAAACAGACTTATTTGGAGGAAGTGTAACTCGTGTTTTCCCAGAAAAGTAATAAGGTAATTAAAAAGCATACTTTCTCACATTAAAGGTAGTCATTATATAATGTAAAACTTAGCTATAAGCAATCTGTTTCACTATATTGGAGAGAATGAAAATAATTTGTTGATAGAAGAAAATCGTTCACCCCAACCTGATTACCCATACTGAGGAAAAAAGGGTAAATAATATTTGTACATTAAAATTGATAGTCTATTCGCAAGTAGGTGAATATACTGAAGTTATCAACACAATGAAAACTTAGTATATATCTAGAACAGGAGAAAAGGATACCAAGATTCCTGACATCCATTCCCAGCTCTTTCAATGACCTCTCTGTAATATTAGCCTAATCATTAAACCCATCGGTACCTCCCGTTCCCCATCTAAAAGAATGGGGGAAAAGGGAGACACTGCTCTCTAAAAGTAGTGTTTCACAACTGTGAGTAGGTGAGGTTTCATAGTAATCAGGAGGTCTCTGGCTGAAAAGGAAGATCACCAGAAACAAAGCCTGGTGGCAAATACTATTCAACCAGTTTTGACCTACAAATGGAAATTTCGTATGGTTCACTAATACTTACGAAACCTGAGAATCTGGGATAATTTTATACCACAAAACAATAGGTTACTTCATTACAAACAAAAGAAAGGCCAAAACAAAACAAAATAATCCCCAAACAAGATAAACTTTAATTTTATCAAGACTTTCATTACTAAAAACTCAAAAGAAGCTAGGCACAGTGGCACATGCCTGTAGTCCCAGCTATTCAGGAAGCTGAGGCTGGAAGACTACTTGAACCCAGGAGTTTGAGTCCAGCCTAGACAACATAGCAAAACTCCAATTCTAAAAAACAAATGAACAAACAAACAAACAAAAACACCTCAAACAGTATCAACAGTAGAAAGGATAAATTGTGGTACGCTCATATAACAGAAGACTATACGACAATGAAAAGAAAACTGACGTTGTAAGCAACAATATGGATGTATCTCAGACAATGTTGAGCAAATGAAGCCACATCAAAAGATTTTATAGTGTATAATTCCATTTATATGTACTCCAAAACAGCAAAACTAATTTATGGTATTAGACGTCAGAATAGCAGTTACCTTTGAGGGATGAATCACAATCTAGGAGGATACCAGGAAACCTACCAGGTGCTGGAAATGTTCGCTATCTGTTCTGGGCAATGGTTATGTATGTACAAAGTCATTGGGCTGCACATTTAAGACTTGTAGACTTTATTTAAGTTACACTTTAATTTTTTTAATGGTGTATAAAATCAGTATCCTTAAAAACATATTTATTGCTCAATTTGTCTGCACTATAACAGATAATCTATTAACTATAGTATCTCTAAATTCAATAGCAACCAATGTAGTTTATCGACTGTATGAAAATGAGACGAAAGGCACTGCTAATGTCATTCAGGAATTCAGAAACTTGACTGTACTTTAGGATTCTTAAAAATTTCACAGCCCCAGGTAAGAGCAATTCAGTGCTGCTCTATTAGTAACTTATAATGGGACACTGTTGTTTTGGGGTCAGAAACTTGTGTGTTTGTTGTTTTTACAGTTAGAAATACAGAGTAGTCTAGATACCCTTGATGGTGATGGTTGTGGTAAGAGTGAGCATTATACATCATCTAAAATAACACTAAATGTGCCAGAAACAAACTTTCCCATGGCTTTCCCTTGGGATGGACAAAACTCCTAACCATGGTCTATGAGGTCACTCTTGGTCAGATCCTTCTGCCTCTGCAGCCTCACCTCACACTGTGTTCCTCAATTTCTCCACTCCAGCCTTCTCTCACTTTGACCATATCTCATACTCACTATGCTCTCTCCGAACATACTTCTTCACATGCTGCTCCCTGTGTCTGCTGGGCCCTTCTATCCCTCTCTTTGTTAGATTAATATCCACTCATCTTTCAGTTCAAATAGCACTTGGTCAGGAAGCCTTCCTTAACTTTTTCATTTTAGACCCTCATAACACCTTGTATCTCTTCTTCGAAGTACTTTATCATGGTTGCAGGTTTATATTTGTTGTATGACAGACTTCGTCAACAATGAAATTATAAGCTCTTTTACAACATACATCTGTGTTTGGTTTTGCTTATTCACTGTCCTGCTTATGAAAGGGGGGCCAGAGAGGTAGACAAGGGAAGAGAATATTTGAGAGGAAAGAAAGGGTAAAAGACTTAGTTGCCTGACGGTTGAGGAAAAAATTATCCCAGGAAGGTAAAAGAAAAATGAAACAATTAGTGATGTTGAAGACAACATGGTAGGTACCTGCTGCTGTAGGACAAACAGGAGCTATGTGCCTAGGTATATTCAACCTGTATGGCCTAACGATGGCCTTAAGACTTTCATTTCCAGTATTTTTAAACATTCATCTTTGATATAAAGACACTTCATTTCTGGAATGACTCATTAATCTCTCCTTATATCACATACAAAATAAAGCCGATAGGCAATCATAAATGAACATAATCTTATATGGTTTCTCACAGCATTTTGTTAATGAATGAACTAGATGCGTTCTATTTTGAAAACAACAAATTTTTATTCAAGTGAAATATGATTTTCCCAGGTAAAAATTATTACATACTTGCCTGTGATTAAAAATCTAAAAACCAACAGTTGAGCAAACCATCGGATAATGTCACACTGATATTACATGAAATCTTGATGTTGGATTTTGTGGCTCAAATCAGTGTACAGTCACTATAATAGTGAGCTGATTTTCCTAGCAGTTGACAACATGGACTTTGGAATGGAGTTGTCTGGTATGAATCTTGGCTCTGTTTATTAATAGCTATTACCCTGACCAAGTTACATAACTTCTTTGTGCTACAGTTTCCTTATCTGTAAAATGGGATAATAATAATGCATACTTCATAGTATTATTGTAAGGATTTTAAAAGTGAATATGTGTGAAGTGCTGAGAACAGTGCTGGACTATAGGTAAGCAGCCTTTGTTAACTATTATTAGTATCACATTAAATATTATATTCAGCTCCTATAGAAACACCGCATGGAAAAATGTACATAGGGAAATATTCTGAATCATTAAATTTGAATTCCAAGGCAAATTTCATGTTAATAAGGTAATTAATCTATATTTTAGAATCAAGATTTTAGTGGCTTTGGTATAATAAACCCTTTTTTTTTTTTTAAATCCCGGAAGCTAAAGTAGAATCTTCTTCTTCTTTTTTTTTTTTTTGTGACAGGGTCTCACTCTGTGGCCAAGGCTGGAGTGCAGTGGCAATCCTGACTCACTGCAACCTCTGCCGCCTGGGCGCTCAAGTGATACTCCTGCCTCAGCCTTCCAAGTAGCTGGGACTACAGGCGCAGGCCATCATGCCCGGCTAATTTTTTAATTTTTTGTAGAGATAAGGTTTTGCCGTGTTGCCCAGGCTGGTCTTGAACTCCTGAGCTCAGGTAATCCGCCTGCTCTCCGCCTCACAAACTGCTGGGATTACAAGTGTGAGCCACTGCACCCAGCCTCAGAACCTTCTTCTTTAAAAGGCCATGAGAAGTCAAAAAAACCTTTTCTGATTTGATTCCATTTTTAAACAGCATAGATAGCATATACTAATAAGTCAAAAGTGGGTAAGATATTATATAGGAAGGATTTCAGAAACAAGTAATTGCTTCATTCCTGAAATATAAAATGAGTCTGTTCTATATTTGTAACGACTTTTAGAGCTGAAAAAAAAATGAACACATTTCCATCAGTACTCTTACCACAATCAAGTTCTGCTAACCAGAAAGAAGAACATGGCCATCTCAGATATCAATGAATCGTGAGGGAATGACCAGGGGAGAGGAGGGCATGTTTTCAGCTTAACTCTCTACATGAAGTTTCTGGCTGTCCAAACTGGGTTTTTCTGATATCGCAGTGAAATGCTGGGCACAGGGCTCTAGAATTATTTCAAGCAGTTAAGTATATTTAAGAGAGAAAGTAGTCTGAAAAATGACCCAGTTATTTTTAAAGGAATTGTAAATTAGAGGCTTGCATGGTCTCAAATGGCTATTTGAACTTTATTGTACTATAGAAATTCACTGCCAAATTGTCTACCTCAGGGTTTGCAAACATACAGGGTTGGATTCATAAATGTACTGCCACTAAATTATAGGAAGGGAAATGAGACAAGAGGAGTGGGTCTACTACTTTCTAAAGTATCTCTTCTCAAACTTCTAACTCAACATGTTGACATATCAAGAGATCACTCTGCATGACTAATTGATCATAGTATCTACTTTCTAATACTAATATTAATTTATTTGTATCTCTACAATGATTGTTATGGTTTGGGAAAATAATTTTAATCTATGTGATTTCTCAATGAAATAATGTGCACTGTGACAGAATCTATATTTTTCTTCAAGGCATTGATTCTCATGGAGAAGGAGATGTTGCCCTACCCCTCACCCCTGCCCAATTGTGATTTTTAGTTGTCACAATTATGGGGGCGGGGCAGAGAACAGCATCCCACAAGGAAGAACTATCTTGTCCAAAGTTAACAGTGCTAGGCTGGGCACAGTGGTTCATGCCTATAATCCCAGCACTTTGGGAGGCGGAGGTGTGAGGATCACCTGAGGTCAGGAGTTCCAGACCAGCCTGGCCAACATGGTGAAACCCTGTCTCTATTAAAAATACAAAAATCCGGCGGGCGTGGTAGCATGCGTCTGTAATCCCAGCTACTCGGAGGCTGAGGCAGGAGAATCGCTTGAACCTGGGAGGTGGAGATTGCAGTGAGCAGAGACAGCGCCACTGCACTCCACCCTGGGCGACAGAGCGAGACTCCGTCTCAAAAACAACAACAACAACAAAGTTAATGGTGCGGAGGTTGAGAAACCTTGCTCCATATTTAGGAGGTATGGTACTTTTAAGTAACTTTTGACATTTTAATTGTGTTTTAAGATGAAAGTAGCATCTACATCAAATCACATTTTTAAAAATTCTAATGCCAATTAAAGTTGCCTTTTCGATCTCAGATCCTGGAACTATGTTTCCTGTCAACATAAATGATATACATCGTGGCAACGTCATGATTTGTGACTGCACAAATCTACTCCGTATAACACTGAACGTGAAATAAAACAGTATAAAATTAAAATCATAAATATTTTCACTGGAAAGAGGTTTGGTTTTTCAGTTAGAATGCTCACAGAAAAATAGTCTGGTAGGTACTGCATTGCTCTAAAATGTAAAATTCCGGCTTTATTTTGGCACTAGTTTGAGGAGTATTTCCCTTTACTCCGTTGTTCTTCGTCATAATTCTGAACTGCCAAAACCCTGCTTGCAGAAATGTTTGCGTACAGAATCAAATGCTGGGAAAATGGCCTAGAAAATTACTCTAATATTATGTAAGGTTTTTTTTAATAGCTAACACGCATAGCGATTTACAAATAATAAGAGTCAAGTTCTGTGCTCCCAGAGATTGAACTGAATTTAAAAAAATGCAGGTAAACTTCCAGACTTTCTGACCTGGGGTCTGTTTAAAGACCCATGTTTTACACTTGGTATAATCCGTACTGTAAAATGGCCTATTAATAATATCAACTCAAAACGTTCTCACTGTTTAAGAATAAAAGCATACACACACAAATATACACAGTATAAATAATGAAATATACAGATGTGTTCTTTCGCTTAGCTTATTTTTTCTGAACATTCTAGAAAATTATGAAGCTTAATCACACACCTAGCGTGTTTTGAAATAGGATTTAACAATCTTTGGATTGTACCTTTGTAAGACCAGCAACCGGTCTAATATTACAATCTTTTCCACGAGATTCCACAGCAGGTACTTACTGATAATAAGTGACGAAAGGATAAGGGGCCGATTTCTCTCTTCCCTCCACAGGTTTTTCGCGAGCGCCTCCTGCGCGCCCCGAAGGGGTCGGGGCGCAGGGTGGAGTCCCGAGCGGCGCGCCCAGCCGGTGGCTACCATTACCTGAGCCCCGGGCGGCGGGACCCCGGTCCGCCCCGCACCCCCGCCGCGGCCAGCCCTTCCCGGCACTCACCCGTCACGCGAATGGACTCCAGCATCGTCGCCCCGAGGCCCGGGGCGGCGGGCTCCGCGGGCTCAGGGGAAAGGGCCGCGCAGGGGCGGGCGGCCTCTAGCCTCTGACCCGGGCCTCGGTGGCGGGGGCGCGGCGGGAGGCGGCTCTCCGCTACCTGGAGCAGGATAAGGAGGGTAAGGGCGGACGAAGACGTACCGACACTGACTGTGAGCAGCGCTTCCACCAGCCCGTAGCTACTGGAAGGTACACACGGCGGCCTTACGGTGCCCAGCAGCGCTTAGAACCTGCCACCGTGACGTAGCCGCTCCGCCGGTTGCTAGGAAACTGCCCCCGGGGTCCGCGCGCGCTGCGCTTCACGGAGCCTGCGCGCCGCTGGGGGCGCTCGTGCGACGAAGGCCCGCGGGCGGCGAGAGAGAGTGGGAGGAACTACAACTCCCGGCGTGCACAGCGCGGGCCAGTGCCTCCGGGGCTTGTGGCTGTGCCCGCGAGCGCGCTGGGGTCTCCAGCCAGTGGGTAACGCATATTGACTGATCTTTCAGAGACGTTTGTACCCGTTCAAAGGTGACTTAACTCCATGGTGCGCTGTGACACTCGGCCCTAGCTGCAAATAGCAAAGCCAGTCTACCCGTCCTTCCCCTTACGAGGTGCGGGGAAGCTAAAACACGTTTAGGATGAGCTAGTAAGAGTGGAAAGTGCAGGAGGCTCAATGACCACTTGACGGTACCTCAGCATACTATCCTTAATGCTGAAATTCACATTTTAGCTTGTGATTGTGCAATTGATAGGGGCTGAATGTTATTTTCAGTTTATTATTCATTTTCACATTAGCAAGTATGAAAATTTAATCTTTTACAATAACCATGGGAGGCGGGCCACGGTGGCTCATGCCTGTAATCCTCGCACTTTGGGAGACCAAGGCGGGTGGATCGCTTGAGGCCAGGAGTTGGAGACCAGCCTGGGCCACATGGCGAAAACCCATCTCTACTAAAAACACAAAAAGTGAACAAATCGTGGTGGCACACTTCTGTAGTCCCAGCTACTCGGGAGGCCGAGGTGGGAGGATTGCTTGAGTCCGAGAGGTGAGAATGTAGTGAGCCATGATCGCGCCACTGCACTCCAGCCTGGGTGACAAAGTGAGACTAAAAAAAAAAAAAAAGTACGGTGGGAATGGGAAATGTAGACTAAACCATTCAACAAACATTTTTTGAGACCCTAACGTGTGCAAGGTTCTGAGGCAGGCTTTGAGGATATCAAGGGAAATGAAATAAGCCTAGCGGAGCTTACAGTTTAGGAGGAGCTGAGATAGTGCTGGCAACTGTCAGTCTTCAGACAGTTAAATTTTCTCTTCATCCTCAAGGCTAAGACATGGAAATAATTGGGGTGTGTTTTCAAACTCAGGAACAAAAGAAAGTTGAATATCAGGACCGTCACACCCTGAGAATGACAGGCAACTTGTGAGAAATTGTGTCTTTTTCATCACTTAGGAGAGAACAATGGAAATGTAACTATATCACAAAAACTGGATAACCTCACTTCATATTCTGTCTTCAAATCCTGTGACTACTGTTTTCGAAATACATCCAGAATCTAGCCACTTGCTACCACTCTGGTTCAAGCCACCACCACCTCTTGTCTGGATTATGGCAGTCTTCTAGACAGTCTCTGTATTCCCACCCTACCCTCTTTCACACTGTTCTCAAAACTCATTGGCCAGAGTGAACCTGTGAAAAAATCAGATCATGTCACTCTGTTCAAAATCTTCAGTGGCTTCCTTTCCTGTGAAGTCCTTTATGACCTAGCCTCCTGTCACCTCTTTGATCTCATCCCCAACTACTTCCTCCCCGATGGATACACTGGCCTCTTTGATATTCCTCAATTCCAGGCACTATTTCACCTCAAGGCCTTTGCAACTTGGAATCCTCCCTGCGTGGAATGTTCTTCCCTCAGATATCCGCAGGACTAGCTCCCTTACTTCCTCAGGACTTAATCCAAATGTCACCTCTTCGTGAGCCCTTCCCTGGCCACTCTATTTAAAATTCTACTCCTTCATATTTCCTATAGCCCTTCTCTGCTTTATTTTTTTTACTTAGCACTTAACATTATCTAATTTATTATATATTTTATTGATTTATCATGACTGTTGTCTGTCTCCATCCCTAGAATAAAATTTCCACAAGTGCAGTGATTTTTGTTTGTTCACTGCTATATTCCCACACCAAGAAGAGTGGCTGGCATGTAGTAGGTCCTTAATAAATATTTGTGAATTAATGAATAAGTAGACAACAGAAAGTGTGTGCATTTTCAATGATAACTAAAATAATATAGAATTATATCAAATGGACCAATAGACGAAGAACAAATCTGCTTTGAGTTAAAACACTTGCTATAGTAATGAGCAATGAATCTGCTGCATTTGTAAGAGTAGTAATTCTTGCAACATATGTCCTAAGGAAAAAGGCTCTAAATTAACCATGCTGTTGGCTTCCTTATATACCCAGAATTCTGAAAGCTGTTTTCCAAGTTTGCTATAAATGCATCTATTACCTCTACAAATTTCTAGTTTTTAAAGTCACAGTCACTGCAGTTTAAGAGCTATTTCTCAAAAAAGAAAGCCTCCTAAAAGATGTTACCAAGTCATATGTTCAGTGCTTTTACTAAAGTATGTTTAATCATATTGCCTATTTTCATTATATTTTAAGTAACCAAGATACATATTATCTTCCTCATTCCACAGGTATTTATTTATATAGAAGACACTGGGCTTGGTGTTTTTGGAGTACATAACAAAAGATGATACCTATCCTCAAGGACAGTCCTGACTAGCAGGGAAGATTTTCTATAAAATACATATATGTGTGTATATATATATACATGTATACATACATATAAAAATTAGAAAATGATGTGCATTCTAATTTCAACACTTCACTACAATTAAGAATTCCAAAAATAAACAAATTTGATGCCTCTGTAGTTAGCCTACCTGGAATATTATATCATTCTTTACTTTTATAATTATTTTTATGTTCACCCTACCAATATTTTCTTGTGGATAATTTTTAAATATCTTTAGTGATAAGCACCATATAAAGGTATTTATAATGTAATCAAAACATTTAAAAAATATATCTCTGTGTATTATTGAAGCACTCTTGCTAACAAATTCATGAATACAAAGAGTTTATCTAACTTCTTATAAAACTTGTACTGTTACCAGCTCCTTTTACTATTCCCATCTATGCAATTATTCATCCTCATCAAGCTTTCTGCATCTGCTTTGTTAATTACTGATTCGTGCTATGCCTGCTTAGTGTTTCCATTGGGTTCAGCATCTGCAGCTGTCCAGTTGGCTGCTTTTGAGTCAGCATTGTTTTTACATATCCACAAGAACAATGAACAATCTCATCTTTCTGAGAAACTTTCCTTTATACCTGTTTCTATATTAACCATTAATATTGAGACAAGATGATCGACTTAATTATATTACTGCTCCATTTTTAGGGCACTGATTTCAAGATCAAGTTAGGAATTTGTTAAAACTGCTTTTGTTTTTTATTTTTATTTATTTATTTTTCCTTTTGAGATGGAGTTTCGCTCTTTTTTTTGCTCAGGCTGGAGTACAGTGGCGCAATCTTGGCTCACTGCAACCTCTGCCTCCTGGGTTCAAGTGATTCTCCTGCCTCAGCCTCCCAAGTAGCTGGGATTACAGGCATGCGCCACCACACCCGGCTAATTTTGTATTTTTAGTAGAGACAGGGTTTTACCATGTTGGCCAGGCTGGTCTCGAACTCCTGACCTCAGGTGATCCACCCACCTTGGCCTCACAAAGTGCTAGGATTATAGGCGTGAGCCACCACGCCTCGCCATTAAAACTGATTTTAATAATTTATGTTTATCTTTAAGGATGTCCTTCACCCTTTTTAAAGTTTTATTAAACTTAAATTTTTCAATAATAACCAAAAATGCCATTGCAGTTGTCTTACTGAGATATACTCACTTTCCTTTTATGGTCATCTTTATGAATTCTAGAAGCATTGTATTGTGGAACATTTTGATTAATGAATATCTGTAAGGATGATTTCCATTTAATTTTAGATTTAAAATAATAGAAAAATAGGTGTTTTGATAGAAATATTGTTATTTTATTTGTAGCAGGATTGTTATGTTATAGGTAAAGAACGTATTTATTTTATTTCATTTTTTGTTTTGGGACAGGGTCTCACTCTGTTGCCCAGGTTGGAGTGCAATGGCATGATCATGGTTCACTGGAGCTTCAACCTCCCAGGCTCAGGTAATCCTCTTACCTAAGCCTCAGCCTCCCAAGTAGCTGGGACTACAGGCATGTGCCACCAGGCCAGGCGAATTTTTTGTATTTTTTTGTAGAGATGGGGTTTTGCCATGTTGCCAGGCTGGTTTTGAACTCCTGGACTCAAGCAATCTGCCTGCCTCCGCCTCCCAAAATGCTAGGATTACAGATGTGAGCCAGTATTTTTTTATTTTGTCAGTAACTTGTTTAACTACTCATGTTAATCTCTATATTCTTCTTACATAGTAGAACAGATGTTGACAAATGTTTATTTACTATTCATAAGTTGATGGAGTTTTGGTATTAAAAAAAGTAAGTTAAACCATCTGTGTAATAAAAGAAGATCATTTTCTTTTTTGAAAAAAAGATCAACATCCTGCTTGTTAAAGACTCAGGAGAAGTTTGATCATTTACCTTGATAGGGGATAGAGGCTAGTAAAGACCAAGAAAGAGGAAGAGAGAGATGGTAAAGCATGGACAAGGCTGCCAGAAAGTGTTGCTACTGGAAGAAAAGTATATTATTTCACTTTGGTTTTTTTTGTGTTTTGTTTTTTCCAGAGACAGGGTCTCACTCTGTTGCCCAGGCTGGAGTGCAGTGGCGCGATCATAACTCCTGGGCTCAAGCGATCCTCCCACCCTGGCCTTCCAAGTAGCTGGGACCACAGGCACTTTTTATAGAAATGGGGTCTTGCTTTGTTGCCCAGGCTGGTCTCAAATTCCTGGCCTCAAGCAATCCTCCCTCTGTAGCCTCTCAAAGTGCTGGGATTAAAGGTGTCAGCCACCATGCCCAGTCTGTAATACTTCACTTTCTATAGCAGAAGTTCAGTTTTTTGAGAGCATATCATGCTTGCAACTGAAAAAAAAAAAGTTTAATTTCTTAAAAAGAGGTTTTTATCTTATTAACACAAAAAGAATTAGAACATTATATTTACTTACTTGTAAGTTTCAGATGAGAAACTTAAAAAATGGGGAGGGAAGCTTCTGCAGCCTACCATTATAAAAGAACAGAGCAACTCTAGTTGCAATACCTCAGATTCTGATAAGCATTACCAGACGCCTCAGGGCAAACTGTGAACATTGTTTCTTGATTCATAAAAGAGGAGGAAAAAAAAAGAAATCTAGGAAATAGTTGGTAGAATTGGTTTTTCCTTGGCTTTAAAAAAAATTTCAGCGAAGTTTGAATGCTTTCAGGATGTCTATATCAAGAGAATGGAATGTTTTGCAGCATGTCTATATTCAGGAGAATGAAAAGCGTTAAGTAGAAGCCAAATAAAAGAATGCTTTGTGAAACGCCTCTGCCTTTTTACCTCAATGAAAATAGAACAGCACAAAAACCCTGGGGAACACTGTGATTTTACATGTGTGTAAATGATGTTTTTAATGTTTGTTGGAAATGATTAAGGGAGGAAGGATGTTTTTTAATCAGCCAAAAAGATACTGCTCTTTATTATATTTTGGAGAAACCAAGATGTGCATTAACTTACTCCTTCCACAGATATTTAAGTTCCTATTATATACAAGGTAAAAAGATGATGAAAAAGATATGAAACCTACCTTCAAAGAACTTACTGATGGTATGTACATACATATGTAAAAATGATGGCTGGGCATGGTGGCTCACGCCTGTAATCCCAACACTTTGGGAGGCCAAGGTGGGCGGATCACCTGAGGTCAGAAGTTCGAGACCATCCTGGCCAACATGGTAAAACCCTGTCTGTACTAAAAATTCAAAAATTAGCCAGGTGTGGTGGTGCATGCCTGTAGTCCCAGCTACTCGGGAGGCTGAGCCAGGAGGATTGCTTGAATCCCAGGGGCGGAGGTTGCAGTGAGCCAAGATGGTGCCACTGCACTCCAGCCTGGGCAACAGAGCAAGACTTCATCTAAAAAAAAAAAAAAAAAAAAGAGGGCAATAAAAATGATGTACATGCATCAATCAGTCCTTTAGCACATATGACAGGGATGCTGGGGTAAGTAAATCAGAGTCCCAGTTCTCATAGAACTTATACTGGGAGAAAAAAACAACAACCAAGTTAACAAATGATATAATTTCAGATACAGATAGGTGCTATGAAGCACGGCAAATCGGTAAAGTATGCTAGATGGTAGGTAACTTGGAGTGATCAGGAAAGGCCTCTGAGAAAGTACCTTTGAGCTAAGACTTGAAGAACAAATGTCAGCCACTTGAAGAATAAGAGTCGGAATTTTTAGGGGACAAGCGATCTAGGCAAAGGAATTGCAAAGCCAAAAGGCCTGAGATAAGAATAATTTGGCTGATCCTGGACCCACATGAAGGTCAGTATGATTGAAGTCTAGTAAGCTGGGGGAAAGCGGGTAGGAAAAGAGAGGTAGGCAGGGGCCAGGGAAGGGAGTTTAGACTTTATTCTTTATTTTTTAAAAATTTTTTGTAGAGATGGGGGTCTCACTATGTTGCCTAGACTAGTCTGGGACTCTTGGCCTCAAGCAGTCCTCCCCCACTACCTCCCAAAGTGCCATTATTACAGGAGTGAGCTACCACACCCAGCCTAGTTTCAATATTATTCCAAGTGCAATCAGAAGCAACTGGAGGATTTTTTTCTTTTTAGAGATGGAGTCTCGCTCTGTTGCCCAGGCTGGAGTGCAGTGGCACGATCTCAGCTCACTGCAACTTCCATCTCCCAGGTTCAAGCGATTCTCCTGCCTCAGCCTCCCGAGTAGCTGGGACTACAGGTGCCAGCTAATTTTTTGTATTTTTTAGTAAAGACAGGGTTTCACCTTGTTAGCCAGGATGGTCTTGATCTCCTGACCTCATGATCCACCTGCCTCAGCCTCCCAAAGTACTGGGATTACAGGCGTGAGCCACCATGCCTGGCCATTTTATTTTATATATATATGTTTTTGAGACACAGTCTCACTCTGTCACCCAGGCTGAGTGTAGTGGTGAGATCACAGCTCACTGCAGCCTCCACCTACTGGGCTGAAGTGATCCTCCCACCTCAGACTCCTGAGTAGCTGGAGGTACAGGCATGAGCCACCATGCAAGGCTAACTTTTTTTTTTTTTTGTAGAGACAAGGTCTCACTATGTTGCCCAGGCTGGTTTTGAACTCTTGGACTCAAGTGATCCTCCTGCCTTGCCCTCCCAAAGTGCTGGGATTATAGGCATGATCTACTGCACCTGGCCCACTGGAGGATTTTAAATAGTGCAGTGACATGACATGATTTATGTTTTTAAAAGCTTGCCTTGGCATCGCTGAGGAGATTTAATAATATCTTGAACGTTTTTACGTTCTAAGAACAAGATTCAAAAACCCCTAAGACTTCTTTCTTTTTTTCTTTAATTATTATTTTTTAAAATTATATTTTAAGTTCTAGGGTGCATGTGCACAACATGCAGGTTTGTTACATAGGTATACATGTGCCATGTTGGTTTGCTGCACCCATTAACTCATCATTTACATTAGGTATTTCTCCTAATGCTATCCCTCCCCCTGCCCCCAACTCCACAACAGGCCCCGGTGTGTGACGTTCCCCACCTTGTGCCCACGTGTTCTCATTGTTCAATTCCCACCTATAAGTGAGAACATGCGGTGTTTGGTTTTCTGTCCTTGGGATAGTTTGCTCAGAATGATGGTTTCCAGCTTCATCCATGTCCCCACAAAGGACATGAACTCATCCGTTTTTATGGCTGCATAGTATTCCATGGTGTATATGTGCCACATTTTCTTAATCCAGTCTATCATTGATGGACATTTGGGGTTGGTTCCAAGCCTTTGCTATTGTGAATAGTGCTGCAATAAACATACGTGTGCATGTGTCTTTATAGCAGCATGATTTATAATCCTTTGGGTATATACCCAGTAATGGGATGGCTGGATCAAATCGTATTTCTAGTTCTAGATCCTTGAGGAATCGCCACACTGTCTTCCACAATGGTTGAACTAGTTTATACTCCCACCAACAGTGTAAAAGCGTTCCTATTTCTCCACATCCCCTCCAGCACCTGTTGTTTCCTGACTTTTTAATGATCGCCATTCTAACTGGTGTGAGATGCTATCTCATTGTGATTTTGATTTGCATTTCTCTGATGACCAGTGATGATGAGCATTTTTTCATGTGTCGAAGGCCTTTTCTGCATCTATTGAGATAATCATATGGTTTTTGTTGTTGGTTCTGTTTATGTGATGGATTACATTTATTGATTTGCGTATGTTGAACCAGCCTTGTATCCCAGGGATGAAGCCAACTTCATCTTGGTGGATAAGTTTTTTGATGTGCTGCTGGATTCGGTTTGCCAGTATTTTATTGAGGATTTTCGCATCAATGTCGTCAGGGATATTGGTCTAAAATTCTCTTTTTTTGTTGTGTCTCTGCCAGGCTTTGGTATCAGGATGATGCTGGCCTCAAAAAATGAGTTAGGGAGGATTCCCTCTTTTTCTATTGATTGGAATAGTTTCAGAAGGAATGGTACCAGCTCCTCTTTGTACCTCTGGTACAATTCGGCTGTGAATCTGTCTGGTGCTGGACTTTTTTTGGTTGGTAGGCTATTAATTATTGCCTTAATTTCAGAGCCAGTTATTGGTCTATTCAGGGATTCAACTTCTTCCTGGTTTAGTCTTGGGAGGGTGTGTGTGTCCAGGAATTTATCCATTTCTTCTAGATTTTCTAGTTTACTTGCGTAGAGATGTTTACAGTATTCTCTGATGGTAGTTTGTATTTCTGTGGGATCAGTGGTGATATCCCCTTTATCATTTTTTATTGCATCTATTTGATTATTCTCTCTTTTCTTCTTTATTAGTCTTGCTAGCGGTTTATCAATTTTGTTGATCTTTTCAAAAAACCAGCTCCTGGATTCATTGATTTTTTTGAAGGGTTTTTTGTGTCTCTATCTCCTTCAGTTCTGCTCTGATCCTTAGTTATTTCTTGCCTTCTGCTAGCTTTTGAATTTGTTTGCTCTTGCTTCTCTAGTTCTTTAAATTGTGAAGTTAGGGTGTCAATTTTAGATCTTTCCTGCTTTCTCTTGTGGGCATTTAGTGCTATAAATTTCCCTCTACACACTGCTTTAAATGTATCCCAGAGATTCTGGTATGTTGTGTCTTTGTTCTCACTGGTTTCAAAGAACATCTTTATTTCTGCCTTCATTTCATTATTTACCCAGTAGTCATTCAGGAGCAGGTTGTTCAGTTTCCATGTAGTTCTGTGGTTTTCAGTGAGTTTCTTAATCCTGAGTTCTAATTTGATTGCAGTGTGGTCTGAGAGACAGTTTGTTGTGATTTCCGTTCTTTTACATTTGCTGAGGATTGCTTTACTTCCAACTGTGTCGTCAATTTTGGAATAAGTGCAATGCGGTGCTGAGAAGAATGTATATTCTGCTGTTTTGGAGTGGAGAGTTCTGTAGATGTCTATTAGGTCTGCTTGGTGCAGAGTTGAGTTCAACTCCTGGATATCCTTGTTAACCTTCTGTCTCGTTGATCTGTCTAATATTGACAGTGGGGTGTTAAAGTCTCCCATTATTATTGTGTGGGAGTCTAAGTCTCTCTGTAGGTCTCGAAGGACTTGCTTTATGAATCTGGGTGCTCCTGTATTGGGTGCATATATATTTAGGATAGTTAGCTTTTCTTGTTGAATTGATCCTTTTACCATTATGTAATGGCCTTCTTTGTCTCTTTTGATCTTTGTTGGTTTAAAGTCTGTTTTATCAGAGACTAGGATTGCAACCCCTGCTTTTTTATTTTTTTTATTTTTTATTTTTGCCTTGGTAGATCTTCCTCCATCCTTTATTTTGAGCCTATGTTTGTCTCTGCATTTGAGATGGGTCTCCTGAATACAGCACACTGATGGGTCTTAACTCTTTATCCAATTTGCCAGTCTGTGTCTTTTAATTGGGGCATTTAGCCCATTTACATTTAAGGTTAATATTGTTATGTGTGAATTTGATCCTGTCATTATGATGTTAGCTGGTTATTTTGCCCATTAGTTGATGCAGTTTCTTCCTAGCATCAATGGTCTTTACAATTTGGCATGTTTTTGCAGTGGCTGGTACTGGTTGCTCCTTTCCACGTTTAGTGCTTCCTTCAGGAGCTCTTGTAAGGCAGGCCTGGTGGTGACAAAATTTCTCAGCATTTGTTTGTTTATAAAGGATTTTATTTCTCCTTCACTTATGAAGCTTAGTTTGGCTGGATATGAAATTCTGGGTTGAAAATTCTTTTCTTTAAGAATGTTGAATATTGGCCCCCACTCTCTTCTGGCTTGTAGAGTTTCTGCCAAGAGATCTGCTGTTATTCTGATGGGCTTCCCTTTGTGGGTAATCCGACCTTTCTCTCTGGCTGCCCTTAACATTTTTTCCTTCATTTCAACCTTGGTGAATCTGATGATTATGTGTCTCAGGGTTGCTCTTCTTGAGGAATATCTTTGTGGTGTTCTCTGTATTTCCTGAACTTGAATGTTGGCCTGCCTTGCTAGGTTGGGGAAGTTCTGCTGGATAATATCCTGGGGAGTGTTTTCCAGCTTGGTTCCATTCTCCGCATCACTTTCAGGTACACCAATCAAAAATAGATATGCTTTTTCCACATAGTCCCATATTTCTTGGAGGCTTTGTTCGTTTCTTTTTACTCTTTTTTCTCTAAACTTCTCTTCTCACTTCATTTCATTCATTTGATCTTCAATCACTGATATCCTTTCTTCCACTTGATCGAATCAGCTATTGAAGCTTCTGCATGCATCATGTAGTTCTCATGCCATGGTTTTGAGCTCCATCAGGTCATTTAAGTTCTTCTCTGCACTGTTTATTCTAGTTAGCCATTCGTCTAATGTTTTTTCAAGGTTTTTAGCTTCCTTGCAATGGGTTCGAACATCCTCCTTTAGCTTGGAGAAGTTCGTGATTACCGACCTTCTGAAGCCTACTTCTATCAACTCGTCAAAGTCATTCTCTGTCCAACTTTGTTCCGTTGCTGGCGAGGAGCTGTGATCCTTTAGAGAAGAGGTGCTCTGGTTTTTAAAATGTTCAGCTTTTCTGCTCTGGTTTCTCCCTATCTTTGTGGTTTTATCTACCTTTGGTCTTTGATTATGGTGACCTACAGATGGGGTTTTGGTGTGGATGTCCTTTCTGTTTGTTAGTTTTCCTTCTAACAGTCAGGCCCCTCAGCTGCAGGTCTGTTGGAGTTTGCTGGAGGTCCACTGCAGACCCTGTTTGCCTGGGTATCACCAGCTGAGGCTGCAGAACAGCAAATATTGCAGAACAGCAAATATTGCTGCCTGATCCTTCCTCTGGAAGCTTTGTCTCAGAGGGGCACCCAGCTGTATGAGGTGTCAGTTGACCCCTACTGGGAGATGTCTCCTAGTTAGGCTACATGGGGTTCAGGGACCCACTTGAGGGGGCAGTCTGTCTGTTCTCAGAGCTTAAACACCATGCTGGGAGAACCACTGCTCTCTTCAGAGCTGTCAGACAGGGATGTTTAAGTCTGCAGAAGTTTCTGCTGCCTTTTGTTCGGCTCTGCCCTGCCCCCAGAGTTGGAGTCTACAGAGGCAGACAGGCCTCCTTGAGCTGTGGTGGGCTCCACCCAGTTCGAGCTTCCTGGCTGCTTTGTTTACCTACTCAAGACTCAGCAACGGCAGACGCCCCTTCCCCAGCCAGGCTGCTGCCTCACAGTTCGATCTCGGACTGCTGTGCTAGCAGTGAGCAAGGCTCCATGGGCATGGGACCTGCTGAGCCAGGCATGGGATATAATCTCCTGGTGTGCATTTGCTAAGACCGTTGGAAAAGCTCAGTAGTTGGGTGGCAGTGTCCCAATTTTCCTGGTACATACTGTCACAGCTGCCCTTGGCTAGGAAAGGGAAATCCCCTGACCCCTTGCACTTCCTGGGTGAGGTGATGCCCTGCCCTGCTTCGGCTTGCCCTCCATGGGCTGCACCCACTGTCCAACCAGTACCAATGAGATGAACCAGGTACCTCAGTTGGAAATGCAGAAATCACCCATCTTCTGTGTCAATCATGCTGGGAGCTGCAGACCGGAGCTGTTCCTATTTGGCCATCTTGGAATGAACCCCACTACCTGGATGGAATTTTTAAGTCAGTGGGGCTGATGAGATCACCTGGGGAGTGTACGAAGGCAGACAAGAGCATTCTGGGAAGAATTTAGAGTTCTCAGTCATTTGGTTGTGGGGCAGAGGAATAAGAACCCACAAGGTTTTATCTTTCTTTCTATCTATCTACGTGTACATAGAGAGTAACATATATGACTATGTAACTATAACCATGCATGTGTGTGTCTGTGTGTGTATGTGTATATATACATAAAGATACCTATATACATACATGACTTTTTTTCTGAACTGTTTTAAGAGTAGCTTGTAGACATGATATCCTTTTCTCCCTAAACAGTTCAGAGTATGTATGTATATATGTAAATATATATATGTGAATATGTACAGTCGTGTGTTACTTACTGATGGGGATATGTTCTGAAAAAAATGTGTCACTAGGTGATTTTGTCATTGTGGGAACATCATGGAATGTACTTACATAAACCTAGATGGTGTAGACTATTGCTGCTAGTCTACAAACCTGTATAGTGTGTTACTATACGAATACTGGAGGTAATTGTAACACAATGGTAAGTACACACACACACACACACACACACACACACACACAGAGAGAGAGAGAGAGAGAGAGAGAGAGAATATAAAGCCAATATAGTAAAATGTTACTATATTGGGAATCTGAATGATGCCTGGAATCCAGGAATCTTTGTTCCACTTTTGCTCTCTCTCTCTATGTGTCTACATGTAAACCTTTCACAACTTTTCTGTAAGTCTGAAATAATGGCAAAATAAAGTGGTGCAAATTGAGTACTGAGGTGGATGATGACCTCACTTTGGACTAGGCAAGAAATCTTGTAAGATATAATATTCAGCTGGATTTGTATTTAGAAATTCAAAGGTGATGAGCAGGGCATTTTGGTAGTGGGAGTAGGATGAGCATGCCATAGAGGTGGCAAATAGCAGGGTTTATTCAGGAATGAACAGCAGGTGATTGGGTTCTCATCTCTGAGTGCTTTCCTTGGCACTGAACACTAAGCAAAGTGGGTGGTAAGGTCATTTGCAGAGAGTAAACGGGTGGGATGGGAAATGTGATCGAGACTGTGATAGGGATTCAAATGGATTCTGATTCAAATTATTCAAATGGATTCTGAGCAACATTAATGGTCCAGTGGAATAAATTTGAAATGGAATTGGCTCAATTTCTTGTCTTTTTCTGGCAATGTTGAGCAAGCCAGGAAAACAGAACAGTTAGAGATTAGCAAGTTAAGTGCAGCAAGAAGGACAAGAGACCAAGGAGAATGGTATTAAAATAGTTTCTCTTGAGTCTGGCTGGGAAGGAGCAAGTGAGGCTTAAAGGAGGATGGGCAGTGTTTGGGAAGAGACCCAAGAAAGGACGATGGCAGGATCTGGAAATCTTAGACTATTCACAGTCTTGTTTCCTCATCTACTATTTTAAGAAGCTGGATTAGGTGATCTATAAATTCTCTGACTGCTCTAAGGTTTTGTTTTGAGACAAAGTCTCGCTCTGTAGCCCAGGCTGGAGTGCAGTGGCACGGTCTCGGCTCACTGCAACCTCCACCTCCCAGGTTCAAGCGAGTCTCCTGCCTTAGCCTCCCAAGTAGCTGGGATTACAGGTATGCTTCACTGCACCCAGCTAATTTTTTGTATTTTTAGTAGAGATGGGGTTTCACCATGTTGGCCAGGCTGGTGGTTTGGTTTTGTTTTAAACTCCCTTTTTTCTTGGCCTCCTTTTCAAAATAGATTGAGCTACGTATGAGGCATGTGGCCTCTTAGAAAAGGGTATGGTAGGAGGTCAAGGTTAACACCTGGGTATAGCTATAAAGCTCAAGCTATAATATTTTCAGTTAGGGCCCAAAGCTGAAAAAGGAGAATGAACTGAAGGTTAGGACTGGAAGGGAGAAGGGAGGGGACTTGCAGGTTTAGGAGGAGTGAGCAGCAGTGAAGAAGAGATAAGGAGGCAAGATTAGAATCAGGAGACCAGGTTTGGGGTTTGAAATCTTGGAGTTGGAGCATTTCCAAGTGTTGATTGGAGTCCATGTGTGGTCATACATGTGGGTGGATGAAAAGGGAGGAGAAGGTCAGTACAGTTGGAAGGTTTGAGGAATGTTAAGGTCAGAGTATAGGAAGGAGGCCAGGTGCGGTGGCTCATGCCTGTAATCCCATCACTTTGGGAAGCCGAGGCAGGTGGATCACCTGAGGTCAGGAGTTTGAGACCAGCCTGGCCAACATGGTGAAACCCTGTCTTTACTAAAATACAAAAAATTAGTCAGGTATGGTGGTGGGCACCTGTAATCCCAGCTACTTGGGAGGCTGAGGCAGGAGAATTGCTTGAATCTGGGAGGCGGAGGTTGCAGTGAGCTA
The DNA here is from genome assembly GCF_000001405.40 of Homo sapiens. Taxonomy (NCBI): domain Eukaryota; kingdom Metazoa; phylum Chordata; class Mammalia; order Primates; family Hominidae; genus Homo; species Homo sapiens. Next base: position 36,381,621 of record NC_000007.14, read on the forward strand.
AGATGGTAACACTGCACTCCAGTCTAGGTGACAGAGTGAGACTCCATCTCAAAAAAAAAAAAAAAAAATGAAGGAGATTGTGGTCCCGGAGAATACACCAGCAAACAGCAAACATTTCTTGAGGGCCTATTAAGTGCCAGGCATGAATGGGACTGAGGAAAACTGGGATGGTGTCAGACTCTGAGAAGCAGGAAAGAGGAGAGTGAAAGTGTATGTCCTGAACCCCAGCATTTGGAAGGATTAATGAAAGAATAAATGAACCCTGGGTCTGGAAATAGCATGTGAGGAGAAATTTTTGAAGTGTTTAGAAGATCACTAAATTCATGACAGACATCAATGGAGTGCAATAAATCTGTTACATTCTCTTGTATCAAATTTAAGAAGATTTGTGGCTGGGCGCTTTGGCTTATGCCTGTAATCTCAGCATTTTGGAAGGCCGAGGTGGGCAGATCACCTGAGGTCAGGAGTTCAAGACCAGCCTGGCCAACATGGTGAAAACCTGTCTCCACTAAAAAAAAAACAATAATAATACAAAAATTAGCCGGGCATGGTGGTGGGTGCCTGTGATCCCAGCTACTCGGGAGGCTGAGGCAGGAGAATCACTTGAACCTGGAAGGCGGAGGTTGCAGTGAGCAGAGTTGTGCAACTGCACTCCAGCCTGAGTGACAGCGTCTGTCTCAAAAAAAAAAAAAAAAAAAAAAAAAGAAGATTTGCAAAATGTCTGTTTGCATGGGAGGAAAATTTAAGATGTTATATTTGATGTTCAATAAATTGACTCTGATATTTAGGAAACACTGGCTTCTGTTACTTCTGTAATATTTAAGAGTGACTTCTATGATATCACTAAAAAATTAAGTTTTGTAAAAATAGCTTTTTTTTTTTTTTGTTTTGAGATGGAGTCTCGCCTTGTTGTCCAGGCAGGAGTGCAGTGGCGTGATCTCGGCTCACTGCAAGCTCCGCCTCCCGGGTTCACACCATTCTCCTGCCTCAGCCTTCCAAGTAGCTGGGACTACAGGTGCCTGCCACCAGGCCCGGCTAATTTTTTTGTACTTTTAGTAGAGACAGGGTTTCACCGTGTTAGCCAGGATGGTCTCGATCTCCTGACCTCGTGATCCACCCGCCTTGGCCTCCCTAAGTGCTGGGATTACAGGCGTGAGCCACCACGCCCAGCCAAAAATAGCTTTAAGAAATCTAGGTATGGAAAAGAAAAGTTACCAATATAAAAAGTATAGTGTGATAAGTACATAAAATAATTCTTACTCTTTATGAAAGGATTTACTGTGGTCCTTTAAATATGAATTATCTTAATATCCTTATTAACCACGTGAGAAAATAAAAAGGAGATTAAAGTTGTATGCATTTTGAGATTAGTCTATTGAATAAAGGACTTATGCCTGTAGTTGCACTGGTTTTTGGAAACAATATAATATGTTCAGAAAGCACAATATGTTCATGCTCACTCTGGAATCTGAAACATCTTCATCAATTAAACTAGAAAAAAAATCTATGTGACACTAAGAATCATTAATAGTAAAGATTAATACCATTAATCATTAATAGTAGAGAGTAGTAACAAGTAAAATAGCCCTTTTCAATAACATATAGATAACATCCTTTGATGGTTGTTGTTTCTTCATTATAATAAATGTGTAGAACTAGAAATACCATTTGACCCAGCAATACCATTACTGGGTATATATCCAAAGGATTATAAATCATTCTACTATAAAGACACATGCACACATATGTTTACTGCGGCACTGTTCACAATAGCAAAGACTTGGAACCAACCCAAATGCCCATCAATGATAGACTAGATAAAGAAAATGTGGCACATATGCAGCATGGAATACTATGCAGCCATAAAAAAGGATGAGTTCGTGTCCTTTGCAGGGACATGGATGAAGCTGGAAACCATCATTCTCAGCAAACTAACACAGGAACAGAAAACCAAACACCGCATGTTCTCACTCATAAGTGGGAGTTGAACAATGAGAATGCATGGACACAGGGAGGGGAACATCACACACCAGGGTCTGTAGGGGGGTGGAGAGTTAGGGGAGGGATAGCATTAGGAGAAATACCTAATATAGATGACAGGTTGATGGGTTCAGCAAACCACCATGGCACGTGTATGCCTATGTAACAAACCTGCACGTTCTGCACATGTACTCCAGAACTTAAAGTATAATAATAATTTTAAAAAGTGTAAAAGAAGTGGCCCTTCAGCCAAATAACCTGAGGTAGAGAACTTGAGTTTAGCTCTTCTTGCCACTGCCTTATGATTAGGTCTTGGCCTTTTCTCTCCCTGTAAAAATAAAAAGATTTGTGTTATTGTATTACTTTGTGAATTAAGTATAAATAGTCTAAAAATTTTAAAATTAAATATAAATAGTATTTTAAAAAGTATAAAAATAGTATAAAATATAAAATACAAATGTGTGTGACTGTATTTTGAAAAATTAACTGTAAATATACAGCATTTGGAGGGTCTTTGTTGCAGTCCCTGCTTTCAAATTTTTGTGTTTTTCAGCCTTTTTATCAGCAATTTTATCTGCAAAAGACATAATTATTATTTCCTTTGTTTAAAAGAACAGGTCTTGGAGCAAATACTCATTTTCCAGGGCTATCTTTAATCTCTAGTTATTTCTACTTCAGACTCTTGGTTCTATTCTTAAATTAATGTATTATGTTGTGGGTTTTATTTAAATAACTTGGGAAGTTTTGTGTTTTATATAAATAAGTAGGGAAGACACTTTTGATGATTTAGGCCAATCCCTTAGCCTCTATGCATCTCAGTTTTCCCATCTCTAAAATAGGAATAAGAGTTATGCTTATATTCATTTATTTAACAAGTATCTACTGCACTCATGTGCCAGAAGGTGCTGGGTTACAGCTATAAACAAGTCCCTGCACTGCCACAGCTTACACTGTAGTAGGAAGGCCTAGCTAATAAACATAAACACATAACTAAAATAATGTCAGATAGTGGCAAATGTGATGAAGAAGTCAGAGTAATAGAATGGAAAGTGATTGGTGGGCAGAGAAGACGGGGGTGGCCACCTGATCAAAGAAGTCTTCTTTCAGGAGGTAGCACATGCAAGCTTAGGCCCAAATAACGAGGAGCAGACGTGCTAAATCTAGAGGAAGAGTGTCCAGGCAGTGGAAAGTCCTTGAGGCAGGAAGAAATTTGGCATTTTTTTATGACCAGAAAAAAGGCCTGAAGCTGGAGCATAGTGAAAAGAAAAAAAAAAAAAGGAAAGTATTGTGATGTTAGGAGAATACTAGGTTATTCGGAGAGGCAGGTAGATTCCAGATCATGCATGGCCTTGTAGGTATGATAAGGATATTATTGGATATCATTTTAATTACAACGAAAGACATAGAGCAGCTCCAAACAAGGAATTGACACTGCAAAATTTACATTTGAAAAAGATCCCTCTCTATAAATAAATTACTAAAACTAAAAAGATCAGCAACAACAAAGATACGTAGGAATAAATTTAACAAAAGTTTACAGATCTTTATGTAAGTTTGTTATAGACATTTTTAGCAGGTATAATGAAGATATACCATGCTCATAAATGGGTAGCATTGCTGTCACAAAGATGCGAATTCTCTCCAAATTATGTGATAAATTCAGTGCAATTTGAATTAAAAATCAGAAGAGGATTTTCTTTTCTTTTCTTTTTGGATCTTGAGAATCTGACCCTAAAATTCATGTGGAAGAACAATGAGGCAAAATAATCCAAGTTGAATTGGAATTTGCCCTACCAGATATCAACATTTATAACTAATATAGTGTGATATTGGGAGAGGAATAGATAGACCAGTAGAACAGAATAGAGTCCGACATAGACCTATGTGTACATAAAAAGTTGAGGCTGAACATAGTGGCTTACACCTGTAATTCCAGCACTTTGGAAGGCCAAGGTGGGAGGATCATTTGAGGCCAGGAGTTGGAGACCAGCCTGGGCAACAAAGTGAGATCCTGTCTCTACAAAAAATTTTAAAAAGTAGCGGGTTGTGGTGGCATGCACCTGTTGTCCCAGATACTTGGAAGGCTGAGATGGGAAGATTGCTTGAGGCCAGGAATTTGAAGCTGCAGTGAGCTGTGATCGTGCCACTGCACTCCAGCCTGGGTGACAGAGCAAGACCCTATTTCAAAAAATAAAATAAAATAAAATAAAATAAAATAAAATAAAATAAAATAAAATAAAATAAAATAAAATAAGATAAAGAAAGAACTGTTGGGTAGGCGCAGTGGCTCATGCCTATAATCCCAGCACTTTGGGAGGTCTAGTTGGGTGGATCACTTGTGGCCAGGAATTCGAGACTAGCCTGGCCAACATGGGGAAACCCCAACTCTACTAAAAACACAAAAATTAGCCAGATTTGGTGGCATATGCCTGTTGTCCCAGCTACTTGGGAGGCTGAGGCAGGAGAATCGCTTGAACCCGGGAGGCAGAGGTTGTAGTCAGCCGAGATCAGGCCACTGCACTCCAGCCTTGGCGAAAGAGCGAGACCCTGTCTCGGGAAAAAAAAAAAGAAAAGTTGATATATGATAAAAGTGGCATTACAGGTCAATGAGAGAAAGGATGGACAATTTAATAACTGCTGCTAAGACAACTGGTTATCCATACAAAAAACAAGATCAATCCAGATAGTTTAAAGACAAAAGCATGAAAAGCCATACTTTAAAATATTTAGAAGAAAGTACAGCAGAACATCTTTATTATCTCAGGGTATGGAAGGATTTCTTAAGGCATAAAAAACACAAATCCTAAAGGAAAATATATATGGTATATGTGTATGTGTATGTGTGTATGTGTGTGTGTGTGTGTGTGTGTGTATCATTAGTTATATTAAACATTTCTGTACATCTGAAACATCATAAAGTAAAAAGACAAGCCACAAACCAAAAAATTGGCAAGCCGAAAAACCAACCAAGTTTATTTTCCCAGAAAATAGTAAACAACCAACAAAAACCCTATAAATCCATAAGAAAAAGGCAAATAATTGCACAGAAAAATGGGCAAGGATATAAAGTTGAAAATCACAGAAAAAGAAAATTGAAAGTCCAATAAATAAAAAATCATGTTCACCTTCACTAGTGATAAGAGAAAGGCACTCAAACAAGAATGGCAAAATTTAAAATGTATCCACATATTGGGGAGGAACTAGAGCAGCAGCCAGGGGCATATACTACTGACTGGAGTATCATTTGTTATGACCATTTTGAAGAGCAGTTTATTTTTAATATCTGGTAATAATATTCCTAGGTATATTGCTCTAGAGAAAGTTTTGCATGTGCATATAAAGGATAGTCATGGCATCATGGGGTCTTTGGAATGAAAAACTGGAAATAAGCTAAATGTCCATTAACAGGATAATGGGTACATAAATTACAAGTATATTTGTATAATAAAATTTAGCAGTGAACATGAATGAAATGCAGCTACAGTTATTAGTGAGGATAAATCCCATAAAGATATTATTGGGCCAGAAAAAGTTGCAGAAAGACTTACATTCTGCAAATAAAATTTATATATAAAACACTAGATATTGTTATGGATATATATGTAGATGTGATAAAAGTATACATATTTCTATGGGAATGATAAACATCAAATCAAGATAGTTTTACCCTGGAAGAGTGGGAAGATGAATGAGAATAGGAAGGGACACACAGGAGACTTCAATTACATGTGGGATGTTTTGTATTTTTTTAAGCTAGGTGGCTGGTATATGGTTATGTTTTATTATTCACATTTTTATTGTATTTCATAACATAATTTTTTTGTTTTCAAATTTTTTTATTTGTTATATAACACAATTTTTAAAAAGATAAAAGTCATTCTAGCCTAGAAACTGAAGAATGAACTACCGGGGGTTAAGAATGAAAGGAGGTATAGTAGGAGACAATTGTAATACCCTAGGAGAGTAGACTTGAATATCTACCGTAGTTTCTGGCACATAGTAGGTGTTTCAGTCTTAGGAGTTATTTAATTGTGATGGTTGCCATTATCACTATCATCATCATTATCAAGGTAGAAACCAAAGACATAGTGGGATGGTGAGGGAAGATACACTAAATGTTGTGAGTAGCTATCTTATGCTAGGTGCTTTACCTCTTTTAGTCTTAACTAGAATCTAGTTGAGGTAGATACAAAGAAACTAAGGCTCATAGAAGTGATAGCCAGAAGGCACAACGGCTACATAAATTTCTAATGACTCATTTTCCAACGTTGTTTAAAACACGCATACACACACAGACACGCCCCAAATACATACACACCTTTCTTGTCACACTTGAAAAAAATGGAAGTATCTTTTTCCTTTGTTCATAAGTAACACATTCTGGGTTAAATATTAATAATTCCATATACTACACACTCGGACAGTGTCTTATTACTTATTATGAAATATTTTTGGATTATGTCTCTCCATTTTTCATCTGCCCCTCCTAACAACTCTGAGGAAATCAGGGCAGATGATTATTCCTGTTACACAGATAAGTAAACTAAAATACAAACAGGCTAAATCAGAAGTTCTTGTCCTGGTGTCCATGAACTTCACAAAATCCTGTTAAATAGTTTATGATTAAATGGTCATTTTTCTAGGTAGAGGGTCAGTTTTAACATATTTCCAAAGGAGTCCATGACTCCCCACAAAGGTTAAAAAAAAAAAAAACCCATGGGTTAACCGATTTGGCTAACTGGGTGGAGCCCTGACCCCAAGCAATATTTCCCTTACCTCTTGCCGTGATTTCAGTCACGTACAATTTATCATACAAAAATTCAAATTAAAAATATTAGTAAATTCTTTTTGTAATGTTGATTGACTGCTAAGATGGACATATTATTAAACATATTGAAACCACTCAGTTGGGAGGAATAGTTCTGTTTTGTTCAGCTCATGGACAGTCACTCTTAACTTTTCAGATGAACAAATCAAGAACTGTCATCTTTACCTGCACAGACTTGTTATAGAAGAAATGAATCTGATACAGAAATTATGTAACCTATCTTACAATTTGGAGTACTCTACAAAGAATAAGCAGGAGACACAGCCTTAGCTAGTGTGGAAAACGGGTCATGAGCTGAGAACAGGGTTTTCATTTCTTTGGACCAGTTTCTTTAACGTTTTCGGGTGTCCCTTCTCTCGGCAGTAAAAGGAAGGATTGAACTAGATAGAGGGCTTGTCAGAATTCCTCCCGCTCTAACACTGTACACAGTTGGATGGAATTTAAAATAAAAAATTGTGCATGAACGCTTCACACAGTCTGTTAATTTTAGCTTTATTTCATTGGCTTAGAGTGTCGGGGACCCACCGGAACTGGCTTTTCTGAGGGCCAGGCCTGCAGTCCCCCTTTTGGGGACTAGGAGTTGGGTGTGACCTAGGAAACAAAGCTACTGAAGGCCAACGGGCTAGCAGCACCTGAAACACAAGGGCTCTTTGTCTGGCTCTGTAGCCCAGGCTGGAATGCAGTGGTGTGATCTCTGCTCACTGCAACCTCCACCTCCCGGGTCCCAGTTCAAGCAATTCTCCTGCCTCAGCCTCCCGAGTAGCTGGGATTAGAGGCACGCGCCACCATGCCTATCTAATTTTTTTGTATTTTTAGTAGAGACGGGGTTTCACCATGTTGGCAAGGCTGGTCTTGAACTCCTGACCTCGTGATCTGCCCGCCTCGGCCTCCCACAGTGCTGGGATTATGTCCTGCCAACACAAGGGCTCTTAATCCTTTTTTTTTCTTTTTTGAGGCAGGGTCTCACTCTGCCGCCCAGGCTGGAGTGCAGTAGTGAGATCGCAGCTCACTGCAGCCATGACCTCCTGGGCTCAAGCGATCCTCCAGCCTCAGCCTCCCCAAATGCTGGGATTATAAGCATGCGCCACTACTCCCGGCCTTAATACTTTATTTAGGAATGAAGGAAGGCGGGAACACCCAAACGCGGTTGGTGTGAAGCAATCGCCTTAAAGCTGAGGGGAATGTGTGGTTGTTGGGGGTGGAGCCAGGAACCCGACGCCGTTGGAGAGCAGGAAGCGCCCCGCTGCCCGCCTCCACCCCGCGGCGAGGGCTGGGAGGGGGCCGGGAAGGAGGCGGGGCCGCCCCTGGGAACCACCCGGCCCGGCGCGGCCACGTGACCGAGCGCAGGGGCGGGGAGAGGGCGCCCCGGCTCCGCCCAGCGCGCATGCTCGCGGCTCGGCGCTGAAATTCAAATTTGAACGGCTGCAGAGGCCGAGTCCGTCACTGGAAGCCGAGAGGAGAGGACAGCTGGTTGTGGGAGAGTTCCCCCGCCTCAGACTCCTGGTTTTTTCCAGGAGACACACTGAGCTGAGACTCACTTTTCTCTTCCTGAATTTGAACCACCGTTTCCATCGTCTCGTAGTCCGACGCCTGGGGCGATGGATCCGTTTACGGAGGTGAGTGAGTTTGCGGGTGCAGCCAGCCATGACCCACCGCTCTAGGCCCCCACCCACCTTCCTCTGTCAACCTCTGGGCGAACCCCCACCGGGCGGAGGGCGCGTGTGTGCGCGCGTGCGCAGTGTGTGCGGGCCGGGGTCGCCGCGGCTGCGGCCTGCTGTGGTTGGTGGGTTCCTCTGAGATTTTGTTGTTTCGGTCCTACAGATAAAACTCAGGGAGGAAGGCTTTGAGTCTGTCCTAAAAGGCTGTTGCGAGAGGTCTTTCAGCCCCCGTTTTTACCATGTCCCTCTGCAGTCCTGGCGCAGCAAGAGTGAGGCGCAGGCCTGCGGAACGGGTCCTGCTGGAAGCAGCTGGAATGCCCTGCAGGGCGGGGTCCGGGGCCGGTGACTCAGTGCGGCTGCCGCCGGGAAAGGCAGTAGGATGTGTGATTTGCGGAGTTCACGCAGCCCGCAGGGGAGATGCTAATGAAATGACAGCAAAACGTTAAAATAAGCAGGTGCTAGAAACCACTGCATTCGTTCATAAAAAGCCAGTAGTTCCTTGAGATCCCATTGTTCAGCTAACTAACGAAGAAGTTCATACCCGGGACTGACCATTTTAATTGAAACAATGCAAGTGTACCGAGCAAAACTATCAGCTCACGATTTTAGAGCAAAGAAATAAACTTTTCGGTGTTTCTGGGGCATATCATTACAGTACTTATTTCATCTTTTGTTCCTTTGAGATTGCATATGGGTTACATGGTTATTGTGTCGATTTCTCTAGTTTTAGCTTTTGTGGAGAATGTGCGTTGTCACATTCAGGAGTGTTTTGTTGCCAGTTGTCCACTCTCTTTTATTCCAGGACAGTTCCTCTTTCTTTAGGCTGTTGTGCAAATTTCAAACTGTTAGTTTTTGAGTGTTGCAAAGTGGACCTAAAACTGTTTACACTGATTCAAAAACTTAAATGCTGTGAAGAGTGGTAATTCTTTCGGGGAGATGTAATTATAATTCTATAAGTTATGTATGAGATATTAATTACAGATTTCAGCAATTAGAGTTTACTTATATTCAAGCATGACATAATCTATTTTTCTGTTTCAAATTCTTAATCATCTTGGGACAAATACATCAATTTTTTTCACCTTCCTTAAAGGTTCTAATAGAAAAATCTAGAGCCTATTTTTGTATTAGCCTTAAAATAGGGCTGGTCATGCACCAAGTATCTTTCACTTACACTGAGGTCGAAAAGCGTGTATTTATTTTATCTAAACTAGAATACGATTCCTTAAAACATTAGCCCTATGTGTCTTCCTAAGTAACAGACAGGAACAAAGCATTTTTAAGTTGGCTGAAAATTGCACTTCATTTTACTTAAAAATGTCATTCTGAAGGTAGTACAAATCTCAACTGAAAGAAACTTTACCTGTTTAGATCGTTTTAGGATGTGCTCAGAAATATGTATGGTTTATATTATGAAAAGTTAGATCACTTGCAGTTGGAAAAACAGCTTAGACGTCTTTTCCTTAATAGGTAATGAATGAACTACTTGAATTGATTCCAACTCTTGGGTGCTTAATTATAGCATTCATAACATTTGCACAGTGAAATGAGCTACTGGTACAGTTGTCTATCAACTGAAAGTCAGTATAAAATGACTCTCTCAACCAGGGTTTCCTCTCAGAACCATGGTACACAGGAAAATTGAGAGACTATTTTCTCAATTCTCCCAAGGATAATTCAATGCCACCCTACAAACATAGGAAATAAGTCTATCATATTAACGCCAGCGTATTAGGGCTTAATTATTTTGGTAACTCCAGTTGAGAAAGGTTACAATCATGGTAAACTCTCTTTTCCTCAAACAAGACTGTTCTGCATTGGTCTTCCTCCCTGTGGTCGCTGATACTGTTCTGGCACTCTTTTTTTTTTTAAGACGGAGTCTCGCAGTGTCGCCCAGGTGACAAAACCATAAACTCACTACTCATAACGTCAAGAGTTTGAAGCTCTACTCACAGGTGATAGTCATCCCAGTACAAGAATACTACAAAGAAACCCAGAGTGAAGTGTACCAATCCAGAACTTTCTTTATAAAAACCTTAAAAGAGAAAAAGCTATAATTAAAATACTTCACAGAAGCATATTTTATTGTAGACGCTTTAGATCCTTTTATGTCTGCAGGCTGCATATAAATAAGTATGCAAATAAACATGCCACTACCATTTTTAGTGGAATTTCTCTTATTTTCCAGAATTAAATGAAGTTCCCTGGGGAAGAGCTGCTAGAGCATATTGAAAATAATAAGAAGTTAATTTATATTGAGTCTACTGTGTTAAAGAAGGCAAGGAAATTAGTAAAATCTCCTAGAAAAATTTGTCAGAGATGACTTTGGGGTGTATGTGGCAAAAGTTGTTCAGGGACTATAAGCTTCAGTTACCTGAGATTCATACATGTGGGCTATCCTACTTCTTGAATATGTTATTGCAGTGGTTTTTTTTTTTTTTTAATGCCTACACTGTTTGAGAAAGGTGTGATATTTCAAGGAATATACCTTGTATTTAAAAGAGTTTTAAAATTCCTGATATACTATTATAAGGAACGGCTACTTACATTTATTGAGCTATTGAGTTTATATATTTAAGATATATAATTTCTTTTAATTTAATAACCTTTGGTGTTTATAGCTTTACTTCACAGATTAGGGATCTTTTTTTGTGTATCTATTTAATTTTTTTTTAATCTGGGAATTTTTGAATCTAATGTAAGCAATAGAACATTCATATACGTTTGAATGACAAAATCACATTCTTTTGTTGTGACCTACTGCTCATGGTAACTGAAGCTGTACTGACTCACAAATGTTCTAACTGACCAGAATGGAATGTGGGCATGTCCACGAATGAATATAATTAGGCTAGTGTTGTATCTGGGAAGTGAGAGATATAGCAATTGAAAAATTACAAATTTATTAATTTAGAAAGGAGACATTATTTCTTTTTTCTTTTTTCGTTTTTTTTTTTGAGTCAGAGTCTCGTTCTCGCCCAGACTGGAGCTCAATGGTGCGATCTTGGCTCGGTGTCACTTCTGCCTCCCAGGTTCAAGTGATTCACCTGCCTCAGCCTCCCAAGTAGCTGGGACTACAGGCATGCACCACCATAACTGGCTAATTTTTGTATTTTTAGTAGAGATGGGGTTTCACCGTGTTTGCCAAGCTGGTCTCAAATTCCTAGCCTCAAGTGATCCGCCTGCCTTGGCCTCCCAAAGTGCTGGAATTACAAGCATGAGCCACTGTGCCCAGCAGAGACTTTCTTATAAAGGCTTACAGCCTACAGTGTGGCCATCCTGACAGGCTGGGAAACATATTTAATAGCTTCGGGCAGAGACTGGAAACAGGCACTTCAAGAGAGGAGAAGCTGGAACAGGGATTTATGCCTAAAGGGTTAGCCAGGTATACATATTCAACAGGTTATAGGCAGAGCTATGAGTATTTACAAAGGGGTCCTGATGGGTGGGTACTGAACAAACGTGCAGTTACATGCATCCCATGTTCACTTTGGGATGAAGACTTAACGTGGAAATACATTACAGTTGGGCCCTATATGTCAAAAGGTGAGGTGGGGACATGAAGGCATTCAAGTGAGCAGCCTCTGTAAACTGGCCAGAATCAGTTCATGGTTGGTGGTCTTCTTACTGAGATAGATTTATTGAAATCAATCTCTTGTCCAATTAAAGCTGTAGCTGTAGCTTGTGGAGCAGGAGGGTTAGTCAGTGTCTGATGGAAGATGAGCTGCAATTGTTTTAATATTTATTGCTTATCTCAAGGTCAGTGCTTGTTCAGCTACTAGAGTAAAAGAAAAACTTTGGCAGTTAGAAGATAGTTTATTTTTTAAGTGTAGGGAGTTTGTGACTTAACCCTTGCCTGGCATGGCCTTAGGTCCTAGTTATTTGTTTACAGACAGGGTCTCACTCTGTTACCCAGGCTGGAGTGCAGTAGCGATCACAGCTCACTGCAGCCTTGAACTCCTGGGCTGAAGTAATCCTTTTGCTTCAGCCACCCCACCCCCCAGGTAGCTGGGACTACAGATGTGCCCCACCATGCCTGGCTAACTTTTGTATGTTTTGCAGAGACAGGATCTTGCTTTGTTGCCTAGGCTTGATCCTGTTTATAATTTGATATCTTATTGCTACAAAGAGTCTTCTGTCAGTCTTATGATCTCTATTTAACATTAATGCTCATCAGTTATTGTGTTTAAACAGCAAAAGGAGGGGTATAACAAGGTGCATGCGGCCTCCTGTTCCATCATGGCTGAGAACTCGGTTTTTAAGGTTTCTCTGGGGTCCCCTTCATCAAGAGGGGATCTGTTCAGTTGGTTGGGAGGATTAGTATTTTATTTTTAGTTCTCATATTGTATCATGGGGGGAAATTATCGGACATATATGGATTTGTGAAACAATATGCTTATTCTTGAATTTGTTGAAGGACTTTTATTTAGCGGGTGAAGGTCTTGTATTTTGGAAGCCATTTGGTTCATAAATTATTTTTTCAGTGATTAGAGCATTTCAATTTAGTGTCACTTTTTTCAATGAACTTTAAATTAGAAATCATTCTTAAGAAGAGTAGAGAGTGTGCCTTCTTTCAAATTTAGCTCATATTTCTTTTACATACTCAGATTTTTAAAAAATTGTTACTGTATTTTAAGGAATTAAAAAGAGTCAAATGGAATTTAATTTTTCAGCCTGCACTAACTACTGTATCTGAGTATGCAAGGCAGTAATAATAATCTGCATACCTCCTTTAGTTGTGTGCATTTGAAAGAAAATGAATTGTTTTACAGGGTCTTGTGTTTGAGCTTTACTAAAATTGACTTAAAAATAGGAACATCAGTTGATTTGGAGTAGAAAGGAGTATTCATGACTTTATGGAATGGCTAAGATTTCAATTTAAAACCATTTTATTATATGTTAATATTTAGTTAAATAAAACATAAGATTATTTTGTTTTTCTTTCCTCTTAGGAAGTGTTTTATGTTTTCAAAGGACTAATATGTTATTTATCTCTTGCTGCTTACCACCACCCCAGATTTTAGTGGCTCTATTAGTTTTGCTGCTGTAACAAGTTATCACAAATTTAGTGGCCTAAAATAACATATTCATTATTTTACAGTTCTTTAGAGACAGGGTCTCACTCTGAAATCTGAAATGGATTTTACTGTGTTAAAATCAACATGTCAGTGGAATTGTGTTTCTTCTGGAGGCTGTAGGGGAGAATCTGTTTCCTAACTTTTCTTGTTTCTAAAGGCCATCTGTATTTCTTGGCTTGTCCTGTTCCCCCATCTTCAAAGCCAAAAATCACATTACTCTGACCTCTGCTTCCATGGTCATATTTTCCCTGACTCTGATCTTCCTGCCTCTGTGTTTTCCATCATAAGGACCTTTGTGATTATGTTGGGCCTGACCAGATAATTCAGGATTATCTCCATCTAAAGATTCTTAATCACATCAGTAAAGTCTCTTTTGCTCTGTAAGGCAACATATTCAGAGGTTTAGGGTATTAGGACAAAAAATCTTTGAGGGACCATTATTTTGCCTACCATAGTGGCTTAAAACAATACTCTTATTTCTCATGATTCAGTGGGTCAACAATTTGTATTGTGCTCAGCCGGGCTGTTCTTCTGCTTGTCTCTGCAGTGGTCATGCAGGAATCTTCAGTGATCTGGCAGATTATCTGGAGCTGGATGGTCTAAGGTGGCCTTATTCATATGTTTGGTAGTTGATACTGACCATCACCTGGGCCATGTGTCTCCTCTAGTAGACTTAACCTGGGCATGTTCACTTAGTGGCAGAGAGAGAGAGAGACCCCAAACTGTAAAATCTCTTGATGCCTAAAAGTCTCACAATATCACTTGTACCATATTTTATTGGTCAAAGCAGATCACAAGGCCAGCCCAGATTCAAGGGTGAAGAAATAGATTCTGTCTTTTGATGAAAGCAGAAAAAATTTGTGGCCGTTAAAAATCTTATATAACTAACTTTACATATTTTATTCCTTCTGTAATATTCCTGTAATAGTTATGACATTGGGGTACTCATTTAGTGAATCTTGACATAATTGCTTAGGATTTCACTTTTGAAATGTGTTTAACTGTCATCCTGTATGGCAATTGGTGATTTTAGAAGATACTGCAATTTTATGAACCTTTGATTAAACTTGTGTTTTAACACTGATATATTTATTTATGTAGAAACTGCTGGAGCGAACCCGTGCCAGGCGAGAGAATCTTCAGAGAAAAATGGCTGAGAGGCCCACAGCAGCTCCAAGGTCTATGACTCATGCTAAGCGAGCTAGACAGCCACTTTCAGAAGCAAGTAACCAGCAGCCCCTCTCTGGTGGTGAAGGTAAAAGACTTTGTGGGGAAAAATAACATTTACTTTTTTTTTCTTTTGAAGGAGACAAGCCCCAAACATTTCATTAGCATATAGAAGAACCAAGCTCTTTGGGAGACAAATGTAACAGCCTCTGGGGGAAATAACAGCCTTCTATTCTATTTCAGAGTTATTATATTAGGCCTAGAACCTATAGGGTTGGAACGGTTTCTTCTAAAAAATATTTTAAATTAATTGATTGAACTTTATTTTCTTCATTCTGAAGTTATCCTTAAAACCTCAAGGGAAGAAAAATAAAGGAGTAGGGTAACATTTATACTTACAGTAGTGTGTAGTTTTTTTATCCCAGGGGTGGCAGAACAGCTGGCCACTGAGTTTGGGTGGTGTCTCCGGTACCAGCAAGGCAATGGAAGGCACACTGCCCATGCTTGACATTTAATGAACCCTTTTCACTCTCTATTTGCTGAACCAACTCTCTAAAGTTTAGGTTGTTAATCTCCAGAAGTGGTGGAATTAAACACAAGCACACACACACATACACACAAACAAAAACTCACCTGTAGTCTTACTCTTTCCTCAATCCTAGGATTGATTCCCAGCCAGCATCAGACAGCCTCCTTAGTCTTTTCCTGGAGTGTAGAATAGTCTGGAGATAATAATCTTCCTTAGTACGACTGTAAAATACTGTAATACAACTGTAAAATAAAATATAGAAAAAATTACAGAGGGCAAAACCAATGTTTTTTTAAAAAAAAAGAAAGCAGAGAAGTGTACATGGGGCTAGCTCAGTTATTTTGGAAGCTAATCATAGAACAAGAATTAGTTTTCATACGTTTATCCATTTTGAAGGGAGAGTGAAGGAAATACATTACATATTATATGGTATTCAGCCAGGAAAATAGGGGCCTGACCCTAGTCCAGGATCTTCGTTTTCACTGTGAGATGGGTTTGTACTATTGAGTGCTATGTATTTGAAACCAGTGTTACCTAAACTTCTTTAGGTAGAAGTTCAAAACTACATTTCGATGTTTAGGTAGAAGTTCACATTTACTGTTTTAGATAATTGTAAACTAGAAGAATTCTGTATTTCCAGATGGTATTGCATGTTAAAGCAGGAACACTTTCAAAAATTATTAGATGTGTTCATAGAAAATAGATCGATAAGTGAGTTATAAAACATTAGAAAGTTTCAAAAATAAAAAAAGGAAAAGAAAAGAAAAAAGAGCCAAGTGTAGTGGCTCACGCCTGTAATCCCAACACTTTGAGAGACTGAGGTGGGCAGATTGCTTGAGCTCAGAAGTTGGAGACCACCTTGGGCAACATAGCAAAACCCTGTCTCTACAAAAAATACAAAAATTAGCTGGGCATGGTGGCACATCTGTAGTGCCAGCTACACAGGAGGCTGAGGTGGGAGGATCGCTTGAGCCCAGGAAGTTGAGGCTACAGTGAGCTGAGATTGCACCACTGCATTCCATCCTGGGTGACAGAGTGAGGCCCTATCTCAAAAAAAGAAAAAAAGAGACATAAAAGTGGAGTGGGGAAAAAATAGATTAGAAAGTTTCATGATGTATATTTACTTAGGTTGATGTCAACGAGGCAATCATGATTTATCCCTGATACTACTTTGGTCACTGCCAGAACATTTGTTTAGGCAGTTGATGAAACTGACCTCATATGAAATGTACCTTCTTTGAAAATATTAATTTTCCAGGAGATATATTGAAACTCATAGTTAGAAATAATATGCCTTATGGTTCTGATAGATTTTTTTTTTTTAATTTTAGGGCTTTTTCAGTTATTTTATAGGTGTTCATAGAAGCTTGAAATATGAAATGTTAAATATTTGTACTGGTGAATTTGTTTGGTATTGACCAGATAATTCAGTCACTTTTTCTGTCTCCTGTCGTAATCCTAAACCTCAAGCCAATTGCCCTTCTAACCATGCTTATTAGTTATTTTCCATGAAAGAATGTTTCAAAAACAGAAAACCTGGTTTCTACACTTGGCTCAGCTGTGTGACTTTAGGCGGGCAACTGAATTTCTCTAGGCTTGATTTTTCTTATCTGAAGATGAGGTGATTAGGCTGTATAATCCTTAAAATCTGTTAGAATGCTTTCTTATTCTGTGTGTATGCACTTTTTATTTACTATTGTCTTAACACTATATAAAGTGTTATGCATATATTTTGAAAATATGATTTAAATATCTTTATTTTTATTTTTCCATAAGTTATTGGGGTAGAGGTGGTATTTGGTTACATGAGTAAGTTCTTCAGTGGTGATTTGTGAGATTTTGGTGCACACATCACCCGAGCAGTATACACTGCACCATATTTGTAGTCTTTTATCCCTCGCCCCCCTTCCGCTCTTCCCCCCAAGTCCCCAGAGTCCATTGCATCCTTCTTATGCCTTTCCATCCCCACAGCTTAGCTCTAAATATCTTTTCATTAAGGTTTTTATAATATAAATTGTGTCTGCTTGAAAAGATCTTTCATATCAGATTTCTAAGTTGCTGAAAGAGAATGGGGTTTTACATACTTCTGGTTGTAACTAAAATCATTTAAAAGAATAGGGAGGGGTGATGTTTTATTAATTTGTTGAGTATCTACCCTCAAGTTTTTCATGTGAGAAATTACAAATTTGAATGTCTTTTTTCATCGTTTTTAATGTAGAGAAATCTTGTACAAAACCATCGCCATCAAAAAAACGCTGTTCTGACAACACTGAAGTAGAAGTTTCTAACTTGGAAAATAAACAACCAGTTGAGTCGACATCTGCAAAATCTTGTTCTCCAAGTCCTGTGTCTCCTCAGGTGCAGCCACAAGCAGCAGATACCATCAGTGATTCTGTTGCTGTCCCGGCATCACTGCTGGGCATGAGGAGAGGGCTGAACTCAAGATTGGAAGCAACTGCAGCCTCCTCAGTTAAAACACGTATGCAAAAACTTGCAGAGCAACGGCGCCGTTGGGATAATGATGATATGACAGGTATGAATTGTATAGATGGTATGGCCCATACATCTGTTCCAATAAGATTCAGTTTGGTATGTTGAACATTTTATCAGTTAACTCATGAAAAATAAATGCTTTTGTTTTATCTATATGTTGAGTATCCTTTGCTTGCATATGGTTTGTCTACCAGTAGTATAAGTTGGTTATGTTTAGACTGAAGTAGATCACGATGTGGTTCTTGGACTAGTTCATAGAAACCTGATCTTATAACTGTATTACCTTAATATCTGCAATGAAAAACACTTGAGAACAAACTATACGTGTTGTTAGCATTGCTGACCCTCAGCTCCATGTTAAAGAAATCCTATTTCATGGATTCAAAAATTAAATAAACTTGAGGGACTAAGGTATGCAATGCTGTTCAGTAGGGGAGAAATAAAATGTCAAAAAACATAAATTGAGCAGCTGCAAAGTATATTATTACACACAGTGCTAGAAATGAATGAAGTGGCTTGATCCTTACCTTTCATGAGCCTATAATCGGAAGGGGAACCTGAGAAGTAAAGCAACAGTTATGCAACAGGGTTATTTATGGTATGATCAATTTCACTTATCGCCTGCCTTGTTACAAAAAAAAAAAGCTTTGAGATGACTTATAAAAATATCTGTATTTTGAAACCAGAAAAATGAAGTCAAGGTGAAGAGAAAATACGGGAAGGGAAAACAAAGAAGTGAAAAGTAAAGTCATTTTATTAAATGCAGACTGTAAAGTCTTCCTTTTGCTAGAGGCCTATGCGAAGACATGAAACAGTTATCAGTTACATGACTAACAAGCTAAAAGCAGAACCATCTTTGGCACTAAGACTTGCAATTTGGCAGTAAGAGCTGAGAGAACTTTCTTTCATGTGTCCTTAAATATGACTTTGTGGGAGCCGATAAACCTATAAGGTTTCTTAAGGCAGGCAGATGTCCTGGCTCCAAGCTCAGTAAAAGCATTTCTTTTTTCTTTTCTTTTTTTTTGAGACAGAGTCTCACTCTGTTACCCAGTCTGGAGTGCAGCAGCACAGTCTTGGCTCATTGCGACTTCCGCCTCTCAGGTTCAAGCGATTCTCATGCCTCAGCCTCCCAAGTAGCTGGGATGACAGGTGTGTGCCACCATGCCCAGCTAATTTTTTTTGTATCTTTTGGTAGAGATGGAGTTGCACCATGTTGGCCAGGCTGGTCTCGAACTCCTGACCTCAAGTGATCACCCGCCTTGGCCTCCCAAGTGTTAGGATTACAGTAATGAGCCACCGCATCCAGCAGTAGAAGCATTTCTAAAGTGAGCTAGCATAGTGCAGGTAGACCCCACGGTGCTTGCAGACAGCTCAGTGGCTACTGGGCCTCACCCAAGGAAGCATTCCTTAGGTGGTTCTCAGCCTGGCTGATTGTATCAGAATCACATAGACCATAGGATTAGAATTTCAGAAATGTGGTGGAGCTCAAAGATGTGCTTTTGTCTTATTTTTTTTAAAGCTCTTTAGGTAATTCTGATGCATAGCCAGAATTGAGATCAAGTGATCTGAAGAATGGGGCTTGGATGGTTGACAGATATTTTAGACTGGATTAAACCAGATGGACTACATATATTTCAGGCAGTCTTCCATACATATCAGTTCTTTTAACTGAAATGTTGATAAGAATTAGGCAGCAGAGAGTTTAAGATTATGTTTTCTGGAAGTGATGATAATAATCTCAAGAGCAAACAGTATGTAAAATGCTAGGTATTGCAAATATTTTTTATTCTAATATAAATTTTTTTATTCTAATAGCGTTTAATTCTTATAATCTTGAGATATATACCACTTTTATCTTCATTTTATAGAAGAAGGAAACTGGGTTCATAGAGGCTAATAAACCTGTCCACAGTTAGCCAGCTCAAATTCAAATCCCAATGGTTTGACTTTAGAGCTCTTAACTCCTGTGACCTGCCTGATGATTTTTTTGTTTTTGTTTTTTTGAGACAGAGTCTCACTGTGCTGCCCAGGCTGGAGTGCAGTGGCGCAATCTCGGCTCACTGCAACCTCCGCCTCCCAGGTTCAAGCAGTTCTCCTGCCTCAGCCTCCCGAGTGGCTGGGATTACAGGCACATGCCATCACACCCAGCTAATTTTTGTATTTTTAGTAGAGATGAGGTTTCACCATGTTGTCCAAGCTGGTCTTGAACTCCTGACCTCAGGTGATCCGCCTGCCGCGGCCTCCCAAAGTGCTGGGATTATAGACGTGAGCCACCTCGGCAGGCCACCTGATGTTTTTTGGCACATAGCATAGTCTATGGTGTCAATTAATACCTATTTATTTTAGCAGTGGTGAGGTAAGAGGTAGGACTCGACTCCAGATGCGGGACTTGGACACTGGACAAGATAGAGAAATAACAACAACAACAAACAAATAAATTAAAAAAAAATTGAGGACTAGCTAAAACAGGGCCTGGGGGAAGCAGCTTTCCAGTGACATGCCCACCAGTGTGCCATGTCAATTCATCATTGCCATGGCAACACCCAGGAGTTACCACCCCTTTCCATGGCAATGACCCAAAAGTTACTATCCCTTCCCTAGATATTTCTACATAAGCTGCCCCTTAATGTGCATGCAATTAAGAGTAGGTATAAATATGATTGTAAAACTGCCCTGAACTGCTACTCTCTGCCTATGGAGTAGCCCTGCTCTGCACAGGGAATCAACAGAGCTGTAACATTGCCTCTTCAATAAAGCTATTTTTTTTTTTTTTTTTGAGGTGGAGTCTTGCTGTGTTTCCCAGGCTGGAGTGCAGTGGCACAATCTTGGCCCACTGCAACTTCTGCCTTCCAGGTTCAAGCAATTCTCCTGCCTCAGCCTCCTGAGTAGCAGGGATTACAGGCACACGCCACCACACCCAGCTAATTTTTTGTATTTTTAGTAGAGACAAGATTTCACCATGTTGGCCAGGCTGGTCTCAAACTCCTGACCTCAGGTGATCCACCCGCCTCGGCCTCCCAAAATACTGGGATTACAGGTGTGAGCCACCGTGTCCTGCCTGCACCTAGGTTATAATACTAGCCTTCTAACTGGTCTTCCTGCTTCAGACCTCTGCCCTGTCCAGTCCCTCCTCAATTTTCACACCAGCGCGATTTTTCTAAAACACTTGCCTGCTTCTGCTTTAAACTCTCCCAGGACCTCCCCATCACCTCCTGATTAAATTCCAATCTGGACCTGCTCTTTTTCAAACGTATCTCTCTATTTTGACACATTCAGAATGGAAAAAAAATGTAACTCTTGCTTTTCTACTGCTTGCTTTAAACACCAGAATAGGATCTACTTATACACACACTCTGCTCATGTTACTTACCTCTGCTTTCTATACATTTTTGTTTTTCTGACTAGATTATCTCCATTCTCTGAAGCCAGTTGTCCTTCAGAGTCCAGCTTAAGGAGTCTCTCCCTCCTCCAGAAAAGCCTCCCTGACCACCACTTTACCTGCAATACCCTTTATATACTTCTGTTATTTTCCCTAGAATAAACACTGTCCTATCAGCAGATGACAGTTTTATTGTCATATTTTAGGAATGGGCTTAATAAGACCTCTAGCTCTTGTAACTATACTCTGTGGTGCATGCCTGTAATCCCAGCTACTTGGGAGGCTGAGGCAGGAGAATGTCTTGAACCCGGGAGGCGGAGGTTGCAGTGAGCCGAGATCGCGCCATTACATTCCAGCCTGGGCAACAAGAGCGAAACTCTTTCTCAAAAAATATAATATAATATAATATAATCTAGGTGCAAAGAGTGAAGGCCTGTGGAAATGAAGAGGAGAAGCTGGATTTGAGAGATACAGGAGACAAACTCTAAGACCTAACGACTGGATGGTGGAGGGAGAAGGGAGGAAGAGGTCAGATTCCTGGCCTCAGTGACTGGGTAGTTAGTGATGTCTTTTCCTAAGATGAGGAGGAATATGTTCGGGGCAATTTCAACTTCACATATGTTATTTGGGATATCTGTGGGAGAGCCAAATGGAGGTATTTGGTAGTTGCAAGACTGTGAAGGATAAGCCAGGAAGGATAGTAGAGAATGATGTCACAAATAGAAAGGGAGTGATATATTTTAGAGATGTCAAGAAATACAAAGCCTGCAAAGTGTGTACTGGCATCTAGTGACAATGGCAAAACCAACTTCAGGGCAGTGGTATAGGCAGAAGGTCAGTTGAGTGAGTTAAGTGGTGCGTGAATATTGTGCAGGGAAAGAGGGGCGGTAGTTAAAGAGGATGTATATCAATGAGGGGATGTTTATTTTTTTTGAGACAGGGCCTTGCCTCATTGCTCAGGCTGGAGTGCAGTGGTAATGCTCTCAGCTCGCTGCAACCTCCTCCACCTCCCAGGCTCTAGCGATCCTCCCACCTCAGTGACCCGAGTAGCTGGGACTATAGGCGCATCACCAAGCCCAGCTAAGTTTTGCATTTTTTGTAGATGTTGCATTTTTCGTAGGTTTTGCCGTGTTGCCCAGGTTGGTCTTGAAGTCCTGAGCTCAAGCAATCCACCCGCCTTGGCCTCCCAAAGTGGTGGGATTACAGGCATGAGCCCACCGCTCCTTGCCGGGATGTTTGTTTGTTTGTTTGTTTATGAGAGGGAGTCTTGCTCTGTCACCGAGGCTGGAGTGCAGTGGCACGATCTCGGCTCACTGCAACCTCCGCCTCCTGGGTTCAAGCTATTCCCCTGCCTCAGCCTCCCGAATAGCTGAGTTTGCAGGCGCCCGTCACCGTGCCCGGCTAATCTTTGTATTTTAGTAGAGACAGGGTTTCACCATGTCACTTAGGCTGGTCTCGAACTCCTGACCTCAAATGATCTGCCTGCCTCGGCCTCCCAAAGTGCTGGGATTACAGGCACGGGCCCTTTGCACCTTGCCAGTATGTTTATTTCTAAGGTGAGAGAGACTTGAGCATCCAGTAGTCTCCCCACTTATCCGCTGGGTATATGTTCCACGACCACCAGTGGATGTCTGAAACCTCAGACAGTACCGAACCCAATTGCCATCATTCACACCATCTTTCTGTGCATCTTCCACCTGGAAATGTAATGCCTTTTCCATCTTAACTAAGCACTTACACACACTGTGGCCATAACTTTCATAGTTTGAGGTACGACAGCAAAACTCCATGAATTTCTTTTATCTTCCTCACAATTTCATGGAAGAAGATTCATTTTTACCATAGATCTTAGCAACCTCAGCGTATTATTTTCTTTCCTTATTTAGTTGAGAACTTTCACCTTTTGACTTCAAGAAAGCACTTTATGGCTTCTCTTAGGCATATCTGAATTGCCAGCACCACTGCTACTGCTCTTGTGCTTTGGGGACATCATTAGGGCAAATAAAGGCTACTTGAACACAAGCACTGCATACTCCAGTAGTCGATCTGATAACCAAGACGGCTATAAAGTGATTATGGGGCGGGTGGCATATACAGTGTGGATATGCTGGACAAAGATTCATATCCTGGTCAGATGGTGCAAGATTCATAATGCTACTCAGAACGGTGTGCAGTTTAAAACCATATATGAATTGTTTATTTCTGGAATTTTCCATGTAATATTTTTAGACAACAGTTGACTGCTGATAAGGAAACTGGGAAAGTGAAACTGAAGATAGGGCGTGGGCTACTGTATGGTCATATACCACATATTGACGTTTTGATCAGTGGTGGACTGCATATACAATGGTAGTCTCATTATAATGTATTTTTACTGTACTTTTTCTATATTTAGATGTTTGCTTACCATTGTGTTACAGTTGCCTGCAATATTCAGTAGAGTAACATGCTGTACAGGTTTTTAGCCTAGGAGCAACAGGTTTTACCACATATCCTAACTATATAGTAGGCTACACCATTTTTGTGGATGTGTGCTCTGTGATATACAGATGTACACATAACAAAATCACCTCATGATGCATTTCTCAGAATGTATCCCCATTGTTAAACAACTCATGACTGTGCTTATGTGCAGACAAGAGTTTGTAGAGAAGGAGAGGGCTTATTTCGAGCAAGATCCCTGAGAAGGTTTTGGAGGGGCAGAATTGAAAATTCAGCAGAAGTAGAAGCTTTGGACAGGAGGGATTCCTCTTTCCTTGATTGAATTTGTGGAGTAGGAAGTGCTATGAACCTTGGCTTCCCTATATACATGCCCTAGGGAAGGCCTAGAATCTTCGTCAGTTAAATATCACTATTTGGGATTTCTCTCCAAATGAAGTAACTATGCAGAAAAACATTTGGTTGTTTTTGATTTGATCTAACCCTATGCTATCCAATACAGAAGACACTAGCCATATGTGGATGTTTAAGTTAATTAAAATGAAATAACATGTAGTTTATTAGCTGCTCTAGCCACATTTCAAGTGCTCATTAGTCACAAGTGGCTAATGGTTACTGTATTGAACAATCAAACATTCTGTTGTACAGCAATGGTCTAATCCATTTTTAAAACAAAAAGTTTCTGTGAGATACATAATCTTAAATTGTGCAATGTTATATATACCACCATTAATTCATTCTAAAAATATAACCTATCTTATTCATGATCCATTGAAAAATGGAAAAAATAGATCTAATAGTTTTTTTTTAATTTCGGATTTAATATCATTTGATTTAAAAAGATATTGTCAAATTTAAATAACTTGGAAGTTTCATGCATGCTAGAACTTTTCACTGGTTCTTAAACCTATTAATCTCATTTAAAAATTCAGCATAGAGTGATCCTGGTATTATACGTAAGCATTACTCTTAAACATGGTTTTTAACTCTTTTCTGAAAACATTTTCAGATGACATTCCTGAAAGCTCACTCTTCTCACCAATGCCATCAGAGGAAAAGGCTGCTTCCCCTCCCAGACCTCTGCTTTCAAATGCCTCGGCAACTCCAGTTGGCAGAAGGGGCCGTCTGGCCAATCTTGCTGCAACTATTTGCTCCTGGGAAGATGATGTAAATCACTCATTTGCAAAACAAAACAGTGTACAAGAACAGCCTGGTACCGCTTGTTTATCCAAATTTTCCTCTGCAAGTGGAGCATCTGCTAGGATCAATAGCAGCAGTGTTAAGCAGGAAGCTACATTCTGTTCCCAAAGGGATGGCGATGCCTCTTTGAATAAAGCCCTATCCTCAAGTGCTGATGATGCGTCTTTGGTTAATGCCTCAATTTCCAGCTCTGTGGTAAGTCAGTATCATTTTGGTCTTTGGAAGCCTTTTCTTTTTTCGTTATGAGTGGTATAATACATCTGTGTGTATGTGCAGGTGGATGGGTGGATATATGTTTTATAATAGATGCATAGTGAGTTTATATGTATTTGTAAGATATCGGTTTCTTAGAAAGTGAAAATCGTTAAGTTGGGTACCCATCCCAAGATCAATTAGCAGTTGACAGCTGAAGTTATACTAATTTGATGCAAATCCAGAGTCTATAATGGAATGATAGAGCCTCTTCTTAGTCATTAAGGAGAGCACTGAAAATTAAGTCCTCTGTTATAATGCTTTAAATATATATATGAGAAATTTATATAAATTTATCAAATATTTCTGAAAAGATATATAACAAAATAGTAGCTATAGTTGCCTCCAGGAAGGCAAATTGCCAAACAGGGTGTGATACTTTCACTGTATATCCTTTTGAAATGTTTGAAACTTTTACTTTGTGCATGTGTTACCTCAACAGTTTTCAAAAAACAATCTTAAATAAAAAGGAAAAATAATTTCGTGTTTCTGACCATTGTCTTTTAGTGTAGAGCTAGGCTTTAGAATTAGACCTGCATTGAATCCCAGCTGTACTACATAATTAGAAGTTTGGCTTTGGACAAGGTGCTTAATATTGCAGGGCTTTATTTTTCTATGTGTAAAATAGGAAAAAAAGGTTATTTGGAGGGCTAAATAAGAGTCATAAAGCACTTAGCATAGTACCTGGCTATGTATAAGTAGTTAATCTATTAACTATGAAGTACATGATACTATTTTGTTAAATTTTTATTGACTTAATTAAAATGTAATTTGGTCTAATATAGTTAAAAATTTGATAAAGGTACTAGTGCAATAATATGAATAAAACTTTTTTTTTAAATAAAGAGTGATCATACTGCTAATACTTCATTACCCATGAGTATATTATGCAGACTAACCCACATATTATGATTTAAATCATAGCATTTTTTAAGTTGGTTTTTTTTCCCAAATCTTTCAAATTTGTTTGATCTATTAGAGAGCAAAATCATTTCATTTTCATAAATCTTACATAAAGGCTATCAAGTAAATAGGACTTGAATTGTTTTGTTATAGGACTATTTTTAGATATTGTGAATGTTGTTTACCCTAAGTGTTTTCATGTTTCAGAAAGCTACTTCTCCAGTGAAATCTACTACATCTATCACTGATGCTAAAAGTTGTGAGGGACAAAATCCTGAGCTACTTCCAAAAACTCCTATTAGTCCTCTGAAAACGGGGGTATCGAAACCAATTGTGAAGTCAACTTTATCCCAGACAGTTCCATCCAAGGGAGAATTAAGTAGAGAAATTTGTCTGCAATCTCAATCTAAAGACAAATCTACGACACCAGGTTACGTATTTATAAAAAATTTAGTTATTGCTGATTATATTCAGGATATCTATTCTCAGCATTTTAAATATTCAATTGTGAATGGTACAGCAATGATTTGCCAGGGCCAATGCCTGAATGTTCCAAATGAGACCTCAGCTTTAGTTGATTCAATGAATATTTATTAACGTAGACTAGCCTACTTACTGGTTAAAGGACTTAATATGTTACATTTTAACAGTTTAAACATGCTTTTTCCAGGATGATCATGCTAGATTTTTTTTCTATATTTTTTGATTCAGACAAAGCATGTTTAACTGGAAATCACATTTTAGGGGCATAATGGAGAAACATTCTTGTAGCCAAGTGTGCAGAGCAGTGCTTCTCAATCTTGAGTATGAAGGCACCTCTAATAGCAGAGGGAAGTGAATGTGCATGCAAATGACTCCACTTCTAATTTTATTTATTTACTAAATTGATAAATGATAGAAATTTTTGAAAAAATTGCTGTTTATTGATAAATAATAGATGTATATATTTCGGGAGTACATTTGATAACTTAATACATTTATATAATTCGTAAAGATCAAATCAGTGTAACGAGGATATCCATCACCTTAAATACTTGTCTTTATGCTAGAAACATTTGAATTCTTCTCTTGTAGCTATTTTGAAGTATACAATAGATTATTGTAAACTATAGTCACCCTACTGATCTATCAAACACTGGGTCTTTTTTCTTCTGCCAAACTGTATATTTGTACTCATTAATCAACCTCTCTTCATCCCCCAGTTATATTTATCTGTGTGTATATTGTGTGTGAGCATTTACATATAAAACAAAATTTCTTACCATCGTAAACTGATACTCCAGGAAATGCCATATTTATCTTGTGGTGATTTATACCTTCTGGCACACTTCCACGTACTGTTAATTGAGAAACACAGGACTAAAATATATGGTAATTGAGTTTATTCTGAACTGTATTCATTTTCATTGGAAAGACTTTTAATTCTAAGGTTTAACTTTTTGAAAATACAACCTCTGCAGAAACTATAGTTCATCATAAAGGGGCAGTAAACAGAAATGAGAGTGGGGAAGCGGTTATGGGGTAGGTAGAAATCTGCAATTTCCAGTTGAGCCAGAATGAGAATTGGAAACAATAGCAAGATCCCCAGATGGAATAGGACTAGTTAGTCCCAATTTTCTAAAGACTTAAGCTTAGATAAGAGGCATTCTTTTTAATTGTTCTTGGCTACTGGATATACCCAGAATCACATTTCCAGGGTTTCAGAGATATTTATTTTAGATACTTCATTGTATTCTTAATGGACTCTAGTTTGGAATATGGCCTGAAGTAGTAATAAGTGATAGGTGAAGTCCTCAAATTATGGCCGTGGCTCAAATTCTGCCCTTTGCTTGTTTTTGCAAATAAAGTTTTATTGGAGCACAGCCACACCCATTTACTTACATATTCTCTGTGGTTGCTTTCATTCTGTAATGCAGAGCAGAATAGTTGTGACAGAGGCCATATGGCCCACAAAGCTCAAAATATTTAGTGCCTGGCCCTTTATAGGAAAATATATGCTAATCTTTGATATAGATAAGCCTATTTTTTTATAATACAACCTTAGAATCCTCTTAATGGGAGTGATATAGGCCCAATTTGCCCTACTTTAAATTTACTTCATACTATTTCAATGAGTGCTGTGGGGTTTTTTGTTTTGTTTTGTTTGCTGTTTTTTGTTTTTGAGACAGGGTCTCACTTTGTCACCCAGGATGGAGTGCAGTGAGTGGCATGATCTCAGCTTACTGCAGCCTCGACCTCCCAGATTCAAGAGATCCTCCTGCCTCAGCCCACCAAGTAGCTGGGACTATAGGCATGCCACTACAAGTGGTTAATTTTAGTATTTTTTATAGAGATGGGATTCCTCCATGTTGCCCGGGCTGGTCTCGAACTCCTGAGCTCAAGAGATCCACCCGCCTCGGCCACCCAGAGTACTAGGGTTACAGGTGTGAGCCACTGCACCCCGCTGAATACTATTTTAAGACACTGTAAAGTCAAGGTGTCCTTTTGATAAAATGAATAATTCCTAATTTTCCTTCTGAAGGAAAAAAAGGCAAAATTCCTTTATTTTCACGTTAGGCTTCCTAAAAGCAGGGTAAAATAAATTGACTATAGATATATGTAAGTTGTTGGAAGTTACCATGGCCAGCACACTTCGTGATGAAGGTAGATTTATTAATATACATACAGTCAATTTCTAATTATTTAAATTCTGGTTGTTCAGTTTGAGAGTTTTCTAAGCCCTACTGCCCTCTCCTCATTCTACCTTTTCAAAATTTTTTTTTTTTTTTAAATAACTAAATTCTATGAGTAGGTTTTAGGGCATGTACTTAAATAGAATAGTAAACTTTTTAAAATTTTGAAGTATTTTTATAGTCTACTTTGTGAATGAATATTCCTGATAGAATCAAAGCATTTTGAAGCTGTAATGTAGTTTAGAACTTTTTCCATAGAAATCGTAATAATTTTTTATTTTGAATAGCCTCCAAAAATGTGTGTGTTTTCTGTAGGAGGAACAGGAATTAAGCCTTTCCTGGAACGCTTTGGAGAGCGTTGTCAAGAACATAGCAAAGAAAGTCCAGCTCGTAGCACACCCCACAGAACCCCCATTATTACTCCAAATACAAAGGCCATCCAAGAAAGATTATTCAAGCAAGACACATCTTCATCTACTACCCATTTAGCACAACAGCTCAAGCAGGTATGGTGTACTGCATTTAACATTATTCATCACATGGTCTCTGCATAGAACCTAGAAATCAAAATGGGTTCTGATGCCAGTCTTTTTGACTGAGATAAGTAGCATCTTGGTTTTCTGTATCACTAATTTCAGACAAGATTGGGCACATTCAGGGTGGTATGGCCGTAGACAGTATCACTCATCTCAAATTAGAAATATTGTCCTGAATTCCATGTGTATTATGAACTTTTTAAACTGAAAACTGTTTAAACTTTTTAAACAGTTTAAAACTGCAAACAAGGAAAATTTTAGTAGTGTTTGGATGTTAAACATGCTACCGGCTCTTGTGTAAAATACAGCTTTTGATGGGTTTAGGAACGTCAAAAAGAACTAGCATGTCTTCGTGGCCGATTTGACAAGGGCAATATATGGAGTGCAGAAAAAGGCGGAAACTCAAAAAGCAAACAACTAGAAACCAAACAGGTAATGTAAACAAGAAATATAAAAACGAACTTGGTCCCCAAATAGTTGGGATCTAATTTGTAGTTCTGTATTGGCAAATAATTCTTTACACATTTTTCTTTTCCAATTAACTCTGTCACTTTTCGTTTATAAATCCCTTAAATGTGTGTACCAACTCTTGCTTTTCTTGTGATATTTTTCTATTTCAGTGGAACTCTTCACCATATTCATTGATGACCTTAAAATCAAATTTTACAAAAATTATTTTCATCATTCATTTGATTTCAGAGTCTACTTAATATTCCACTTAGATGGTGGTTCTAAAATATTTCGAGAGTCTACTTTTCTCAATGATGACTGTATACCTTTCCCCAGATACCATGTCTTTAGACTATCTGGGATCCTTTCAGTCACCACATACCTCCCACATTGCTCTTTATTCCGGTCAAAGTTCATTAATCAGCCTTCAACAAAATCTCTACAATGTAAGCTGTGTTCTGTTTAATTTACATGTCTACAAAGTACTGTGTTAGGATATGTTTTTAAGCTAATAGAATTATATTTACAGTGGGGACTAATAGAAAGTAAAATAACAGTAAATTTAATCAGTATTCTTTGAGAAAGATCTACTTGATTGATTTGTTTTTTATCAGTTCACTTGCTTAACAAATCACATTTCCCAGAGTTCTGATCTCAACCTTTTTTTCTCAGTTGCTCTGGAACATCTCTTCCCTGTCCACATACCTAGATTCCGATAATCACTGAAATGCTGATGATGCTCAGCTCCGTTGTGCTGATATCTCTCCTGAGCTCTAGGTGTGGTTGGCTAGCAAAGCCTGCTATGCTTTGCTGTAGTATCTTCCCCTTGTAGTCTCTGTCTTCTCTTGTTGGTTTGCTCTATACCTTGTCATCTAAAACAATCTGGAAGTTCTTCCTTGACTTCTTCCTCTTGTTTACTGTGTCTTCCCTTCTGCTTGCCCCTAGCACACATATGCATAAACACACACGTGCAGTGATAAGTTTTCTAAATCTGTCACCCACCTGCCTCGTCTTCCATATTTTCCTCTGCTATTACCGAAGTTACTGCTGTAGCTTTGTACTGAACATCCTGCTTCTAGTCTCGCTACCCTCCAGTCCACCTTATCAGTTGCTGCCAGAGAAATATATATATATATATATATATTTTTTTTTTTTTTTTTTGACATGGAGTTTCACTCTTATTGCCCAGGCTGGAGTGCAATGGCACGATCTTGGCTTACTGCAACCTCCACCTCCCGGCTTCAAGCGATTCTCCTGCCTCAGCCTCCTAAGTAGCTGGGATTACAGGCATGCGCCACCACACTTGGCTAATTTTGTATTTTTAGTAGAGATGGAGTTTCTCCATGTTGGTCAGGCTGGTCTCGAACTCGTGACCTCAGGTGATCCGCCCGCCTCAGCCTCTCAAAGTGCAGGGATTACAGGTGTGAGCCACCACACCCAGCCGAGAAATATTTTTAAAAGACGCATATTCATGTATTCACTTGCTTAAAATCTTGAAGTGCTCCTCATAGTCATCATCAGAAAAAATGCGTAAACTGCTTGGCTTGACATATAGAATGATTCCTCACCTGGCTCCTCCCCACTGCTCCTCCACAGGTATGCTTCAGTCCTGCCATGCAGGCTATTTGCAGTTTCTCAAATATACCCATGTTTTTATATCTCTCTGCCTTTGCCTTCTGTTCTCTGCCAGGAATATTTCCCTGGTGAGCTCCTACTTCATTAAGAATAGGTCAAACTTTAATCCCCTCTAGGAATTCTTCCTTTTCTCAAAGTGTCCCACTTTTTTTCACCCATGTCATCCTGTGTATACCTCAACTAGAATATTTATCTTCCTGTGAATGTTGTAAGTTTGCATTCCACCACTGCCTATGGGAGTCTTCTCCACCTCTGTGTCCTTAGTGCCTGGCTCAGACTAGGGGCTCAACAAACTTGTATTTGAAGGAAGAAATGCGTTTGCTGATCCTTCCCATCAGCATATAACAAGCTATTATCTGCCATCTGAAAAAAAAAACAACTCTTGCAACCCATTCCCCTCCTTTTCTTTGCCTCCATGTCATGCAGACTCTTCTACAAGTTATTCCTACTTGCTGCTTTCAGGTTTCCCCCTTCTCTTTAGAATTCTATCTGCTTAAGCTTTGCCACCACTCCTTCCACGACTCAGTATCCTAATCACGTTTGTCAGTGATCTTCACCTACTAATCAATTTTCAGTTGATTAGTAGCATTTGACATTGTCGATCACTCTTCTGTTGGGAGCGCCTTCTTTACTTGGTTGCCAGTGTATCATATTCTCATGGCTTTCTGCCAGTGTCTCTAGAAAGTATAGAGCAGGGTTCTTAAACTATTTTGTACTAAATAATTCCCAATAAACCTGTGAAATTCCTCCCAGAAAGTTGCACATATGCATGTAAACAAAATTCTGAACACAGTAACAGTGCAGAGCACTCATCTGTGGTCTCCACAGACTAAGCAGCCAAAGAGCTAGGAGGAAAATGTAGTTGAAGGCAGTGTCTTTAAAGTCAAGGGGCTCGGCGTGGTGGCTCCCGCCTGTAATCCCAGCACTTTAGGAGACTGAGGCAGGTGGATCACTTGAAGTCAGGAGTTTGAGACCAACCTGGCCAACATGGTGAAACCCTATCTGTACTAAAAATACAAAAAAAATTAGCCAGGCCTGGTGGCGGGTGCCTGTAATCTCAGCTACTCAGGAGGCTGAGGCGGGAGAATCTCTTGAACCTGGGAGTCGGAGGTTGCAGTGAGCCGAGATCGCACCACTGCACTCCAGTCTGGGCAATGGAGTGAGACTCCGTCTCAAAAAAAAAAAAGGAAATAAAGTCAAGGGAAGAAAGAAAACTTTCGAGAAGGAAGGCATGGTTGGTATTGTTACGTTTCAAATGTGGGTTAAGCCAAATCTACTGGGTTTTGAAGCAAGAAGTTTGCTGTAACGTGGCAAGAGCAGTGTTAGTGAAGAGGTGAGGGTGGCGTGCAGGTGGTGCTGTGTCGAGGAGGGAACGGGCAAGAGGAGCAGAGCCAGTGAGTGCAGGCATTTCTTAGTTTGGTCCTAATGGAGGTGATAAAGGAGGTAGTGGCTAGAAGAGATGAAGAAAAGTATGATTTGTATGTGTTTTGTCCTTTCTGAGACCTAAGTCAATTTGTGTGATGGGATAAGGGGTGATAATTGATGGGATGAGGTGAGAATGGATGAACTCCGCACAGTGAAGGGAACAGAACTGATGAGGACAATCTCCTGTGTGACGAAAAGGAAGGAGGAAAGTAGCATGTAGGGGTGATGGTAGTCTTAGAGTTAGGATAGCAAAAACTGATGGACTTTCTTCTGAAAGCTCCTGTTTTATTCATCCTTAGGAAAGGGAAGGTGACAGGGGAAATACTGTATGGAGGAAAGAAGAGAGAGCTGACTCAGACATAGGAAGAATAGGGGGTAGTATTGAGGCTTAGATGAGATATGAGACCGTAGATTTTATAGTGGAACCATTTGATCGTTTACTTTGCTTTTTGTGTTTTTAAAAAATTTTTATGTATTTTTTAATCCACTCATCTGCATGCTAATTACATTGTTTTTACACAACCAAAGCTGCTTCTAACTTGAGAGACAATAAAGTCTGGAACTAGACCTGGAACAAGAGTACCTGGGTTTGTATACTGGCTCTGCCAGTCACTAACTGTGTGCAAGATACTTAACTTTTTTGTGTCTCAGTTCTCTCATCTGTAAAATGGAGATACTAGTACCTAACATAGAGGGTTATTGAGAAGATTAGGTGAGGCAATAGATATAAGGTGCTTAGAAAGGTGGCTGGCACATATTGAGCTCTGTATAAGTATTAGCTGCCTTTATTTTACTCTTATTTGATTATTTCTACTATGACTTCATTCATAAAGTCTTCTTTTATTTCTTTGCTGAAATAATCTGTACAACAATATAAAGTCTTTAAACATACAAAATAGTGAATGTTCCTCTTAAATAACCTTGCTAATGAATAAAAAGACTCAGACGAGGGAATGTTTTCTTCTCTTCTCTTCTTTCCTTACCTTCTGATCTGTTTTGTCCTTGTTTTCTCTTGCTCTTACCCTCCGGGTAACTGATAATTAAATGGAATCCTGATGTGTAGGAGCTGTCACCAGATGTTATAGGTGTGGGTTGAGATAAGTGACATAGGGGTGGGTGTTTTTCCCTTTGTGTGGCTTTCACTTTGTTTTTTTATTGTTATTTTATTTTATTTTATTTTATTTTATTCTACCAAATACCCAGACTTCAAGGAGAGGCTTTCACTTTGATTGGCTTATCTAAAACTGAGCCCTGATATGAATTTTCATTCTTTCTTGCCACCTCCTCTCCAAAAAAATTTTTACATACTGAGAATTACCAAGAATGTGAACTAGCACTGAGGGTTTGTCGTGTTCTGAACAAGGCTGGGCCTATTCACATACACTATCTCTTTGGTTCTAAGGAAACTTATACAGAATAATATTTAATAATAATCTTGTTTCATTTAATAACATAGAAAGATAAAATATATAGTTTTGAGAAATAAAATTTACTTTTCATTCGCTTTTTGCAGGAAACTCACTGTCAGAGCACTCCCCTCAAAAAACACCAAGGTGTTTCAAAAACTCAGTCACTTCCAGTAACAGAAAAGGTGACCGAAAACCAGATACCAGCCAAAAATTCTAGTACAGAACCTAAAGGTCAGTGTTTCCAGATTGTTCATGGTTAGTATGTAGAAACTCAAATGATGTTTGTGTGTTGATTTTGTATTCTGTAACTTTGCTGGATTTGTTTGTTCTAACGTTTTTTGGGGGGAATCTTTAGGGTTTTCTTTCTTTTTTCACTTTTCTTTGAGATGGATTCTTGCCCTGTTGCCCATGCTGGAGTGCAATGGTGTGATCTCTTGGCTCACTGCAACCCTCACCTCCCGGGTTCAAACGATTTTCCTGCCTCAGCCTCCCGAGTAGCTGGGATTACAGGCGCCTGCCACCATGCCCAGCTAATTTTTGTATTTTTAGTAGAGATGGGGTTTCACCATGTTGGCCAAGCTGTTCTCAAACTCCTGACCTCGTGATCTGCTTGCCTTGGCCTCCCAAAGTACTGGGATTACAGGGGTCAGCCACTGCGCCCAGCCCAGGGTTTTCTACATGTAAGATCCTGTGATCTGTGAATAGAGATAATTTTACTCCTTTTCTAATTCAGGTGCCTTTTATTTTCTTATATAATTGCTCTGGCTAGGACTTTCAATGCTGTGTTGAATAGAAGTCATTAAAACAGGCATCTTTGTCTTGTTCCTCATCTTAAAGGAAAAGCTTTTAATCCTTCACTGTTGAGTGTAATGTTAGCTGAGGGCTTTTCATATATGGCCTTTGTTACGTTGTGTACCTTCCTTCTATTCCTAGTTTTTGAGTAATTTTATTGGCACTTTGTTTTTAAAGTAAAAAACAAATTGCAGAGTAGTGGTATGTATGGTATGATCACAAAACAAAACAAAATGATATGTAAATATGCACACCTTGGGGGAAACTGGAAAAACAAACAATAACCTGGTAATATTGCTGTCCCATTTCTCTCTCGGTGGGGGAAAAGTTAATGCATTTATGCCTAGTGTTCCATTATTGGAACGCTAAGCTTATGGGAGTTACTTATGTCCTCCTGCTCAAGGTTGTCACCAAGAACTGATTTTTCACAAAATAAATTTGCAACCTCCAGCATAAATGGGTTAAGAGAGGACAGGTGTTCAGGGAGGGGTGTTTCTATACATTTCTGGGTTTGGATATTTTAAAACGAATACATAGTTTTATAATCAGAAAAAAAAAACACACACAAGATTCCATAATTAGAAAATTATAGGTTCTTATATATATTAATATGGTCTTTCTTAAACATTTTTAGGTTTCACTGAATGCGAAATGACGAAATCTAGCCCTTTGAAAATAACATTGTTTTTAGAAGAGGACAAATCCTTAAAAGTAACATCAGACCCAAAGGTTGAGCAGAAAATTGGTTGGTTTTTATTCTTTATTTATTATTAACTTTGCACATACTATAGGAAATAATATATTGATAGAAGCACATATTCAAATTGAGAGTATCTCTGCTTTTTAAATTAAATCAGAATACACTGTAGCTTCTACCAAGATGTGGTACTGTTAACAGTTACTGCTAGCTCACAGGCACCTGTGAAAGTGTGGTTAAGACCCTCACTGACTTTGACAGGGATAGGAAAGTTGCTGCCCTCCCACGCTCTGTACTGGTAGAGGGGTGTTTCAGGGAAAAACTCTCTGGGATTATGTTTTCCTCTGTTTTCATACCACCACAACAATCATCAACACAGAAGACTTTTGTGACCAGTTCAATTCAATTCAATTCTGACACTAGCTACATGGAAGTAGTGTCAGATCCCACAGGTTGGGGACTCAGTCCCCAAGACTGCCTCCTCTCCTTCAGATACCAGTTGCAAGTGCAAGTCCAGGCCTCTCAAACTTCCTTTTTTTTTTTTTTTTTTTTTTTGAGACAGTCTCACTCTGTCGCCCAGACTAGAGTGCAGTGGCACGATCTTGGCTCACTGCAACCTCCACCTCCCAGGTTCAAGCGATTCTTCTGCCTCAGCCTCCTGAGTAGCTGGGACTACAGGCGCTGCCCCCACACCCAGCTAATTTTTGTATTTTTAGTAGAGAGGGGGTTTCACCATATTGGCCAGGCTGGTCTGGAACTCCTGACCTCGTGATCTGCCTGCCTTGGCCTCCCAAAGTGCTGGGATTACAGGCGTGAGCCACCATACCTGGCCCAGGGCTCTCAAACTTCTAACCGACCAGCTTCAAGCTGAGGTTTCTGTGACCCCCTCTTTAGCTTGGATTAATTGGCTCACAGAACTCTGGGAAATACTTACGTTTACTGCTTTATTTTAAAGGATATGGGTGAGGTATACGGAAAGGGGCATGGAGCTTCCATTGCCTTCCCTGGGGCGCCACCCTCCAGGAACCTCCACGTGTTCAGTTATCCAGAAGCTCCCTGAACCCAGTTCTCTTGGGTTTCAGTGGAAGCTTCATAAAGTCAGCATTCCCTCCCCCAGGGTATGAGGCTGGATCCTCTCTGGTGAGGGGTGAGGTGGGTGTGGGGGTCGTCTTAAGAACCACAATGAGAAAGATAGGAGAAGATTAGAGTCCTGCCGTGGGGCAGGTGAAAGGATGGCAGGAGAGTTCTGTTTCCTGTGAGGCCTAATGCACCCAACATTATAACGAAAGACAGTAACTAGGGATACAGCAGTTATGAGCTAGGAACTGTGGACGAAAACCAGTATATATCATAATACCACAAGGTGTTAGCAGCCCCTGAAGGTTATTATCGAACCCTGCCCTAAGTGACATTAATATTTTCCTATTATTGACTGCTGTGTGAAAGGGTAGCTCTCAACGATAGAAAAAGTCATTTGAGAGAATATTTTTTGAAAGTCTGAAGTCTTTGGCTATTATTCTACATTTGAGTTCTTAATGCTTTTACTTAAACCCAAGGTATTGAATCAGTTTTGATAGACCCAATATTCATTTCTTTTTCTTTTTCTTTTTTCTTTTTTTTTTTTGTCTCAGACAGAGTTTCACTCTTGTCCCCCAGGCTAGAGCGCAATGGCACAATCTGGGCTCACTGCAACCTCTGCCTCCTGGGTTCAAGTGATTCTCCTGCCTCAGCCTCCTGAGTAGCTGGGATTACAGGCACCTATCACCACGCCTGGCTAATTTTTTTTGTATTTTTAGTAGAGACTGGGCTTTGCCATGTTGGCCAGACTTGTCTTGAACTCCTGACCTCAGTTGATCTGCCCACCTTGGCCTCCCAAAGTGCTGGGATTACCAATATTCATTTCTTAGAAAGTGTTATTGAAGCTGAAGATTTTCTTGGTTTCATTTATTAGTAGTATTTTCTTATTTTTCTTTTTAGGAGGTGCTTTTTTTTAAGGCATTTTTTCCTATTTAGTAAGAATATGAATATTAAATTTTCTTTGTTATGCCTTTAATTCTTAAATATCTGAGTCACAGTGTCCACCTATTGAAATATTTTTCAGAAGTGATACGTGAAATTGAGATGAGTGTGGATGATGATGATATCAATAGTTCGAAAGTAATTAATGACCTCTTCAGTGATGTCCTAGAGGAAGGTGAACTAG
Organism: Homo sapiens; assembly: GCF_000001405.40. Lineage (NCBI taxonomy): Eukaryota > Metazoa > Chordata > Mammalia > Primates > Hominidae > Homo > Homo sapiens. The sequence goes on from NC_000007.14 coordinate 36,419,346, forward strand.
ATATGGAGAAGAGCCAAGAGGAGATGGATCAAGCATTAGCAGAAAGCAGCGAAGAACAGGAAGATGCACTGAATATCTCCTCAATGTCTTTACTTGCACCATTGGCACAAACAGTTGGTGTGGTAAGTCCAGAGGTAAGAAAAGGCTAACTAAACAGGCCCAGGACATAAGTAAACTAAGTAGTATTCGTATCTCCCCTTTCTTTTGTTGACAGATGGACATTTGGCTCAGTAGCCAAGGGAATTTTGCAGACCTGTTGTCTGTTCTCTTAAAAGAAACCTTAAAACTCTTGAGTGGTTTCCTTTTGACCTTAGATGAAATCCAAAGAGTAACATGGCTTAAAAGGCCAGGCATTTGGGCTCAGCTTTTGACTCTGCCATTTGCTGACTGTTTATTGGTCAGGTTATTTAAGCTCTCTATGCCACCATTTCCTCTTATGTTAAACGAGGTTATTAATAATACCTATATAGTGGAGTTGATGTGAACATTGTTGTATTAGTATATCGGTAGTTAGCTCCAAACACATGTAACTAACATTTAGTTACAGCTAACTGCTGTTATTAGCTTTCACCCTCAATTGAATAACTGCAGCTCTGGGGATTGATTCAACTAGAATTTTTTTTTTGAAGTATAAGTTTCAGCTGTCTTTGTAGTTTTATTTATTCTTTTATGTGTTAGGAACTTAGTTTGCTTTGTTTTTATGATGAATCAATCAGCTTACTGGATTTTTTTCTTAATATTAATGGAGAATTCATTGATTTTCACAGAATAAAATGAATTATCATTTAGGATCAATGTTAATATCTGATGCGTTTTCCCACAGAGTTTAGTGTCCACACCTAGACTGGAATTGAAAGACACCAGCAGAAGTGATGAAAGTCCAAAACCAGGAAAATTCCAAAGAACTCGTGTCCCTCGAGCTGAATCTGGTGATAGCCTTGGTTCTGAAGATCGTGATCTTCTTTACAGGTAAGAACATTTCTGGAAGGCATTCACTCACTAAGGGTCATGGTTTAGATTGACATAAGTCGTGTTATAATTTGTAATTATAATGTTATTAATAACTCATCTGTATAAAAGTTTGGAATAACTTTTGTTAGCCTCTCTTTCACCAAATGAGAGTTCCATTCTGTTGTGAAATGTTCTGCTGACATGTTCAATATCAGTGTCAAATTCTGCTGATATGTTCAATAAAGGATAGTGCTCAGTGTGTTGCTGGATTTCTAATAGAGTGTAACTTACCTCTTGAAGCATTGATGCATATAGATCTCAAAGATTCAAAGAAACAGAACGTCCATCAATAAAGCAGGTGATTGTTCGGAAGGAAGATGTTACTTCAAAACTGGATGAAAAAAATAATGCCTTTCCTTGTCAAGTTAATATCAAACAGAAAATGCAGGTATGTACTTTTGTGGAAAGGGGCTTTGGAATGTTTCTTGCACTAGGCTGTGAGCTCTGTGAGGACAAAGGGCCCAGCCTTACTTATCTCTGAACCCTGAGTGGCCAGAATAGTGTCTGATGCATAGAAGCTCAGTAAATCACATTTGAATTCAGTTTATTTTTGGAAAGGTACTCTTTTTGAAAACTTGGAAACTCATTTGATATTGCTGAAATATTTATTTTTAAACAAGTTTTTCATAAATATCCTTAAAGTATAACTATTAATTGGATAATGATGTAGTGGGAAATTTGTTATGCTCTTCAAGGTTTTTTCATGCTAAGGAAGCTTTTTTTTTTTGAGACAGCATTTTGCTCTTTGTTGCCCAAGTTAGATTGTAATGGCGCAATCTTGGCTGACTGCAACCTCTGCCTCCCGGGTTCAAGCAATTCTCCTGCCTCAGCCTCCCAAGTAGCTGAGATTACAGGCATGCACCACCACACCTGGCTAATTTTTATATTTTTAGTAGAGATGGGGTTTCACTATGTTGGTCAGGCTAGTCTCAAACTCTTGAACTCAGGTGACCCACCCACCTCAGCCTCCCAAAGTGCTAGGATTACAGGCATGAGCCACCATGCCTGGCTTTTAAAAAAAATATTTTAATTATAAAAAAAAATAGAGATGGAGTCTCACTATGTTTTCTAGGCTGATCTCACACTCCTGGGCTCAAATGATTCTTGTGCCTTGGACTCCCAAAGTGCTGGGATTACGGGTGTGAGCCACCATGCCTGGCCCTAAGGAAGCATATTAAAAAAAAACAGTGTAATTGTAATTTAAATAAAATGAATCAGATACTTTCTAAATTTCTACGTTGTTGGATGTAACCCCAATTTTAACTTTAATAAGTATGAATTGGAAGTTTTTTCATAAGGAATAATATTTATAGCTTAATTATTGTAACATGCTAAATGTTTTTGGTGCATAGTCGAGAAACTTGAGCAGTGAAACTAACATTTTGACTTTCATCTGGAAATTCTAGAAACTATCCAATCAAGTTAGTTAGAATTAAAATTTAAAGTGAAAATGATGATTTAAAATGTGTATATTTTTTCTCCTCTCATTGGTTTTCCTAGGAACTCAATAACGAAATAAATATGCAACAGACAGTGATCTATCAAGCTAGCCAGGCTCTTAACTGCTGTGTTGATGAAGAACATGGAAAAGGGTCCCTAGAAGAAGCTGAAGCAGAAAGACTTCTTCTAATTGCAAGTAAGTGTGATGCACCTGAAAGAGTTCCAACAAATTTCTAACCAGGGAAAACTCATTTTGATATTTAGAAATCTTTAAGTTTAGAGAAAGGGCTTTTCCTAGTCATCTGTTCCAGTGGATCTATTTTTTGTTCTTGTTTTTATAAGGTTTAAGAACTCTATGTAAAACAAATTGTAGTTTGCATGAAAGGTAGAAGCAACCGAAAGGCATTTGAAGAAATGCAGTTGTGCAGATTGAATGAATGAATGGATGAATGAATGAATCTCTATATATACACATGTACACATACATTCTCTCTCTCTCTCTCTCTCTCTCCCTTCCTTCCCTTATCAATAAATAGCTAAAACAACTTCTGTGAATTTTGCTGTGTGCGTATATGTGGTGATGATGGGGCATTTTGGGGTGGACAGATGATACCACACATGAAAACTAGCCGAAAGTTGATGTATTAAATTATAAGGACTTGGTAAATGAGCAACCAAGGTTTTCCCCAACCACCTACCATGTTTTATAAAGATAGTGTTACTGATTTCGTCTTCGCTGTTACGTACAGTTTCCATATCAGTACACTTTTTTGAATTTGCTCTCATTAGAAACAGTTACGATTTTAATATTTGGAATATTGCGTTGTTTTACATAGCTGGGAAGAGAACACTTTTGATTGATGAATTGAATAAATTGAAGAACGAAGGACCTCAGAGGAAGAATAAGGCTAGTCCCCAAAGTGAATTTATGCCATCCAAAGGATCAGTTACTTTGTCAGAAATCCGCTTGCCTCTAAAAGCAGATTTTGTCTGCAGTACGGTTCAGAAACCAGGTATGGTGGTGATTTTTCTAGATTGTGTGTTAAATTATGAACCTCACCTAGATTGAATTGTACAGAATAGAAACAAGTAAATCATGCATAACAATGCAAAGTTTGTATCTTTGGCCTTTAGGTCCTTTTATTGAGATATAATAAAAATAAGAAAACTTCAGATATATATAGGGATACCAATCTACACAATAATGGACATTGCTCTTACTGAAAGTTTGAATATAAAGTTTTATTAAATGTTGGATATGGTTTTTAAAGTTCCTTTTAAAATTTTATTTGTGTGGAACACAAATTTTTTTGTGTGTGTTCTGGAATACCAAAGAAATAAAGGAATACTGAACTGATTTATACACAATTTATTTTAAAAAATTTCTTTTTGAGGGGAAGGAGGGCTAGACATAGGTGAGAAGCAAATTTCAGGCATAGGGAAAGTAAATGGAGGTTGTGAAAGGTTTGAGCACTTTTGTAGGAATAAGGTAATTTAGGTTCTAATTCTTGATGTTATCTGATTTTGATGGGGTGTGGGCAGAAATTTATTGGTAATTTAGTATGCGTCTGGAGGTACGTGGTTATTAATGACAAATGGTGAAGAAATAGTTTATGTTTTTATTATCATTTATCTCTGAGTAACTTTTATAGAAATACAGTATTTTAATTTCAGTTTTGAAATAACAAACCATAATTTACCCTTTTGAGATATGTACTATTAGTTAAGAATTAAGGGTCACTAGGTAAAATTCAAAATCAGCAGAAATTGAGAAATGTGGAGTGAAATTATTTCAATTTACATAACAGGGAGAGACCTTGATGATGCTTATTTCAGGATTATACTGCCTACTTAAGTCTTATTTAGCTTTTTGTGTCTGGAAAGTTGATTTTAGTAATTTTAAAAATAAATTGTATATAAATCAGTTCAATATTCCTTTATTTCTTTGGTATTCCAGAATGCTGATTAGCTAAATCTGATTTTGCTTGTGCTTACTATGTAATATGATTACTTCTTACAGATGCAGCAAATTACTATTACTTAATTATACTAAAAGCAGGAGCTGAAAATATGGTAGCCACACCATTAGCAAGTACTTCAAACTCTCTTAACGGTGATGCTCTGACATTCACTACTACATTTACTCTGTAAGTAAATCAGGCTTTTGATGATTCGAATGCATTTTTCTTTTTGTAGAGTTGATACAGTCTAAAGCATTCAGGTGGCATTTATAATCTTTGAAACGCCTTATGCACATTCTTTTTATATTGACAAATAACCCATCTTTCAATTTGTTGCTTTAACTCATATGTTTCTATCCTTCCTTTTGTTGAATAGCACCTTTTTTCCACATGACTGTAGGTATTACATATTTTGAAATGATATATACATTAAACCTGGACCATAGATTTTTAACATATGCCTTAAATCTCATAATGTACTTAACATTCAGTCTTAATGAAAATACGTTTATATTTAGTGAAACATTTATTTTTAAATAAGAGTCAAAGTGCAGTTTGAAAAATAATTACTACTTTTATTATTGAAGATTGTGAGTTGTAAAACACGGAGGAAAATATTTTGGACTTGCATTATAGGGAAAAAATAGACTTCTTAACAATTTTTATTGACTTTAAAGTCATAGTGGATTCCTTTACTTAGAGTCTTGTAAGAGTATTTGTAGCATCATTTTTAATGGTGTGATTGAGGTTTTCTCTCAAGGTTTTACTTAATGCTTTATTTTTCCAGGCAAGATGTATCCAATGACTTTGAAATAAATATTGAAGTTTACAGCTTGGTAAGCTGATAAAGCCTTCTAAAATAATGAAGAGTATATTTTTCTTAACAATATCAGATTATAAATTAATTATGCTTTGGGTTTGTGCGTAGGTGCAAAAGAAAGATCCCTCAGGCCTTGATAAGAAGAAAAAAACATCCAAGTCCAAGGTGAGAATTAAAGAAACCCAGTAAAAATATTTTCATCAGAAGTAATAGATATCATCATACCAGTTTTAATTTATGTACAACTTTTAATGATTAGGAAGTTTTTGGATCAGTTTCATGTTCCAATTTGTAGTTACTATGTTAAATAGGTATGAATACTGAAAATAAACTGTGAGTGATCATGATTGTCAGTATAAGTTCCTGATACACTCGGGCTAGATAATTCTATTTTCTCTACATTTACTTGGCAACTTTTATAACTGCTTAAAACTTTTCTCAAGACTTTTCCCTGAGCCCTCTTCTCTCTGTGTTCTCTATACCAGTACTTAATAATTATGTGGTCACTTTGCAGGCATAAGGTTGCTTTCCAGCCTTCCCAGTCTGTGTTCTTTTCTTAAGTCATCATTTTAAAAACTTTTTTTTTTTAGCTCTAACAAAAAAGGACTAACAGTATAAGAAAGCCTTAATCAGGGACTCAAGTGTAATGTTTTCATATTTAAGAATTAATTACTCAAGGACTCATGTGTAATGTATTCATATTTAAGAACTCATTCTTTTTTTTTTTTTTTTTTTGAGACGGAGTCTCGCTCTGTTGCCCAGACTGGAGTGCAGTGGCGTGATCTCAGCCCACTGCAACCTCCACCTCCCAGGTTCAAGCGATTCTCCTGCCTCAGCCTCCTGTGAAGCTGGGACTACAGGTGTGTGCCACCACATCTGACTAATTTTTTGTATTTTTAGCAGAGAGGGGGTTTCACCATGTTAGCAAGGGTGGTCTCAATCTCTTGACCTCATGATCCGCCCGCCTCAGCCTCCCAAAGTGATGGGATTACAGGCGTGAGCCACTGCTCCCGGCTAAGAATTAATTATTTTCTATGTAGGAATTTCTCAAGGTTGGATAGTTTTACTTTCTGAGACATAATGTTTAATAAGAAATATATATAGTAAGCTATCTTTTCTTTTAGGCTATTACTCCAAAGCGACTCCTCACATCTATAACCACAGTAAGTAGAATTTTTGAGAAATTGAGCTTCCTTGAGAAATCTTCATCTTACCCATACAGTTTTAAATTGGTTAACCATTTCTGAACCTTGAGCACTGTGGAAAATTTTAACATGTACTAATGGGGGGATATCCCTGTAATTTATGTAGGAAAAGTGTTTTCTGAAATGTATTTCTTATTGTGTTAAAAGAGATGAGTGATTCATATTTAAATCTTTGTATTAAATAAGGGAAATAACTTATGTTTCTTCTTCACACCTTTTTTTTTTTTTTTAGAAAAGCAACATTCATTCTTCAGGTGAGTGTATCTTGAACTATTTGAAACTTTAGAATAAGGTAAGGAATTAAGCACTTGCATATTTACATATATATAGGCCATCTTGATTTGTGAATGTTTACCTTGATCTCCTTTGGAATAATATTTTCTATGTGAGTTTCTTAGTAACAGGATTACTGGCCAGAGTAGGATGCAGTTTGGTTGCACCTTTGTTAGGTACCACCATAGAGGCACCAGTCATCATGTTATTCAGCTCTAGCAGCAGGTGGCATTACTCTTTACTTCAACTTCTATTGTTCTATAGATTTGTTTTGTGCTTTCCATACTGCAGATTTTACTTCTTTTAGCTTTACTGATCATAACTGGCGTTGTATCATGTCAGAAATGCATCTTTCTAGTTCACTGGGAACTGGAATGCTGTTAAGCCAGGAAAGGCCTTCTTTAGAATGACTTTAGGCCTATCTTTTTCCAAAAGGAATTAGGATGGAGCTGGTTTCACTCACTTCCTTTAGGCTATTGGTCTCTTTCTTCTCTGTGGTGCAAGAGAGTTACTAAGAGACCTGTACAGAGATAGTTTCTGCTGCTGATTTTGTCACCCTGCATTATAACTAGCACTGAAGTCTTTTCCATGTTTTTTATCGGGAAGTTGCTTTTTATGCATACATTTTTAGGTCTATATCTTTAAAAACACATCCATCCCAATTATTAAGGAGTGCTTGTACCTCTTTCATTAGGAAATAAGTTGATTTTTCCCCCCACATTTAAAGATGAAGGAAAATGAGGCAGTTTTTTTTTCTCTGTGGCAGCTTAATTTTCTTCTACTGGGATGGGGTGAGGAATTGTTACTTATACTTAACAAAAGTCATTCTGAACTAAACTTAATTTCCTCGTTCTTCACAGTCATGGCCAGTCCAGGAGGTCTTAGTGCTGTGCGAACCAGCAACTTCGCCCTTGTTGGATCTTACACATTATCATTGTCTTCAGTAGGAAATACTAAGTTTGTTCTGGACAAGGTAATCCAACTTTATTTCTAAGGGTGTGGTGTTTTTTTTTTAATCTTAGAAAAATTAGCTCAATGGAAATGCCACAATGCTTTTAGGTATTTGAAATCTTCGACTGAAAACATATGTTCTTAGAATTGCACATTTTTGCTAGGTATGAGTGTACCTAAATGTTTTTTTTTTTTTTTGTCTTGGAAGTATGTCTCCCTTTTAATAGTTAGAACTTCAGTGGATGCTTGCTTATTCTAAGTATCACTTCTGACTAAAGAAGTATTACTTCCTGCATTTAGATGTTAAGTTTATAATTTTAAAACATAATATCTTGCCTATTTCCATTTCTTTGTGGTTTTTTTTGTTTTTTTGTTTTTTTGTTTTTGAGACAGGGTCTCACTCTGTCACCTAGGTTGGAGTGCATGGCTCACTGAAGCCTCAGCCTCGCGGGCTCCCACCTTAGCCTTCCAAGTAGCTGGGACTACAGGCACGTGATGCCACGCCTGGCTAATTTTTACTATTGTTTTGTAGAGATGGGGTTTCATCGTGTTGGCTAGGCTGGTCTCGAACTCCTGGGCTCTGGCCATCTGTCTGCCTTGGCCTCCCAAAGTGCTGGGATTATAGGTGTGAGCCACCTTGCCCGGCCAGCCTATTTGAACCTATATTTTGAAATGAACAATATTTTATGAATTTAGTTTTGACAAGACAGTGAAAGGTAGATTAACCTCTTAGAAAAGTACTTACGAATCTAAGAGATTTCCTTCTCATACTTCCCTTTCATATTAGAAGCTTCAAAAATCAGATCTGTGTTAACATCACTATTGAGTCTTTTTTTCACCAAGACTATTTTAAGGAGTAAGACAACTAGAGGCAAATTTTATTTCTTGGGTTGACTTCTATATAATACAGTGATAATTTATATTATCATGTGAGATTTCTGTAGTGCGAATATAGAGATGAAGAAGTGTAAAAATTAGAAGCCCTGGTTTCTAGTATTTACCCTTAGTGATTTACTCTTTAACATTGAGCAAAGTCACCTCATCTCTCTAGGGTCTTGTTTTCCAGTACAGAAATATTAGTTTAGCCTGAAACAATCTAAAATTCTATGAAATGCTTTCTTTTAGTTGATGGACAAAAAGCAGACTGTATTTGAAGTTTTGATTACTATTAATGCATGAATGTGTTTTAACAAGTTAATTTTAAAAATTTTTGTAACTTTTTATTTAGTAATTCAGCTACTTTAACCAGTTGAGTGATCCTGGGTCTTTTTTTCTCTGTCTCTTATTTTGTCTGTTTTAGATAAATTATGATGTAAGAGAGCGAGAGCTACTGGGCTATTTGTTCCAGGAAAAGGTTGCCATTATTTTCTTTGCTTGAAATTAATGAGCTTAAAAATCAATCCTTAATTTTTGATCTACATATATTTGTTTTACTAACTATCTTTTTGTTTACTTTGAATAATTAAGGACATTATGTACATTATTCTATCATGAGACTCTTATAGATGGGTGTCTTTTTCTCCACTCTCAATACTTTAAAACCTTCTTTGAAAGTTTTCTATTTTTTCAATGCATGTTTGGTGTTTGGGTCTTTTTCCATATTCTTTCTTCTCTCTTATAGTTCATTATAATCCTATATTCACATCAATATTGATTTTTCTAGGTACAATTAGAATACCAATTAGTAACTATATTTAAAACTAAAAATTATTCAATATTTTTGACCTGTATACTGGAAGAGCTATTGGTGATGTTTTAAATAAAAGCAGATTTTTTTTTTTTTTTTTTTTGAGACGGAGTTTTGCTCTGTCACCCAGGCTGGAGTGCAGTGGCGTGATCGTGGCTCACTGCAACCTCTGCCTCCTGGGTTCAAGCGATTCTCCTGCCTCAGCGTCCCAAGTAGCTGGGACTACAGGTGCATGCAACCACATCTGGCTAGTTTTTGTATTTTTAGTAGAGGCAGGGTTTCACCATATTGGCCAGGCTGGTCTCGTGCTCCTGACCTCAAGTGATCAGCCCTCCTTGGCCTCCCAAAGTGCTGGGATTACAGGTGTGAACACTGTGCCTGGCCAAAAGTAGAAAATTTTTATGGTCTTAATTGGCTAATAGGTATATTGCTAGATAGATGACCCTTTGCTTGTTAATTTTGAAATTATAATACATTTAGCACTGAAATTATACTGAATATAATAATATATTTTGGAAGACTTTTTAAAGTTTTTTTTTTGTTTTGAGATAGAGTCTCACTCTGTCACCCAAGCTGGAGTGCAGTGGCACGATCTCGGCTCACTACAGCCTCCATCTCCCAGGTTCAAGCAATTCTCATGCCTCAGCCTCCTGAGTAGCTGGGATTACAGGCGTGCACCACCATGCCCAGATAATTTTTGTATTTTTAGTAGAGACAGGGTTTCACCATGTTACCCAGGCTAGTCTTGAACTCCCAACCTCAGGCGATCTGCTCGCCTTGGTCTCACAAAGTGCTGGGATTACAGGAGTGAGCCACTGCGCCCATCTAAAGATTTTTAATATTTTTGTAAAGGTCAGTTACAAACATTCTCTTGGTTAAAGAGATGCTAATTAACAAAATGCTGGATGGTATTTTTTATTTTATTTTAAATTCTTAAAATAGGATTTGCAAATTAGATAACCATAAGAATTGGGATTTTACGAACTGTGTTTTTTACTCAGTATTGTCACATAGCCAGTTTCTACATATGTAAGAGATTTCATTAATCTCTAAAATGAAAGAGATTTCAATGACATATCTTAAATATAGACTGTTCTTTTAAAAACTTTTTTTGGCTGCCATTTTGAATCAAAATGTCACATTTACAAATTAAAATTAAATTATATTCCCATTCACTTAACTCCTTTGAATTTATAACTTAAATAGCCAACCACATGATTGAGTGCAAAATCAAACCACTCAGTTTAATTTGTTGTGTCTTTTACTCTTGAGACTCCTTCTCAGTCAGATACAGTACGATTTAGAAGTAAAATCTGGAACAAATTTTGTGCTTTTCTGAGTGAGGAGGGGAAGCAAATATTTGTTCCAATTGCCTGGGTTTGATGTAGGAGAATATCTAAAATAGTTAAGTTTGAATGGTCTTGAAGTTGGTGGGAAAAATTTAAGGCCTTCTACACTCATGTAATAATCCTATTTAATTGTCACTGAAAGAGTATACATGTCTTTCCTGCCTTGTCAGATACTGTCAGTACAACGCAGTCTTGGTTTATTTTACTGGTGCCTTGACCAGTAATACAACAATCACAGAGGTTATCTGTGAGGTCCTTCCAGAGTGGAATTTCTGTTGAGGTTAATCCAGTTGGTTTGCTCTGCGGATTTAGGACACCACTGTCAGTGGATTTCCATTTTATTTGAGGCTATTCAGATCTGATTTAAAGCCTGGCATCCTGGAATTTAAATTACAAATCTTAGTGAGTCAGACTTTCAAACCCTTTCTTTGAATAGGGAATCCAAAACAGTCATAGTTTTATTATACTATTATAGATAAAGGGAGAAGGATGTCCCAAAGTTCCTCTTCTGACTTAAAGGAACCTCATAGGTATTTATACCTTTTAGGAAATAGAAATGTCAATTTAAATATTATTAGAGCAAACAATTTTGAAGTAAAACAACCAATTAGGATTATACAGTTTTGGGATTGAAGAAAATGGTTAGGCATTCTGGTATGCCCTGAACTATCCAGTTTATACCTGTTGGCCTTGTGTAATTATTAATGGTGCCCCTTTCACCCTCAAAAATATCCCAGCATATAACACATTACACAGTCTCCCTGGTTGTAGGTTATATTTTACAGCTCTTAACATAATCTTTGAAGTGTGGATGTCTTAAAAGACTCCTTTGTTAAACACAAAACAGAATAGGATCATACATTTTCACACAAGTCTCCCTCCACACTCAACTAGGGGGAGGGGTAGTAAACTTGACGTTTTTGTGAATATTTTCAATTTACTTCTTTATCAGGACAAGCTTCTAACCAAAAATATTGTCTACTTTTCCTCAGCTACAGAGTAAGAGGGCACATTTTCTTCTCATTGTTCTGATTTTTGTTATCAGTAGCATGCTCTGTGCTAAACAATGGAATTCTGTTAAATACCATTGAGAGGAAAGAGCCTAAGGAACTTAAAACTCACTGTAAGGAAAAGCAAAAAGGGAATTTTTACAAAATAGGATGATGAGGCATATGATGTTTTGGTTCTGCATTGTGGATCGGTTTCAAATTTGGGCAGTTGGAGGTTCATCTCATGAAATTAGTCTACTGAAATTTATACTTTTTGTCTTAGAATTCCCCCTTTAAGTTATCTTTGCTATGTTAGAGGGTCAAATCATTGGAAACTAATTATACTAAAAACTCAAATTTAGACTTAACTAAGATTAATCCAGTTGGGATGCCATTCTTTTTCCCTGGGCAATAGAAATGACAGACACTTCCATCTTCCTTTCTATCTTGACTCAGAAGTCAATGTTACTTTAGATATCTGTCTATCTATCTATCTATCATATATATATGTGTGTATATATGTGTGTGTTTGTGTGTGTGTGTGTGTGTGTGTGTGTGTGTGTGTGTATATATATATATATATATAATATATATATATATATTACCATTTTATTCTTGATTTCAGGGACAAATCATTGATGGAACCAATCCAGGCCTTGTATAACCAAAAGACTAGCAGTTGGCGTTTATCTTTTCCCTTCAAGGCTTGGGTGTTAGCAGCTTTATAGATAAGGGCAGTTCTGATCATAAACCCACTTACCTTTACACAAAACAGGAGTTAGCCTATCCCTTCTGCCTTAAATTCTGGTTCTCACTTCCTTGCTAATAAATGTCCCTTGTGGCTTTCTTTTTTCCCCCCCAGAATAGGGCACTTTTATCTGAATTAAAAATTTGTTCAGGTTGGGCACTGTAGCTCATACCTACAATCCCAACACTTTGGGAGGCCAAAGTGGGAGGATCGTTTAAAGCCAGAAGTTCAATACCAGCCTGAGCAACATAGATGATGAAAACAGTTTTTTTTCATCAAAGAATAAAAAAATATTAGCTGGGTGTGGTGGTACACACCTGTAGCCCTAGCTATTCAGAAGGCTGAGATGGGGGAATTGCTTGAGCCCAGAAGTTCAGAAGTTCAAGGCTGCAGTGAGCTATGATCACGCCACTGCACTTCAGCCTGAGTGACAGAGTGAGACCTTGTTTTGGAAAACAATAACAAAAAACAAACTTGTTCAGGCAGATATCCTTTTTCTTCACTGATTTTCTTAATGGTGTCTGGGAACTCATCTCCTGTCTCATTTGGTAGAAGCTGCTTCTTCTGTTGTATCTTGACATTTTTAAAGCCTCTTTCTAAAATTATCAAACCATCCTTTGCTGGCATTAAATATTCAAGTTGAAGATCCTTCACCTTCCTTTAATCCTATATTAGAGTCTATAGGTGTGTCTTTCTTATAGCAATCCTGCACTCACATAAAAACTGTATTTTCAATATAAGATCAAAATGTATTTCACAAAAAATGCATCTTTATATTTGTTTACATTTCTCCTGACTGAATGGTGCCATGTACAGTCTGTGTAAGTTATAGAAAACGTTTGCCAACTCGTAGTCTACCATTTTGTTATTTGTTTTCTATTTGTTTCGTCTGTTCTTTACTGCTTTGTTTTCCCTTTCCTGCCTTCTTCTGGATTAATTGAGTATTTTGGTAATCCTTTTTAATCTCCTCTTTTGGATTTTTTAGCTATACTTACCTGTTTTTGTTTTTGTTTTTTAAGGCGTTGGTAGGAAATAATGTATGCATCCTTACCTTATTAAAGTCTATTTTGAAATACTGTTACACTGCTTCATGTAACTTACAATATGAACCTCACAACAGTATAGTTCATTTTCCCATCCCAGTATATTTTACTTCTTTGTTATAAACCACACAATGCACTGTTGTTACTTTTTCTTTAATCAGTTTTTTTCTTTTTTAAGAGATGGGGTCTTGCTATGTTTTCCAGGCTGGCCGTGAACTCCTGGGCTCAAGCCATCCACCTGCCTTGCCTCCCAAAATGCTGGGGTTACAGTTGTGAACTACTGTGCCCAGCCTCTTGAATCAATTTTTAAAAGAAACTTTTATATTTTTATAAACTGGTCCTTATATTTACCATTTCTGGTGTTCTTCCTTCTTGTAGATTGAGAATTCCATCTGAAGTCATTGTCCTGTCAAGAAGAACTGTCTTTATTATTTCTTGTAATATAGTTCTGCTGGAAATGAAATCTCTAGGTTTTGTTTGTCCAGAAATATTTTTATATTGCCTTAATTTCTGAAGGATATTGTCACTGGGACTGCTAAATTGACAGGTTTTTATCTTTTCAATTCTTTAAAGTTGTTAATTTATTGTTTATGGCTTTAATTGTTTCTAATAAGAAGTCAGCCAGCCATCATTCTTTTCTGTTTTTTTATTTTGCATTTTTAACGGTTTGATTTTAATGTGCCTACGTGTAGTTTTCTTTGTATTTATCCTGTTTGGTTTCACTGAGCTTTATGATCTGTAATTAGTTGTTTTATAAGTCTTAGCAAATACTCAGCCATTGTCTCTTAAAGTTATTTCTTCTGCCCTGCTCTCTCCTTTCTGAAACTCCAGTTAATGTAGACTATTGACTATTTTTCTACAGGTCTGTGACATTCTTTTTGGTTTTCATTTAATTCTTTTTTTCTTTGTGCTTCATTTTTGATGGTTTCTATTTATCAGTTCTTCAAGTTCACCTGTTTTTTTCTTGATGTGATCTAGGCTTTGAAGCCTAGCCAATGCATTTTTAAATTCAGACTTTTTTTTAGTTCTGAAATTTTCATTTGGATTTTTTTTATGGTTTCAATTTCTCTGCTGAAGTTCTCCATTTTCTCACTAATTTTTCTCCATCTTTTCATCTAAATATTTTAATGTTGTATAAATGTTTTTGTTTTCTAATTCTAACGTTTAGATCATCTGTGGATCTGCTATTGACAGGATTTTTTTCCCCTTGATAAGCTCCGTGTTTTCCTACTTTTTCACATGTCTTGTAATTTTTTAACTGTAGGCCAGATATTATATTATAAAAGAACAGTAGAGACTGAAATAGGTAATACCTTGTTCTTTTGTCTTTCAGACAGTATAGATTAGGGACTGGTCTCTTATGTAATCAGAAACAGCTGAAATTAGGCTATGGATAGATTTGGTTCAAGTTTTGTTTTAAATGCTTTGAGAATGGTTTCAGGCCCCACTTTTGAGCAGAACTTTGAGATCTAAGTACTGCACGTCTACAAGATTTCTCTCTGCTTTTTAGACATGTCTTCAACCATCACTTCTCAGCAAAATTCCTGTTGGGGAGAATTGGCAGGTAGGGAGAGCTAGCTCTGCCTCTGCTTCTTGAGATGCCTGTCTACCTCAGCCTGGGCTCAACCATTGAAGGCTCAACTGGTTTCTCCTTTTCCCTGCAAAATTTGTTGCTTATGGCAAGGTTGCTCCTCTGCTAAGTTGCTAAGAATATTTTCTTACATGTTTAGGTTCCTTTTCTTTAAAAATACTTCTTTTTGGCCAGGCACAGTGGCTCATGCCTGTAATCCCAGCACTTTGGGAGGCCGAGGCGGCTGGATCACTTGAGGTCAGGAGCTCAAGACCTGCCTGGTCAACATGATGAAACCCCATCTCTATTAAAAATACAAAAATTAGCCAGGTGTAGTGGTGCATGCCTGTAACCCCAGGATTACAGGAGAGGCTGAGGCACGAGAATTGCTTGAACCTGGGAGGCGGAGGTTGCAGTGAGCCAAGATTGTGCCACTGCAGCCTGGGTAACAGAATGAGACTCTGTCTCAAAAACAAAACAAAACAAAACACTTGTTTTTGTTGTGTAAATGGACATGCATGAAAAATCACCTATAGCAACAGAAAGCGTATCATTGGTTTCCTGGAGATGGGAATACATGGAGGCAGGATTATGGGAGGGAGCTTTAGAGGGTGATGGAAATGTTCATTATTATGATTGTGGTCAAGGTTTCATGGGTTATAATATACATATATCAAAATTCATCAAACCCTACACTTTAAATATGTTCAATTTATTGTACTCAATATAGTTGTAAAAAGATTATGTTCAGTTAATTATAGACACCTTAAGTGTAGCATTCAGTGAGTTTTAACAAATGAATACACCTATATAACCAAAACCTAGTCAAGATAAGGGACATTTCCATCACTCCCATCTAGTCAATCCCAGCCACTACAGGCAACCATTCTTCTCATCTCTGTTTTCACCCTAGATTCGTTTTGCTTGTTCTTGAGCTTCATTTATTGTTTTTATTTTTTATTTTTATCTTTTAAAAAAGAAAATAGAGATGGTGGGGGGGGGGTCTCAGTATGTTGCCCAGGCTGGTCTTGAACTCCTGGGCTCAAGCGATCCTCTTGCCTCAGCCTCTCAAAGTTCAGGGATTACACATGTGAGCCGCCATACCTGGGCTTGAACTTCATTTAAGTGGAATCAAAGAATGTGTACTCTTTTGAATCTAATTTCTTTTGCTCAGCGTGATGTTTTTAAGATTTATCCATGGCCGGGCGCGGTGGCTCACGCCTGTAATCCCAGCACTTTGGGAGGCCGAGGCGGGCGGATCACGAGGTCAGGAGATCGAGACCATCCTGGCTAACACGGTGAAACCCCGTCTCTACTAAAAATACAAAAAATTAGCCGGGCGTGGTAGCGGGCGCCTGTAGTCCCAGCTACTCGGGAGGCTGAGGCAGGAGAATGGCGTGAACCTGGGAGGCGGAGCTTGCAGTGAGCCGAGATCGCGCCACTGCACTCCAGCCTGGGCGACAGAGCGAGACTCCGTCTCAAAAAAAAAAAAAAAAAAAAAAAAAAAAAAGATTTATCCATGCTGCTGTTTATGTTAGTAGTTCATTGTTTTCAAAAAATAATGTATTGAAATGAAATTCATGTAACCAAAGTAACAATTTTAAGGTAAACTATTCAGTGGCATTTAGTACATTCACAATGTTGTTCAAAATACCTCTGTCTAATTCGAAATATTTTTATGTCTCTAAAAGTAAAAAGTCTTACTCATTAAGCAGTCTTTGCCCATCTTCCCTCCCCCGAGCCCCTGACAACCATCAATCTGCATTTGGTTTCTATGGACATATCTATTCTGTATATTTCATATAAATGGGATCATCATACAATATGTAACTTTTTATGTCTGGCTTATTTCCCTTAGTGTAATGTTTCGGAAGTACATCCATGATGTAGCATGTATTAGAACTTCATTTCTTTTTATGGCTGAATAATATTCTATTATATGTATATACAGCATTTCATTTATCTGTTCATTCATTGATAGATATTTGGGCTGTTTCCGCATTTTGCCTATTGTGAATAGAGCTGCTTTGAACATGTGTGTGCATGATTTGAGTACCTGTTTTCAGTTCTTTTGTACGTATACATAGGATATACATAGGAGCAGAATTGTGGGATCATGTGATAATTATTTTTAGGAACTGCTAAACTCTTTTTCAAAGCATCTAGACCATTTGATATTTCTACCATTAATGTGGGTTCCCATTTTCCTACATCTTTTCCATTGTTTATTTTCTGTTCGTTTTATTTTTAAATTATAACCATCCTAGTGGGTGTGAAGTGGTTCCTCATTGTAGGTTTGATTTGAACTTCCCTAATGACTGTTGATGTTAAATGTCTTTTCATGTGCTCATTGGAAGACAAAATGTGTATCTTTGAAGAAATGTCTATTCAAGTCCTTTGCCAAATTTTCAGTTTGGTTTGTCTGAGTTGTTTTAGTTGGGTTGTCTTTTTGTTACTGAGTTGTAAGAGTTTTCTTTGTATATTCTGGATATTATCAGATATATAATTGACAAATATTTCAAACCATTCCATAGACTGTCTTTTCACTTTCTTGATAAAGTGCTTTGATGTGCAAAGGTCTATAATTTTTTTTATTATGGTAAATAATACATGGTATTTATCTTTTGAAGAAATTTTTAAGTATACAGTGAATTATTGTGAACTATAAGCATTATGTTATATAGCAGATCTATAGAATTTTCTTCATTTTGCATGACTGAAATTCTGTACTCGTGGAACTGCAGCTCCTCATATTCTCCTCCCCACTCCCTGGCAGCCACCACTGTAGTTTCTGCTTCTATGAGGTTGGCTACTTTAAAGATTTCATATGTTGCTTTTCAGCCTTTTGGATAAGGTCAAATGTAGATACTTCATGATAAGTGGAGTCGTGTAGTGTTTGTCTTTCTCTGACTAGCTTATTTCATTTAGCATAATGTCCTCAAAGTTTGTTCATGTTGTAGCATATGACAGGATCTCCTTTTTCTATGCTAAAGAATTTTTCATTGTATGTATGTACCGCATTTTTTTGGCCTCTTCATTTATTGATGGGCACTTAGATTATTTCCATCTCTTAGCTATTGTGAATAATGCTGCAATGAACGTGAGAGTGCAGATAGCACTTCAAGAACCCATTTCAATCCTTTTGATAAATACCTGGAAGTGGGATTGCTGGGTTATATGGTAGTTTTATTTTTTCATTTTTTTTTTGTGGAACCTCTGTAGTAATGAAAGGTTTTTAATTCTGGTGAAGTCTAATTTATCTATTTTTTCCTCATGTTGCTTGTGCCTTTGGTATCATATCTGAAAATCCATTGCTAAATCCATGATCACAAAGCTTTACCTCTATGTTTTCTTTCTAAGAGTTTTATTTTATTTTATTTTATTTTAAAAATTTTTTTTTGAGAGTTTCACTCTTGCTGCCCAGGCTGGAGTGCAATGGCACAATCTTGGCACACTGCAACCTCTGCCTCTGTGTTCAAGTGATTCTCCTGCCTCAGCCTCCCGAGTAGCTGGGATTACAGGCATGTGCCACCATGCTGGCTAATTTTTGTATTTTTAGTACAGATGGGATTTCACCATGTTGAAGGTGAAATCCCTTCAAGGCCAGGCTGATCTTGAACTCCTAACCTCAGGTGATTCACCCGCCTCAGCCTCCCAAAGTGCTGGGATTACAGGCGTGAGCCACCGCGCCCAGCCTTTCTAAGAGTTTTATAATTTTAGCTCTCATACTTAGGATATTATCCATTTGGGTTTAATTTTTATAAATGGTATGAGGTGAAGGTCCACCATCACTCTTGGTGGGTGTGGATATCTAATTTTCTCTGCACCATTTTTTGAAAAGGCTGCTCTTCCGCTTTAAATGGTCTTGGCATCCTTGGCAAAAATCAGTTGGCCATAAGATGTATGGCTTTATGTCTGGTCTCTCAATTCCATTTCTTTTGTCCATATGTCTGTTCTTATGCCAGCACCACACTGGTGTTTTTGATTTTGTTTCTTTGAGACAAGGTTTTGGTCTTTTGCCCAGGCCAGAGTGCAGTGGCATGATCATAGCTCACTGCAACCTTAAACTTTTGGACTCAAGTGATCCTCCTGCCTCAGCCTTCCAAGTAGCTGGTACTACAGACATCTGCCACCACACCTGGCTAATTTTTTCATGTTTAATAGAGACGAGGTCTCGCTATGTTACCCAGGCTGGTCATGAGCTCCTGGGTTCGAGTGATCCTCACTCCTTGGCCTTCCAAAGTTCTGGGATTACAGGCGTGAACTACCATGTCCAGCCAGCCCACACTGCTTTGATTACCAAAGTTTTGCGTTACGTTTTGAAATTGGGAAATATGATTCCTTCAACTTTGTTCTTAATTTTCAAGATTGATTTGGTTGTTTGGGGTCTCTTGCAATTACATATGAATTCAAGGACTGGCTTTTCCATATCTGCAGTTTATTGTTCTTTATTGCTGGGTGGTATTGTGTGGTGTGAATTTACAGGTTGGTTTATCAGTCTCTTATTGAGTATATTCTCCTGTTGATGGAGAATAGATAAACCCAAATATTGTCGTCTGTTTTCTTTCTCACATTAACTTGAGACTTAGGGCTTTTGGTTTTGTCAAGCTTTACCTTAAATGAATTTATTCTTCAAAAGTATTTGTTGGTAAGGAACCAATGGCTTTTTGGCCATGTCTTTTATACTCCAACTTTAGAAAATGCTCTGTTTTCAAGTTGTAATAGTCTCTGTTCATGATTTATACATGATTTATCAAGAAAAATCACACTTTGAACCTGTTTTGCAAATAATTTACCTGTTTTCTTTGCAGGTCCCCTTTTTATCTTCTTTGGAAGGTCATATTTATTTAAAAATAAAATGTCAAGTGAATTCCAGTGTTGAAGAAAGAGGTTTTCTAGTAAGTAACATCACTTAGTCTTTAACTTCCTTTTTTCCATTTTGTGAAATACAGACTTGTTTCCCATAGGAATGAAATCCTTTGTGATTAAGTAATAAGTTGGTTCAGTAAAGATTTGTTTTATGTCCTTTATATGCCAATCACTGTGCTGCCATTGGAATGTAAAAGACCACAAAAAATAATTCCTCTGCTCATGAGTTTTTAGTTTAGAAGAGAGAAATACAAACGAACAGACAAGCACAATATAATACTCTAATAGGAGAAAACAGGGTGCATCGGTGTCAATTGGTGGGACACCAGGTCTTGACTGTGTGTGGGGTGGGATAAAGGGAACTGCTGAGAGAAGTAATTTCTAAACTGAGTAAGTTAATCTGAGAGAAAGATGAGAAGTGCTCCAGATAGGGGGAGAATGTACAGTGGCTTGAAGGGCCCTTCTTTGTCACTCCTACCCAAAGAAAAGAAGAATGACACATGCAGACAGTGGAAGGTATTTCAGGATAGCTAGAGCTTAGAGTTTGAGGGCATGCATGTGATTGGTGGGTGGGGAATGAGGAGGAAAGTGTGGTTAGGGGAAATGGGGCAAGAGTTCAAGGGCCTTTTAAAGAATTTGGACTTTATCCTAGAGTCAGCGAGTTACTCTTACAGGATTTTAAGCAGAGGAAATTATCCAACTTGGGATTGAGAAAATCATTCTGACCAATGTGGAAAGCAGATTGGAGAATGACAACCCGAAGAAGACTAGTCAGTTCCCACCAATGTGGGAAATTTTAATGAGTTAAGTTTTACGTGATTTGAATTTTAGATGCCTGGAAACATGTGTGAAAGTTCTGGGTTTGGAGCTCAAGACAGACATTTAGTAGAGGTAAAGATGTGGATATCTGCAGCATGGGGAAGCCCAGGGCAAGTGAGGGAAGCAGAGCCAACTCACTGGAGGAGTGCCAGCATTGAAAGGACGGATGGAAGGAGGGAAGCCTCAGAGGAGACTGCAGGGAGAGAAACGGAGAATCTAGCATCATGGTTGTCAATAGAAGAGAACATTGAAAGGAGGGAGTGGTTGAGTTAGATCAGATTCTGTTAGGACTGTTGGACTTATTATTGGGTGATCATTCTGGCGCAGGTGAGGGCAGATGCTAGACTGCAAATGGGTCCAGAGTGAGTGGGAGATGAGGAATGAGCACAGGAGCTTGGAAACTCTTGGAAACACTTTGGCAGTGAAGGAGTAAGGAGAGAAGAGTGTTGTGCTTGCAGAGGTATGTAGGGTGAAAGGAGGATTTTGTCAACATTTTGTTAAGATGGGAGAGACGTAAGCGGCTTTAAATGTAGATGGGTAGCTTCTAATAGGGCCAAAGAGATTGAAGATAGAGGCCATGGAGGACCTGATCTAGGGCTTATGGGGTAATTCATAGAGCAAGGTCATGAGAATGGGAAGAATTAAGCCCAAGCCACAATTCACAGGATTTATTTGATACAGAATTTACAGTTTTCTCATTATCAGAGGAGGAAAGTATGTGTGTAGAATGCATAGAAGATTGTGAGTATGGTACAAGAAGTAGAGAAAATCCACTTGCTTTGGTGTTCTCTGTGAAGCAAGAACTTGAATGATGCAAGGGATGTTACAAGTCAGTTTGTAACTGCTGTCAAAGGTTCAGAAAGAAGAGCTAGATATTAAGGAAAGCCCGGTGGTCTAAGTAACTGTAGCCAACTTCCCAAGGATTGGGAATTGCTACTTATTAACAGTATTTTTTCCTTCCTTATTAGGTTTTATCACATATAAATCCAGCAGGTGGCACTAGATAGTCTTGGAAGAGTGTAAATTTCTGACTTGAAGGCAGTATTTGCCTAATGACCTTTTCTTTTCATGTAAACATTTTTATATTTTATTGTTGATGCCTTTAGCAATGGATAGGCTCTGTTAAGATAGCTGGTCCATTTGCATATAACGTCTCACCTAATTAGTTTTTTAGATGGGCTCTTAACGAGCTTGTTAGATCTCTTCAAGTTTACTCTGTCTTGAATCCTGTAGCCCATTCTTCTCACATTCACACTTACAAAAATGTAGTAAGAAAGAGCTCTGGATTCCCCGACATAACTTCTGTCCTCTGCCTAAACATTGCATTTTAATTGCCTCTACCCCCTATAAAAAATTAGAGGTAGTAATGGAAATGTAAGCTCCTCAGCTCAGCTTCCTTTCCTGATGTGCCAGGGCTGCCCTGGAGGAGGGCGACTCCAACCAAAGAGACAGGTAAGTGGTTCTGACAGGGTGCCGGGCTAGCTCTGCCTCCACTGAGGAGCAGCAAGAGGCAGGCGCTCTGGATTGGCAGCCAGAAGGTTCAATTTTTGTGGTCTGTGTGATGTCACTTAATTTCCTTGGCCCTCTGTTTCCTCAGCTATAGAAATGAAAAGGCCGTCCTTTTCTTATTCCTCTCTGATTATAGTATGATGTCATAATAGCTGGTGTTAATCTTGTTTATCAAAAGTTACCTTGTCTGTTTATTACCTTTATGATGTAAAAGGTGAACGTTAACACAGGAGGGAGCTGGTGAGTGATTTGTGTTAACTTTCATGCTTGAGATTGAAATAACGACATTCCTTTCTTTCTTCCTTGGGGAGCTGTAAGCAGTGTTGCCTAGAAAAAGGCTGCTTTGGGAGGAAAATGGAAGGATTAGGGGAGGAGGAAAAAGGTGAGGCAGGAGAGCATATGGTTGGAGCAAGCCAATTAATCTGAGGTGTCAATCTAGCTTGGTAACATTTGCTCCCACACGTCATGGCCAGAAATTAGACTCTTGATTCAAGCCACCTTTTGGGAAATTTACATAAAACAGTGAATTGAGAAGAGTGTATATCCTATTGTCATAGGGTTGGAGTAAGGACTAGTTGAGATAATTTAAAAATACTTAGAGGAGTAGTTGAGATAATTTAAAGATATGCTTAGAATGGTTCCTCACAGCAACAACCAAGTAATACTAGTTTATTCTTAGCTTCTCAACAATCAGAGAAGTAAAGTTGGAATATGAAGGTAATCTAAAATCAAACGCAAAGATGCCTTTGGATCATCTGTATCAGAGGGCAGCACAGCAGCCCTCACTGACTGTTTTTATAGTCTTTGATTGGAACATAGGCTGATCTGCTTACTTAGCATCTGTGACTGCTTCTGTGCCACAGCAGCTGAGCTGAGTAGCTGTGGCAGGGACCGTATGGCCCAAAGTCTAAAATATTTACTCTCTGGCCCTTATAGAAAAGGTTTCCCTGATCTACAGCATTGTTATGTTTTTACCTTGCTTTGTTCTTTAACACAGAAGTTCCCAGATGAATGTTGTTTTTTTTAATTTTTATTTATTTATATTTTTATATATTTTTTTGAGACGGAGTCTCACTCTGTCACCCAGGCTGGAATGCAGTGACGTGATCTTGGCTCACTGTAAGCTCCATCTCCCGGGTTCACGCCATTCTCCTGCCTCAGCCTCCTGAGTAGCTGAGACTACAGATGCTCACCGCCACGCCTGGCTAATTTTTGTATTTTTAGTAGAGATGGGATTTCACTGTGTTAGCCAGGACGGTCTCGATCTCCTGACCTCGTGATCCGCCCGCCTCGGCCTCCCAAAGTGCTGGGATTACAGGTGTGAGCCACTGCGCCTGGCCTTTTTGTTTGTTGTTTTTTTTTTTAAATTAAAAGTGAGGGCTTCTATATAGATTAGGGCTCTGTTATGACTATAACTAAAAAATAGTGGGGGAAAAACTCTTAGCTTCTACTTACCCTGTTTAAGTGGAAGTGCTTCCGTGGAACAAAACCAGATGTTATTAGTTGCCTATTCTGGAGCCCTGTTTCTATCCAGCACTACTGCCTTGCCTACCTTTAGCATATAGCTAGCATCCCTAAGGACAAACGCCTGATGGCAGGGAGGCACCACTTCAAGCGTGTCTCACGGCCCAGCAGTGGGCTTGGAGTTTTGATGTTTATCATGGTTATTGACCAAGGCTTATGATCATAAGTTAACTCTTTTCTAATCCTGTTAGAAAACTTGATCTCCTGAATAAAGATTAAATGCCAGTCTTGCATATTAAGATAGGTTTAACTTAATATGTTATCATTAATTTTTTAAAATATATAAGGTATGGTAATTTTGTATTATTAATTCTCCAACACTTGAGGCATTTCTGTTGTTTAAGGAGCATTTGATTAGGGACACTATACTTTTTAAAAGTCTTAAAGTAGGTAGAGGTATTTAATTTAGGGTTGATATCTGAATGTTTTTAAATGCTTGTAGATGATGTTGAAGTAAATTTCTGATATGAATAATCAGTGATTTTTATTATTAAGATAAAAGACATGATAAAAAAACATACAAATAGGTTTTGAGATATGAAATATGTCAACATACTACAGTTAGTGTACAGAATCAGCATTTCATTGTTAGGACATTTTCCTCAACTTTCTAAAGCCAGCATTTCAACTGACTTTTCCAGACCATATTTGAAGATGTTAGTGGTTTTGGTGCCTGGCATCGAAGATGGTGTGTTCTTTCTGGAAACTGTATATCTTATTGGACTTATCCAGATGATGAGAAACGCAAGGTAATTTATATAGTACTGTTTAGTGGTGAAAGCCCTGATTGACTTTCGTGTAGTGTTCATGCAAATGTTCCCTCTGGCCCCCATCACTCACCCAAATTAATAACCCTTTTTGTGTACTCACTAAGCCATTAAAAATGTTCTTGTTGGCCAGGCGCAGTGGCTTACGCCTATAATCCCAGCACTTTGGGAGGCCAAGGCGGGCAGATCACCTGAGGTCAGGAGTTCGAGACCAGCCTGGCCAACATGGCGAAATCCTGTCTCTGCTAAAAATACAAAAATTAGCTGGGTGTGGTGGCAGGTGCCTGTAATCCCAGCTACTCAGGAGGCTGAGGCAGGAGAATCTCTTGGATCCAGGAGACCAAGGTTGCAGTGAGCCGAGATCACGCCACGGCACTCCAGCCTGAGCGACAGAGCAAGACTCCATCTCAAAAAAAAAAAAAAAATGTTTTTGTTGTAGGTGTGTGTGTGTGTGTGTGATAATCCTTTAAAATTTTTATATCCTATCCATTCCCTATGATTTGACCACTCTTAAAATACCTTAACATGTATATTTTTCCTTCTTTTCTACTGGATGTTTAATTATATTTTTTGTTGACATTTGAAGTTGGAAATGTTTTAAATTTAATTTTTTATCTTGTTAGTTAGGGTAAAACAGTAATGGAAACCCACCCACAGGAACAGTGGTTTGTATTTTGTTTCTAAAATTTAATAATAGGATTTTGTGTAATATATCATGTTTTTAAAGAAGTTAATATCATTGCCCAAGTAACATTATTTATTATCCCCAAACTGGAAAATAGAAATAAGCAGAATTAAAAAGGAAAATCATCCATAATAGACATAGCTATTGTTCATATTTTGGTTAGATATGTTTTCAAACTTTTAAAATGTATAATATATAATAATTATTCATTTATGAATCTTTTTAAAAGGAAAAGCATGCTTTTTATAATCTGATTTTTTACTTGATAAAATATTCTAACATCTTTCAGCATCAGTAAAGATAAGTCTAATGCTGTGTTGGATAGCTATGTGTGTTACACTGTAGTCATTACAATTATTAATATTTTAAAAATTTGTGAAATGTTTGAGACATCCAAAAGGGCGTAAAATAATTTCATCAACCTCTGTGTTATTATTCCAGTTGAAGCTCCCCATGTAATTCTCTCTCCCGCAGAGATAACTTCTACCCTAAAATTGTTTATTGTTCCCATGCACTTATTTAAATTTTTATTATACAGATTGAATATCCCTTATTCATAATCCTTGGGATTTAGAGGCGTTTCAGATTTGGGATTCTTTTTTTTTTTTTTTTTTTTTTTTTTTCAGATTTTGGAATATTTGCATTATACGTGCCAATTAATTATCTCCTAATCCAAAAATTCAAAATCTGAGATGCTCCAATGAGCATTTCCTTTGAGCATCATGTTGACTCTCAAAAAGTTTTGGATTTTGGAGCATTTCAGATTTCAAGATTTTCAGATTTTGGATGTTTAACCTGTACATGTATATAAACAATATATGTTGCTGCAATTGCATGTTTTTAAACATTATACAGATAATAACATATTGTATGTATTATTCTGCAACTTGCCTTTTTTGGGTCAGTATGGTTTGTGAAATTTGTCTGGGGTGGTATGTGTAGCTTTAGATTGTCCCCTCTTCTCTGTATAGTATACTTTTGTAAGAGCACATTACAATTTATCCATTCTCCTGTTTAGAGACCCTTAGATTATTTCTAAATTGTTGTATACAGACAATGCTGCTGTGATTCACTTTCTTCTCATTTTGTTTTGGTTTGTACCTTTTACAGCCCACATGCAGGAAGATTTAGTTTCTTGTACACATGGATGAGAGTTCTTTTTTGAATGTTACCTAGTAGCAGAATTGCTGGGTTGTAGGGTTTGCACATCTACAACTTGATTTTGTCAAATGAGTCTCAAAAGTGGTTGTACGATTTTCCATTCCCACCAGGAGTATTTGAAAGTTCTCAGCTTTTCATATTCCCACCAATACATCATATGTCAGCCTTTTAAACTTCCATCAGTATGATAGATGTGAAATATACTCTTATTTAAAAAAATTTTGTATCTTCTTGATTACTAGACTAAGTATCTTTTCTAAGCATAAGAGTGTGTATGGCCATTTATATTTTCTCTCGTATGAACTGATTGTCTCTATATTATTCATTTTAATATTTTTTGATGCATTGCAATTATATTTCCCTAGTCTTAGGCCTGGCGTATCTTTTAATTTATCTTTATAGTGTCTTTTCATGCACAGACTTTTCTAATGTTAAGGTAATCAGACCTGCTAGTCTATTGCTTTGTGCTTTTTAGGGTCTAATTTAAGAAACTATCCTTATCCTGGAGTCAAAGATTTCTTTTATACCTCTTTCTAAAGTTATAGAGTTTTATACTTCACATTTAATTTCCCTAGAATTGATTTTTTTTTTCATCTGAATAACCAATTGGGCCAGCATCATTGAATGGTTTGTTCTTTCCCCACTGTGTTAGGCCATTCTTGCATTGCTATGAAGAAATACCCAAGACTGGGTAATTTTTAAATTGGCTCCTGATTCTGCAGGCTGTACTGGAAGCATGATGCTGGCATCTGCTTAGCTTCTGGGGAGGCCTCAGGGCGCTTTTACTCACAGCAAAAGATGAAGTGGGAGCAGGTACATCACATGGTAAAAGCAGGAGCGAGCGAGCGAGCAAGTGAGCAAGGGGAGGTGCCAAACATTTTTAAACAATCAGTTCATGCGAGAACTCATTCACTATTGTGAGGACAGCACCAAGGGGATTTCTTGAGAAATCCGCCTGCATGATCCAGTCACCTCCCAGTAGGCCCCACCTCCAACACTGGGGATTACAATTCAACATGAGATCTGGGTGAAGACAAATATCAAAACTGTATCATTCACTGATCCACAATGCCATTTCTCATGTGTATCAAGATGTCATTATATGTGTAGGTTTATTTTTAGGCTCACGGTTCTGTTTCCTTTGGTCTGTTTCCCTATCCCAATCTCAATGACCGTAGCTTTAAAATAAATCTTAATGTCTGCTAAGGCCAGTCTCCTAACTTATGGAGTAATGTATAGTAGTTCCCCCTTATCCTTAGTGGACGCGTTCCAAGACCGCCAGTGAATGCATGAAACCATAGATAAGTACCAGACCCACTTGCCATCAGTCATAACACGTTTCTGTTGATGTCTTACACCCACAAATTTAATGCCTTTTGTATTTTAATTAAGCACTTACCATTTACTGTGGTGGTAACTTTTGCAGTTGGAGATGTGACAACGAAACTAGCATGAATTTCTTTTTCTTTCCTCACAATTTCATGGATAGAAGATTTATTCTTACTGTAGATCTTGACAACCTCAGCATACGATTTTTTTTCTCTCCTTATTAAGTTGAAGACTTTCACCTTTTCACTTAAAGGAAGCACTTTATGGTTTGTCTTTGCATATCTACTCTTGCACTTTGGGGACCTTATTAAGTCAGATAGGGGCTACTTGAACACAAGCACTGCATACTACAGCAGTTGATCTTTTTTTTTTTTTTTTTTTTTTTCTGAGACGGAGTCTCGCTCTGTCGCCCAGGCTGGAGTGCAGTCGCGGGATCTCGGCTCACTGCAAGCACCGCCTCCCGGGTTCACGCCATTCTCCTGCCTTAGCCTCCCGAGTAGCTGGGACTACAGGTGCCCGCCACCATTCCCGGCTAATTTTTTGTATTTTTTTAGTAGAGACGGGGTTTCACCGTGTTAGCCAGGATGGTCTTGATCTCAGTTGATCCTATAACTCAGAACGCTACTAAGTGACTACTGAGCAGGTAGCAGGTAAGGCGTGGATACGCTGGACAAAGGGAGGATCCACATGCCAGGTGCGATGGCAGGAGATTACATCATGCTGCTTAGAATGGCATGCAGTTTAAAACTTACGAATAGTTTGTTTCTAGAATTTTTCTTTTAATATTTTTCAACTATGGTGGACTGTGGGTAATTGAAGCTATGGAAAGTGAAACCATGGATAAGTGGGGGGCTACTGTATGACTATTCTTGGTCCTTGCTTTTTCCATACACTGCTGCACACACACACACCCCCTGCCATCACCTCATGGAAATATATATACATATATGTTTCACTTTTTTCTTTTCTTTTTTTTTGAGACAGGGTCTCGCTCTGTTGCCCAGGCTGGAGTGCAGTGGCACGATCTCGGCTCACTGCAACCTTTGCCTCCTGGGCTCAAGCGATTCTCTGCCTCAGCCTCCCGAGTAGCTGGGACTACAGGCAAGCGCCACCACGCACGGCTAGTTTTTGTATTTTCAGTAGAGATGGGGTTTCACCATGTTGGCCAGGCTGGTCTCAAACTACTGAGCTCAAAGGTATCCGCCTGCCTCCACCTCCTGAAGTGTTGATATTACAGGCATGAGTCACTGCACCCAGCCCTGTTTTGCATTTTACAGTTGAAAATGTTCAAATGTACACAAAGCAAAAATAGTATAATGAACTTTCAGCTTAATTAATTATTCGTTTTCAGGTTTCATTTATCTCCCCACAACACACATGCATTTTTGTTTTGTTTTGTTGCTTTGCTAGGGTGTTTTAAAGCAAATACCAGAATTTATATTCTGTCATTTCTAGGTTGCAGGTCTTAAGTGTTGGCAAATGCCCCAAGGGAAGTCAGGGTTTCAGACTAGCTTACTATTCTTCATTCTCCCTTGCTCATTGATTTTGGCCTTTGAAGGATTTTTCTACTTTCTTGTCAATTTAATTATCTAGCATTTGGCGGCTTATATAATGGGAGGATTTTCAGACTATTTAATGTATCATATTTGCTGGAAACAATACCATGATTTATTTAAATAGTCCCCTATTACTGTCATTGAATTTGTTTGGAATTTTTTGCTATTATGAAAAAACAGTGACTACACATATTAGAATCTGTGTGTGCATATTTATATATTTGCTTCGGATAAATTTAGGTGAAACTGTAGGATCAGAAAATGCTCATTGTTAATGGTTTTTGATTACTGTTATCAGGTTGCCTACGAGTAATAGATCATATTATACTTTCACCAGTGATGCATAAGAAACTGTATTACTCACTCCCTAACCAATCAACAGAGGTTGTTACTGTTTTTTCCAGACTTAGCCAATCTAAGGTTTTAAATTGGTATGTTCTATTTTTATTTTTAAAAATTCTAATAGAGTTGACACACTTATTGGCTGTTGGCTCATGTGTGCCTATATGTGTTTCTTTTCCCATTTTCAGGACCATTTGGTCTCGTGAATGTTTTCCTCCACTTTGACTCGTATCATAGGAATTCATGGCTGCCAACAATCCAGGGCAGTTGTCTGCCCTTATCTTTCATAGATATATAAAGAAATATTTACACATGAAATCCAATGTCTAGGTTTCCTTTTATAGAAAGGGGAGAAGTGGGTAAGTTGTAGATAAAAGGCACTTGAGTGTGTTTCTCATTGTTATAGCTGGTTTTGGTACCTGGGGCTCATTATACTGTTGTTTGTATTTTTTATTTGAAGTTCACCATAATAAAGAGCTTTATAGGATAGTTGGCAAGAGCTACCAGTTGATATTTTTGGGTTTTATTTTTATGTCTAGCTAGGAACAATAATAAATGTTAAATATGTTTCTCTAAGCCCAGTGTAACTAAATTTTAACTTTTAAATAATAGCTTTTTAATATTTAATTTGTACCAACTTAAATGCTGCTTAATGCTTACTGACTTAAATAGTCTTATTTTCTACTAATTTCTCTTAATTTGTTTTTAAAGAATCCCATAGGAAGGATAAATCTGGCTAATTGTACCAGTCGTCAGATAGAACCAGCCAACAGAGAATTTTGTGCAAGACGCAACACTTTTGAATTAATTACTGTCCGACCACAAAGAGAAGATGACCGAGAGACTCTTGTCAGCCAATGCAGGGACACACTCTGTGTTACCAAGTATGTATTGGCCTATAAATATTTCTATCAACTAAGCAATTGATTGCCCACTATGTACTTACCACTATGAGAAATATCACAGATGGTCCTTGACGTTGAAAAGGGCACAGCCTTAGTGAGAAAACAAAACACACACAAAGCAGTAAGTGAACCATCTATAATAACTAAATTAATGTAGTTAAGGAAAGTATAATACTCAGGTTGTATCTTAGCTAATGTTTTCCAGTATGCTCACAGTGGAGGCATTTTCATGGCAGTTAGATAATAATCTTTGGGTTAAGTTTAAAGATTTCATGCGTAGTTGAGGAGTCAAGCATTATTCAAAGAGACTTTACACATCCCTTCCTTCCATTCCCAGAATACCCTCGTGTAATCAGATGACTCACAGAAACAATCTCATTCTATTCTGCAAATTTCTGGATGGAGATTAACAGAATAAAACTTTTGGGAGTGCCCCTTTTTTAATTAACCCTGATCTCAAGTGTAAGATACGAAGGCTTATTGCTAGGATTCTAAGATAGGTTTCTTTGCTTGGATGCCTAAGAGAAGCTTGAAGACCAACTTCAGTGTACAGAGTTGTCATTAGGGACAAAAGTTAGAATTTGATAAGATGTTTGGTAATTAGGCTGTTGCTGGATATTGCAGATGGGGGGAGATTGGTAGGACTAGCTTTATGAGTTTCTAATGTGAAAATATTAGAAAGCTACAGCCAGGAGACACAATACTAAAATAGAACAAAGTTGCCCAGAGACTGCCGATTTGTTTTAAAATAGCTAGATAGAGGACTCATTTGATGGAAATTTTTGATGTCTAGATTACTTCCAGATTTATTCATTTTAACTCAATTATTTCAGGGGCCTTCTATGCAGTGGTGGAATCAGACAGGGCAGGACAGGCAAAATGGATTTCTAATCATTTTGTTTGATAGCGACGTGTCCATGGTCACGGTCAGTGGAGGAACCAACCAAAGTGCAGTATCCAAATAGTTCCTGACCACAGCGGCCCACTTCAGCCATTTTGAATATCACTTACATTTTTTTGTATAACCTTATTTTTTACTGGTTGCGTAAACTCTCTTAGACTTCTCCGTAGACCTTCCCCTGTGATAAAAATAGCAGATTACATGTTGCTTTAATTACTCTGTACCTCATGTACTTGTAGTCTTTCTCACTATAAAATTATAACTTGGATGGGTACCCTTCGCCCAAGCATATGAGAGTAGTACATTCTCAATTCAGTCTTGGCTGAGTCTTCAGCTTTGCTTGGTGACCTAAAATTTATTTTACTTTTTTGATGGTGAGAATATAAACATTCTGCAGTTCTGCATTCTCCTTTGCCTCACTGATGTGTTTCCTTACGGGGCCTTGGGCCTTTTGGACTTAGGCCTTTTACTTGAATTTAATGTACCTCATTTTCATTTCTACTAACTAAGCTTGTTGTCAATGCTAAAGATTTTTCTTCTGATCTCTACTGCATACTTCAAAATAGAGACTACACATTGAAACCAGAATGTTTTATCACATGGGGAGGCAGTAGTTACAGTGGAGCTTTGAAGTCAACGGACTTAAGTTTAAATCCTGACTCATCAAATGTAACCATGGCAGGTCACTTAACTTTGCTGGCCCTCTGAAATCTTTTGTGTCAAAAAGGAAAAATAACCTCCACAGTGACTAGAGATTTTTTTTATTTTTATTAGCCTCTTGAACCAGAATAGGTTCACAGAGACTTCAGACAACAGAGATGAATGAGTAAACACACTTAGCACAGTTTCCAGTACATGGAATGAGCTTAACAAGTGGTGGCTATTATAAGTGCAGTATTTTCTTCATTGACTACCAGAAGGTGGTAAACTTCACTTATTCATGTTTACACCATTTCTAGTACCAATGGGGAGAACTTAAAAAGTTGTAGAATGAGTGCAATATAAAAACCTAATGGCTGGCTGTTCTCTGGAAGCATGTTCTGGCTATGAGGTAGGGAATCCCCCCTTCCTTACTCTGGCCTGCCCCATCAACTAGTTATTTAGTCAACTTGTAGCTAAATATGGATGAAAGGAAAATATTCCTAATATGGACAGAGAGGTTAGGATAGACAAAGTCTTAGGATCTTTTGATAGTTTATTTTAAAATCATGTTCTACTAATATAGTAGGACAAATCTAATGGGACACAGTGCAAACTAATATTACCTGTAGAGCCAGGTGAAGGTCCATGGGTCTGTGATTGCAGCTTTTGGAGAACCTGACTCTGAAGGTTATATTGGGAGTGCCCATATTCAGGGAGTGCCTATAATCAGGCCTTAGGTGCTCTTGCAGAGAAGTTGCCCACACTCAGTGGGTGTCCTATACCATCAGGTTACCCAGGCCGCACACTACCTGTATAAAACACCTGTTGGAAACACCATCCTTTACCAAGTGTAATTAGTGTAAGTTAGCATCAATTAACCAAACTGGGGATAATTTTCCTCTGTTTTATTTGGAGATGCACCTCACTAAGTGGCTGTGGATTAGCATCCATAAAAGGTGGTTAAAGGTAATTCATTTACTGGTTTATTTAGTCATTTTTTTCCCTAGCAAGAGTACATGGGGGTATGGAATGGAGGGAGAAGAATTCTGACCTCTTTGGTTGTTTGTTCCTGTAGGAACTGGCTGTCTGCAGATACTAAAGAAGAGCGGGATCTCTGGATGCAAAAACTCAATCAAGTTCTTGTTGATATTCGCCTCTGGCAACCTGATGCTTGCTACAAACCTATTG
The DNA here is from genome assembly GCF_000001405.40 of Homo sapiens. Classification (NCBI taxonomy): domain Eukaryota; kingdom Metazoa; phylum Chordata; class Mammalia; order Primates; family Hominidae; genus Homo; species Homo sapiens. Next base: position 36,452,590 of record NC_000007.14, read on the forward strand.
GAAAGCCTTAAACCGGGAAATTTCCATGCTATCTAGAGGTTTTTGATGTCATCTTAAGAAACACACTTAAGAGCATCAGATTTACTGATTGCATTTTATGCTTTAAGTACGAAAGGGTTTGTGCCAATATTCACTACGTATTATGCAGTATTTATATCTTTTGTATGTAAAACTTTAACTGATTTCTGTCATTCATCAATGAGTAGAAGTAAATACATTATAGTTGATTTTGCTAAATCTTAATTTAAAAGCCTCATTTTCCTAGAAATCTAATTATTCAGTTATTCATGACAATATTTTTTTAAAAGTAAGAAATTCTGAGTTGTCTTCTTGGAGCTGTAGGTCTTGAAGCAGCAACGTCTTTCAGGGGTTGGAGACAGAAACCCATTCTCCAATCTCAGTAGTTTTTTCGAAAGGCTGTGATCATTTATTGATCGTGATATGACTTGTTACTAGGGTACTGAAAAAAATGTCTAAGGCCTTTACAGAAACATTTTTAGTAATGAGGATGAGAACTTTTTCAAATAGCAAATATATATTGGCTTAAAGCATGAGGCTGTCTTCAGAAAAGTGATGTGGACATAGGAGGCAATGTGTGAGACTTGGGGGTTCAATATTTTATATAGAAGAGTTAATAAGCACATGGTTTACATTTACTCAGCTACTATATATGCAGTGTGGTGCACATTTTCACAGAATTCTGGCTTCATTAAGATCATTATTTTTGCTGCGTAGCTTACAGACTTAGCATATTAGTTTTTTCTACTCCTACAAGTGTAAATTGAAAAATCTTTATATTAAAAAAGTAAACTGTTATGAAGCTGCTATGTACTAATAATACTTTGCTTGCCAAAGTGTTTGGGTTTTGTTGTTGTTTGTTTGTTTGTTTGTTTTTGGTTCATGAACAACAGTGTCTAGAAACCCATTTTGAAAGTGGAAAATTATTAAGTCACCTATCACCTTTAAACGCCTTTTTTTAAAATTATAAAATATTGTAAAGCAGGGTCTCAACTTTTAAATACACTTTGAACTTCTTCTCTGAATTATTAAAGTTCTTTATGACCTCATTTATAAACACTAAATTCTGTCACCTCCTGTCATTTTATTTTTTATTCATTCAAATGTATTTTTTCTTGTGCATATTATAAAAATATATTTTATGAGCTCTTACTCAAATAAATACCTGTAAATGTCTAAAGGAATCAGTTGTTTAGGAAGCACTGTTTCAATGTGTGGCATGGTTGCTCTGCATCCCTGGGCTGGGAGCTTCTTGAGGGTACTGTGCTGACAATGTCTCATCCATCTTTTTCTCTCTACCCAGTTTGGCTTATTGTGTGTTCTTAGGGCTGCTATTGAATGCATAAGTGAATGAAGGATCTATTTCTGAGGCATTTCAACTGAATATGGTAATTGGATGTGCATTTGAGGATAGGGAGTATAATTCCCAAGTCTTTAGCAGATACTGAATGGATGAGTGATATCATCAGCCAAACAGGGAATAGGTTTGATGGGACTGATAAGAAGGTCCCTTGTATTTATTTATAGACTTGCATTTATTTTTGAGTAGGCATTAAAGGGCACAAAAGCTTGGTACAAAATTCAGAATGCATAAAGAAGGTAAAGTTAAAAAGCAAGTCTTTTCCTACTGTCATAACTACTTTTACCAATGTTTATGTCCTGCCAGAGGCCACTACACATATTGCATACAAATATTTATATTCTTCTGTTCATAAAAATATTCTATACATACCATTTATTGTAAGTTAAACAAAAAGTATAACAGTATTCCTTAGAGATCATCTAAATATATAGATAGTATTTATAAAATTCAACTTTAGAAGAAATTTAGCTTAAGGTGATTGTGGGACCTCAAGCTAGAAATACTCCGTAAACAGTAGAAAATGTCACTCTGAAGATTTCCAGTGTCATCTGCCTAAGGGGGATTGTTGAAACTATTGGAGTGAATAAGATCATCCAGGGAATATGATGTGGGAAGAGAAGAAAGAGAAAAAAGAACACTGTTCTTTTTTTTTTTTTTTTTGAAACAGGGTCTCACTCTCTCCTCCAGGATGGAGTGCAGTGGCACAGTCTCGGCTCGCCGCAACCTCTGCTTCCCGGGTTCAAGTGATTCTCGTGCCTCGGCCTCCTGAGAAACTGGGATTACAGGCACACACCACCATGCCCAGCTAATTTTTGTATTTTTAGTAGAGGTGGAATTTCACTGCGTTGGCCAGACTGGTCTTGAACTCCAGACCTCAAATGATCCTCCTGCCTCGGCCTCCCAAAGTGCTGAGATTACAGATGTGAGCCACCACGACTGGCCTGAACACTGTTCTTAAGGGGAAAAGTAGAAAAGACAAGTCTAATGATTGTCTTCTATGAAAGAAAAACAAGAATGGTGTCTGGTGAGACCAAAGAAGAAAAGATTTTGGCCGGGTACGGTGGCTCACACCTGTAATCCCAGCGCTTTGGGAGGCTGAGGTGGGTGGATGACCTGAAGTGAGGAGTTTGAGACCAGCCTGGCCAACATGGTGAAACCTTGTCTCTACCAAAAATATAAAAAATTAGCTGGGCATGGTGGTGCGTGCCTGTAATCCCAACTACTTGGGAGGCTAAGGCAGGAGAATCACTTGAACCCAGAAGGCAGAGGCTGCAGTGAGCCGAGACTGTCTCAAAAAAAAAAAAAAAGATTCTGACCACAAAATCATAAAGCAGAATAAAGAAAATGTGAATTGAAATTTGGAGCAGTCAGTTGAACAAAATGGTTCAGATAAAAAATCAGATTACAATAAAATCTGTATGGAAAAAGAATGACAGAATTGATTGCGTTAAAAAATCTGATAAATATCTAGAGTCAAAACACTAAGCAACAGACAAAGGGAGAATATTTATAACATATTTAATAAGGCATTGATAAAAAACAGAGCTCCTATGCAAGTGTAGTGGCTCATGCCTGTAATCACAGCACTTTGGGAGGCTGAGATGGGAGAATACTTGAGGCCAGGAGTTCAAGACCAGCCTGGGCAACATAGCAAGGCCCTGTCTACAAAAAAAAAAAAAAAAAAAAAAATTAGCTGAACATGTTGGCACATGACTGTAGTCTCAACTACTCGTGAGGCTGAAGTGAGAGAATTGCTAGAGCCCAGGAGGTGAAGACTACAAGTGAGCTGTGATCACCCCACTGCAATCCAGACTGGACAACAGAACGAAACCCTGTCTCTAAAAAAAAAAAAAAAAAAAACCTCAAAATTAAAAAAATAAAAAGAACCAACAAGTGGTTCACTGTTATCACATTGGGAATTAAGTAAAAGAAAAACAAAAGAGCTCCTATGACTGGCTATCTGTGAGCATTTACTATGTGCCAGGCGTTATTCTTGGTGTTTTGCATGCAGTATCTCAGATCATCTTCATAAGACCTTATCAAATAAGCGTTGAAGCTAAAGTTTTGCTCACTTTTCTGAGGTCCCACGTTGAGCAAGTGGCAGACCCAGATTTGCACTCAGTCTACTCCAGAATCCACATACTTACACTCTGCTGTTTCTCAATAAGAAAAAGAAAATTTAACCTAAAGAAGAGGGGCAAATAATATTAGCAGGAATTGCATACACACAAATCCAAAGAGCCGGCAAACATGTAAAAATAATACTAATAAAAATACAGATTTAAATGGCAATGGGTTATTGGCCCACAGGTGGTGAAACTATAACCAACATTATTGAGAAACGAACTTACGCTCTTGGTGGGAATAGAAACTGAAACAGCCTACTTGGATGGCAACTTGGTAACTTAAACAGGAATCTACTAACACACAGGATCAGATTGTCAAATCTGACTTCCATGCATCAGAGATCTTACCCCTATCAAGCTTTACTCATAGTTTCAAAGACACAAGGAATCAAAAAGCCCTGGCAAAGCAGGGAGAGGCCTGCATCATCCTGCATGCCTCCCAGGGTCTCGTTCCCACAGGAGACACCTGCTCTGTGGCCCAGGGTAATAGATGAGATCTCAAGGAAGGGTTGCGGTCCTCTCACTCAGCAGGGAGGCTTTAGGTATGGAAACATTGCATTTTATACCCTATATGGTATAGTTTTTGTGACTTTCTCTTAGGAGTCTTGTCTCACAAATCCATAAGTTCTAAGTTTATTTACTGTAAGCAACCCTTAACCAGCTATATCCTACTAAGCACATTCCACAGATAAAGAGTTCTCTCAGCAAATACCATTTGTCTGTTTACTAGGAGGTTCAGTTCTTAGCATGTTTACCAGGAATTTCCTTTACCGAAATCAAGGGCCAGCTGTGCTAACTCCCCACTTCTCAGACAAACTTTCATGTGAGCATAGATGTGTATAAAAGGATGATCATTACAATACTGTTTTTATCTATCTATCATCTATCTATCATCTATCTATCTTCTATCTATTTATCATCTACCTGTTTATTGGGATAGAGTCTCTGTCACACAGGCTGGAGTGCAGTGGTGTGATCTCAGCTCACTGCAACCTCTGCCTCCCCAATTCAAGCAATTCTCCTGCCTCCCCCTCCGGAGTAGCTGGGATTACAGGTGCCCGCCACCATGCCTGGCTAGAGACAGTTTTTAAAGGGAAAAAAATAAATAATCTGCAAGCCCATTAGTAGGAAATTATGGTACATTTTTCCTACAAGACACCATGTAGTGGTCAAAAAGAATGAAGCAAGTGTATATCTATATATTGACTTCCAGAGCAACTTATAGGGGAAAGGGATGTACCACGCAACATGGAACCATGTATGTAACATAGATGCACATAAATAACTAGATAAAAGTGTGGAAGGAATCACATGAAGTACATGGGGAAAAGGTTGGGAGCAGTGTGGGGTGGAGGAATGCTTTGACATTTGTCTCTGTTTTTAGAGTATTTGATATGTTCACAATGAGAATATTTTCATATATCACTCATGTATGTGGACTTAGGAACACTTCAAAAATAAAATCAAAATGAAAAATTGAGTGAATGCAAGACTGAATAGAGACTTCAGGATATTGAATTGTGAAGAGAAAGGCCTAACTGGGACAATAGTTTGGTGGGAAAACATTCAGGGAAGGATATTGTTGGGACTCAGAAAACAATACTCCAAAAAGAAGGCCTCAGAAGCAAGAGTTTTCCTCTGATCTTCTCCTGCCTGCCTGTCTCTCAGTCCCATTCTCCCCCAGGGATAGCCATGGAAACTAGAACCCCTCTTCCCCACGGTGAGTCGTAGAAACGAGAACCTCTTTTCTCCAAAGCCAGCCACAAAACCTAAACATATTTCTCTAACTTTCCCTTTGCCTTTCTGTGTAAAACTGGCCGTAAAGAAATGATCTGACCTACCTTGTTTGACTGTAGGTCATGAGACCCTTATTCCAGAACAGGTCCTGCTCCACACCCAGAAGGAAGGAATGTGGCTCAGAGATGCCAAGAAGAATCTAGACAAGGCTTGCTGGCTTTCCCTGCACAGTCTATTCGCATTAGATCTACCCTTTTTGTCCAACTTCTACACAGCGGTCAATGCTTTGTTGAACCTAAGCATAAAAATGGCCAATTTCTCTGGTATTTTTGTGTCTTCATTCTGAATGCTCCTGTGTATACACGTTAAGTAAATTTATATGCATTTTCTCCAACGAGTCTAACTTTTGTGAGTTGATTTTTCAGTGAGCCTTCAGAGGGCCAAAGAGAACTTTTCCCTTGACCCCAAGTTCCCCTTAAAATTATTTTTAATGATAAACTCAATTATTTTTAGCTGATGTAGTAAGCAGGGTACAGACTATGCTACTATAAAAAAAAAAAGAATCATAACAAAGATAGAAGAGGTAAAACAAGATAGAAGTTTCTTTCTCATAGGACAGTCCAAAGAGAGGGGACTGGTTCTGGGCAGAGAGGTGGTTTTGAGCCTTGAGGGTGTCCAGGCTCCAAGGTCCTTGTCCCAGACATAGCCTGGTATGTGGCCCTTGTCCTCATGGCCAAAGCCAGCTCACCTGTATCACATCCATGGTCCATCTATCAGGAGAGCGGAAAGTGCAGAGCTCATTCCCAGTCATTTTGAGATTAAGACCAAGAAAATGTAGTCTTTAGTTGAGTGACCACAACCCCTGTTGAAATTCACCAGGGTTCTATTATACAAAGGCAAAATATGGTGCATTCAGGGGACTGTCAGCAGGCCTTACCACTGCTTCTAAATCCTTCATTTTTGTTGAAAGCAAAGATATGAAAACCACCTGACTTGCAAAAGGATTTGTTATTCTGCCTTTAGGGTCCAGGAAAACCAGTATTTGGACTGTCCCTTTTCTTTTAGTATTGGGAGGGTTTTACATCCCAGGAAAGTGACTGTAGAGAGTTAGGCAGAAAGCATGGCTTTCCTGTGTAAAGTGGGAGTGGAGGGGAGCCATTGGGAAGGCAGAGAGGAGGGAAAAAAGAACACCTCAGGCAGTTTGGCTCATTAAACAGGAGGATGGCAAAGTGGCTTCATGCGCATGCGCCCTTTAGCAAGTCTTTGGTGTTCACGGGCATGTGGCTGCCCAGATCTAGGGCATTAGATTATAACTGGGCAGCTTAACTTCAAAATACATTTTAAAACATTTTTTCTTTTTCTTTTGGGTTTCAAGATATACCCTTGAAGCAAACTGCAGGAGCCTTTTCCCTAAGCCTTAAAACAGACTCCATGTCCCTCCCTTTCTCACCGTATATACTCCCTTCACGTTTATCCAGCCTTCTGCTAGTGTCTAACTGTGTGCCTTCTTAGAAGTTCCAGGGGCTAATCTTGAGACAGACACAGCCTGGAGACTCAGCTGCAAAATTCCAGAGATTACTTCAAGGTGGCTAGTTAACAACCTAGTCATTGTTGAGATGACACCAGCCCAAGATCCAAGCGGACTGGGACCCAAGATAACCACCAGACGCAGACATTGTTCTCAGCACAATCCTTGCATGCCTTCCTTATCAAGTTTTCCTTTTTTAAACTCCTGCCTTCCCTCCAAAAAATCAAAGTGGCTGCTTTGGATGGGAATCTGGCCACTTCTCCTTTACTAATTTTGGTTAATAGGATCATTTTCTTTCTACAAGACCTCACTCTTCCTTAGACTCTGCAAGTGGTGAGCATGCAGACCTGCACTGGGTTACATGGTCATGGGGTGCAACGTGAAGGTGCTTACCAAAGGGCAAATCAGGAGTGTCCAGAGTACATGGCAACACCTCCCAAGCACCGAGCTTTCATGGTCATTTCATTGTCAGGACGTCCTTGAGAAGGAGAACCACTGGAGCCGCAGCTGGAGGGAGTATTGAGTAGCGATGGTGCCCTTCCTGCAGGCAGCGAGGTGTTCGCTTTCTCATGCTCATGTTTAGCTCACCGTTCTCTCCTTCCTTGGAGAAGTCAAGTTTCTCATGTCTTTAGCCATATCTGTATTTATTTACTTGCCAAATTTATATTGACTGTATTTCCTTCAGTACTTTTTTTCCTCTAGTTTTGTTTTGGAAGATTTGCTACCTATAAGCATTAGTCACCTTACTGAACTACTTTATTAGTTATAATAATTTTTCATGATTCTTTTTGGTGTTCAGAGATACCAACTTCAAATAATAATAATGTCTCCACCTTTCCAACACTTGTATCACACTTTCTATTTTTGTTCTCCCAGAACAGTATAATAGTGGTGATAGCAGGCATTTCTGATTTAATAAGAATGTTCTGGTATTCACTATTAAATATAATGCTAATTGTTCACTTGAGATAGATCTTTATTGTTTGTTATATAAAGGAAGTTTCCTTATATCCCTCTTTTTCTATGGCCAGCTTCCAAATTTATAATCCAGATACAAAGATATGACATTCCCCCCAAAAGGAAAAATATGAACCACATTACTTCATAAATTGATGCCAGTTTGTGCCTGTGCTCTGGAAAAATTTAGATTTTAGATAGCTTTTTTTTTTTTTTTTTGAGACAGAGTTTTGCTCTGTCGCCCAGGCTGGAGTGCAGTGGCTTGATCTCGGCTTGCTGCAACCTCTGCCTCCTGGGTTTAAGGGATTCTCCTGCCTCAGCCTCCCGAGTAGCTGGGAATTCAGGCATGCACCACCACACCCAGCTAATTTTTGTATCTTTTAGTAGAGACGGGTTTTCACTATGTTGGCCAGGCTGGTCTCAAACTCTTGACCTCGTGATCCACCCGTCTCAGCCTCCCAAAGTGTTGGGATTACAGGAGTGAGCACCTGCGCCCGGCCTGCTTCTTGAAGATGTTAAAGACTTGCCCCTAAAACAACCTAACCTTGGTACATGTTTTGCAGATAGTTTGTGTATTAGTTATCTATTCCTGGGTAACAAATTACCCTAAAACTGCGTGGCCTAAAATGACAACAACACGCAGCATGTCACAGTCACTATGGGTCAGGAATCTGGACTCTGCTCTGGCTCAGAGTCCGTCACAGGGCCACAATCTGGTGTCAGTCCAACAGTCCATCTCAAAGCTCGGCTAGGGAAGGGTATGATTCCAGCTACTCATCTGGTTGTGGAAGGATTCAATTCCTCACACCATGTTAGAATGAGGACTTCAGTTCCTTGCTGGCTCTTGGTTGGAGGATGCCTTCAGTTCCTTACCACAGGGGCCTCCCTATAGGGCATGTGGTAGCTTCAACAGAGTGAGCCAGCGAGAAGAGCCGAGGGAGTACAAGCAGGATGGAAGTCGTGTTTTGCAACCTATTCTTGGAAGTGACATCCCATCACTTTTGCTATATTCTATTTATTAGAATCAAATCACTAGATTAAACCATGCTCAATTGCAGGGAATCACTGGGGGGCATTTTAGAAGCTTCCTACCTATTGTATTATAATGTTTAATTTTTCTGTGTTTCTTGGCTCATACAATATTTCTACTTCATTTCTTTAAAAAAATTTATTTTTGAGATTGCAGTGGCGCTATCATAGCTCATTGCAGCCTTCCTGGGCTCATGGGATCCTCCCCCCTCAGCTTCCCAAGTAGCTGGGACTGCAGGTATACTCCACTGCACCCAGCTAATGTTTATTTTTTATTTTTTTGTAGAGATGGTGTCTTGCTATGTTGCCTAGGCTGGCCTCAAACTCCTGGCCTCAAGCAATCCTCCCCCTCAACCTCCCAAAGTGCTAGAATTGTATGCCTGAGCCATCATGCCTGACCATATTTCTACCTCTTAAAGAGATTTGGTAATTGATCCATCTCTAGACACTCATTCATACTTTAGACTTTTAAATGTAAAACTGTACATTCGGCTGGGTGCAGTGGCTCACGCCTGTAATCCCAGCACTTTGGGAGGCTGAGGCAGGTAGATCACAAGGTCAGGAGATCAAGACCAGCCTGACCAACATGGTGAAACCCCGTCTCGACTAAAAATACAAAAATTAGCTGGGCGTGGTGGCACGTGCCTGTAATCCCAGCTACTCAGGAGGCTGAGGCAGGAGAATTGCTTGAACCCGGAAGGGAGAGGTTGCAGTGAGCCGAGATCACACCACCGCACTCCAGCCTGGGCAACAGAGCAAGACTCCTTCTCAATAAATAAATAAATAAACACATACAGAAAAAAAAAAAAAAAAACAGAAAAAACACTGTACATTCTATTTTCAAATAATTAAAAAAATTGTTTTTGTTTTTGAGACAGGGTATCCCTCTGTCAGCCAGGTTTGAGTGCAGTGGTACAATCATGGCTCACTGCAGCCTTGACCTCCTGGGCTCAAGGATCCTCCTGCCTCAGGCTCCCGAGTAGCTGGGCCTGCCAGAGTGCATCACCATGCTTGGCTAATTTTTTTGTATTTTTTGTGTTTTCCAGCCTATTTTTTCCTTGTTTCTCAGGTTGGATAATTTCTTTTGTCCTATCTTCCAGTTTACTAATACTTTTTTCTGTTCTCTTTATTCTGCTGAAGTAAAAACATCCATAGAATTTTAAATTCTAATTACTGTATTTTTCAGTTTGACATTTCCACTTGATTCTTCTTTATATCTTCTACTTCTTTGCTGAGACTTCCCATTTTTTCATTTATTTCAAGCATGTTTGTGTAATAGTTGCTCACTGAAGCATTTTTACGATGGCTGCTTTAAAATCCTTCTCAGATAGTTTCAACATTTGTGTGATTTGGCACCTGTCAATTGATTCTTCTTATTCAAGTTGAGATTTTCCCGGTCTTGTATAAGTGATTTAAATATTGTGCAATGGACATTGAGGGTATTATGCTATGAAACTCTGTATTTTATCTAAATTTTGTGATTTAGTAGGTCTCCTCTGACATCATGCTGGTGGGAGGGAGGGGGTCTTGCCTCATTTCTGTCAGGTGGGGGTGAAAGTCCAGGTGCCATTGGCCCTTGAGGAGGCGGGGCTCCTTGTTAGTGCCAGGTGGGTGGGAGTGGGAATCCGTGCTCCCACTAGGCCTCTATTGGTAGCACCCAGGCTGGGAGAGAGGCATCTTGCTAGTGTTCCTCAAGTAATCTTCACTGCCAACAAGGAGGGGAGGGAGCGGACGGCAATTGAGACATCTGACTTCCCCTTGACTTCCTCTAACACTGGCAGGTAAGGGGAGCTCATCACCACTGGGTAGGGTTGGAAGTCAGGATTCCAAGTGGCCTCTAGTGACGCAGTACAGGCTTCTGATCCTTGCTGTTCAAGGGTAGAAATTTAGGTACCCCACCTGGCCTTTGCCGACATGAGTTGGGGTAGGAATGTATATTTTTCTGTGGTGTTTAGCTGGGCTATGGTGATTACTGTTGCAAAGTTTTCTGTCTTGCTAGGCTGCTTCTTTTCTGCTCCTTTGGCTAGAGAGCGCAGGCTTCCCTTGGGGGCTTTTCTTTGTCTGCTGCCACTGACATTTCTGGGTTGTCGGCTTCACTAGCAACCAATTCAAGATAAAGCATGCAATAAGAACACCCAGAGAAATCACCTGTAGGATGCTACATACGTGGCATATAGGCTTGAGTATATGTTCCTTGGGTCTCAAGGTTTCTAGAGGGCTTTCCTTTTTCTTTTCACCTTCCAGTCTTCTAATGTTTGTTTTATATATAATGCCCAGGATTTTAGCTGTACTTAGCAGGGGGAATTGGGAGAAGTTTTTCTACTCCATCTCGGACTTGTTGATTGAAGTTTAACAGTTCGTAATTTCATGGGTTCTCAAGCACATCTTGTGGGGTTTACTTATGTTACTTTAAATGACCCTTTCTGTTATGGAGTAAATTGTTTTCTTTTCTTTTCTTTTTTTGAGACAGAGTCTGTTGCCTAGGCTAGAGTGCAGTGGTGCAATCTCGGCTCACTGCAACCTCTGCCTCCTGGGCTCAGGCAATCCTACCATCTCAGCCTCCTGAGCAGCTGGGGCTACAGGGGCACACCACCACACCCAGCTAATTTTTGTATTTTTTTTGTAGAGACAGGGTTTCGCCATGTTACCCAGGCTGGTCTTGAATTCCTGAGCTCAAGCAATCTGCCCACCTCAGCCTCCCAAAGTGTTGGAATTACAGGCTTCCCTGGCTGTAAATTGTTTTCTTTAATCAATTCTATCAAGAAGTGTTCCAAAAGCTGTGAGTTGTTTTTAACTGCCTAGGCAGTTGTGGTAGATTACTAGTAAGGCTGAGTATCTTTCACATGTGTTTATTGGATCTATGTATTGCTTTATTTGTGAATTTTATGTTAGTGTCCTTTGTCCATTTTTCAATTGTCCTTATTTGACTTATATGTTAGGGATATTAGTATTTGGTTGTATGTGGTTGCAGCTACGCTCATCTCCTTTACAAACTGCATTCTTTAGCTACAAATTGAATATTTCATCACCTACCACATAGATCTATTGGGAGCATTAAATAAGACTATGAATGTTAACTCCTCAGACCAGTAAGAAGGCAAAGAGTAAATTCCTGGTAAATGGCAGTGATTATTTATTGTGGAATTAACTGCCCAAGGAGATCTGGAGACAGGCAGAAATAAATCTCTTCAGGCTAGTTGTCTTCCCAAGACCAAGCTTTCTGCTCTTGCACTCTGAAGAGGTTGCTGGGAATATGAAAATGCCTAGAAGTTCGCTTGGCAAGGAACAACGCTTTATGGCATTTGCTGAAGTTTTGTCACAGAGAAAATAACAGTAATACTATAATTTTAGAATTGCCTACTCTCAATTATAACATCTTTTTATTAATTTCAAAACTTCCTTGAGAAGTTAAAACAATTTTTACTTCCATAAAAAGGCTGTATAAAATGGATTTAATTTGCCTTCTTCCAAAAGTTAGTAGTTTATATGATTGAAGTATTAAAAAAAAATGTGTACTTCACAAGGTTCAGAGGTTTGGATGTAGTATATGAAGTTTAGCAAAATGTGAGACTTCAGACTGAAAATGTACTCAGTCCAAACTCATTCTACTCACTGCACGAAAGCAAATAAGTGAAGAGACAAGGAGTTGGAGGAAGGAAAGCAACTTTACTTCGGAGAGCCAGCAACCAGAGAAGGTGGCAGACCAGTGTTCTAAAGAATCATCCTAAAAGGCATGAATCTCAAGCTTCTTTTTATATTTGGGATGGGGGAACAATGAGGTGACTGGTGACCATGGGTATCTGGGCATCAGAAGAAGGAGGCTGCAAAACTCCTTTGTCCTTGGTCAGGTCACATTGCTCCTATAAATCTTTTTTTTTTTTTTTTTTTTTTTTTGAGATGGAGTCTCACTCTATTGCCCAAGCTGGAGTGCAGTGGTGTGATCTCAGCTCACTGCAACCTACACCTCCCAGGTTCAAGCAATCCTCTTGCCTCAGTTTCCCAAGTAGCTGGGATTACAGGCACACATCACCACACTTGGCTAATTTTTTATTTTTAGTAGAGACAGGGTTTCACCTTGTTGGCCAGGCTGGTCTCAAACTCCTGACCTCAGGTCATACACCAGCCTTGGCCTCCCAAAGTGCTGAGATTACAGGTGTGAGCCACTGTGCCTGACCAGCTCCTAAGGTCCCAGAGGGACTGGCTGGAGCTGCAGCAGACTAACATAAATTGTGAAGATTTCATGGACATTTATCAGTTCCCAAATAATACTTTTATAATTTCTTACACCTGTCTTACTTTAATCTCTTAATCCTGTTATCTTCGTAAGCTGAGGATGTACATCACCTCAGGACCACTATGATAATTGTGTTAACTGTACAAATTGATTGTAAAACGTGTGTTTGAACAATATGAAATCAGTGCACCTTGAAAAAGAACAGAATAACAGCGATTTTTAGGGAACAAGAGAAGACAACCATAAGGTCTGACTGCCTGTGGGGTTGGGCAAAAAGACCCATATTTTTCTTCTTGCAGAGAGCCTGTAAATGGACGGCAAGTAGGGAAGATATCACTAAATTCTTTTCCTAGCAAGGAATATTGATATTAATACTCTGGGAAAGGAATTCATTCCTGGGGTGATGTCTATAAATGGCTGCTCTGGGAATGTCTGTCCTATGCGGTTGAGATAAGGACTGAGATACGCCCTGGTCTCCTGCAGTACCCTCAGGCTTACTAGGATTGGGAAACTCCATCCTGGTAAATTTTTGGTCAGACTGATTCTCTGCTCTCAAACCCTGTTTTCTGTTAAGATGTTTATCAAGACAATACATGCACACCGCTGAACAGAGACTCTTATCAGGAGTTCTGATTTTGCCCTTGTCCTGTTTCCTCAGAAGCATGTGATCTTTGTTCTGCTTTTTGCCCCTTGAAGCCTGTGACCTACTCTCTGTTCGTACACCCCCTCCCCTTTTGAAATCCTTAATAAAAACTTGCTGGTTTTAAGGCTTAGGTGGGCATCATGTTCCTACCGATATGTGATGTCACCCTTGGCAGCCCGGCTGTAAAATTCCTCTCTGTGTACTTTTTATCTTTATTTCTCAGCTGGCTGACACTTACAGAAAATAGAAAGAACCTACATTGAAATGTTGGGGGTGGGTTCCCCTGATACTGCAAAGTCTTCTTCTACATACTCGGAATGGCAGTACAAGTTGTATTGTTTCACCTGTTTTAAATCAGACCCTGAGACCAATGTAAATGGTGAGGTTTACTCTCTGTGATAATTTGTGTAGATTTCTTGGGGCTTCTCTGAGTGGCCACTGAAACATGATTCCTAAGATACGCATGGCCATACTGGGCTCTGTTCCTTACAGAACACCCTTTCTGCTCCACCCTTTTATAACAGTGGCAAGTGTTATTTTGATCTGAACTTCATGCCTTGTTGAGCATGGCTTGGGATACATTTTCTCTCTCTCTTTTTTTTTTTTTTTTTTTTTTTTTTGAGATGGAGTCTCACTCTGTCACCCAGGCTGGAGTGCAGTGGCGAGATCTCAGCTCACTGCAACCTCTACCTCCTGGGTCCAAGCGATTCTCCTGCCTCAGCCTCCTGAGTAGCTGGGATTATAGGCACCCACCACTACACCTGGCTAATTTTTGTATTTTTAGTAGAGACAGGGTTTCGTCATGTTGGCCAGGCTGCTTTCGAACTCCTGACCTCAAGTGATCTGCCCGCCTTGGCCTCCCAAAGTGCTGGGATTACAGGTGTGAGCCACCTTGCCTGGCCAAGGGATACATTTTCTCTTTGAGACTCCACAGTCCTCTCTTGAGATTTCCTCTTGAAATTTGTGTTTTGTCATTCCCTCTATCCACCCACTGTTGGGAGGGAATTTTCCATGATTTCTTTGCATTTCTGAATAGCTTGTACATATCTTGTAAGGAGAGTCACTGACTACTTTTGTTCTAGGCTATCTTTTCAAGGATGTTTGTGTGGGCGGCAAGCCACCCAGGTACCGAGGCAAGAGACCAAGGGCACGAGCTGTTCCAGTATAAGAAAATATGTAAAATAAGAATAGTTATACTAGATATAGATCTTATATGATTATATATGAATACCATTAATCATTAGTGTGTAGCAATTACTCTTTATTCTAATATTATAATAATCCTCGCTCTACAATCATAACCTAGGAAAAACCAGGCCATGCAGAGATAGGAGCTGAGGGGACATAGCAAGAAGTGACCAGAAGACAAGAGTGTGAGCCTTCTGTTATGCCTGGACAGGGCCACCAAAGGGCTCCTTGGTCCAGCGGTAACGCCAGCATCTGGGAAGACACCCCTTGCCAAGCGGACTGTGGTCTAGCGGTAGCGTCAGTGTCAAGGAAAAAGACCTGCTACTTAGCAGACCAGGAAAGGGAGTCTCCCTTTCCCTGGGGGAGTTTAGAGAAGACTCTACTCCTCCATCTCTTGTGGAGGGACTGACATCATTCAGGCCCACCTGCAGTTATCTAGAGGCCTAACTGTCTCCCTGTGATGCTGTGCTTCGGTGGTCATGCTCCTAGTCTGCCTTCATGTTCCATCCTGTACACCTGGCTCTGCCTTTTAGATAGCAGTGGCAAATTAGTGAAAGTACTAAAAGTCTCTGATAAACAGAAATAATGATGTAAGCTGTCTCTGTCTCTCTCCTCTCTCTCTGCCTTGGCTGCCAGGCAGGGAAGGGCCCCCTGTCCAGTGGACACGTGACCCACGTGACCTTACCTATCACTGGAGATGGCTCATACTCCATACCCTGCCCCTTTGTCTTGTATCCAATAAATATCAGTGCAGCCTGTCATTCGGGGCCACTATCGGTCTCCGCACCTTGATGGTAGTGGTCCCCTGGGCCCAGCTGTCTTTTCTTTTATCTCTTTGTCTTGTGTCTTTATTTCTACACTCCCTCATCTCCGCACATGGGGAGAAAACCCACCGACCCTGTGGGGCCGGACCCTACATGTTTATATAGTAAGAGAGCCTTGGAAGATACAGAAAATATTTGCCTCTAGAACAAAGAGCAGATTTGCTTACAACCTTGGAAGATAGAGGTTTTTTTTTTTTTTATAAGCAAAAGGCAGCCATACTGCTCATTATGAAAGATCCTGGTTCCTTAAGCACAGAATTTTTCTCCTGTAACACAACCCAGAGTATGTGCAGATATCATCTGGACTTCTTTGCATTGCCCTGTGGGAATTGGGGTTGGTGAACCAGTGCAAATGCTGATACTCTGACTACTCTTATTGCTATGTATAATATAGTCTTTTGTCTCTAACCCAGGAGCCTTGTGTCTTGTGAAACTGGCAGACCAACTTGTTAGCCTAAAAGCAGGAAAAAAATCTTAGACCCTTTATTTTGCTGCAGATGCCTCATGCTTCTGAACCCCAATATTAGAGAGGCCCCTTAACCTGGGACAAATATAGAGACACTTGGGGAGACAGCCTGGGCTGTGAGAAGCAATATTCATTAAGGGCTGCTGAAGGATGTGCATTTCTAAACGTTATGCTTGGCACATGCACTTTTGGCTCTGGGACTTGTACTAAATTGTGCTTCTATTTTTTGCAATCTGCCAATTTTGATGGACATGATAAGAAAGAGCAATGTAAAATGTACTGTTGTATATATCATTGGGATATTTTGAAGGACACAGACTACAACATTACGCAGTGTTCCCTTTATGAGGGCCCATGGGAAAAATTTATCTCAGGTATTAGGAAAAGCTGCATTCTGTTGAACAGTTGTGGTGTTTTTGTCCTGTGGACACTATAAATCTTGTAACTGATTGTGTCTCTCTATTGTCACAGCATCTCAGAAGAATAGAGCCAAATTTGTGGTCCAGCTTTTGGAATTAATCAAGACCAGACAGAATACATTTGAGAGTACTAAGTTGACTGCAGGTTGTTTTTCTTCATTGCATTTTCTCATTCATTTATTGTTACATTTTTGCACTATGTGTATGTTTCTATTTTTATCTTAATCAGATTTTCAGGATCTGATATGTCTACCAAGTTTATTGTAAGACCAGCAGCTTTCTGCCTCCCTACCCTCCTCCTTCCCATGCCTCCTGCACCTGGTGTCTTCCTCTCCCTTAGCTTAAGTCCTTGTTTTGCTGGACCATCTGAGACAGATGCTGGCAGGCACATTTATTGAGAGCTAATGTGTCTGAAAATGTTATTAGGTGACTATCACACTTAGCTGATAGTTTGGTGAGTCACAGAATTCTAGGCTAGAAATAGCTTTTATTTAGACTTTTGAAGGTTTTGCTCCATTGCTTATAGGTTCTAGCACTTCAGTTGTGAAGTCCAAAGATCTTCTGATTCTTTTGTTTTCTTTTTCTTTTTTTGAGCTGGAGTATTGCTTTGTTACCCAGGCTGGAGTGTAGTTGTATGATCTTGGCTCACTGCAACCTCCACCTCCCAGGTTGAAGTGATTCTCCTGCCTCAGCCTCCCAAGTAGCTGGGATTACAGGCGACTGCCACCATGCCTAGCTAATTTTTGTATTTTTAGTAGAGACGGGGTTTTGCCATGTCAGCCAGGCTGGTCTTGAACTCCTGGCCTCAAGTGATCTGCCAGCCTCGGCCTCCCAAAGTGCTGGGATTACAGGTGTGAGCCACCACACTTGGCCTTCTTTTTAGTATTTTTTTTTACTCACAGAATCTGATTCTTGATCCTTTGATGTGACTTATTTTTTTCTCTGGAGGCTTTATTGGATCTTTTCTTTGTTGTCAGTGTTCTGAAATTTCAGGAAAATGTTATACGTTTGTGGAGTCTTTTGACATCCATTGTGCTGGGCAGGATATTTTTCTCTGATTGTTTCTTGGATAATCCCCTCTTCTGTGTTTTTCTGGGTTTCCTGTTTCTTGAATGACTTTATTTTGGTTTTGAGACTTCTGGGTTAGTCTTCTCGTGGCATTTCTTAATACTGATTTTCATTCTCTCTTTGTAAATCCTATTTCTTGAAAGATCCTTTGTATTGATTTCCGTTGCTGCCAGAAAACATTACCACATACCTGGAGGCTTAAAAGAGCCCTCCTTTATTATCTTACAGCGTTTGTGAGTCAGAAGTCTGGGCCTCACGTGGCTCAGTTGGGTCCTCTGCTTAGGGCCTCACAAGATGGAAGTCAAGGTGTTGGCTGGCTTAGCTCTTATCTGAAGGCTCTGGGAAGAATCTGCTTCCAAGCTCACTCAAGTTGTTGGTAGAATCCAGTTCCTTGTGATTGTATTAGGTTGGAGCAAAAGTAATCGTGGTCTTTGCCATTTAAAAGTAATGGCGGCCAGGCGTGGTGGCTCATGCCTGTAATCCCAGCACTTTGGGAGGCCGAGGAGGATGGATCACCTGAGGTCAGGAGTTCAAGACCAGCCTGGCCAACATGGCAAAACCCGTCTCTATTAAAAATATAAAAATCAGCCGGGTGTGGTGGCATGTGCCTGTAATCCCAGCTACTCGGGAGGCTGAGGCAGGAGAATCGACTTGAACTTGGGAGTTGCAGGTTGCAGTGAGCCAAGATCGTGCCACTGCACTCCAGCCTGGGCAACAGAGCGAGACTCCATCTAAAAATAAAAAGTAATGGCAAGCCAGGCAAGGTGTCTTATGCCCGTAATCCCAGTAGTTTGGGAGGCTGAGGCGGGTGGATCACTTGAGGTCAGGAGTCCAAGACCAGCCTGACCAACATAGTGAAACTGTGTCTCTACCAAAAATACAGAATTAGCTGGGCGTGATAGTGCATGCCTGTAGTCCCAGCTAGTTGTGGGGCTGAGGCAGGAGGATCATCTGAACCTGGGAGGTGGAGGTTGCAATGAAACAAGATTGTGCCACTGCCCTCCAGCCTGGGAGACAGAGTCTCAAAAAAAAAAAAAAAGAAAAAAAAAGAAAAAAAAGAAAGAAAAAGAGAAGTAGGTGTCCTAAACCAGGGCTAGGACAGGGTGCTTGACACAGGCTAAGAATCTGGCACTCCTCCCAATGAACATAGTTTCCATGTTTGCTCAATATTTATTTAGCTAACCATTAAGGGGACAGGATGGATTTTTCTCTTTTAAAAATTACATGAGCTGGGTGTGGTGGCACATGCCTATAGTCTCAGCTACTTGGGAGGCTGAGGTGGGAGGATCGCTTGAGCCCAGGAGTTCAAGTCCAGCTTGGACAAAATAGCAAGACCCTCTGTTTAAAAAAAAATTTCATATGTCTTTTCTTCAAATTTAAACCTAATTATTAGACTAAACTTATTATTAAACTAAATTATAAGACTAAATGTTTTAACTTATTTAGGAATATCTTTTATTTTATAATTTTTCCATTGCTCATACTTCTATAGCATTACTCATTTGACTAATGATGAATGATAACAAATACATATAGCTGTAAAATGTTAAAATATGTTTAAATTTTTTTTCTGACTATCATAGTGGCAAGTGATTTTTGTTTTTTTGGTAGACTTACCTTGTATTCCTTCAGTTTTATATTTTTCTGGATGGGACATCCTTTTGGGAGGTTTATTAAATGGTTACAACTTTTTTTTTTTTTTTGAGACAGAGTCTTGCTCTATTGCCCAGGCTGGAGTGCAGTGGTGCAATCTCAGCTCACTGCAACCCCTGCCTCCTGGGTTCAAGTGATTCTCGTGCTTGAGCCTCCTGAGAAGCTGGGATTATAGGTGCCCACCACCATGCCTGGCTAATTTTTGTATTTTTTTAGTAGAGACTTGGTTTCACCATGTTGGTGAGGCTGGTCTCGAACTCCTGACCTCAAGTGATCCACCCGCCTTGGCCTCCCAAAGTGCTGGGATTACAGGTGTTAGCCACCGTGCCTGGCCTAAAGGGTTACAATTTAAACAATAAAGTGGAACCCTCATTATTTGTCAACAGCACCACATCAAACATCACTGGGGGCCAGGAATTCTGCTGATGTTGTTCTCATTGTAGGACTGCCAGCCTATTCACTTTCATCACTGACAGAGAGGCCAAAAGTGGCACCATGCAATGGGCACATGGGAGGATTGCTTTTCAAATGTTTACTTCCACTTTGAGGGAATCCGGGAGAACAAGACCAATTATAGTTTGCCAGTAAGGTAAGAAAATAAATGTAGAAATCCGAGCCAACTGGCACAATATTTCCTCCTATTTCAGTGATATCTTGGTGCTTATTATGGGTTGGCCACCAGACAGGCTTGTCCCTTGATCTAGTTATGCCCTCAGCCTCTGCACTGGCCACCTTTCCTTCCTGGTACCCAGTATCCTGATAGTCTGTCTCCTGCACCCCATGACACAGCTCTCAGTGTCTTCATTCACACTCAGGTACAAGTGTCTGATAATAGCATAAAGAATTCTATCATGCTCAGGGTCAGGTTCCAGCCCCAGCTGAGGGCTGAGGGGAGTGGGTGGATGTAGGGCAGGGAGCTGGAAGAACACTTGAGAGACAGCAGGTAGATGGGAGATGGCTTTATTCAGCAGCTCCTTCACAGAGTCAGTGTTACATTTATGCACCACACAAACAATAGTGCCTGAGAGCCAGGTGATGAGCTTCTCTATGTTATGTCTACATGCTTATGATTATATAAACATGGGACTGTGTGCCTGCACCACAAACCTGCTGGATCATCCAAGCTGTTTACCTGGGCCTATGCCTGCTGCCCTGTGCCTGCTTGGCTGCAGCACAGCCATGTTCCTTACACTACACCCCCTAGGCCGAGGGGATCCTCTTGGTGGGGACCCCTGCATATACAGCAGCACCCTGGACCCACAGGCCACAGCAACAATACAGAGAGCAAAAACCTACCACTAATATTCCTGCTATGCTACCTATGATTATGAGAGCCCAACATAGGCCAGAGCCCAGAGATGCCCACCATCTCTGAAGGGGGTCGTCAGTAAGGTGCTCAATCACCTTAATCTCCTGTGACACCCTTTGTAAAGCTGCTGTTATGTTCCGGTGGTTGTCAGGTATAAATGTACAACGTTGTGTCCCTACAAGGGCACAGGTGCCACCTTGGGTAGCTGTGACTGTGTCTAAAGCCATCTGGTTTTGTAGCACCACCTTCCTGATCTGATCAACTTCATCAGTTAACAAAAGGAGAGCAACTCAGGTGTCATTCAGAGCACGAGCTGTGTGCTCTGCAAAGGCTGTAACCTGCTTTTCTACAGTAATGACTTTTACTCCAGGGATAGTTATTGCTAAGGGATAGAACCACCAGGGGGCCCCCTGCCCTCGCAAAAAGCGGGAATGCAGTGCCTCCTAATAATGCCAGCAACTAGGCAATGGGGGAAACACAGTGGCAGGCACATTGGGCCACCCCAGGTACAACATCTGGTCCAACTGGATGGCAGACATGGCCATCCTGTGTCCCCACAGACCCATAAACTCCCAGGGGGCACGAAGTCCATGGGGGGGGCCCAGCCTTGGTAAGGCTGCTTGTTCCACCACACCCTTGGTGTGGTGACATGTGTTGTGTTTGCACAAACCTCAGTAGGCAGCCATCCCACAGTGACTTTTCCCCGGTGCTGCTCTATGCATTGTGGCACCTGCGATGGGGGCACCACGTGATCTCCTATTAGCCAGCCCCATCCATCATGGACACTATGAGTCAGCCAGGGGGCAGGCTTGCCATGGTTTTGCAACACCCCTGTCCAAAGCCCGCTGTGTTGCATCCCACCCATTGTCCATGGGATCCCAAGTCTCTAGTGATGTTCAGTTCTGCACAGAAGCTGGATGCACGTGACAAGGCAAGCTGTCCGCAGCTGCTGCTGGGAGGGCAGTGCAGATGCAACAGTTGGAGACATTGGTCACCTCAGTGTAGGCGTGGGCCCAATCCACAATGCTGTTGGAGCATGCCAAACTACAGCTGGAACAA
The DNA here is from genome assembly GCF_000001405.40 of Homo sapiens. Taxonomy (NCBI): domain Eukaryota; kingdom Metazoa; phylum Chordata; class Mammalia; order Primates; family Hominidae; genus Homo; species Homo sapiens. The sequence goes on from NC_000007.14 coordinate 36,474,211, forward strand.
CAAAGCAGGCACAGGTACTAACAGGGACAAATCACGTCCCTCAGGCAAAATACAGGCCAACTTTTCATCTCTGGATAACAATGTAGCCGTCAAGGGCTTCTGCCCTGGGCTATGATACCACACCTTCTCAGCTCCCCATGGTTCTTTTGGGTCCTGTACCCGTGCCAAAATCAAAGGGGAGCTCATAATAGGCCACACAGACAGTACATATGTCCCCCAGAGAAGGGTCCCTTCCCTGGCTGGTTTCTCGGGAAACATCTTAGACCACACAAAGGAAAGCTCTAGCGTGCATGTGCCAGATAACATTATGAATCACCTTCTTTGACCACTTCCTGACTCCTTAATCTGCCTTGCTGCTAACCTTCCAAAATCCTGTTTTTGATGCCTTTTCTTCCGTTTTCATCTTGGCCCCTCTGGGTTGAGTGCTTGACTCTATTTGGCTTCTGTCGGCAGTAATTCTGACTCTTCTCTCTGGCCAAGCTCCCTCAGGTGAGGACCCTTCCTGCTTTCACTTGACCTCCTAGTTTGGCTTTTTCAGGCCTGGGAGTGGGGTCTGGGCAGTATGTGAAGCCAAGCCAGGATATGCATAGAGAGCCCATGCTAGGGTAATGCATTAAGAATCTGTTTAAAAGACCATTGGCTTATCTCCTGGACAGCTAAACCCACAGTGATATATACTGTTAGAGCCTTCCAACATCCATCTCCCCACCCCTTTGTTTTAACATCAGAGTCACTATATAACTGGGGCAGAGAGTGGAGCAGTGAGGAAGAGAAGGATACTCTGACAGCAAAATTTAAGACTACATTTCTAGGTATGGCCATATGACTTAGTTCCAGCCAATGATATGTAAAGAAGACTCATTAAAAGGGGACCAACAACTAAGGAAGTGTTTTTTTTTCTTCTTCCTCTTTGGAATAAAGGCATGATGGCTGGAGCTGCAGTAGCCATATTGGATCAAGAGGATAGGTACCATGTGCTGAGGACAGTAAAGTATAAAGATAAACTCAGGTTCCTCATAGCTTAATGATGCCACCAAATCTTCTTAGACTATCTTTAGACTTATTTTATGTGAGAGAATAAACCTCTATGGGTTTAAGCCATTGTCACTTTTGGATTTCTGTCATATGTTGTAAAACCTAAGCTAATCATATATACTAACACCTTCTCTTTTCCTACTTTTATCTTGTTGCCACCTTCAAAAAAAGAGAGGAGTATTTTATTAATGATGGCAACCTGTGGTTTTGGATTGCTTTTCTAAGCGGTTGCTGCCACCATTGCTGTTGAAGCAAAAGTGAAGCACATTGTTTTGGTACAGTTGTAATACTCCCTGTGGCCACAGACTCCAAATCTCAGGTACTTAAGACATTGACATCTACTAGAAATATGTAAGTATTAGTCCTTACCTCCACTCTGTACCCGTGGTGGTGTGTCCTGTGTGGAAAATGTGCATACAGTCTTTGCATACAAGTTTCTGAATCACTTTTTCAAAGTCATTGTGAAAACATATGATCTTTAGTGGGATTCCTGGGTGTTAGCTGAGAACGTTCAGCCTATTGTTCAGATTCATACTTCCCTTGGCCCCCAACTTTTTAATATAAAAAATATTCAAAAATATATAAAAGTTGAAAGAATGTTACAATTCATATTCATATCCTCACCACCAAGTGTCAATAGTTGTTAATATTTTGTTATTTCACTTTATCTGTATACCCACACAGATTTAAAGCTAAATCTGTATCTAGAGTGACACTGTTTTTGGTTATCCATTTGAAAGTGAGTTGCGGACATCATTTTTTCACTATTAACGTATCCTGAATTTCCAAATTGTGTTCTACGTGGTCATGAGAGTGCCAAAGGCAGATTCCTAGGTGTTTTCAGCCCAAGAGTATGTGTGGCTTAGAAGCCCTTCAGCCTCAATATGGGCCATATCAGGAAGGATGCTTTGGGACTGTTACAAAGTGTATAGCAAAGATACTTGAAAAAAAGAAACCTGTACTCTTTTTGTTGTTGTTGCTGGTGTAGGGAAATATCTGCTTTGTTCCTAAAATACTGTAAGTTCAGCAAAATTCCACCAAATCAGTTTGAAAATATCTGAGCGATGATGTTGACTACTGGTTATTTCTGGAAAGCCTTTATTTATTCATTTATAATTTTAAAAAAATTAAAAAAAATTTTAGGTTCAGGGGTACATGTGCAGGTTTGTTATATAGGTAAATTGCGTGTCACAGGGGTTTGGTGTACAGATTATTTTGTCACCCAAGTAATAAGCATAGTACCCAATAGGTGGTTTTTCAGTCATCTCCCTCCTCCCACCTTCCATACTCGCATAGGCCCTGATGTCTCCTGTTCCCTTCTTTGTGTCCATGTGTACTCAATGTTTAGCTCCCACTTACGTATGAGAACATGCGGCATTTGGTTTTCTGTTCCTGCATTAGTTCACTTAGGATAATGACCTCCAGCTCCATCCATGTTGTTGCAGAGGACGTGGCCTTGTTCTTTTTTTTAAGGCAGTGTAGTGTTTCATGGTGTATATATACCACATTTTCTTTATCCAGTGTACTGTTGATGGGTATTTAGGTTGATTCCATGTCTTTGCTATTGTGAATAGTGCTATGATGAACATATGCATGCATGTATCTCTATGGTAGAATGATTTATATTCCTTTGGGTATATACCCAGTAATAGGATTGCTGGGTCAAAGGAAATTTCTGTTTTAAATTCTTTGAGAAATCACCACAGTGCTTTCCATAACGGCTGGACGAATTTTCATTCCCACCAGCAGTGTATAAGCACTCCCTTTTCTTTGTAACCTTGTCAGCATCTGTTATTTTTTGACTTTTTAATAATAGCCATTCTGACTGGTGTGATTTGCATTTCTCTAATGATTAGTGATGTTGAGCATTTTTTCATGTGCTTGTTGGCTGTGTATGTATCTTCTTTTAAAAAGTGCCTGTTCATGTTCTTTGCTCTCTTTCTTATGGGTTTTTTGTTGCTTGTTAATTTAAGTTCCTTATAAATTCTGAATATTAGACCTTTGTCAGATGCATAGTTTGCAATATTCTTTCCCATTCTGTAGGCAGACTGTTTACCCTGTTGATAGTTTTTCTCTGTGCAGAAGCCCTGTAGTTTAACTAAGTCCTATTTGTCAATTTTTGTTTTTGTTGAAATTGCTTTTGGTGTCTTTGTCATGAAATTTTTGCCAGGGCCTATGTCCAAAATTGTATTTCCTAGATTATCTCCCAGGGTTTTTACAGTTTTTGGTTTTACATATACAGCTTTAACCCATCTTGAGTTGATTTTTGTATATGGTGTAAGGAAGAGGTCTAGCTTCAATCTTTGGTATATGGCTAGCCAGTTATCCCAGCAACATTTATTGAATAGGGAGTTCTTCTCCCATTGTTTGTTTTTGTCATCTTTGTCAAAGATCAGATGGTTGCAGGTGTTCAGCTCTATTTCTGGGCTCTCTATTCTGCTCCATTAGTCTATGTGTCTGCTTTTGTACCAGTACTATGCTGTTTTGGTTACTGTAGCCCTGTAGCATAGTTTGAAGTCAGGTAATGTGATGCTTCCAGCTTTGCTCTTTTTGCTTAGGATTGTCTTGACTATTTGAGCTGTTTTTTGGTTCCATATGAATTTTAAAATAGTTCCTTCTAATTCTGTGAAGAATGGCATTGATAGTTTGATAGTAATAGCATTGAATCTGTTAATTGCTTTGGGCAGTATGACCATTTTAATGATATTGATTCTTCCTATTCACAAGCATGACATGTTTTTCCATTTGCTTGTGTAATCTCTTATTAATTTCTCCTTCCTTCTTTCTCTTCTCTATCTTCTCTTCTTTTCTTTTTTGAGACAAGGTCTTGCTCTTTCACCTAGGCTGGAGTGAAATGGTGTGTGTGATCATGGGTTGCTGCAGCCTTGAACTCCTGGGCTCAGGTGATCCTTCCACTTCAAGCTTTCCTGGGTAGGTGGGACTACGAGCATGCACGACAATGCTTGTCTTTTTTTTTTTTTTTTTTTTTTTTTTTAGATGAGGTCTTGCTATGTTGCCCAGGCTGGTCTTGAACTTCTGATCTCAAGTGATCCTTTCATCTTGGCCTCCAAAAGTGCTGGCATTAGAGGTGTGAGCCACAACAGCTGGCCATCTCTGATTTCTTTGAGTAGTGTTTTGTAATTCTTGTGGTAGAGACATTTCACTTCCCTGGTTAGCTGTATTCCTAGGTATTTTATTCTTTTTGTGGCTATTGTGAATGGCATTGCATTCTTGATTTGTCTCTCAGCTTGGATGTTGTTGGTGTATAGAAATGCTACTGATTAGGCCAGGCGTGGTGGCTCATGCCTGTAATCCCAGCACTTAGGGAGGCCAAAATGGGTGGATTACCTGAGGTCAGGAGTTTGAGACCAGCCTGGCCCACATGGTGAAACCCCGTCTCTACTAAAAATACAAAAAATTAGCTGGGCATGGTGGCAGATGCCTGTAATCCCAGCTACTTGGGAGGCTGAGGCAGGAGAATCGCTTGAACCTGGGAGGTGGAAGTTGCAGTGAGCTGAGATCGTGCCACTGCCCTCCAGCCTGGGCAACAAGAGTGAAACTCCATGTCAAAAAAAAAAAAAAAAAAAACCACTGATTTTTGTACATGGATTTTGTATTCTGAAACATTGCTGAAATTGTTCATCAGATCTAGGAGCTTTTGGGAGAGACCATGGGGTTTTCTAGACATAGAATGACATCATCTACAAATGGAAAGAGTATGACTTCCTTTCTTTCTATTTGGATGCCTTTTTTTTTTTCCTCCTGCCTCATGATTGCTCTGGCTAGCACTTCCAGTACTATGTTGAATAGCAGCGGTGAGAATGGCTACCCTTGTCTTGTTCTTGTTCTCAAGGGGAATGCTTCCAGCTTTTGCCCATTCAGTATGATGTTGTCTGTGGGTATGTCATAGATGGCTCTTATTGTTTTGAGATATGTTCCTTCAATGCCTGGTTTGTTGAGAGTTTTTAACATTAAAAAATGTTGAATTCTATTGAAAACCTCTTCTGTATCTATTGAGATGATTATATGGTTATTGTTTTTAGTTCTGCTTTTGTGTTGAATCACACTTGTTGATTTGCATGTATTGAACCAACCTTGCATCCCATGAAGCCTACTTGATCATATCATGGTGGATTAGCTTTTTGATGTGCTGCTGGATTTGGTTTGCTAGCATTTTGTTGAAGAGTTTTGCACATCTGTTAATTAAGGATATTGGCCTGAAATTTTCTTTTTTTGTTGTATCTCTGCCAGGTTTTGGCATCAGAATGATGCTGGCCGTATAGAATGAGTCAGGGAGGAGTCTCTCCTCAATTTTTTGGAATAGTTTCAGTAGGAATGGTACCAGCTCTTTTTTATACATCTGGTAGAATTCAGCTGTGAATCCTTTTGATGCTGGACTCTTTCTGGTTCACAGGCTTTTTATTACTGATTCAATTTCAACATGCATCATTGATCTGTTCAGGGGTTCAATTTATTCCTGGTTCAATCTTGGGAGGTTGTATGTTTCCAGGAATTTATCTATTTATTCTAGTTTTTCTAGTGTGTGTACATAGAGGTGTTCATGGTCCTTTCTGAGGGTTTTTTGTATTTCTGTGGGGTCAGTGGTAATGTTCTTTCTGTCATTTCTGATTGTGTTTATTTCGATCTTCTTTCTTTTTTTCTTTATTAGGATAACTAGCAATCTATCAACCTTATTTATTCTTTCAAAGAACAAACTCTTGGGTTCATTGATTTTTGTATGGTTTTTTTAATCTCAATTTTGTTGAGTTCAGCACTGTTTTTTATCATTTCTTACCCTGTGCTAGCTTTGGAGTTGGTTTGCTCTTGTTTCTCTACTTCCTTTAGGTATGATGTTAGGTTGTTAATTTGAGATCTTGCTAACTTTTTGATGTGGGTGTTTAGTGCTATAAACTTCCCTCTTAACACTACTTTAACTATGTCCCAGAGATTCTGGTATGTTGTATCTTTGTTCTCATTAGTTTCAAAAGAACTTCTTGATTTCTTCCTTAATTATATGGTTTACCTCAAAGTCATGTGGGAGCAGATTGTTTAATTTCCATGTAATTGCATGGTTTTGAGTAATTTTCTTAGTTTTAATTTCTATTTTTATTGTGCTGTTGTCTGAGAGTGTGGTTGGTATGATTTTAGTTTTTTAAAATTTGATAAAGATTGTTTTATGGCCGACTATGTGTTCAATTTTAGAGTATGTGCCATATGCAGATGAGAAGAATGTATATTCTGTTGTTTTTGGGTGAAGAGTTCTGTAGATGCCTGTTAGGCCCATTTGGTCAAATGCTGAGTTCAGGTCCTGAATATCTTTGTTAGCTTTCTGCCTTGATTTTCTGTCTAATACTGTCAGTGAGGTGTTGATGTTTTCCACTATTATTGCATGGTTATCTGAGTCCTTTCATAGGTCTCTAATAACTTGCGTTATGAATCTGGGTGCTTCTGTGTTAGGTGCCTATATATTTAGGATAGTTAAGTCTTCTTGTTGAATTGAACTCTTTAATGTTATATAATGCCCTTCTTTGTCTTTTTTGATTGTTATTGGTTTGAAGTCTGTTTTGTCTGAAATCAGAATAGCAACCTCTGCCTTTTTCTGTTTTCCATATGCTCAGTAGATTTTTCTCCATTCATTTACTTTGAGTTTATGGGTGTCATTTCATGTGAGATAGAACTCTTGTAGACAGCATAGAGTTGGGTCTTGTGTCTTTATCCAGCTTGCCAATCTGTGCCTTTTGATTAGGGCATTTAGTCCATTTACATTCAAGGTTAATATTGATATGTGCAGGTTTCATCCTGTCATTGTGTTGTTAGTTGATTATTATGCAGACTTGATTGTGTGGTTGCTTTATAGTGTCAATGATCTATATATGTAAGTGTGTTTTTGTGGCAGCTGGTAACGGTCTTTCCTTTCCATGTTTGGTACTCCCTTAAGTACCTCTTGTAAAGCTGGTCTGGTGATAACAAATTCCCTCAGCATTTGCTTGTCTGAAAAGGATCTTAATTCTGTTTTGCTTATAAGCTTAGTTTGGTTGGATATGAAATTCTTGATTGGGATTTATTCTCTTTAAGAAATGCTGAATATAGGCCCCCAATCTCTCTTCTGGTTGGTAGGGTTTCTGCTGAAATGTCTGCTGTTAGCCTGATGGGATTCCTTTACAGGTAACTTGCCCCTTTTCTCTAGATGCCTTTAACATTTTTTTCTTTCATTTTTTTTTTTTTTTTTTTTGGAGAATCCAATGAGTACGTGTCTTGGGGATAGTTGTCTTGTATAGAATCTCACAGGGCTTCTCTGCATTTCCTGTATTTGAATGTTGGCCTCTTTAGTGAGGTTGGGGAAATTTTCATGGATGATACCCTCAAATATGTTTTCCAAATTGCCTGTTTTTTCTCCCTCTCTTTCATGGATGCCAGTAAGTCATAGATGTGTCTCTTTACATAATCTCATATTTCATGGAGGTTTTCATTATTCTTTATTGTTTCTTAAAAATTTTTGTCTGACTGAGTTATTTCAAAGAACCAGTCTTTGAGCTCTGAGATTTCAAGATTTTTTTTTTTTTTTTTTTTTTTTTTTTTTGAGACAAAGTCTCACTCTGTAGCCCAGGCTGGAGGACAGCGGCACAATCTCAGCTCACTGCAACTCTGTCTCCTGGGTTCAAGCAAGGGTTGTATCTCAGCCTTCTGAGTAGCTGGAATTATAGGTGCATGCCACCATGCCCAGCTAATTTTTGTATGTTTAGTAGAGACGGGGTTTCACCATGTTGCTCAGTCCGGTCTCAAACTCCTGGATTCAACCAGCCCACCAGCCTTGGCCTCCCAAAGTGCTGGAATTATGGTATGAGCCACCATGCCCAGCCAGCTCTGAGATTCTTTCCTCAGCTTGGTCGATTCTGCTGTTAATACTTGTGATTCTGTTATGAAGTCCTTGAAGTGAGTTTTTCAGCTCTATCAGTTCAGTTTGGTTCTTTCTTAAAATAGCCATTTTGTCTTTTATCTCCTGTATTGTCTTCCTGTATTTCTCACAGTCCTTGGATTGGGTTTTGACTTTCTCCTGAATGTTGATGATTTTCATTTCTATCTATATTCTGAATTCTATTTCTGGCATTTCAGCCATTTCAGCCTGGTTAAGAACCATTGCTGGGGAACTAGTGTTGTTATTTGGAAACAAAAAGAACTCTGGCTTTTTGAGTTGCCAGACTTCTTGCACTGGTTCTTTCTCATCCGTGTGGGGTGATGTTCCTTTAATCTTTGAAGTTGCTGTCTTTATGTGTGTTTTTTTTCTTTTATCTCCTTTGATGCCCTTGGGGGTTTGATTATGGTATAAGGTGGGTTTAGTCAACTTGCTTTGATTCTAGTCCACTCTTGGATCTTGGAGGAGCCCCTTCTGATTACTGTCTCTATATCCACGTTTTGTTGTTGGGTGTTCTGGTACATGGGGCTCCCTCAGGCAGGGGCCACAGTTGGCCAGCTGGCTGTATGCTTTCTGGGTTGGCCTTAATTTGCTGTCTGAGTGCTTTCTGGCTGGGAGAAGACAGGGTTGTGCCTGCCCACAGAGTTCAGGCAGAAGCAGGACTACTGGGCTTGAAGCTCTAGCAGGCCTGGCTGGCCTGGCTATGAGAGGCAGGGATGGGTGGAGTCACCTACTCTGCCATTTGGGTGTTCTTCCTAGGACGACAGGAGGCTGTATCTGCCAGCTAAGTTCAGACAGAAGTGGGACCACTGGGCTGGAAATTCTAGCAGGTGTTGCCCACCTGGCTACCAGCAGCCAGGGGGTGGGTGGGGTCACCCATCCTGCCACTTGGGCATTTCCCAGGACAGTGGGAGGCTGCACCTGCTGGCTGAATTCAGACAGAAGTCGGACTGCTGGGCTGGAAGCTCTAGCAGGCATTGCTTACCTGGCTATCAGTGGTAGGGGTGGGTAAGGTTGCCTACCCTGTCATCCAGGTGATTCCCAGGATAACAGGAGGCTGTAGCTGTCAGCTGAGTTTGCACAGAAGTGGGACTGTTGGGCCAGAAGCTGGTGCCAAGCTCCATCTGGCGAGGGGCAGGTAGAGCAATCTTACTGCTCCCAGGCACCATGACTGTGGTCTCTATTGAGGCTATGGCACTGGTACTGGTCTGCTCTGGGGTCTCAGGCCTGGAGAGGTCCCCTTGGACTCAAGAGTTGCCCCTGCGAAATGTCCAGGTGGTTCTCTGCCTTAGTCTTGAAGTGCAGTGGGGGGTGTGGGAAGGCCAGGAGAATTCTCCCATTCTCAGTTTTGCACAGGTCCTCGTGGAAAGTGTGAATCCCTCAGGGGGCTCTCACTCACTCATCCTTTCTGGTATTGGAGAGATTCTCCTGGCTCTGCACTGAGCCCAGACAGGCTGGTGCCCAGTTCTGCTCTCTATGTTTCTTGGCTACCTTGATGGATCCCAATGTGTGTGTGTGTGTGTGTGTGTGTGTGTGTGTGTGTGTGTGTGTGTTTAGATGGAGTCTTGCTTTGTTGTGCAGGCTGGAGTGCAGTGGCACCATCTTGGCTCACTGCAACCTCTGCCTCATGGGTTGAAGCAATTCTCCTGCCTCAGCCTCCCGAGTAGCTGGGACTACAGGCATGTGCCACCCAAGCCCAGCTAATTTTTGTATTTTCAGTAGAGACGGGGTTTCACCATGTTAGCCAGGTTGGTCTCAAACTCCTGACCTCAGGCAATCTGCCCACCTCGGCCTCCCAAAGTGCTGGGATTATAGTCATGAGCCACTGCACCCGACCACAGTGTAGTTTTTCAGATGACTGGCCTGCAGGGTCAGTGTTCACTAGCCCTTTTGTTTCCTTTCTGTGAGAGTGGTGCACATGAGCTGCTTCTAGTCTGGCATCTTGGTCCAGTTCCATCTTGGTCCAGTTCCACTCTATCCTTCCTGGCTTCATTCATTTGCATCGTTGTTAACATCCCTTCTCAACAAAACTAAAGGATCTCCCTCAAGATGCACATTCCTGAGAAGTCAGGGAGTGTGTGTGTGTGTGTGTGTGTGTGTGTGTGTGTGTGTGTGTGCATGTGAACGCATGCGTGGACATATGCATTCATCATAAATAGACTGTAAGTCCCACTTAACTATATCACTATATTAATTTGCTCATTCCCTTGGTAAAATTCTTTGGTAACCATCAGAGGCTAGTGGAATGCTCCCTAACAGGTGTGTGCATTTCTGTTTCTACAAGCAAATGTCAGAAGAGTCAATAGTGTTTGCTCCCAAACGTGATCGTACCAGTTGTAAATGACATACTGTAAATGTCATAGTTAAACATTATATAAACTGAAAGTGTGAAAATGAAATTTTTAAACAATAACTCAGAGATTCTATAAAGATTAACTGCCGAGCGCAGTGGCTCACGCCTGTAATCTCAGCACTTTGGGAGGCCAAGGCGGGCAGATCATGAGTTCAAGAGATCGAGACCATCCTGGTGAAACCCCATCTCTACTAAAAATACAAAAATTAGCTGGGTGTTGTGGCACGCACTTGTAGTCTCAGCTACTCGGGAGGCTGAGGCAGGAGAATCGCTTGAACCCGGGAGGTGGAGGTTGCAGCGAGCTGAGGTTGCGCCACTGCACTCCAGCCTGGGTGACAGGGTGAGACTCCGTCTCAAAAAATAAAAATAAATTAAAAAAAAGAAACTGCGGCCATATTAAGTACAAAAGGGAAAAAGAGTAGAAATCTAGAAGAACAATGCTCTGAGATTACTTCATCAGTTTCTTTAAATTTAGTTCTCTTTAGAGACCTGGACAGTGCACATTGTTTGTTTACATAAGGAAGAGGTTATATAATTCATTCTACAGACTCCTGCTTAAAGAAAAGGGCTGTGCTTACAATACATGTGATGAATAAAAAGGAATATTTGAGCTGTGTGTGTATGCAATCTCTTATTTTGCTTTCTCACTTGATGTGACTTTTTCAATTAATTGATTGCATTAGATAAAAGGGCTTCTTCTGAATTTTAATTTTAACACTTTCTCCTGTCACAGTAAGGTTGTGTACAATAAATTCTGTTTTTAAGAAAAGGAATGTTTTGAGCTCACTGGCTGGAAGTGTTTTAGAAAAACTCTTAAGCCTGGTCATAAAACTAACTCTTGAATTCCACTGTTTGTCTCAGAGCAGTGGCAAGAATAGCTGAAAAGTTAAGCAATAGGTTTGACAACAAAATAGGTAAGTCATCTCAAGCGACTCTTGACATGTTTCAAATGCAGAACATATCAGGGTTGGAAGATATTGTCATTGCTGACCTTGACACACTGGCTAGTGGGAATTAATTTATAAAAGGTAAATAACCAAGGACTCTCGGATAGGACTCCATCCCTTTTTCCTTCCCTCCCTCCCTCTCTCTTTTAACATAAATAGTTTATAACCTCCATTTGTCTTAAGGCATAAGAAGATCCCAGACCTATTCCTGATGGCCAATACAAACACACACAGTGATCATATTCCTGGAACTAGAAGTCCAGAAAACTGGTTTACCAGTGAGACAGAATATTTGAAATTGGGACATTAATTTTACTTTTTGTTATGGATTTATGTAAATAAAGTTTTGTGACTATTGCTAAAATTACTGAGAATATAAATTTGGACCCTGCCTGGAGGGTTACCTGTAATAATTTTTATTCTTTCCCTGAGTAAGCCTTTGGTGGTGAGAGACAACTCTCTTAGCCAAAGGAGAATTCAAAGTCTCACTCCAGGATCTGCAGATAAGAGGCTGTTAGGAAGTGGAAAAGAGCATCATGGGAGATTCGTGTTTTTACAAAGGCTCAGGACAGTGGCTTCTCAGACAACAGGGCCCCTCCCTTGGGCTCCAAGCTTTGGACTGCCTCCCTGCCCCCCTCCTCCAGCCCATCTCCAACCTTGCACCTCCTCTGCAAGGCCAAGGGGACATGACCACCCAGGGCCTGCGTTTCCCTTTCTGGACCATGTGCAGGTATCTGGTCCTCAGAATTCCCCACCCAAATGGCTGGAGTCTGCTTCTGGGGCTGTGTGGGCCTCTTTCCTGGATGGAAGGATAACCAAGATCCCTAACCCTGAGAGGTCACTTAATTACTAATGGACAGCTTCCATAGTTTTTGTCCGTGTCCAACTTAAGACCAACCAGAGAAAGCCAAATATGTTTCCCTAACCAATCACATAGGATGCCCTGCTTCTTCCTAACCACCTCCAGCTTCCCCATGCCAACAGCCTCTAATCAGGGCACACTGGAGCATTCCCCATTTTTTTCCCTGCTATAAAGCCTTCCTCTGCCTGCCTTTGAGTCTCTGCCAAATTCGAGTGACAGTAGCTGACTCCCTTGCTAGAGCAAGTTCTGAATAAATAGTCCTTCTCTGTTCTCCTTTGGGTAATCTTTGTTTATTTCCACAATTGCCACAGTTTTTCAGTCTCCCTGATTTTCATATCTAGGCCGAAGGCGAAGAATGATTAATCAAAATATTTGTGTCTTTATTATTTATTTAATACATTTAAATGTTATGTAAAATTTTCTGAGGAAGAGTGAAAAAATTAAAAGTATTGACTGTTGGGAACCTAATTATATATATATATAATTGATTGCATTAGATAAAAGGGCATATATATATATATTTATATATATATATATTTATATATTTATATATATATATATTTATATATATATATTTATATATATTTATATATATATATATTTATATATATTTATATATATATTTATATATATTTATATATATATTTATATATATTTATATATATATTTATATATATTTATATATATATATATTTATATATACATACTCAGAAGAAGCCCCCTACCTTTGTTTTTTGAGACAGGGTGTCGCTCTGTTGCCCAGGCTGGAGTGCAGTGGTGTGATCTCGTTTCACTGCAACCTCAGCCTCCCTAGTAGCTGGGATTACAGGCATGTGCCTCCATGCCTGGCAAATTTTTGTATTTTTAGTAAAGACAAGGTTTCACAATGTTGTCCAGGCTGGTCTCGAACTCCTGACCTCAAGTGATCAGCCCGCCTCATCCTCCCAAAGTGCTGGGATTACAGGCATGAGCCACCACACCTGGCCCAGAAGAAGCCCTTTTATCTAATGCAATCAATCAGTTTAAAAAGTCACATAAAGTGGGAAAACATAAAAAGAGATTGCCCATACAGCTCAAATATTCCTTTTTATTTATCACATGTATCATAAGAATAGGGCTTTTCTTTGAGCAGGAGTCTGTAGAATGAATTGTATTAGGTTGGTGCAAATGTAATTGTAGTTTTTGCCATTACTTTTAATAGTGGTTTTTGCAATTAAAAGTAATGGCAAAAACTGCAATTACGTTTGCACCAACCTAAATATACAACCTCTTCCTTATGTAAACAACCAATGTGCACTGTCCAGGTCTCAAAGAGAACTAAATTTAAACACACCTGTGAAAAAAAGATATGTATATTTGTGTATGTCTTTTATTTTAATTCTTATAAAAGAGTTCTTTAAAAAATATTTACATTTATGTTTTCTTTTAACAACTTGATTAATATCTCAGTCTACTAGTGTGACTATCAGTCTGTTAGTGTGAATTTGCCGGATTTATGATGAAAATTTTGGAAGGAGATCAGCACTTGAGGAAATAACACTGGCTTGTCAAAGTTTATAACTTCAGCTTTAAGTGGTACATGTACACTTGCAGTTTCCAATCTCACCCATCAGATGGTGCCAATACTTCACTAGTAGTTTTGCCACAATGCTTTGATATCCTCCGATGTGGCATTTGAAAAGCATTGAAAGATTGATTACTTATGCTCTTGATAAAGTTAAGGATTTTATTATTAATTCAGCTTTAGATGTAGTTAAAAATGAGTACAAGTGTATGACACCCTTCAGATAAACGTATGCTAAAGAATTAAGCAGCCTGAAATGAATGGAGAGCTATTTATTTTTTATAGTTGTATCTTACTGTATATTTAATTTATGCAATTCCCCAAAACCAGTGCTTCTTCTTCTTCCTTTTTTTTTTTTAAATTATACTTTAAGTTCTGGGATACATGTGCAGAATGAGCAGGTTTGTTACATAGGTATACACGTGCCATGGTGGTGTGCTGCACCCATCAACCCCTCATCTACATTAGGTATTTCTCCTAATGCTATCCTTCCACTAGCCCCCCACCCCCTGACAGGCCCCAGTTTGTGATGTTCCCCTCCCTGTGTCCGCATGTTCTCATTGTTCAACTCTCACTTATGAGTGAGAACGTGCAGTGTTTGGTTTTCTGTTCCTGTGTTAGTTTGCTGAGATTGATGGTTTCCAGCTTTATCCAGGTCTCTGCAAAGGACATGAACCCATCCTTTTTTATGGCTGCATAGTATTCCATGGTGTATATGTGCCACATTTTCTTTATTCAGTCTGTCATTGATGGGCATTTGGATTGGTTCCAAGTCTTTGCTATTGTGAATAGTGCTGCAATAAACATACGTGTTCATGTGTCTTTATAGTAGAATGATTTATAATCCTTTGGGTATATACCAGAGATTGCTGGGTCAAATGGTATTTCTGGTTCTAGATCCTTGAGGAATCGCCACACTGTCTTCTACAATGGCTGAACTAATTTACACTCCCACCAACAGTGTAAAAGCGCTCCTATTGCCCCACATCCTCTCCAGCACCTGTTGTTTCCCGACTTTTTAATGATCACCATTCTAACTGGCATGAGATGGTATCTCATTGTGGTTTTGATTTGCATTTCTCTAATGACCAATGATGATGAGCTTTTCTTTCATATGTTTTTTGGCCGCATAAATGTCTTCTTTTGAGAAGTGTCTGTTCATATCCTTTGCCCACTTTTGGATGGGGTTGTTTGTTTTTTTCTTGTAAATTTGTTTAAGTTTGTTTAAGTTCCTTGTAGATTCTGGATATTAGCCCTTTGTCACATGGATAGATTGCAAACATTTTCTCCCTATTCACTCTGATGATAGTTTCTTTTGCTGTGCAGAAACTCTTTAGTTTAATTAGATCCCATTTGTCAATTTTGGCTTTTGTTGCCATTGCTTTTGGTGTTTTAGTCATGAAGTCTTTGCCCAAAACCAGTTCCTACAAGTTAGATCTTTCCAAATTTCCATGTGCTTGCCATCTGCTGCATTGCAGACCAGCCATGTAGTATGAAAACTTGCTCTGAAGCTGCACTCCTAACTGCACTAATTGTTAAATCACAATTACTTTTGCACCAACTGAATAGCTCCTAGAGTGCTTCCTGGAGTCGGCAGTTTGCACCTACCCTGGGAGGGAGAAGGCAAATCACTCAGTGCTCCTCAGTGTCTTTTCCAGGCTCCTGATGGAGTTCAGCAGGCTTCTACGGTATGGCCATTCCTTGTTTCCTTTAACTTGACTCCATTCATTTGTTCAATGGTGTTTCCTGAACAAGAGAGGTTATAACTTTTCCTCCTTAAGCTTTGTGCCTTGAGACTCAAGTGCTGTCTAGAAGTAGCGGAATGCTTTGCCCAGAAACTCTGCTTCTCTTTTGGAAGATGACCCTGAACTCACTGATATCATAGAATTTACTCAAAACAGCCATAAACGCTCACATAAGCTCTTTTATCATAAATTGAAAGCATACATAGGAGGTCTTGGTACTCAATGAACTGGGCATAGGGGATTTATAAATTAATAATCAAATGAGGATGTCCTCTGGTTCACAGTTCCTTATCTGAAATTCTTTGGGCCAGATGTACTTTGGAATTCAGAACGTTTTGAATATGTAGAGCTAATATTATGCATATGCTATATATTACATAATGCTCTGGAAGGGTCTAGGACAACTCCCTATAATCAACCCATTAATTTTTCTGCAGGGAAACATAAATGTTCATATTAAGTGGGATAAATAAAGCCTAAATGTCCTCATGTCATGGCAGGTCAGGGTGTGCCTCCAAAGTGAGCTATGAAACAAATCTTTGGTTGTCAGAGCTTTTTGGATTTGGAGAATGTGAATAAGATAATGTGGACTTGTGTTAGGTGCTTTATGTGT